>NC_000001.11:144434587-145059587 GCF_000001405.40 Homo sapiens
CCTTGCTTTATGGAAATATATCAGCAAAGTAAAGAAGAAAAGTTTCCGTCCTGATTTCAGGGTGACTGTGCAGCTAAGCAAGCTGACTTAAAGGAGATCCAGATGAAAGCTGAGAGCAGTGAAGCCTGAGGAACGATATTTCCAAATACAAAGGCAAGGCTGCCAGCTTCCTTAAACAGGCATAGAAACTCCATGGGCATTGTTCAGGGACAGATGACTTAATCACAGATGACAAGAGATACTGAATCGAAGCTAGGAGGCCTGACAGATATGGCCTGTGCACCTCCTGCACTCAGGTGACTATGAGATTGTCACACTTGCCTGGGGTTGAGTAACTTGATACTGGGGACTGGCAGACAAAGGCATGACATTAGCTGAGAAGGACAAAAAAACTCCCTGATATCTGTTTAGAAACCCATCACAGTTTTTTATTCAAATGAATTTGTGTTGATAGAGCCTGTCTTCAGAGTTTATCTTCCTCAGCCTAGAGAGAGGTATGAGACACAAGGAAAACAGAGGCTACCTGGAATAATGTGTACAGCATCCTCCCATTCAACATGAGAGGATGAGCCAATGAGAGTTGAGTCGACTTTGTCTTCCTCAAATGTGATTTTGGTTTTCTTATGTGGCTGGTTGGAGTCATAAGGGCCATGGCTATTTGAACAAGTGATGGCACATTCCTCCAGTGAGTCCTCAGGGACTTCCTTTTCTTCAGCCTTCTGCATCTCCCTGATGAGCCAGGTGGGACAGAGATGACAGAAGATTAAACACAGAGGGATTGGACCCCAGGGAGTCCTAGCTGGTTTTGACAGGCGGCATTAAGAGAGTGGTCCCAGAAAGCAAAATGGACGTTCCCATTAAGAGGGAACATGCAATCCTGTTCTCTCTGCAACAGAGCATGGCTGCCATGGGAACCAGAGAGGAAGAGAGCAGCTGCTGTTCATTGCACTGGACAGATAGGAGCTGAGGAGGATGAAGACTCAGCTATCCCTGTACGGTGCAGACATGACACTCGGCACACACAGAGAAACATGACAGCTGCCGCACCCTGTGTCTAAGCTGGGTTATATTTCACATACTGTGGCCAAGCGAATGCGGGTTTTTGGCCCATCATAGATGCCAGAGAGGGTGTGCCTCCTAGATATTCCTCATATGTTACCATCCATTAATTGTTCCTGAGTATTCAGTGTTACCTGGGGGCAGACGATTTCTGCACTTTCTCAGCCACCTCAACTTGAACATCTTCATCGTCATCGTTGTCATTTTCTGTAAATACAGAAGTGTTCGTTCAGATATTTCCCACTTCACAGTCTGCAAGCACAGTCAGCCCAATGTGCAACAGAGACATGAACATCTAGGCATGGGTCACCGTTCAACTGAAAACTCTCATGTTTTATCTTTAACAGAATGCCCTGGCATGGTTTCCTGATCCATCAGGCAATGCATTTCTGATCTGGAGGGCCACCATCAAGATGTGGCCAAATATTGAAAAGACCTTTTGCTTCCCATATCACTGGAGGCTTGTGCAGCCTCTCTCTGGACATTGGCAGCTGTCTCCCCCATCCTGCCAGATCTGATTCCCAGGCACAGGCTTGGTGTCCCGTCACAGTTTGCATTTCAAACCTAATTCTTTCTCTTAGAAGCAGACAAACTTGTCCCACAGTCCTCTATGCATCAGAAGATTTCAAGCCTCCAAGTGGCTTCTGCTGTGTTATTCAGGGACATTCTATCCATGGGGAGTGCTCCAGTCTGAAGCACTTCCTACCACAAAACGCCCCCACATAAAGTGCCTTCTCCAACATCACACGGTGAGGGCCTTCATCTCATTTTGGAAAGCAGTTGTAAGTGTTCCCACATTTGAATGCTTCAGACCCTTGCAAGAGACAATTTGTCTGCCACGGAGAGAGAGAAACTCAGGAAGGACAAGTCATTCACTCTCTGACAGTTACTAAGAACATTGCCGAAAAGACAGCCTGGGAATCTTCATTCTTAGTCCAGAGCTCTTTTCACTCTAACAAGCCTGCTCCCATCGCAGCCTCCTTCCTGTCCTTTAAAACTAGACAGATGCTGCCTCATACTCCAAAGACCACCTTCCATCAAGGGAGGAGGGACACTTGCAATACTGTGACCTCCAACCCCATGGGTTTCCCATCTCCGTTCTTACCCAAGAAGTCCTGGTCATGTCATGGCCACATAAGCTTAGTGGAAAAAAACACCATTGATACAACTGTCATTGTGAAAGTATGGAGGTCTGGAGTCTCTCATAAGCCTGGGATTTTGGGTCATCAGGGCCTATGGCCACCTTACCTGGGCTGAGCTTTTGGACAAGGTGCTGTGTCAGTCTACACCCCTCAGCCAGCTGTTCTTGGAGGTCCTGCCCCTGGGACTTGTCCGGCTCATCCGGAGTGAGGAGGGCCTGGAGATGCTCATTCAATGAGCGGGAGGCATCTCTCCCTTCCCGTAACTTCTCCCTTAACTGGGTCAGCTCTCGTTCCTGAGCGTGAACCAGGACTTTATATTGCCTAAGGTGAGACGGTAGAGAAAATTTAAGAGTGGAAAGGGTTGAGTGATCCGCTCAAATATTGCAACAGAGATTTCTGAGACAATGTCCTCAAGGAGACCTCGAAGCAGAAGGTCAGCACATGTTTAAAGGAATGTCTGTGGCCAAGAGAAAGAATAGAAAATGGTTTACAGGCTTCCTCTGTATCAGAGAGGGCTCCTGCAAGATCCTCGATGATGTTCCATTCATCTTTCTCTTCTGTAAACAAAAGTAGGTGTCTTCCTAATTCCGTTTCAAAAAGACATCCTTTCAGTTCCTCACTCTGGCCATGGACATTTCCATGTGAAAATACACATAGTGCATCTTGCGGCCACTAGATACAAAGCCATGTACAGAAATGAGGCCAGGTGCAGATGGGGTGAATTGAAAAGACGAAAGAAGAAAAGAATGACAGGGTCGAGAAGGCAACATTGATTGAGTGAAAGAATGAGAAGCCGCAGTCAGTCAGGAGGTGATTCTCACTAAGGGTAAGTGGGGTGGTGATGGCACACCATTTTGAGTATACTGAATGCTGCTGTGTGGTTCACACTCCTTTGGTTAATTTTGTGTTATGTAAATTTCACATCAACAATTACTTGTTTGAAAAAGAGAAAACAAGGCTCTGAGAAACAACTGCAACCCATACATTTTTATTATCCTTCTTCTCTGTTTGATAAATATTTGTGTGTAGCGAGCCTGCCATGGCAATTCCTGCCCTTCCCCTGGCCCAGCTTAGCTCTTACATCTCCCCACCGAGCTGCTGTACTTCAGAGATTTACACACCTGCCCCCCTGCCTGCCCCCATGGGGTCCCCTCACCTGAGCTCCTCAGCTTGCTTGAGCTGCTCTGCAAGCTTCTCCTCCTTGAACTGTCGCTCATTCCTCAGCATAAATTTTATGAGATCTTTGCACTCTTCATATTCTGAGAAAAGACAGACACGCCTGCCTCAGTGGAAGGCTGGACATGCTGCTGTGGTCATTGCCTACAGGACAGGAGCCAGGTCCATCCCAAGGACAAAACTCTCCCCAGTACCAGGGTCTAGACAGGGATTTCCACATCTTTACTCTTCAGTCTCCTGACTTTCTGGCATCTGATCCTCCAAAATTTAGAGATGAAGAAAGAGAACCTCAAGGGCACATCAAGGAAGTTGACAAGATGATTCAACCACAACAAAGTGGAGTCAGAATTCACAGTCCCTGAGGTCTGACTCTGAATGCGGGGCCACTTTCCCAAGCCTTGCAGCCTCTCCTCTAAAACACTGCACTGGGGCATGAAGTAGTGATTTCTCGTACAGTCGGGAAGGCCCCTAGGACTATGGGACTGATGGTTTCCCTTTTACTGGGAATTTCAAGGACAAGTATGTGAAAGATTTTTAAAATCTTTGATTTTTAAATCATATCTTCAGTTATGATTTTAAGAATCATATCTGAAGCATAAAGAGTGACACATAACACCATAAGGCCATGAAGGAAATATGCCCAAATGCTAATAAAGTTTGTGTTAATTTAGAAACAGCAGAATGAACAACTAATAGATAGTGTTTACTGTGTGCCAATAAATGTTCTAGGAGATTGACAAGAAATAGCTCATGTAATTCACTGCAGCAATTTACAGAGGTAGGTATTATTGTAGTACCCTCTGAACAGGTGAGGAAACTGAGGGACAGACAAGACAAGCAACTTGGATGGAGCCCAGTAGACAGGCCCACAGTCCCTGCTCTGTACACTGCACTGTTATCTCCACACATTCTCGGATGCGATCTTTCTTCCTCTTTAGCAACAAGACTCTGTGCCCCAGGAAGCAGGACTTCACTCTCACCAAGCTACTCTCTGCTTTTTATTCTTATTTTTATTTATCATTATTATTATTATTTTTTTTTAACAGTCTTGCCCTGTCGCCCAGGCTGGAGTGCAATGGCAAAATCTTGGCTCACTGCAACCTCAGCCTCCTGGGTTCAAAGGATTCTCCTGCCTCAGCCTCCTAGGCAGGGGTGATTACAGTCACCTGCCACCACGCCCATCTACTTTTTGTATTTTTAGTGGAGATGGGGTTTCTCCATGTTGCCCAGGCTGGTCTCAAACTCCTGACCTCATGATCTGCCCGCCTCAGCCTCCCAAAGTGCTGGGATTACAGGAGTGAGCCACCATGCACGGCCCCTACTCCCTGCTCTTGATGCTGTCACTTATAGACAGCACAGGTTCTATTAGGAGTAGACTCCTCTTGAAGCCCCTCAGAGCAGGTACTGGCTACTATCACCAAGTTTCCCTCAGAGTCACTAGAACAGAGCTTTGCCTGTTGGGCCTCCACAGAAACTTGAACTGAAGAAAAGTTCACTAGTCTCAGACATTTAGAACAACAGACTAGATGTTATTTGTCTGCAGGATCTTATATGGTACAGAGAGGATTCTTGAAAACATGATTGAGCCTCTTGGAGAAAACAGGTCATTCTGTGCCTGTGTCAGAAATCAATAAATGGCAGTTTAACTCTAGTCCCACCCCCACCTGATTGCAAACATGGAAAGTTGCTAAATACTTTGGTACCTCTGTCTTCCAACTTTAACAAAATGTTAAAATACCCATTTCTGTTTTCCTAGAAGTACAGGAAGGATGAAATTATTTTTGATGGAGAGAGCATTTAGTGTCTCAGAGAGAAGACAGGACATCATTCATCACTTTCATGACGGTGAGCCTATAGATCTTACTGTATTTCTTCTGTCGGTTGGCCAGGAAGCCGGCCAGTTGAGTTAGAAAACATTTCTCTTTGAGGTTTCTGAACTGCTGTTTCTTCTCTGCCAACTGGGGGCGCAATTTCTCATTGATTTCTAGAATGTTCATCTCTGCCTTCTCGCTGGACAAAGGGCCGGCTGATACCACCATGCTGACGTTTGTGGCAGAAGAGGTGGAGTCAGGGACTGGGGAGAAGAAACCCAAACATATGATGGGTTAAAAACTGGTGAAATCAAATAGGTTTAATCAGGACTGAGGGATGTAAGTAACTGAAATTCTTAACTTACTGTTGTCAAAAATGTGATCACTCCCCACAGCACTTTAGGATCCTTCACCACAAAAACAAGGTTCGAGGTGCCTCAACTCAGAGCTGAAAGCACTGTCAGTAGCGCAGACTCTGATAAGAGTGAGGTAGATTGTGGCCAGCGTGCCAGGTAACCGTCTGCAGTTGCAATAACAGAATTAGAAGGTGGGGGTGTCATGGAATCTTAGGAGCCCTGCATTCCAATTGCCCAGGCTTTGCTGAAACACAGGCACCCTAGTCTCACCTGAGGGTCACCACCAATGGGGATCATTCCTTCAGCATTCACTCTCAGTATTCGTGTACCCTTGTGACAATGCCACAGACCCATGTCTTTCCCAATACATCTAAGCATATTCCTCACTGTTTATCTCTTGTCTGTACAACATCATCAAGGCAGAAACAGTTTCCCAACAGGTTATATTTTCTTAATGGTAGTCATGAAATCATAAATAAAAAAATAGAATCATTTAGTATGTTCTCTTGTTTTGACTTTTTTTTTTTTTTTTTTTGTTTGAGACAGAGTCTCACTCTGTCGCCCAGGCTGGAGTGCAGTGACGCGATCTAGGCTCACTGCAAGCTCTGCCTCCCAGGTTCACGCTATTCTCCTGCCTCAGACTCCCAAGTAGTTGGGAATACAGGCGCCCGCCACCACGCCCGGCTAATTTTTCTTTTTCTTTTTTTTTTTGTATTTTTAGTAGAGACGGGGTTTCACTGTGTTAGCCAGGATGGTCTCGATCTCCTGACCTCGTGATCTGCCGCCTCGGCCTCCCAAAGTGCTGGGATTACAGGCATGAGCCACCGCACCCGGCCGACTTCTCTTTACTCAGGTGGGTATATATGCCACTAATTTGTTTGATTGTGTTTTTCCCTTGTTTCATTTTGTTTTGGCCAAGTAATATCCTATTGATTGTATGATTATCACACAATTTGATATCCATTTTTCTGATGGGAGACAGGTTTACTTGGTAACTACTGTGCATAAGTAACTATGAATATTCTCATACAATTATTTCTGTGAAGATACATACTTATTTTCCTGGGTATCTATAGCTAGGGATGGAGTTGCTTGGTGAATGGGTAGAAAATGTTGGACAGAGTTTTGCAAAGTATTTGTATTGTTTTACATTTCTATGAAAGATGTAGGCCATTTTCAGTTGCTCTACATTCCCACACACTTAATATTTTCAGTCTTTTAAACTACACCAGGTGTGTAGTGATATCCTAAAATTTGGTTTTCTCATGCCTAATGTTCATTTAGATATCTTCTTATGGAAAATATCTTCTCAAATTTTTATATTCATTGATATACTGGGCTGTTTGTCAATTTCTTTGTAATAGGAGTTCTTTATATATTTTGAATGAGTCCATTTATACATACATATTTTTTGCTGTATTATATAGCAAATAATTATTCCTGGTCTAGAGATAGCGTTTAAGTTGTTAAACAACAACATAATAAGGAGAAGCTTTTTAAAAATGAAGTGCAATTCGCTTGATTTCTTATTGTGGTGAGTGCTACAGTATCTAGTCTAAGAAATATTTTCCTGTGTCAAGTTCATGAAACTATTTCCTATTTTTCCTTTACAAGGTTTCTAATTTAACTTTCACATCTTAAGTTAATTTCAATATATGATGGAGAGTGGTTAATATTAACTTTTTAAAACAACAAATATTATTTCACTCAAAATTGTTTTACTTAAAAGTCTTTCATTTCCCCAATGAAGGGCATTGGTGTCTTTGTTTTTAAAACATTTAGAAGCGGCGGTGCGAGCATGTTCTCACTCATGGGTGGGAACTGAACAATGAGAACACTTGGACACAGGGCGGGGAACATCACACACCAGGGCCTGTCATGGGGTGAGGGCTGGGGGAGGGATAGCATTAGGATATATACCTAATGTAAGTGACGAGTTAATGGGTGCAGCAAACAAACATGGCACACGTGTATATATATATATAATATATATACACGTGTATATATATATATATAATATATATACACGTGTATATATATATATATATAATATATATACACGTGTATATATATTATTAATATATATAATATATATATTAATAATATATATTATTAATATAGATGTAGGCCATTATTAATATATATACACGTGTATATATTATATATATATATACACGTGTATATATTATATATATATACACGTGTGCCATGTATATATATATACACATATATACATGTATACATGTATATATATTATACAATATATATAACACGTGTGTATATATATTATATATATATATTTTTTTCTTTTTTAAGTGGCGGAGCGAGGGCTACTGCACAGCTAGCAGAGTCGTGGCGAGGAGGACAGCACCTGCATCGAGCTCTCCGCCTCCCCCACCCGCCAGCCCAGGCGGCCCCAACAGCAGCGACCAGAGGAGCCCCTGCAGCAACGCAACGGCCAGGTGGACACCTCCATCTACAGCCTCGTGGCGGACGGGACCTGTTAGGACACGGCCATTGTTGGCAACAAGGACCCACCTTCCATCTGGGCCGCCATCCCAGGGAAAACCTTCCTCAACATCACGCCAGCTGAGGTTGGTGTCCTGGTTGGCAAAGACTGGTCAAACTTTGTCATGAATGGACTGACACTGGGGGGCCAGAAATATACTGTGGTCCTGGACTCACTGCTGCAGGATGGGGAATTGACCGTGGATCTTCATATGAAGAGCATCGGTGGAGTCCCCACCTTCAACGTCATTGTCACCATGACTGCCAAGACGCTAGGCCTGCTGATGGGCAAAGAAGGTATTCATGGCAATTTCATCAACAAGTAATGTTATGAAATGGCCTCCCACCTTCAGCGTTCCCAGTACTGACCTCCTTTGTTCCTTCCACTCCACCGCTCCCCATAGCTTTGCCCGCCTTTCCTTCACATACACACACCATTTTAATTTCAGGGGTCATTACCCCACACACCTTATTGCTGCCAAAACCACATGGGCTGGGGGCCAGGGATAGATGGACAGACACCTTCCCCCACCCATACCCCTCCTGTGTGTGGCTGGAAAACTTTTTTGTTTTGATGGATTTTTTATGAATAAAAAAGATTCTACTAAAAAAAAATCAATAACTGTACATATGTGGGCATATTGTTTGAATCTGTATTCTTTTACTTTGATATATTTATGAATACTTACACCATTACTACTGTTTTAAAATTACTGTAGCTTTAAAATCAGGTTTGAAATCTAGCAGAGTAAGTCCTCCAACTTATTGCTTCTTCAAGACCGACTTGCTTATTCTAGGTTCTTTGATTTTCAAATACATTTTGAAACTAGCTTTCAAATTTCTCTAAAATCTCCTACTAGAAATATTAATCAGAATTGTGTTGATGTAATATGCTAACAAAATTGAGTCTTCCAATCAATGAACATGATATATATTTATTTAGCCTTCTTTAATTTTTCTCACCAATTGCTTTTAGGGGCCTTGTACCTGCTTCATTGCATGTATTGTTAAGCATGTAATGATTCTGGCTATTAATCTCTATTATGTTTTATTGAATTTCATTTTCTAGCTGCTAATTGCTAGTATGGAGAAATTAAGATGATGAAATCAACTTTATAAAGGCATAATTTCGGTACAACAGACTGCACCACTTTAAAATGTGTAATTCAATGCACGTTTACAAATGGATACACTAACGGAACTACTGCCACAACCAAGATAGAGGAAATTCCCTATGCCCCAAAGTTTCTTGTACCCCTTTGCAGTTCATCAGCCTTTCAACCCTCAGCCCCAAGGAGCCACTGTCACTTCAGGTCCGTTTGCATTTTTAACCATTTTCTATAAATGAAATGATACCTGTGTTCTTTTGTGTTGCCTTCTTTCATGCATCAATGTAATTTTAAAATCCATCTGTAATGTCTTGTAAATACTGAGTAGTATTCCTTCGTGTGGCTATACCATGTATGTTTGTACTTTCACTTGTTATTGGACATTTCTATCATTCCGCGTTTGGGCTATTATGAAGAAACTATCATGAACATCCATACGTGGCAGGCCAGGTCTCACTAACACAGGCCTCCGTAACAACTGTTTCAGTACCGACTGAGTGGTTCAATTAAATATTAAGAGGAAAAAAAAAAAAAGAAGCCAGTGCCCTTATACAAAGGCTGGAATGTAACAAAAGCCCACCAAGAGTTTTGCCTAGGTTTTTCCTGGGCCTTAAAGCATGACGAAATAACGAAGGCATTCTTAACAGGAGCCATTTAGTATTAAATAAGTTTTACTGGGGGTCTGAAGAAACTCCCCAGGCCTCCACAAACAAGTTTATTGGAGATCTGAAGGGACTCTCCAAACCTCTGTGATTTAGCAGGAGACAAGATAAGGGCCCCCAGCACCTAGACCCATTTAGATTAACTGAATTTAACTGAGGTTCCAGAGGAAGGTCTTCAGGACTCAGACTTAGTTATAGATTAAAAGAAGTTAATCACTTATGTATTTAGATGAATGCACACTTCCACATACACATATAGCTTAGAAGGTACATTAGCTCAGGAAAACTTTCCAATTTTGAGTTGGTCTGGTGATAATTTCCAGGCCGTTTCCCTGTAACCAGTTGCAGAAGTCAAAACTCTCTTCCTCCCCAGTTCATCTGTGTCTTGTTACTGAGCCACGAGAAATAGCAGCCCGCCCCTCAGGTTGGTCTGGAAACACACATACAGATCATTGTGCAGACACAGTGTGTAAATTCCTAGGAAGGGAATGACTGTCTATCTGATTTGTGTTATGTTTAACCTTTAAGAAACTGTTAGATTTTCAAAGGAGCCATACCATTTTTCATTCCTACAAGTATAAGACTTCCAAGTGCTTTATATCCTCACCAACAGGTGCTATTTTCAGCCTTTTTAATTTTAGCCATTCTTATGGATATGTACTGGTATCTCATTGTTGCACTGATTGATCTCCCTGATGACTAAACAGTGGAGCATCTTTTCCTATGCTAACTGACCATTCATGTATCTTCTTTTCTGAAGTATCTATTCAAGTCTTTTGAGAAATTGTTTCAATGTGCTGTTTATCTTATCAGACTGCAATATGTATGTGTGTGTGTGTGTTTGTGTGTGTCTGTATATGTATATATATATATATATATATATATATTCCCTATTTGGAGATGATAATCTTCAAAACGGTGAATATATATATATATATATATATACACACACACACACACACACACACACACGTTTGTGTGTGTGTGTGTATACATATATATATGTCCTAAGAATCAATTAGACATACATGTGAGTATCTATTTCTGGATTCTCTCTTCCACTGATATATATTCCATTTTTTTTTTCAACAAAACACATAATCTTGATTTTCATAGCTGTAGAGTAATTCTGGAAATAGGTAGTGAATTCATTCGCCATTATTCTTTTATAATATTGCTATTTTATTATTCTTGATCATTGACATTACCATATAAATGGTAGAATCAGCTTGTAAATTTCTACCAAAATGCCGCTTGGAATTATTATTAGAATTGCATTGGATCTGGAGATCAATTTACGAAGAACTGACTTTTTAAACATAACAACTCTTCTGATCCATGACAAGGTTTATCTCCCCACTAATTTAGTTCTTTCATAATTTCTCAAAGCAATTTTTTGTAGTTTTTGGTGTACTGGCCTTACATAAATTTTGTTGACTTTCCTTTTTTTTTTTTTTTTTTTTTGAAACAGAGTCTTGCTCTGTTACCCAGGCTGGAGTGCAGTGATGCGATCTCGGCTCACTGCAACCTCTGCCTCCCAGGTTCAAGTGATCCTCCTGCCTCAGCCTCCCAAGTAGCTGGACTACAGGCACATGCCACCATGCCTAGCTAATTTTTTGTATTTTTAGTAGAGATGGGGTTTCACTGTTAGGCATGATGGTCTCCATCTCCTGACCTCATGATCTGCCCACCTCGGCCTCCCAAAGTGCTGAGATTACAGGTGTGAGCCACGGTGCCCAGTCTGTTGAATTTATTTATAAGCACAACATGTATTTAGATGTTACTTTAAATGAAATTGTATTCTTATTTCATTTTCCAAATGCTCATTGCTAATATACAGAAATACAAAAGACCACTTATATTGAGAGCTTACATTCTGCAACACTACTAAACTCACTGATTAGTTCTGGTAGATTTTTGTAGATTTCTAGCATTGTTAACAAACACAGTCATTATCTGTGAATAAAGACAGCTTCAATTCTTTCTTTTCAATACTTTATTAATTTTTCTTACTTTATTGCATTGATTTAGAGCTCTAGTATAATGCTGAATTAAAAGAGTAACAACAGGTATTCTACTTTTTTCTCTGATTTAATAGAAAAGCATTCAATCTTATGCCATTTAATATAATGTTACCTGTGGGTTCTTCAAATCTGCCCTTAATGGGGTTGGAAGTGTTGCCTTCTGTTCTCATCATGCTGAGCATTTTCTGGGGTTTGTTTTTATAAATCATGAAAAAAGTTTTCAATTTTGCCAAATGCTTTTACTGTGTATGACAAGGTAATCATACGGTTTTTCTCTTTTGCCCTGATAATATATAAAATGATATTTTTTAAATATAAAAAAGAGGCCGGGCATGGTGGCTCACGCCTGTAATCCCAGCACTTTGGGAGGCTGAGGCGGGCGGATCACACTTGTGGCAGCATTGAAGGCTTCACTCTTCCCCAAGGGATCCAATCTCCCCTCAGTCAAGAAGCTCCAGGTATCTGAACTGGATGCCAGGTCAAAAATTCCCACTATGGTGACTCCAACAGGTCTCTGTCCTCAGAACTAGAGCTTTTCTAATTATTACATAAGTTGACTTCTTAGTAGATTTCCCATCCATTACATCCCAGACACCTCACAATGATTAGTAACCACCACATGTCCCTGCCTCTCAAGGAAATCCCTCCCGCCTTGTCTCTAGACAGCCAAGTCCCACGGCCTGTCCTCTACTCTTCCAGAACCCTGTTGTTCTGACAGCAGGGAGGACAAATCCATGCAGCATCTCCCGCCATGACCTCCAGCCTGCAGAGGAGAGGTGCCACAGGACCTTTACACGCACGCCGCTGTTCCCCTCACCCATGCATTTCTTAATGCCTTGGTGAGGAGAATGCCTCTGGGTCTTCCTTGATGGGAGCTAAAGGAACAAAGGTAAATAATGCTATGGGACCCACTGAGAATTGGGGCTGTGGAAGAGTGGCCACTGAAGTAATAGACAGATGCAGCTATTGCCAGATACTCAGTGCCAGAGCAGGGAGGGAGAGGGAAGAAATACGGACCTCACCTTCCTCTCACTTCCAGGCTCCATCGGGTGCCCCCAATGCTAAACCTAACTACAAGTGTGCACACAGGGGAGCCAGGGATGCATTCTAGAAGGGACAAGCCCCAAGTGGCATAAGACAGGATGGAAATGAGTGGAGAGTGGATCTGTGGGAAGGAGGAGGGGATGTTATGGGGAAACAAAAGGAGAATACTAGCTAATAATGCCAGGTGACACTAATATCCCCAAGTCTGTGCTCATATTCAGAAAAGAAAGCTCAGCGTAAAGCACTCAACCAGGAGTCAAGATATTGTTATTTTCAACTGTTGTTCCAACAGTTGTATTATAAAGGGCTAGTTTATTTCATGCCTTTCTAATTTGAAATAAAGTGCTACATGGCATTGGGGCTGGTACAGCCTCGCTCAATTATGGGTTGAAGAGTACACAGAGACTGCCAGGCTGAGGGAAGGTGCAAGAGAATAGAAGAGATGCTCACAGAGAACCACAGACCGCACGGCTCCAGAGTCAGGGGCAGCATCAGCCACTGTCGGCTGCTCATTTGTCCAGACAGAGCCCACAAGCCTTAGCCATGCTTTGCTTCTGCAAGACGCTTCTTCACCTTTTCAATAAACCTGCCTGAATTAAAGCTGATGGGAGTTTATTTCTCCTTTATCATAAAAGAAATTCTTCACCACAACAATCTCCAATGAATTGTGGGCACAGAAGGCAGACCCATCCCTGCTTCTCTTCCACTATCTCCCCTGTAGGTTGAAAAGGAGGAGGTACTGAATTACCTCCAAATGTTCCTCTGGCTCTGATATTCTGTGACTCTGGTTTCTTTTTGGCTACTTTGTTTTTGGAAGCATGTATCCTAAGGCGTCCAGTTGAAAAACCTTTGTCTACTGTGTCCAGACATTCCTGGTGGTATTTCAGATAAGACACTCTTGGGTTGCTGCACTCACAACCACTGAACCAATTCTATGACTATCTGTTTCATGGCCACCTGTTTGCTCATTTTCTATGTACATAAAGGGAGGGGACAGACAACAAATTTGCATATTATAAACTGTATCATCTTAAAAAGGAAACAAGGCAATATTTTGCAATAAAACCTTAAGATGCATTAAATTTAAGCCTAATGCAATAAAGAATGCCCATAAAATTATTATCTAAAGAATGTTTAGAAAATTGTTGAACAAGGGACATCATCATTTAAAGTGATACGAAGAAAACTCAGCTAAGCATATGGGCTAGATTAGAGAGAAAAATAAAGGACCCATCTCTGCCCTGGAAAAACTACTGGTAGCATCTTTCACAAAGCTCTCTGTGTTTGAGTACGCACCTTGATCCATAGGCTCACATTTGATCCCAACTGGCGGCTGCTTCTTGGCATTAACTTTGGATTCCCAACCAGTAAATCTTACCAAGATCTGAGTTTCTCCAGGTATGATATTATTTTGTTTGACCATCCTTATCTTCAAGGGCTACCAAGAAGAAACAAATCATTTATTTACCTCCCCAGAGGAAAAGGTTTTACCAATGAGACACTTTCTTACCATGACCCCAGGGCCCCCATGCCCTGTTCACTTGAGTGCCCTGTGTGGCCTGAGAGAAGCTCATACTGGTCACAGGATTCTTTATATGATTAACCTCCTTCCTGAATCCCAACTTTATGGTGGTGGTGATGACAGGTATCCCATGCTCATGTCCCTGAAGTCATCAGCCTGTCTCCAGTTAGAAAAAATTACATGTATATAGAGAGGCCTCTTTGGAAGTAGCAAAAGCTTTCTCACCTTCATACATTAATGGTTGGAATGTACAATAGTATAAACACTTTGGGAAAAAATGTCTGGCATATTCTTACAGAACTAAACATCTACCTATTCTATGACTCACTAATTCCTAAGCATTTATCCAAGAGAAATTAAAACATATGTCCAGAAAATGATTTATACAAGAATGTTCATAGCAGTTTTATTCATAATAGGAAAAACTGGAAACATTCAAATATCTATCAATACAAGAATGGATCAATAAACTGTGATACATTCATTCCATGGAATGGCTAAAGGAACAAACTTTTGACACACAAAACAACATGGATGAATCTCAAAAACATTTTGAGTGCAATAGGAGCCATACGCAAAAGAGTGTGAGGAAAATGATAAATAATAATGGTTTCAAGAAATGCAGAGCAGAGAGCCCAGAGGTAAAGACCCACAGGACAGAGGGTCAGTCCCAGGCTGTGGATCCTAACTAAGAAACTCCTGCTGGATTTTGCCCAGCTCCATTTCCAAACTATTTTGGGTTAGTGACTTCTTTATCCCCTCCATGTTCCCTCATTTTGAACTAGAATCACTGTAGTTGTTATTCTATGTCTGTCCCATCATTTCACATTAGGGGCAGATAAGCTGTTTGTTCAGTTTCACAGGTCGACAGAGGTAAGGGAATTATGTCAAGGATCTGCACTTAATGGACACTCTCGGAAGCCTCATTCACACCTGGTGTGGATGTTTTAGATGGGATTTTAAACTTTTGATCTGATGTGGTCTACATGACATTTTTCATGTTGAACTAATGCTTTAATGACATGAAATCTGGAAACCTCAGGGGAGAGGGTAAATGCACTTTGCAGATGGGGGAATGTGAGTGTCCTACTGTGGTAGATGGAATTTCTGAAATGGTCCCCAAACATGCCACACCCTTGTCTCTAAAGCCTCTTAAGGTGATGAGACACCATTCCTGTGACTATGTTGTTATATGCCAGTTATATGACTTTAAGATGGTGAGGTTACCGCATGAACTGGATCTAATCACATCACTCCATACATGACAGAGCTTTGTGTGGCTGGTTGGAGAAGATGAAGTCAGAGAAGGTGGGAGCTTGAGAAGGACTCCATGAGTTGTTATTGGTTGAAAGATGAAACAGACAGGTAAGGAGGAAAGCACGTGGCCTCTGGAGTCAGAGTGTCTCCCCGCTGACAGCCAGCACAGAAAAAGGGCCCTCAGCCCCCCACAAACAAGAATAGGAACTCTTTCATTATCTGTAGTGAACCTGGAAAAATAGCTTGAGCTCTAGGAATAAAACACAGCCAGCCCATTCCCGGATTTTAGCCTCACATGACTCTGATCAGAGAACCCGGCCACTTCATTCCAGACTTCTGTGGTTTCAAACCACTGGTTTGTGGTAATGTGATAATAGGCAGCAAGAGAAAACTAGTACAGGTGCCTGTCTCTCCTCTTGAATTTCAATTTCAGATAAATGTATGCTAACCCTCTAAGAGAAAAAAATCAATCAACCAATCAATGAAAGAACTACAGTAAAAATATTGCCCTCACCTTTATGTGGCTGTTCCAGAGCCCTTGCCACCTGAAGAAGACAATGAGGGGTATTTCAGGCACTTGAGTAGTGTGGCTTTACTGTTATCAATCACATTTCTGAAAGAATAAAAATGGTTCAGTGAAGGGATGGGTTGCCCCTCCACACCTGTGGGCGTTTCTCGTTAGGTGGAAGGAGAGACTTGGAAAAGAAAGAGACACAGAGACAAAGTACAGAGAAAGAAAAATGGGCCCAGGGGACCGGCGTTCAGCATATGGAGGACCCATGCCAGCACTGGCCTCTGAGTTCCCTTAGTATTTATTGATCATTATCGGGCATTTCCGGAGAGGGGGATGTGGCAGGACAATAGGATAATAGTGGAGAGAAGATCAGCAGGTAAACACGTGAACAAATGTCTCTGCATCATAAACAAGGTAAAGAAAAAAGTGCTGTGCTTTTGATGTGCATATACAGAAACATCTCAATGCCTTAAAGAGCAGTATTGCTGCCAGCATGTCCCACCTCCAGTCCTAAGGCAGTTTTCTCCTATCTCAGTAGATGGGATATACAATCGGGCTTTACACCGAGACATTCCATTGCCCAGGGATGAGCAGGAGACAGATGCCTTCCTCTTATCTCAACTGCAAAGAGGCCTTCCTTCCTCTTTTACTAATCCTCCTCAGCACAGACCCTTTACGGGTGTCGGGCTGGGGGACAGTCAGGTCTTTCCCTTCCCACGAGGCTGTATTTCAGACTATCACATGGGGAGAAACCTTGGACAATACCTGGCTTTCCTAGGCAGAGGTCCCTGCAGTCTTCCGCAGTGTAGTGTGTCTCTGGGCACTTGAGATTAGGGAGTGGTGATGACTCTTAACAAGCATGCTGCCTTCAAGCATTTGTTTAACAAAGCACACCCTGAACAGCCCTTAATCCATTTAACCCTGAGTTGACACAGCCCATGTCTTAGGGAGCACAGGGTTGGGGGTAGGGTTACAGATTAACAGCGTCTCAAGGCAAAAGAATTTTTCTTAGTACAGAACAAAATGGAGTCTCTTATGTCTACTTCTTCCTACACAGACACAGTAACAATCTGATATCTCTTTCTTTTCCCCACAGTTCAGGTCAGGCCGTGGCTCATGTCTGTAATCCTAGCACTTTGAGAGGCCAAGGCAGGTGGATCACTTGAGGTCAAGAGTTAGAGACCAACCTGGCCAACATGAAGAATCCCTGTCTCTACCAAAAATACAAACATTAGCCAGGTGTGGTAGCAGGCGCCTGTAATCCCAGCTATTCAGGAGGCTGAGGCAGGAGAATCACTTGAACTCAGGAGGTGGAGGTTGCAGTGAGCTGAGATGGCGCCGTTGCATTCGAGCCCAAGGAAAAGAGAAATAACTCCATCTCCAAAAAAAAAGATAAAATAAAATAAAGACGGTTCACTACTTCAAATATTATTATGTGAAAATGTATCATCTCAATTTTAATAGTAGATTTTTAAAAATTCTTTTTCTTGTGCTCACCAGACAAGGTTTGGTAAAAAATACCAGTCACCAGCACAGATGAACCAATTCAAGGAGAGCCATAAACAGGACTACTATTATGTTCCCCCAAAAACCATCCCTAGAATGCAATCTCTTCTCTACTTGTCACAAAACGAACACAATAGTCCACTATATAAAGTCCCAAACACAGGAAAATATAAATATAATGAAGTCTGCTTTCCAAATATTTATTCTATTCAGACCCAGTCATGGGGACCAGGGATTAGGAAATGACTACAAACAGGTTCAAGGGAATTTGGGAAGTGACAAAATATGCTGAAGTAGAACTCTGCTGATGGCTGCACAATTCGATAAATCAACTTACATCATTGAGTTGTACATTAACAATGGGGGACTTTTATAACAAGTAATTCTTTAAACAAACTTTTGGGTTTCTATTTCAACATGGAAAGAGCTAGGCAGTCATCACTTGTCCTCACAGCTAGAAAAAAGCTGAACAAACTGAAAGTCAACCCTTCTAGGGTGGATCAGAGAATTGAGGTCACAGGGAAAACTGCCACCTTAAAAATGAGAAACACAGGCTAACACACAAGGAGTCACAGCTCACAGGGAAGAGAAGCTACTGGGGACAGCAAGTGGGAGGAGCACTTAAATGGTACTGACAGATTACTAGAAGCTGAGGGTAGCCTGGCTAGAACATTAAAAACTCCTTGAAGACCAGACTAAGGGGGAATCTCACACATTTCCAAGTGTTACTACAATGATCTCAACCAGGTTCTCATGATGAAGTTCAGAAAAACTCCCTGAGGTTTGGCACTACCAACTTCAGGACTTACATTAAGCTACAGTAACCCAAATAGTGTGAAGTTGGTGAAAAGAGAAAACACACACATATAGATGCATGGAAAAGAATACGGAGCCCAGAAGCAGGCCTACATACAGTCCACTGATCTTCCATGGAGGTTTAGAGACAATTTAAAACAGCAAAGATAGCCTTTCCAACTAGTGGTGCTAGAACAGCTGGACAACCACATGCAAAAAAATAAATAAATCCAGGTATGCATGTTATACCCTTTATAAAATAAATCTTACACGTAAATGTAAGGTGCAAAACCATAAGAATCCTAGGAGATAACATAGGAGAAAATCTGAGGGATCCTGGGTTCAATGATGGCTTCTTAGATACAAAACCAAAAGCACAATCTACTAATGAAAAAAAAATTAAGTTGAGCCTCATTAAAATTAAAAACTTCTGTTCTGTGAAAGACACTGTTAAGAGAATGGAAAAAGCAAGTCACAGACTGGTAGAAAATATTTACAAAATAATCTGATGGAAAAACTGCTGTCCAAAATATATGAAGAATTCTGAGAACTAAACAACACAAAGCAAAAAAAAAAAAAAAAAAAAAAAAGTGAAACATCTGAACACCTCATTAATAAGATATACAGATGGCAAATAAGCATATGAGAAAGATGCTCAAAATCATTTGTTGTGAGGGAATTGCACATTAAAACAACGAGATATCACTGTAAACCTATCAGAATGGCTAAAACACAAAACGGTGAACACACCAAATGCTGTCAAAGATGAGGAACAACCAGAACTCTCCATAGCTAGTGGAAATCAAAAGTGTACAGTCACTTTGGACAACTTAAGTTCATTCAAAATCCTGCACATAAGTACTTGCAGCAATTTTATCATAATTGTCAAAACTTGGAAGTACCCAAGACGTCTTTCACCAAGTGAATGAATAAACAAACTGTGTTGTAGCCATACAATGAAATCTGATTCAGTGATTTTACAAAACAAGCTGTCAAGTCATGAAAAGACGTGGAGGAACTTAAAGTACATAATGCTAGAAAGAAGCCAGTCTGGAAACCTACATACTGTAATTCCAACTCTAGGACATTCTTGGAAAGTCAAAAAGATAGAAGTAGTAAAACGATGAGTGGTTGTCAGGGGTGGAGGAGAGGAGGAGGCACGAAATGGTGAAGTACAGGGAATTTTCAGCAGTGAAACTATTTTGCATGATGCTGTATTGGGGATTTAGGACATTACATAATTGCCAAAACCCATAATCTGTGAAACTCAAAGAATGAACTCTAGTGTAAACTATGGACTTTAGTTGATAATGATGTATCAATAGTGGTTCATCAATTGTAACGAATGGACCACACTAATACAACATACTAATAGGGGAAACTGTGTGCTGGAGGACAGGGGAGCCTAGGAGAACTCTCTGTACTATCCACTCCATTTTTCTGTAAACCTAGAACTGTTCTAAAAAATAACATCTATTACTTTTTTTTAATTAGGATGCAGCAGCCCCATACCAAGGTTTTGGTGGCATCCTGTTATTGTGTGGTTAGTACTTGGCATTGAAGTGCACCAACCTGGAGTCAGAGCAGTTGGAGATTTCAATGCCTGTGCCATTTACCTCTAACCCTGGGGTGCCCCCGGAACACAGCTAGCAGATCAGTTAGGCAGAAGCAGCCTCAGTCATCTAGACAGTGCAGGGTTCTGGTAAGGACAGGTGCAAACCATCTAGGTGGGCAGAACTTGGTGATGACTAGGAACCACTGAGACTCAGCAGCTGCCCCAGTGGCACCCACAAATCAGAGGAGGAGGAGGCTGGGAGGACCTAAGGGCTACAGGACGAGCTCCCTGCCTACAAGACAGAAGCAGCTCCAGAGGTTTTGGTAAGTAATGTAGATTTCAGTGCAGTGTGGTCTTTTTTAAAAAGTAGAACAAAAAGGAAAGAAAAAGAGAGAGCATGAGAGACAAAGAAAAAGAAAAGAAGAAAGGAAGAAAGGAAAGAATGGAGGGAGGGAAGGAAGGAGGAAGGAAGGAAGGAAGGAAGGAAGGGAGGGAGGAAGGGAGGGAGGAAGAAAAGGAGGGAGGGAGGAAGGCAGGGAGGGAGAGAGGAAGGGAGGAAGAAAGGAAGGGAGGGAAGGCAGAAGGGAAGGAGGGAGGGAAAGAATAAAGAGAGAGAGAAAAAGAGTGGGAGAGAAGTAGGGAAGGGAGAGAAGTAGGGAAGGAAGGAAGGAAGGAAGGAAATGAACAAATTTACATGAAGATGAGAACATCCAGGGGAACTTACACCACCAGTATTTCCCATTAACAGGAACACGCTAACTAGTTATTGGAGACAGATGCACTACTGTAAAACTATATGCTGTTTCCACGGGGTACAACCCCTTCTTCCTCCTCTGAAACACATTATTCCTCTGGCCCACTGTTGCCAGAGACACTGAGTCTTGTCTTTGGATAAGTTCTGGTGCCCAAAAGAATGAGATGAGACAGTGGATCCCAGAACACCAGGCCGCAACCTTCCCTGCTGCTCCTTGTCCACTCCAGAAGCTTCCCAGCTGCAGGTGGGGGCCTCAGCCCCTGGGTCTGACATCGTCCATTTGTCATTCTCACTGGACTTCCCTCCTTGCACTGGCTCCCACTCCCCCAGGACCTGGTGGACGGCCACGTGAGAAGGATACAAACAGGCCATGCCCCTTTCTTTCTCCCCCTCTCAATGCCTGCAGTGGTGGGTTCCATGGGGTAGTGACCTGAGATTTACTCGTTATGGGGTCTCTAGCCCAGAGCAGGGCATGGTACCTAATAGTCACCCCATGAATGCTCAGTGAAAGAAGGCATCCACCACAAGGTCCTGGGGAACCAAGAATTCCACTGTGGCCCATAAATTCTAAGTCCTACAGGATTCTGGAATGGGAGATGGGAACGGCCTTCAAAAGTGGCCTCTCTTTTAACACATTATACTGGCAACTGAGCCATGTTTCCCCATCCTGGACACATCTAGAGGGCACTGCCTAAAACCACACACATCTCCCCACCCAGGACAGTGCAGGGCCTTAGCCTGGGGGATGCGGGTGGACAGGGAGGGGGTGAGCCATGAAAGCTGAAGAGGAGAAAGCAGGTGAAAGGGGACGGCAGGGTGGAAACAAGAGACGGAAATGGGGGCAGAGAATGGGGGGTAAGAGGGGAAGAGCAAGGAGTGGGATGCAGATCTAGCTACTAAGGAAAAGTCCTGGAGAGAACACTCTCCTCTCCTGAGGTAAAATCACTTCCACCTGACGACGGCACTGCAGGTCGAGGGTGGCACACGCTGTGAATATTTGTTCATTCACCTAACAAATATTAATTCAGTATCTGTTTCATGCCAGGCAAGGCCCTGCGATGTTTAGGGCCCTTGGCATCTTCCCTTCACATCTGAGTCATAATAGAAAAAGGACTCTCTGACTCCATCGAGCTGGCAATGCCTCAGGGTTTTTACCTGTGGGATCTGGCAGCTCTTCATTCAGCCCACACCGTGTGAGGTTGCTCTTGGTGCACCGAATGGGGAAGTTTCTACATCAGTACCTCGGAGAGTCCACTGGAAGCCCTGGACAGTGGGAGTTGGTGGCAGCCCCAGCGTGGAGGCCAAGAACACACAGCACTGAAGCTCCAGGACACCCTCAGGAGGACGGTAAGGGACGGTAAGGTGAGAGCCTGGGTCACCAGGAACCTTCGCCTGCATCTAAACAGGATTTGCTTTCAGATTGCCTATGAGATAAAAGAGAGAAATCATGGTTAATATTGAGATTTGGGGCTTCGGCAACTTGAAGGATGGAGCTGCCGTTTACGGAGACTGGGAAGACCCAGGGAGGAGCAGGTTGAAAGGTGGTGGGGAACTAGAATTGTTTGGGTTCCTGTCATATGTAATCAACAGTCCTCACCAGCCTCGGCAACATAGTAAGACCCCATCTCTGAAAATAAAAAATGAAAAATTGGCCCAGCATGGTGGCACACACTTGTAGTCTCAGCTACTCAGAAGGCTGAGGCAGGAGGATTCCTTGAGCCTTGAATTAGAGGTTAGTGAGCTATGATGGCACCACTGAACTCCAGCCTGGGGGAAAAAAAAATAAAGAGTCCTGACTAAATACTTGAGTAGCCAGGGAAGTTTTCACAAAGTAATACTTGAGGCAGATCTTAGTGAACAAGAATTCGATTCTTTCTGTTAGGGAATTATGAGTGTGTGGGTGTAGTTAATGCTTCTTTGGAATCTCATCTACTGGTCTATCTGGTCTATCTGTACACGTATATTCTACAGGCTGTCTCGCTGAGCTTTCGCTAGGTTATGCTACAGTAACAAAAGCCCCAAAATCTTAGCAGCAACACATACAAAGGTTTATTTTTCATTGACATTTCCTTTTATGTCAGGTTGACTGTGACTCTGCTGTATACAAGCTATTTTATTTGTTAGATGGTGAAAACTGTGACACTTGGAGATTGTTGAATATGGTATTAGTATGTTCCTTCATTCATTCCTTTAACAAATATTTATTCAATATCTGTTTCATGCCAGGCAAGGTCAAGTACTGAGAATACAGTGGTGAATAAGAGACAAAATCTCAAATTTCCAGGAGCTTATGTTGAAAATGAGATTGAACACATACAAAATAATCATAATAACAACAATGAATACTATACTCATAAATAATAGCTGTAAGAGATTTTAGTAAATCTTTTAAATTAGAAAAACATAAAAATTATTAAAACTAAAATGGCCAGCGGTGATGGCTTATGCCTGTAATCCCAACACTTTGAGATGCCAAGGTGGGAGGATCATTTGAGCCCAGGAGTTTGAAACCAGTCTGAGCACTACAGGAAAACCCTGTCTACAAAAAATAGAAAATTAGCCGGGCATAGTGGTGCATGCCTGTAGACCCAGCTACTAAGGAAGCTGAGGTGGGCAGACTGCTTGAGCCTGAGAGGTCAAGGCTGCAGAGACCCATGATCATACCACTCCACTCCAGCCTGGGCAACAGAGCGAGACACTGTCTCAAGAAAAAAAAAAAAAATTGTTCGATGTAGTCCTAAAACTATTATGTAGAATACTATTGTTTACATCACATCACGTCGGCCCTTTAAATGGCTTAACGCTTATTTAGGTACGATCCATAAAGTTTTCCTGGTAATTAAGTATACCTAAGAACAATGAAGTATAAAAGAGTTACTGCCTTGACAGGAAGATTGTAAAAATTGTAAAAAAGATAAATAAATAAAGAGTCAAGACTGTAGCTCTGTGAGGCTCAAATAACATCTAATTCAAGTCACAATGAACATCTAGCAATCACTGTGAACACCACATACTTCCCTTAATACATTTTCCCTGAATGCCCAACACATCTGAATTACCAACACCCGTATGTAGCCAAGAAACTGACAATCATTTATAAATTATCACCTATGACTCCATCTGCTCTATGCACTTATTTTTTAAATTTTACTCATTTATTTATTATTTTTATTTTTTGTAGAGATGGGATCTCACTATATTGCCCAGGTTGGTCCAGAAACAGAAACAGACCCACACTAATTTCATAAATTGGATGACCATGCAGTCATCCGATTTAAGAAAAAAAGTGCCAAACAGTGCAGAAGGAAAAGGATAGTCTTTTCAATAAATGGTGCTGGATCAAGCAGACACATCCATGTAGTAAAAAGTGAATCATAGCCGGGTGGGGTGGCTCATGCCTGTAATCCCCACACTCTGGGAGGTTGAAGTGGGAAGATTACTTGAGCCCAAGAGTTTGAGACCAACCTGGGAAACATGTTGAATCCCAATCTCTACAAAAAATATGAAAATTAAGCCAGGCATGGTGGCACACTCCTATAGTCGCAGCTACTCAGGAGGCTGAGGTGGGAGGATCGCTTGAGCCAGGAGGTGGAGGTTGCAGTGAGCTGAGATCCTGCCACGGCACTCTAGCCTGGGCAATAGAGTGAGGCCCTGTCTGAAAAAAAAAAAGAAATGCAAAAACTAAAATAAAATTGCTATAAGGTTAACACAGAAAAATGTGTTCATACTCCTAGGTTCGGCATTGATTTCTTAAACAGGACACAAAAAGCACTAACCATAAAGGAAAAGATTGATAAAGTATAATTTCATTAAAATTAAGAATCTCAGGCTGGGTGCAGTGGCTCATGCCTGTAATCCCAACACTTTGGGAGGCCGAGGCAGATGTCTCACCTGAGACCAGGAATTCCAGACCAGCCTATGCAATGTGGCAAAACCCCATCTCTACTAAAAATACAGAAAAGAGCTGAGTGTGGTGGTGCTCACCTGTAGGTCCCAGCTACTTGGGGGCTGAGGCAGGAGGATCACCTGAGCCTTGGGAGGTCAAGGTTGCGGTCAGCTGTGATTGTGCCACTGCACTCCAGCCTGGGCAACAGAGTGAGATCTTGTCTCAAAAAGAAAAAAAAAGTTAGAGAATCTCCATTCATGAATAAGCACCATTAAAAGAGCGAAAAGGCAAGCTACAGATTGAAAAAAGGGAAATGCAATACATATATATCGTAGAAAGGACACATAACCAGAAAAAAGTATTACAAATCAACAGAAAAACAAGCATATCAATGAAAACTGGATAAAAAGATTTAACAGGCACTTCACAAAAGAGGACACACAAATGACAATAAAAGATACTCAATCTCAATACCAGGAAAATGCAAAATGAAATCACACTGATACATTACTGCACCCCTACTAGAATGGCAAAATAATTTTTAACTGACAGGCATCAGCAAGGATGTGGGGTAACCAGAGTATCCCTGCTAAATGGTACAACCACTTTGGGAAAACGTTCAACAATATGTAATACTAAGTTTTATCATTCATATACCTCTAAAACCAACAATGCCACTCCTACAAATATACCCCAGTCTAGTAATGTTCTATTTCTTGATCTGTGGTGGTTCACTTGGTAAAAATTCATTACCTGTACTTTTTTTTTTTTTTTTTTTTTTTTTTTTTTTTTGGAGACAGGGTCTCACTCTGCCACCCAGGCGGGAGTGCACTGCCATGATCACGGCTCACTGCAATCTCAACCTCCTGGGCTCTGGTGATCCTCCCACCTCAGCCTACCAGGTAGCTGGGACTACAGGCACACACCACCACACACAGCTAACTTTTGTAATTTTAGTAGAGATAGGGTTTTGGCACGTTGCCCAGGCTGGTCTGGAAATCCTGGGCTCAAGTGATCCGCCCACCTTGGCGTCCCAAAGTGCTGGGATTACAGGTGTGATCTACCGCGCCCGGACCACCTGCACATTTAAAATTGTGAACCTCTCTGTATACTTCAGTAACTTTTCAAAGATTTCTTTGACACAAAGTTCTCAGAAATCTTAAAGCTAGCATTTCACAACAGAAAAAAAGAGCTTCTGGTTCACTGGTGAAATTTTACTAATAAAATTTAAAAACAAAAAGCTACTAACACATATCAGCTCAGAACAAAGACTAAACACTACCAGCAGATCTTTCCTTTAACCTTGTGAAGCACTGGGATTCATTCTTTCGGCAAAGAAAGGATGAACAACACTGTAACCCAAAGAAAAGATACCACTGCAAGAAAAGACTTCTTTTCGAAAGCAGCTCTAGCAGCAAAAGATAGGAGGAAAGCAAGGAAACCATGCCAAACGTCTTGGTTAACTCTTCGGAGAAAGGACGCCAAATGAGAAGATCTAACAAGCCAGAAAGACAGATACAGGGAAATCACAGCAACTCTTTGGAGTGCAAACACCAACCCCACAATCCAACCTACCGGAAATCCTGCGGTGAATTAGAGGCCTGCCCCGCTAGTCATGAGGTGATTCAGTGACTGCTACAAACGCTCCTCATGTGCATCCTGGACTTGGTACACCCGGCTTGCCCATCACCAGCCTGGAGAAACCGCCAGGAGCAGAATCCCGGAGGCCAATAAAGACCCCAACTTTGCAAGTCAGGGGCGCGAGTGGTCTCGCTTCTCAGGTCCCCAGAGGCAACCGATTTCTGGCCTCGAGGGTGGGGTGCGGGGTCAGGGTCCTCCACAGGATACACGAGGACGTGCCCCCGAAGCTGCTCGTCCCTCCACCCCCTGAGATGCCACAGAACACCCGCCAGCGAGTTTCTTCCCCAGCGCCCAAGGAGGGCTGCGGGCGGCAGCGGCAAGCGAGGAATCCAACGCATGGAACTTAAGCCCCGGCGGGGCCGGAACACACGCCCTCCCAACCCCCCACCCCGCCTCGCCCTCCGTCGCTCGCAACAAAACTTGCGACAGCCGCAGCTCGACCCAGCTGTGTACCCGCGGGTCCCGGACTCACCGCCCGCCCGGCCTGGCGCGGCGCCTTCACCTCGGAAACGCTGGGTGGACTTCGCTGTAAACCGTAACTTCCCATCCAGACGGCATCCGTGCGCCACGCCTCGGCCCGCTCCTGGCGCCACAGGTCGCCCGTCCCGCGTTCCCAAAAGCACCGCGTTCACTCAGATGCTCACGCAGCCTCGCGACCCTCACCTACCCCTCCCGATACCGCCGCTGTCTCAACCGCCGCCCAGCCCATAGCCTGCGCCAGCTGGCTCCTCAGGGTCCCGCCCGGCGCGTCAGGAGAGCCCAAGGCGCAGGCGCAGCGGGGCCTTAAAGGTACATGGCCGCCTCTGCGGCACAGCGGGTTCGCGCGGGCCAGGAAAAGGAGTAACCGAGCGGATAGACAGAGTGCAGCAGAGACCGGGAAATCCCTCTCTCCCCTCCGCCTCTCTTTTAAAGCACCAGCCCTTGACCCTACAAATCGCTGATTTCCAGGGCCACTTGAACCGCCCCTGCCAGGTTAAAGGGGCAGAAGACACACCCCCTCGGGGGCCCGGAGCGACCCCGCGCTTAGGACTGCAGGCCTGGTGCTGCAGCACCGCCCCCGAGTCTGACTTCCAGGCCCGGGCATGGGGTGCAGACGCGCAGACGTGGGAAGGCAACCCCCAGCTCCCCCGAGAGGTGGCCTTAGGTCACTCGCAAAAACAATAACCCACATGTCAGTGGGACTTGTAGTGATTTTCTAATTTAAATTAATAACAGATTTTGCAGATGGGCTTCCACTGAAATAAGCCTTTGAGAAAAAGAAAAACTTTTTCAACAAGATTAGGACATACCAAGAAATAGGAAGTAAAGCCATGCCGCCCACCCAGCTAACAACTTTGAAAACTTGAAATTTTATCTAAGGCAAATGCTTGCATAACTTTAGGTCGTGCCATTATTATTATTGTTATTATTATTATTATTATTTGAAACGGAGTCTTGCACTGTCGCATGCAGTGATGCAATCTCGGCTCACTGCAACCTCCGCCTCTTGGGTTCAAGTGATTCTCCTGTCTCAGCCTCCTGAGTAGCTGGGACCACAGGCCCTCGCCACCACGCTCGGCTAATTTTTGTATTTTTAGTAGAGACGGGGCTTCACCATGTTAGCCAGGCTGGTCTCGAACTCGTGACCTCAGGTGATCCACCAGGCTTACCCTCTCAAAGTGCTGGGATTACAAGCATGAGCCACCCACTGGGCAAGGCCTGCCTGGAAATAATCGTGAGAAATAAACTCACCTGTCCAAACCCAAAGAATGGACTCCAAGACCCGGAAAACAGCAGAAGTGCGACTTATTATTAATGACAGTCTTGCAAGATCGGGTGTCTGGTAGGCAGGCACACCCAGTAGGCTTACAACAAGCAATTTATCCCCTAGTGTGGAAGTGCCTCCCCCGGTTCCTCATAGGCTGAGTACTATGGGGTCACAGTATTCCCGGATGTCGCCTATTGGATCTTGGGTTTGGACTTTTAGGTTGTTTTTTTTTTTTTTTTAGGGTTGTCTCCCTGTATTTTGTTGCAGTCCATAATGCATTGCAATCATGGTCAGCTCGGGGGCTTTTCAAGTATTTGACTTATGACCTGGGCAGTCAGGCAAGCTGATAAGAATAGATGTAGTGAACTATTTTGCAGGCTAGTAAATGTCCATTCTAGACTAAACTCTTTGGTTTGGACAAGGCAGCTAAGGTGGGGGAGTGGGGGTGGGCGACAAGCAGGCACCAGCTATTAAAGCAGCGGCCTAGTATATTCTGTTCTTCCATAGTTTGCGGGCCCAAGCCTAACTTCCTACAATAATAATTATATACAAAAGTTTTTAAAAGGGATAAAAGAAAAGAGGGGATGTCTCAAATGAATACACTTAAGCTCCCCCCTCAAGAAACAAGAAAAAAGCAAGTAAAAGAAACCTAAAGCAGGCCAGGCACGGTGGCTCACGCCGGTAATACGAGCACTTTGGGAGGCCAAGGTGGGTGGATCACCTGAGGTGAGGAGTTTGAAACGAGCCTGGCCAACAAGGCAAAACCCCGTCTCTACTAAAAATACAAAAAAATCAGCTGGGCATGGTAGCACCCGCCTGTAATCCCAGCTATTCTGGAGGCTGAGGAAGGAGAATCGCTTGAACCCGGGAGGTGGAGGTTGCAGTGAGCTGAGATCGCACCACTGCACTCCGGCCTGCGCCATGGGAATGAGACTGAATCTACAAAAAAAAAAAAAAAAAAAAAAAAAAACCTAAAGCAAATGGAAGGAAATAATACAGATAATAGCGGAAATCAATGGCATTGAAAACAGAAAAAAACAAAAGGGGAAACTAGTGAAAATAAAGCTGTCTCTTTGAAAAGATCAATAAACTTGACAAAGAAAAAAAGAAGTCAGCTTATGAACATCAGGATGAAAGAGGGACTACACTCATTACAGACTGCAGATATCAAAGGGATAATAATAAGGGAAAAACTATTTAAAATTCTGTACACACATATATTTGACAACCCAGATGAATTGGACAAATTTGTCATAAGTATCAACTACCACAACTTACCTAAAGCAAAACAGGTCATCTGAGTAGCTCTGTAACTATGAAAATAATTGGATTCCTAATTTTAAAATTTCCAGAAAGAAAAGCTCCAGGTCCAGATGGTTTCACTGGAGAATTCTACCAAACGGTTGAAGAAAAATTAACATCAATTCTTTTTTTTTTTTTTTTTTGAGGCAGAGTCTTGCTCTGTCTCCCAGGCTGGAGTGCAGTGGTGCAACCTTGGCTCACTGCAAGCTCCGCCCTCCGGGTTCATGCCATTCCCCTGCCTCAGCCTCCCGAGTAACTGGGACTACAGGTGCCCACCACCACGCCTGGCTGATTTTTTGTATTTTTGGTAGAGACGGGTTTTCACCGTGTTAGTCAGGATGGTCTCGATCCCCTGACTTCGTGATCCGCCCGCCTTGGCCTCCCAAAGTGTTGGGATTACAGGCGTGAGCCACCGCGCCCAGCCGAATTAACATCAATTCTGTACAATCTGTTCCAGAAAATAGAAGATGAAGGAACACCTCTCGACTATTTCTGTAAAGCTATGATTACCCCAACTCCAAAACCAGACCACAAAAATGTTTATCAGTCAATGAAGAAAAATCATTTGACAAATTCAACATCTATTCATGATAGAAATAAAGAAGGGAGGCCAGGCTCTTTGGCTCATGCCTGTAATCCCAGAACTTTGGGAGGCCAAGGTGGGTGGATCACCTGAGGTCAACAGTTCGAGACCAGCCTAGTCAACATGGCAAAACCCCATCTCTACTAAAAATACAAAAATTAGCTGGGCATGGTGGCAGGTGCCTGTTAATCCCAGCTACGAGGAGGCTGAAGCAGAGAATTGCTTGGACCTGGGAGGTGGAATTTGCAGTGAACCGAAATCACGCCACTGCACTCCAACCTGGGTGACAAAGCGAGGCTCCATCTCAAAAAAACAAAACAAACAACAGAAATAAGAAAAAATAGAAAGAAGGGAAGAAAGAGAATGTTTTACAACTATCAGAAACATAGGAACACAGGACTTTGTCAGCTCGATAAAGACAACTTACAAAAAAATTCACAGTTAACTTCTTACCTCATGGTGAAAGACCACATGCTTTCCCTCTAGGACTGGGAACTAAGCAAGGAAGACCACGCTCACCACTGATATTTCACATGACAATCCTACCCAAATCAATAAGGCAAGACAGGGAAATCACAGGCATACACTGGGAAGGTGGAATAGATGAACTTTGCCCTATTCTTCCTGCTCATTACATCTAAAAACCTTGGGCATTGTACATACAACAAACATAGGAAGACTGAAGGGCAAAGAGAAGGTAGGAGGCCATCTGGCTTCCTCAAGACCCACAGAAAGCCAGGAGATGAGTTCCCAGGATTCCTCCATGCCCCCGCATACATCCTAGATGTAGAGCCAAAGGAGATGGCAACCCAGAAATACCAATGGCTACAGATCCAGCAAACCCCAATACAATCTTGCTCTCTCTAGGCAAAGGATCAGCAAAGGGGCAGTCTAGCAAGACAAGACACATATACGATCATCAGTTTCCTCAGGTCAAGCACCGTGGAAGAAAAGCTGTGGCTGCATCAACATAAAAGCTAGCAAAATCCCAGTGAGGGGCTTCGGGTTTCACACTTGCGCAGGTATAATGACATATGCTAAACCCCCACCTTGCCCCGGGGGTTCTTTAGGTTCCAGCATTTTATTTATCATGAGACACACAATGACTAAAATGCTGGAAACTAAAGACAGAGAAAATACCTCAAAAGCAACAGAGAAAGACGACATCTTACCTAGAGGGGAAAAACAATTTCAATGACAGATGTTAGAGGAGGAAGCTGGGGCTGTCATCATCATCCCTGCCAGGTGATAATATGTTTACCTCCCTGTCAATAGAAACTACATTTGGAGCCTAGACTTCATTAGATGGTCATGAGGCACCTCTCCCTCTGTCTGCTAGGCTGGTATCAGAGGAGTCCTGGTGGAGAGTCAGGACTTTCATCCACCCAGCAGTAATAAGGCTGCCCTTGTCCTGTGGTGTCACTGGAGGCCACGTGGAAAGCAGTAATGAAGCACTCCTACCCACCCAGCCAGGGATGTAGCAGTGGAGGAGGAGTGGGCTGCTGGAACTCCCTCTCCTACCTTAGCAGCTCCTCCACTCAGGGTGTCAACAGAGGTCAGTCAGATGAGAAACCTGGATTTTTACACACACCTGGCTACAATGAGATGGCACCACTCTTCTTCCCCTGCAGAAACAGACTCAAAAAAAGGTAGTTAAAACAGAAGGTTTCAATAAAATCGAAACTCTGATAACATAACACCCAAAAGTCCAAGTTTCAATTGAAAATCATTCATCATACCAAGAACTAGGAAAATCTCATACTGAATGAAAATAGACAGCAAATACACGCTGGCAATGAGATGAGAGAGGTGTTGGGATTGTCTGACAAAGAGTTTAAAGCAGGCAAGCCTAATGAAATGATTTAATGAGTACTTATAAGAACACTTGAAACAAATGGACAAGTAGAAAGACTCAGCAAATAAATACAAGACATAAATAAGAACCAAATGGAAGTATTAGAAGTGAAAAATGCAACTAAAATAAAAAGTCCAGCAGATAGGCTCAGCAGCAGAATGGATGGTGTGGAGCAAACAAATTCATATACTGCAGATGAGAAAAACAGAAATTACAGAATCCTAACAGGGAGAAAATAGACTGGGGGGGAAAGTGAACAGAACCTCAGGGACCTGTGAAACTACCTCAAAAGTTCTCACTTTCATGTTGTTATCAGTGTCTGGAAGGGGAAGAGGAAGAAGACAAGGCTGAAAACATACTCAAAGAAGTAAATGGCCGAAAGCTTCCCAGAGTTGGCAAAAGACATAAACCTACAGGCTCAATAAGCTGTGAGAACCCTAAATAGGATAAAACCCAAAGAGGTCTATGGCAAGACACGTGACAAAATAAAATGTTGGAAAAGAAAGACAAGGAAAATATCCGGAAAACAACAGAGAAAGGTGACACCTTACCTAGAAAGGAAAAACAATTCCGGTGATGATGGATTTCTCATCAGAAACCATGGAGGCAGAAAGAAGTTGTGCAGTGCTTTTCAAGCCATGAAAGAAAATAATTGTCAGCCCAGACTCCTCTGTCCAACAGAAACATCTTTCAGGAATTAAGGGGAAGATCAAAACAGTTCCAGATTAAGAAAAGCTAAGGGAATCTTTGACCAGCAGTTCTGCCTTAAAAGAAAGGCTAAAGGGAGTTCTCCAGACAGAAAGGAAATGATTAAAGAAGGAAACTTGGGATGTCAGAAAGAAAATTTTAAAAAACAGTGAGCAAAATAGGCCTTCTTTCTCCTCTTGTGTTTTCTAAACTATGCTTGACGGTTTCAGAAAAAAAATCATAGAACCATTCGATGTGGTTCTAACTCTACATACAGAAAATGTTGGAAACAATTATAAACTGGAAGGGTAAAGAGACCTATATAGAAGGTTGCTCGTCTATCGTTCACTCAACTGGTGAAACAATGACACCAGTATACCATGTGGTCAGATATAGATGCACAGACATATAAATATATATATATATATACCTGGAAAAACCAAGAGGGCTATACAAACGCATATACTAAAAAATACTATGGATAAGGCAAAACACCATTCTCAAAGATGTTCAAGTCACCACAGCAGGTAAGAAAAATAAAGCATATCCAGAAAATGAAACCAGAGAGAACAAACAGAAAAGGAAAAATAAAATGGCAGACTTAAGCCCTACCATATCAATCATCACATTAAATATCAATGGGCTAAGTACACCAATTACAAGACAGAGATTGGCAGAGTAGGTTAATGGACATGACCCAACTACATCCTGGCTACAAAGAGACTACCTTCAAATATGATGATACAGGCAAGTTGAAATCAAAAGGATGGAAAAAGATATATCATGCAAACATTAGCTAAAGGAAAGGAAGACTGGCTATATTAATGCCAGATATAGTATATTTCAGAACAAAGAAACTAATCAGAGAGAGAAAGGGACGTTATAAAATGATGAAAGGACCAATCCACCAAACCCTCCCCTGACAAAAGTCATAAATATCTATGCAACAACAACTTTAAATACTGAACAGATAGCTAGACTAATCCACAAATATAGCTGTACGCTTCCATGTCCCCCCTGTCTCTTGTAGGACATTGAGCCAGACAGCTGACCTGTCCTCTACAAACAAGTCCATGTCCCTACCATCAATGACAACAACAAAAAGATGAGGAGATACTTTGGGTTCAAAATAACTAAAGAAATATAGCTACATTATCTTTTTAGTTTTTTTGAACCCAAAATGTCTTTTCTCCTTTTTATTGTGTGATTCGTGGTGACATGGACTGTCTGAAGGAGACAGGTTATTGTCCTGCTCAGTATTCTGCATTCTGCAGTTGTCTATCTGGTGATTACCTCCTATGAAACTCAAGCTAAGCATTTTTAGCAAGAACATGGCATTGTTCATATTCTGCACTGGCAGAGTCCCAAGTGACATGCTGTCTCCTGCCAGCAGCTCCTGACTCCTGTTCTCTACAGGATGGAAGCTGAGAGGAGTAGGGCTAAAGCCTCTCAATGCTGTTTGTCCATCTGGCTTTGGTCTTCCTAAGTATTGGTATCAAGTGGAGGCTGAAGGACTGTGGCTTCTCTAACCAAAGGAGCCTAGTGGGTTAACAATTGTCAAGAGCAGTCAGTGGTTCTGAAATACAATCCTCAGCCATGGATCCCTCCTGTGTTGTGTTGAGCTTTCAATTGCTTTGCTCTTTTAGTTCTATTCATCAAATGAAAATGCTTTTGTGACATCCGTTCTTTCTTTTCATTGTTCCAGCAGCATTTAGTATCTGTAGGAGAGAGAGAAGGAAAGATCAAATGGGCATCTTTGTCAGGTCCTGCTGATGGCTGAGTCTAGAGGGACTGTTAAGTGGTGATAGCCCAGGGGCAAACTGAGCTCCTGCTAGGAGGATGAGCTGAAGGGTGAGCCTCAGGCTGAGTGAAGAGGCAAGTGCCATCCGCAAGTGAAAAATAAACACCCCTGAACTTCCAGTCAGCTTGAGGTGAAGGATATAGGGACCCTAGCTCTGCCCAACCAGCAGCCCCTTTCCTCCTGATCCCCAGTGTCTGGAGCAGAGTAATGGCTTTTCACACCCCTCAGTGAGGATGTTCTCAGCATCAACCATGAAAGCTCAGAAACAGAGGGCTGCAGAAGGAAAGGACCTTTTGCAGAGAAACCCACTCCCTTACAACTCCATGTCCCCGTCTCTTAGGGAAGGGTGCGCAGGGCCATGGGAAGAACCCTGGAGGTGAGATACAGGAAGGACCTCAGACCGCATCCACATCCAGTTCTGCCTTTTACAACAGAGGAGCAGTGATGCCACAGGGCTGACTTAACTAAAGCCACATGACTTGCAATGGACAACCCTGAAACTAGAACCCACGCACGAAGTCTCTTTCAATAAGTTAGAGAGAAGGGAGAGTCAATTCTCCAATCTGGAGTTCTCGACAGTCACTAGAGGTTGCTGGGTCACCTTGGCTAGGATAGGAATGAGCTTTTACAAAGAAATATGATGTCACTGCTGCTTGTTTTGTTGGTTAAAATAAAAAATGAGAAAAAGACAAAAGAAATATTATGTGTTCTTCCAAAAAGGATCAGAAGAAAAGGAAAGAGTCAAATGGAATTACAAAGGAAGGGTGGTGATTGTAACCATGGCCCAACTTATTATCCCTAATTCCCTGAAGTTGATTCCACACCTGGTTACACCTTAAGGCATTTCTAGAAACATGCTCAATATCTGATCAACAAAACTCTGAAGTAGAAAGTGAAAAGGATTAGTTTGTGTTTTATTACATTCTCCTCTCCCTGTTACATTTTTCCCAGAGTGGTTTGTTGGGAAAGATTTCTTTTTAGAATTTCTTGCCAGCATCAAGGGTAGCATAAAAAAGTATTCATATATCATCTCTTCCTGAGTTTCAGTTTTTTTATTATTATTATTTCTTATTTATTTATTTTTTTTTTGAGATGGAGTCTCACTCTGTCACCCAGGCTGGAGTGTAGTGGTGTGATCTCAGCTCACTGCAACCTCCGTCTTCCGGGTTCAAGTGATTCTCCTGCCTCAGCCTCCCGAGTAGCTGGGATTATAGGCATGTGCCATCATGCATGGCTAATTTTTGTATTTTTAGTAGAGACAGGGTTTTGCCATGTTGGTCAGGCTGGTCTCGAACTCCTGACCTCAGGTGATCCACCCTCCTCAGCCTCCCAAAGTGTTGGAATTAGAAGCATGAGCCACCATGCCCGGCCAAGTTTCAGTTTTTACTTATTATTATATTCTGTCTAGTGGAGTGAGACCTACGAGTTCTCTCTGAGGACTTGGCTGAATGACAAGAATTGAGCAAAGCAGAATTTTTACATTGCAGTGCCGAACCCATTCATGGGCTGTGGAATCAGTGTGTGGAAATGTAAACTGCAGGATTTATTTTAAAATTGAAAAGAAGGCTGGGCATGATGGCTCATGCCTAAATACCAGCTCTTTGGGAGGCAGAGGTGGATGGATCACTTGAGGCCAGAAGTTCGAGACCAGCCTTGCCAACATGGTGAAACCATGCCTCTACTAGAAAATACAAAACTTAGCCAAGTGTGGTGGCAGGCACCTGTAATCCCAGCTACCCAGAAGGCTGAGGCATGAGAATTGTTGAAGCCGCAAGACAGAAGTTGCAGTGAGCCGAGACTGCGCCACTGCATTCCAGCCTGGGTGACAGAGAGAGACTCTGTCTTAAAAATAAAATAAAATAAAATAAAATTTAAAAGAAAATACTAAATCTGAATATGAGTAATATACGAGGTATTGTTTTCTGTATACTGGGTTTCAATACAATGACTATTTCTTATTTTACTTGTACTCAAAATTAAGCAAGTGTGCTTTAAGTAGAGAGACTACAGGTCTAATCCATCTATTTTCTTGTTTTTCTTTTTAATTTTTTTCTACGTTCTACAAATACTACTGTTGAGAGGTGAATACAGATCCCATCAATGTCTGATGGATATTCCGCCTTTTGTGTGGAGTAGCCACACAAGTGGTCATCTCCATGTTGAAAACCTGAGGTCAGAGTAGACCAGTGGTCCTTGTCATCTTCAGTTGTATATTAGAATATCATGGAAGTTTTTTAAAGGTACTGATGCTCACATCACACCCCAGACCATTTAAGTGAGAATCTCAAGATGTCAGTTCAAGGCATTCATCTTTATTGAAATCTCACCAGGTGCTTATTACATGGTAGCAGGATTTAGAGACAATGAATGAACCAACCTGATTTCTCATCATTTTCTTTCCTATCCCCTCATTTCTCTCGTGATTGCCTTCATTCTCTGTGGCTCTGTGGATTTTAGTCTTTCTTCTGACTATTTCAATTAAATCTCTCACTTGGGCTGGTCTGAGGCAAAGTCTGTCCTGTAGATAGGTTCTTGTCTATCATCTTGTGTAGACATAAAGCTGGCCCCTGAACTCACTTTTCTCAAAGTTAATTCATTAAATGCTCTCTTATTTCTCTGTCCTCAAGATTCACCTGAGTTGTGTTTTAGACTCTAACTGAGCTTGTAGAAGTAAATACGTGAATAAAAAGGACAGAGGTGAGAATGCACTTTGTGGTCTACGCAGGTTCAAAGTCCTGCCCTGCCCTCTGCATCTATCTTTGGCTGAGGTCCCTTTGGAATGTCATAAATGTTCTCCAGTTAATGTCAGCTAAGTGACTCCATGAAGAGCAGACACAGTCCCTGGAAACTTCATCCACGCTGGCATAAGGTTGCCCATCTAGAGATGAAGACACACCTGACTCCAGGCTAGTAGGGAACTCTCGTCTGTGACCCAGGTTCTAATTTAGTTTTTGATTTGGAGTTCTTAGTGCTCAGTTTTAACACTTCTCATTCCCATGTACAAGGTGAGGGTTACAGTTTGACTTAGTTGTGTTGCTCAAAAGCTGTCCCAAGAGAAAAATCTGTGTGTAAATGACGTATTAAAGCAATGCTCCTGGCAGAAAGGGGCAATGGAGTTTGGGATGCAGAAAGGAAAGGCAAATTACTCAAGCCGTGCAATTCCAGGCAAAGAACCCTGTGTTTAGCAGCTCACACCATGCACTTGGAGGGGGACAAGGAAGTTGGGCTCTCCTGCGGCCATGAGAGGGACTCTTAGGACAACAGCAGTGGGAACAGAGCAGAGTTCAGAGAGCAGAGTTCAGGGGATGGGGATCAGAAGGACCTGGCAGCATGGCAGCCCATGGGACACAGAGGTAATACCAGACAGAGGTGACAGCAGCTGCTGGAGAGAACAAATACAGAAGAAAAAAGCAGTGGGAGAAGGAGCTGTCATCATAGACAGAGAGGAATAAGGAGTGAGTGCAGCTAAGAGCCATAGATGTGATTATCTTCCTGCTCTAAGCTTGCAGGCCAGGGAATCTGCATGCCAGTCTCCACTTGCTGAACAGCAGTTTTCTTTTGATCATCTTCGGTTTTAGGACACTTGAGGCATGAATGTGGCCAATGACTTGATGCCCATGTATGTTGTCAGCTGAGCCTTCAATAGCATCACCTTCCAGCTGGGGAGGGTTCTTCATTCAAGGGAAGGCTCTAAACCCAGCTCTGAAAATGAAACCACACCCAACAGTGTTCACTGTCATCCATGATCTTACTGTGACTTTCTCTTCCACCCAAGAGGATCATCAGAGAAGGAAAGTGGTCTTGAATGAGAAAGTCCAACGGGTAAAGGGAAGCCAGGAAAGACATTTTGGTATTTTCTGTATTGTTGATTTTTCATGCATCACCCAGTAATGACAAGATTGCCAGGAGGAAAAGGTGATCCCAACTGACAAACATATTCAAAAAATTTAGGATTAATAAACACAAATAGTTTCCAGGTAGATAAGGCAAAGGCAAGGAAGTCAGACTGGATACAGGCTGTGTTTTGGGAGGGAGGAGATTCTAAAACTCAACATTAAATGAACATATGAGAGAAAAGAATTGGATAGACTAAACATGAGATATTGATGAAATGAGCATGCAGATATGTATGTAGCATATATCTACATTTTATTAAAAATACATGCCAAATATGCATAATATATATATCCAATGACATAAATGCATATATTTATATATATAAATCTATTGGAAGAAATTGTTACATAAGGATGTGGAAGATGTTGAATTAGCGTTATAATCACTAACATTATAATCTGGTCCACTGAAACTGGAAAAAATTTTAGAAAAATAAGATGAACGAGAGAGAGAAGACATGGTGAGAAACAAATGCCCTATTAGACAGCAAGGAGAAGTCACCAGGTAAAGGACAATGAAACAAAAGGCATTCACTCTGTCCTCTTGCCTGGAACCTGGTTAGTGATCCGGACTCCTGGGAAAGCCAGCAGGTAAGAGTGTTGGAGCCAGCGGGGTGAGTCCTGACTAGGGGTGCAGGAATCCATGGAGAAGCAAAAGAGACACCAGTGGGAAGAAATCAGTTTAAATACTCAAAGTTATCAGGGCACGTGTCAGGGACTACGCATCCCCCGACACTCACTGAGCGTTTTCCATGTGTCCTCTCCATGGACCCAGATGGTGCTCGTTATCTCACGTGACCCTCCCTCCTCCTGAGGACGTGGGTCTCCTTATTCCTCGGCTGGGGGCATCGATTGACAGATGAGCACCAGGCAGCCCCAGGGGCTCCAGGAGTAGATATTGAGTGGGACGGAGAGTAAGGATGAACACAACCCAGGGTTTTAAGGAAATCTGGGCAGAAGTGGATCCCTGTGAGAAGAAAACTGAGGACATGGCCGTGGGCATGAATGGAGATGATGAACTAAATGGAGTTTCATAAAAGAGACAGATTTATACCCTTTCCATGAGAAGGTTGCCCTTTCATTCTTTTATTTCAAAACGAGGGGAGAAAACAGAGCAAGAAGCTGGGTATGTCAGGAGACTGACTTGTGGGCCCAGGATTTGCACTTTTACTAATGTGCCTAATAGGTTGTTACTGAAGTGCATGACCGGGGGAAATTGACTTAAAAAGGGATGCTGAGGAAGAGAAAGAAAACTGGCAAAAGATACTTTCTAAGTAAACACAGGAAGGGAGTCTCTAGAAAGTAGAGATCCTAACAGTTACTCTTCCTCAGTTGAAACAATGCACGTGAAGTCATTTCCTGAGTGCTAACTTACCAGAAAGATAACAGAATTAGATAACATCTATTCATAGATTTATTAAGCAATTTTTACTGAATTAGCCCTTTGGAAATTATCATAATTAATGTTATCAACAATGATGGAATGTAGATATTATTTTTCAGGTCTCTCAGATGACAGGACTGAGATGTAAATGCCAACACCACAAATAACTTGGCCGAGATGAATAATGAGTAAGGGTTAAGCCCAGGACCTGAGAGCAGATTTGATCCTAAACCCCAGGCTCTTGCTCACCTCACTGGGTTGGAACATTGTGGATTTCTGCTTGACTCTGAGGGAGCACGAAGAGACCCCATTGCCTCCTCCCCTCACAGCACCATGACCAGGACACCCGGATGAGAGCTTCCTGGTCCCCTTTCCTTCCCTACCTTGGAAGGGCCATTGGTTCCCAGGATCACCGTTGGTTGTGAAGCTGCAGGTGGTGGAGGAAACATCCTGCCTGGCTAAGCCATAGCCACAGTCAAACCCTTGATCCAGTTGCAGTCACAGACAATTGGGCACCAGGGTTCTTGGCTCCAGCTGTGCCTGTGAAGTCTCCACCTCTGACAGTTGGTGGCTCAAGTCTCCACTCCAAGGCCCGTGAGGACAGGCCACCTGGGTGGGAGCTGAAAGGAGAAGGGGCTTCAGTAGGAACGCTCTCAGTTTTCCCTTTGTTAATCATGCCCAGAACACCCATCTCTGACATCTCCGCCTCTGAGGTAAGCCACCCAGTGGCCCAGGCCACAAAGACAGACATCATGTAAATGGGGTGATGTCACCTTCCTGTCTGTGCCTGGGGATGCTGAGATGGAAGGTACCCAGGCTGGATGACCCTGAAGTGAAAAACCCCCACTTCAGCCCAGAGGGCTTTGGATTGGCTAACAAGGCCATGCCAAATATTCTGTTATTATTAATCTCCATCCTGCAGCCTAGAAAGAATGTTCTGGAGAACCTTCAGAGCATAGGAAATGCTATTTTTCTCAACACACAGGAGTATAAGAACAGGGGAGGACTTAGAGCCTCCAGGCTTTGGGAAGGAACCATAGAAAAGGGTTTTGGGACACTGTAGACCAGCAGTCTCCAAACTTTTTTGCCTCGGGGACTGGTTTCGTGGAAGACAATTTTTCCTTGGACCAGGGGTGGGGGACGTGAAAAGAGGGAAGGATCATTTCGGAATGAAACTGTTCCACCTCAGATCATCAGGCATTAATTAGATTCTCGTAAGGAGCGCGCAACCTAGATCCCGTTCATGCGCAGTTCACAATAGGGTTTGTGCTTCTATGAGAATCTAATGCCACCGCTGATCTGACAGGAGGCGGGGCTCAGGCTGGAATGCTCGCTTGCGGGCCACTCATATCCTGCTGTGCGGCCTGGTGCCTAACAGGCCCAGGACAGGTAGCTGACCACAGCCCCGGGGGCTTGGGGCCCCCTGCAAGAAACCAAATACTACATGAGGCGAACTTTTAAGAGTTCTGAAACATTTTGAATTTCCGTTGCCTATAATGGTTTTACCACCAACCCACACATATACATCTTGTTGCCACATAGTGGGTTTCCGCAGCCATACGCAATGTTGTAAAGGGACCAGTCCCTTCACGGACACTTAGGGGCCACAGGTATTACAGATCAGTATGTGTGGTTCTGTAGGGAGGCAACACCGAGCACAATCCTCATCTTACCCACTCCTCCAGTGGGGTCCGGGCAGCACCCCCTCATAAAAATTATTGCTGTTTCCACAGGAAGAGGAAATCACATTCTCAGAAAGTGGACAAAATGCATTATGATTTGCAGTGGTTTTCGTTTTCTTTTTTTTCTTTCTTTTTTTTTTTTTCCCCCGAGACAGACTCTCGCTCCGTCTCCCAGGCTGGAGTGCAGTGGCGCCATCTCGGCTCACTGCAAGGCGATTCTCCTGCCTCAGCCTCCCAAGTAGCTGGGATTACACGGACGCACCGCCACCCCCGGTTAATTTTTGTATTTTTTTAGTAGAAACAGGGTTTTACTATGTTGATCAGGGTGGTCTCCAACTCCTGACCTCAGGTAATCTGCCCACCTTGGACTCCCGAAGTGCTGGGATTACAAGCGTGAGCCACCGCGCCCGGTTCTTTTTTGAATGTTTGGAAGAGTTGAGCTGTGTGGCCATTTGGTCCTGAGCTTCTCTTTGTTGGGAGGTTCTTCAGTCCTTTTATTTGTTATTGGTCGTTCAGGCTTTCGGTTTCTTCTTGATTCAATCCTGGTAGGTTGTGTGTTTCTAAGAATTTATCCATTTACTCTAGGTTATCCAATTTGTTGGTATAGAGCTGTTAATAACAGTTTCTTTTTTCTTTTTTTTTTTTTTTTGAGACGGAGTCTCGCTCTGTCGCCCAGGCTGGAGTGCAGTGGCAGGATCTTGGCTCACTGCAAGCTCCGCCTCCCGGGTTCCTGTCATTCTCCTGCCTCAGCCTCCCGAGTAGCTGGGACTACACGCTACTGGGTAGCTAGCTGGGTAGCAGGCACCCGCCACCACGCCCGGCTAATTTTTTTATATTTTTAGTAGAGACGGGGTTTCACCGTGTTAGCCAGGATGGTCTCGATCTCGTGAACTCGTGATCCGCCCGCCTTGGCCTCCCAAAGTGCTGGGATTGCAGGCGTAGGAGCCACCGCGCCCGGCCTAATAATAGTTTCTTATGATCCTTTTTACTTGTGAGGCTTCTGTTGTAATGCCTCCACTTTCATTTCGCATGTTATTTATTTGAGTCTTCTCTATTTTTTTCTTAGTTAGTTTAGCCAAGTGTTTGTTAATTTTACTTTTTCCAGAAAAACAACTCGGGTGCGAGAGGCCTACGTTGCATCACCACTGGAGGCCAGTAGTTCCCAATCAGCCTGGAAAGAATAGTAAGACGTTGTCTCTCCTAAAAAGAGAAAAAGAAAGAGAAAGGAAAAGGAAAACAAAACAAAACAAAACAAAACAAAAAACCAACAACTCACTTTTATTATTTTTCTGTAGTATTTCTGTTCTTCAGTTGATTTACTTCTGCATTGATTTTTGTTTCCTTTTTTCAGTGAACTTTGGATTTATTTTGTTGTTTTTTTCCTGGTTTCTTGAGGTGTAATGTTTATTTGAAGTCTTTCTTCTTTTTTAATGTATGCATTTATGGTTATAAACTTGACTCTTAAGAGCTGTTTTTGCTGTTTCCAAAGATTTTGTTATGTTTGTTTTCACTTTTGTTGGCCTCAATATATTTTCAAATTTCCCTTTTGATTTGTTCTTTGATCAATCAGTTGTTCAAAGGCAAGTTGTTTAATTTCCATGTATTTTTTAATTTTCCAGTTTTCCTTATGTAGTTAATTTTTAGTTTCATACCATTGTGGTCAGAAAAGGTACTCGATGGGATTGGAATCATTGTTAATTTGTCTAAGATGTACTCTTCATTATTTTAATTGATGTATAATTGTTGCACACATTTTGGGGATACACATGATATTTTGATAAACATATACAATTTATAATGATCGAATCAGTGTAAGTAGTATATCTGTCACCTCAAAACTTTATCTTTTCTTTATGTTAGGAATATCCCAATTCCTCTCTTCTAGTTATTTTAAAATATACAAGAAGTTATTTTGAGTTATAGTCTCCCTAATATACTATCAAATACTAGAACTTATTCCTTCTATTTAACTATATTTTATATGCATTAACCAATATCTTTTCTTCCTTCTCCCCTATCTCCTTCCCAGCCTCTTGTAACCACTAATTTTAATATATGATATGACACATGAATTCAGTTTTTTCTACTTGTTTATTTTTATATGGTTACAAATATGTCACATCCATTGCTTAAAAAGAAAATCTTCAATCGTTTGTTGAAATATTATGCATTTTTAAATACATTGCTTTTTCAAGATTGTCAAAAATCTGTTCTCAATATATGTGTTCATTTATATTTGGACTCTATTTTCTTTTGATCCATTTAATTGATCACATACCAAAGCTCTGTTGTGGCCATTACAACTCTGTGATTGTTCTTTAAATCAGGTGGAGCTAGCCCTCCAATTTTGCACTTCGTTATACAGGCATTTTGGTTATGCTAGTTCATGTTAATTTTAGAATCAGCTGCCATTTTCTACCAACGATGCATGCTGAAATTTTGAGTCGGATTGCATTGAATTCATAGATCAAATTAGGGGAAATGAACATCTCAACAATATTCTTACACATGAGCAAACAATATCTTTCCAGTTATTAGGCCTGCACTATGTTCTCTGTGAAATATGCTCTAATTTTCAGTCATATTCACATTTATGGATTTTATACACTTGACATTATTGTAAATGGTATTCCTTTTACATTTAAATTCTGCTGTGCAATTGCATAAACACAATTTATTTTTGCATATTGATCTTATATCCTGCTAGAAACAAATGCTTTTTGGATTCAGGTTTGATTGGCCAGTGGCAATATCTTTGGAAACTTGCGTATTTACCAGGCATGAAGAATCTTTCTCATTTCAATTGGAGCTTTATCACCAGCCCAAGGGAGAGGAATGTCCTAACGCATATCAAGTTCTGAGGTTGGGAAGAGTTTGTCCTTTGTAGACAAATGCATGTGAAATGTTCTGTATGTTCACCAATAAGTTTTCCTTAAGATTACTCATGCAGTTATAAGGCTGCCCATCTGCACTTGTGTTTAGCTGCAATACTATAGTTGTAAAATTTAGAAGCCAATGTTCTCCCTTAGTTTAAAATTTAATATTCAAGAATCTATTCCAACATTATGTAGTGCCAAAAACTTGGGGATGATATGCAATGATATGTCCAGCAAGTATGAGTTTGTACCTGATCCTTATTAGTCTTCCTTCTGATGTGATCTATTATAAAATGAGACCTTTAAGAGCTTTAAAATAATTAATAATGGCATGCTGAGGAGGTTAGTTTGTGGGATATTCAGTAGCCGTAGGAAACAGTAGTTCCTACTCTGTATCTCAAGTGGGAGTCCACTCTTCAGTATGTCAGCTTCAAGACCCTGATCTGCAGTGGAATTTGCAGCCCCCTGCTGTGTCAGCTTCATTACTTCAAGGGAGGGTGAATGCCTTCAGTTCTTTAGGTCACAATTGACACATGTAGCACATTTTGGTACCTCTTCAGTTACTGACCTTTATGCCCACTCATGTCAGGCTTGCTCACCTGAGTGATTCACAAGATCACATTCCCAATGCATCAGATCACAGTGTCACAAAAAAAAAAGCATTTATTTTTCGTTATGAATCTCTCCTGAATTTCAACCTTGATAGGCTAACATGGCTCACAAACAGCTTTAAATTTGGTTTCTCAAATGTCTGTCTAATGGTTTACAAAAGTCCAGTTACTCAAATGTATTTATCTTACAGTCCGGTTTTCTATTGTTCCATGCTGTGCCTCAGTGACATAAACCAAGAGTCAGTATATAAAAAAGATTTATTCCCACTGGTTTATAACCAACCAATAACTAGTATGCCTGTTATATATAGTTCTGTGCATTGGGTTGCCAGTCTCCTTCCTTCTTTTGCCTGATTTTTGTTGGAAGTGGAGATGATGTAATGTTATGGGTCACTTCTATTAGTGTCCCTGGACTACAGTTCTACCATCTATTTTTTAAGCTATTTTACCTCGTTATTATAAGATCTGCATATTTGTGAGCATCATTTATGTTATTAATAGTTAACATCTGGGGGGGTGGGGGAGGGATAGCATTAGGAAATATACCTAATGTTAAATGATGAGTTAATGGGTGCAGCACACCAACATGGCACAGGTATACATATGTAACAAACCTGCACGTTGTGCACATGTACCCTAATACTTAAAGTATAATAATAAAAAAAAAAAGTTAACATCTATGGTAGTCACTTCTTTGGTTATGTCAGAGACTAAAATCTGAAAATCAGAAATTCATTCTTTATTTCAGGTGTGTGCATGCTGTTGTGTTGATCCCTCTCCCCTCCCAGAAAAGTCATTGTAGGCCCAAGTCGATGAAGGGACAGACTGTGAAAGAACAGATGCAGAGCATGGACTAAGTATGCAGTGCCCACTGAATCAAAAACTTTGCTGAAGTTGCTTTTCTGCGATTGTCTAACATTCCTCTGAGTCACCTTATCTGCTGCTTAAAAGCCCCAAAGCATTTCCTTAACTGTCTTGTGGCCATTGTTATAAACTCTGCTCTGCTCTTCCTGTGTCAACTACCACACAGTCTGTTTCATTGCATGGCCCTAAAGGCAGAGCCATTTTTCCAACTTTAAGTGCACTAAGGGTATCCTGTTTCTACAAAACCAGTGGATGTTAGTGGTTCTCTTAGGGATTTTTTTTTCTTTTTTTGTCATATAAGGCCATAATTGGAGTAATGTGAAAAATATTTTTTCCTCCAGAAGTTATTAGATGCTGCTATATCCAATATTTGTTCTATCAGTACACTATAATGTATCCCAGCTATGCATTTTATATTTCCTAAAACTTCACTTCTGAGAAGGCCCTTCATGTGTTTTTAAAAATTCATGGCCCACCCAGCAGCATTACTAAGTCTTTTGGAGTCTAGCCTCATGGTCTTTCTGTTGATTTTCCTGCTGTCAACATGTAATCTGTGAAATGAAACAAAGGGAGGGGATCCAGGCCAAGACTTGGCGACATTCACTTATGACAGTCAGTAGTCAGACACTATGTGCAGAGATCCTCCAGATTCTGTTTGACCAGCATCTTTGGGAGGTTAAGAGCCCAGCCCTGTCAGAACCACTATTCATTATCATCGACCCTTTCACCAGAATGCACCTGTGGGTGTCGGCTACTGATTTTCTCACCTGCAGGCAACTCAGGCTGAGCTGAGAGCAGAAATCTTAAGCTCTTGTCACTAAGGACTCTTCTGTGCTTCCTCTGTATCACCCGCCATAACTAGCATAATGCTTTACCCACAGGGGCTCAAGAGATGCATTTGTTGAGCTCAACAAATTGAGAATCCAAGTTGTCTTGATAAGCAGAGATGTTATGGTGTAGAGAATTGGATAGGGTAAGCAGAGGAACAAAACAGGTTGTCATTTTGTTGTTGTTGTTGTTGTTTCTAAGAGTACAAAAATTGTGACTGGCAACTGCTGGGGAATCCTAAGGCAGGACTTTAGTCCCTAACCCCCCTACATTCTCACTACATTCATGGAAGCTGCTTTACTCCTTTCCACCTTAGGTATTTCATCTATAATTAGAGGATAAAACACACAACTTCTAAATGCTAGTACTATGACTGATATAGAATTTATTTTGGACATGGGTGAATCTTGGAGTCTCCAAAGCATTTAAATTACCAGACAGAGGCTGGGAGTGGTGGCTCACGCCTGTAATCCCAGCACTTTGGGAGGCCGAGGTGGGTGGATCACCTGAAGTCAGGAGTTCGAAACCAGCCTGGCCGACGTGGTGAAAACCCGTCTCTACTAAAAATATAGGAAATTAGCCGGGCGTGGTGGCACACACCTGTAATCCCAGCTACTCAGGAGGCTGAGGCAGGAGAATCACTTGAACCCAGAGGCAGAGGTTGCAGTGAGCCGAGATCATGCCATTGAACTCCAGCCTGGGTAAAAAGAGCGAAACTCCGTCACAAAAAAACAAAACAACAACAACAAAAACAAAAACATATATATATATATATATATTACCAGACAGAAGATAGATAATCTGTGATTACTATGTCAAGGACAATTTTAGAATACTTGTTAAATTCACCCCTTTCTTTTCACAGCTGGCCAGGACATAGTCAGTAGCTACTGATACCTTGAATACCTTGGGTGTGTTAACTGTTTTGACCCATCATGGAGCCAAGATGTTGGTTGTACCTTGAGATGCTGATCTGGCTGAAGTCCAGGGTCACGGGCCCAGGATAGGTCATTCAGCTATTTGAAAAAAACAGAAGAGAGACCAGGCCATCCACTGAGGTCATCTCCATGCAGCATGGGCCACTGGTTCCAGTGAACCCACCATCACCATACTTCTCAGGAATCGCTGGTCACTAGACTGAGAGTTCTGTCAAAGCTGAGATCATATCTTGCTAATCTCTGTGTTCATGGTTCCCAGCTCAGGGTCTAGCACTAAGGGAGTTCTCAGGAGAGTGTTCATCAATTATTGAATAAAAGCGATTGCAAACCTCCTCTCACCTGCATTCCTGTCCCAAATATCCTGTCAGGGAGGCTGAGATTTCTCCCAGGATGCAGCAAATCCCTTTCCTTAGACTGGCCCTTGCCTTACACCATTCATGCCCCAGGATCCCTCTCTGTGGGACATTGGAGGAAAATGAGTCTGTTCTGAAGAAGTCCTCTTATGATTCCCCCTGTCATTAGGAGCAATGTCTTCACTTAAACTCCCACTCTATGGGTTGCCACAGCACCCCAATGTGGGGGAACTTTCATATTTTCTTAAAAAGCTATATTTCTGTTCTTTCTCTCATGGGCTTGAGTTCCTTTGGGGAGACATTAATATCTGAATCCCAAGTGTTTAACACAGCGTAAAGAAAATTAAACACCAATAAATATTTATGAGATATCATTTGGAAACCTCCTTCAACTGTAAGTACAGAAGAATATTATAAGTATCACTGCTTTGTATACTAGCAAGGGACACTTACTCTAGCACCTGACCTAGGGCAGAGCTTTTTAACATAAGAATGGATGTCTCCAACCCTTCTCCCAGCATGGTTATTCCCTCTAACCCACACTGACCTGAAGAGCATCCACTGCTACGGCAGCCCCAAGGTCAAGCCTCCTGGGTCTGGGGCGGGGCTCATGGTCACATCTTCCCCCTCTTGGAGTTGCTGCTGCCCCTCACTATAAACCAGATGTCATCCAGCCTGTGGCTCTCCCTGGCCAGGGGCAGGAGACTCCTGTGGAGTAAATTTCTCTCTCAGTCCCCACTGCTCAGCTCGCGCTGCTCCTTGAGAGTTTGGATGATGACAGGCATTGCCCATTTCCCCTGAGGCTTCTATCCCAACTTGTCCTTATTCCCCCCTTCTTTGGTTTTCATTTACCAATGGCTTGTCCTTTGTGAGTTGTTCTCATCCCCTAAACCTGCTGACTTTCTTTCTTTCATCTGTTCCCTCAGTTCTGGGCTTCCAGTGTGTGGACTCAGCTCAGGCTCCTGCAGGAGACACACAGAGTCAGGTCTCAGCTGCAGGTCCTGGGTGGCATTAAAAACCATCTCAGCAGAGTTTCACCATGTCTGCCAGGCTTGGCCGGTTGTGGTGGTTCACGCCTGTGATCCCTGCACTTTGGGAGGCCGATGCAGGTGGATCGCCTGAGATGGGGAGTTCGAGACCAGCCTGGCCAACATGGTGAGACCCCATCTCAACTGAAAATGCAAAGGATTGGCTGGGCGTGGTGGCGTGCACCTGTAGTCCCAGCTACTCGGGAGGCTGAGATAGGAGAGTTGCTTGAACCCGGGAGGTGGAGGTTGCGGTGGGCCGGGATTGTGCCACTGCACTCCAGCCTGGGCAATGAGAACAAAACTCTGTCTCCACCAAGGTGACATTTTCCACCCTGTGTCCTGTTCCCCAATAAAAACAAATTCACAAATTCACAAAAAACTAAACTAAACTAAAACTGTCTCAAAAAAAAAAAAAACCCCACCATGTTGGCCAGGCTGGCCTCCAACTCCTGTCCTCAAGGGATCCTGTAATCTCCCCATTTTGGGAGGCCGAGGCGGGCAGATCACTTGGGGCCAGAGGTTTGAGACCAGATTGGGCGACATGGCAAAGCCCCATCTCTACAAAACATATAAGAATCAGCCAGGCGTGGTGGCATGCACTGCCTGTGGTCCTGGCTACTTGGGAGGCTGAGGCTGGAGGATAGCTTGGGCCGGGAAGCTTGAGGTTGCAGTGAGCAGAGATCATACCATTGTACTCCAGCCTGGGTGACAGAGCGAGACTTTTTCTTTAAAAAAAAAAATAGAGGCTGGGCACAGTGGCTGACGCCTGTAATCCCAGCACTTTGGGAGGCCGAGGCGGGCGGATCACGAGGTCATGAGATCGAGACCATCCTGGCTAACATGGTGAAACCCCGTCTCCAATAAAAAATACAAAAAATTAGCCGGGCGAGGTGGCGGGCGCCTGTAGTCCCAGCTGCTCGGGAGGCTGAGGCAGGAGAATGGCGTGAACCCGGAAAGCGGAGCTTGCAGTGAGCTAAGATCGCGCCACTGCACTCCAGCCTGGGCGATGGAGTGAGACTCTGTCTCAAAAAAAAAAAAAAAAAAAAGAAAAAAGAAAAAAAAAAAAAGAATTGACTTGAAGGAGTCAGGCCGGAAGGCCAAATAGGAGATGAATGGGGATAGCGGCTGGAATAAGGGCAGTGGCAAGGAAAATGGGCTAGGGGTTAGGGAAGGGGGCCGACTGGCTGTGCACCCAAATGCTAAAAAGGGTCCAGAAAGGAATGTGTTCAGCTATTTTTCAAGGACTTCTAAATTAAACTCTCTTAAATGATGTTTATATTAAGGCTGGTGGTGGAGTCTTTCAGAGGCAGTGTTGGTGCTAGAAGAGCTCTTGAGGATCATACAGCCTCCCCCCTCAATTTCACAGTGAAAGAAAACCTCAGAGAAGCAAAGCAACTTGCTCAAGGTCACACAGCATTTCAGCGGTAGAACATGACTCGTGGTTCTTAGATAGCATTACCCAGCCTCCACTGAGGCTAATGGCTGTAGGCGCTATGCCAACATGACTAGATCTAAGGCGACCCAAGCAATATTTTAAGGGACTGAACGCAGATTCCCTCTCTTCCCCTTCGCCACCCCTTCCTCCACGCGCGACTCCAGTGATCAATGAATAATTGTGGAAACAGTTCCTTTGTGCAGAACACTTCGTTAAAAGAGGTGCAGAGATACACGTCTGCGGTAGGATTCCTTATCCTGAGATCTGAGAGCACCTCGATGCTTCCCCAACCTGCTAGGTGAGGGTGGAAAGGGCATTCCTGAGGCAGCCGGTGCCCCTCCTCTGCCCCCCAACTCCCACGTGGTTTCTCCAGCCAAGTTCTCACGGAGTGGCCCCTCCCTCAGCGGCTCCACTGTTGCCATAGCAATTGGGTGGGTGGACAGCCCGTCCTATCTAGAGGCCACCCAGCCCTCGCGTGGGGAGTTACCATAACAACCCCCTAGTAATAGAGGGGGTTGGGTACCGCCCCCTTCCCCAGCAAATGGAAAGGTGGGTGGCTTGATTGGCAGCTGGGCACACGAAAGAAGGAGGGAAAGGGAAGGAAAAAAATAAATAAATAAAAACCATCTCAGTTCCTCAGAGACTCAGAGAAAACACAGTAGGAAGCGACCTCAGAGAGGAACAATAAGCCCCTACCTCACTGAGGAGGAAAGTGAAGCCAAGAAAGACTAAGACTCTCCCAGGCTCCCTCACCACATGGTGGCAGCAGATCGACCACACAAGCCTTGGCCTCAGCCTCCAGGTCCAAAGCACCTAACTCACCCACCAGGAACTCACTGCTGCGTTTCAGAAAACTTTGGATCAAAAACAGCAATTTCCACTGTGAAAACAAATAAAGTAAAAGGGCTTTTCCTTGGACAAACCTTTTATCACGGTTCTGTAGTCCTAGTATTTATACTCAGTCAGTTGTCATTCGCTGGCTGGTAGATTCAGGCAGGGAGCAATTAAAGATTAAGTAATGCTTAACACAAGCCTGCTCTCCCAGCCTGGGATCTCAGCTCCTCCCTTCTTCAGGGAGTTTCCTCTGCTCTAACTGCTGGAGAGTCTCAGCCCTCATGTGGGTCATTTCTCCATGGTGATACCTATTATTTTCTTCCTCTCTTGGAGATAAGAGAGGGCAGAGATTGGTTCTGGGTCTCCACAATTCTAGGTTTTCTCCTAAACCAGCCAGGTCAGCTGAAAGCAATCATGACAGAGAGGTCAGGTCAGTGAAGAGGGTCCCAGGGGAGCAGGGGGTCACAAGGACAGCCCCTCATGGAGATGGTCAGGACCGTGACGTGGGCAACATTTGACCAATTCTGCTGGGGATGATGTGCCAAGGATTAAGGGGAGGATGCTGCCATAAGGAGAAAGGGGAAGAACCAAGGGAGTAGGAGAGGAAGGAAAATAAAATGATTGCCATAAAGATAGAAAGAAATGCAGACTCCAGAGGCAAAGCCCCATGTCACAGAAGGTTAGTTCCAGGTTGTGGATCCTAACCACGCAATTCCTGCTGGACTTTGCTCAGCCCCATTTCAAAAAGGTTTTGGATCAGTGACTTCTTTGTTACTTCCACTTTCCCCGTTTGTGAACAAGAATCACTAGAATTGTTTTTCTAGGAGGGGGGAGGGATAGCATTAGGAGATATACCTAATGCTAAATGATGAGTTAATGGGTGCAGCACACCAGCATGGCACATGTATACATATGTAGCTAACCTGCACATTGTGCACATGTACCCTAAAACTTAAAGTATAATAAAAAAATTTTTAAAAAAAAGAATCGTTTTTCTATGTCTGTCCCACCATTGCACACTGAGGGCAGATAAGCTGTTTGTTCAGTTTCACAGGTTGATAGAGGGAAGGGAATTATGTCAAGGACACCCTCAGAAGCCTCATTCATACTTGGTGTGGATGATTAAGATAAGATTTTAAATTTTTGATCTGGTGTGGTCTACATACCATTTTTCACTTTGAACTAACGCTTTAATGACATGAAATTTGGAAACCTTAGGGGAGAGGGTGAATGTATTTTGCAGATGGGGGAATGTGAGTGTCCAACTGCGGTAGATGGAATTTCTGAAATGGTCCCCAAACATGCCACACCCTTGTCTCTAAAGCCTGTTAAGGTGCTGAGACATCATTCTGGTGATTATGTTGTTATAAGCCAGTTATACGACTTTAAGATGGTGAGGTTACCTGTGTAAACTGGATCTAATCACATCACTGCATACATGCCAGTGGTTTCTCTAGCTGTCAGAAGAAGGTAACGTCAGGAAGAATGGGAGCTTGAGAAGGACTCCATGAGCTGTTATTGGGACAGCCAGCACAGAAAAAGAAAAACCAGTCTTTCAACTCCCACAAAATGAATTCCTCCTATACCTGAAGTGAAATTGGAGAAGTAGCCTGAGCTCCACGTAACTACATAGCCAGACACACCTGGATTCAGCTTCCTAAAACCCTTATCAGAGAACTCAGCCTCTGTTCCAGACTTCTGTGGTTTCAATCCACTAGTTTGTTGCATGTGTTAATAGGCAGCAATAGAAAACTGGTACAGATGCCTATCTCTACTCTTGATTTATTATTTCAGATACATGGAAGCTAATCCCTCTAAGAGAAAAAAATTAAAGAGCAAAGAACTACAGCAAAAATCTTGCACTCACGTTCACCTTTATGTCACTATTCTGGAGCCCTTGCAACCTGAAGAAGATAATGAGAGGCATTCCAAGCATGTGAGGAGTATCTCTAATGTTACCAACCAAATTTCTGAAAGAATAAAGATGGTACAATACTAACTCCACATAATCTTATGTGCAAATTCATCATCTATCTCTATTTCTTATAGCAGATTTTTTTCTTTTTTAGCTCATTCATTTAGGCTTGCCAGACCAGGTTTGGTAGCAACTATCAGTTATCGGTAAAAATGAAACAATTCACGAAGAGCAATGAACAGGACTATTAAGTTCATCAAAAAAGTCCCTAAAATGCAATATTTCCTCAAATGTCACAAAAGTAAGACAATGATTCACTACAAAAAATCCCAATCTAAGAAAATTTGAAATTTAATGATGTCGGATTTCCAAATTTTTATTTTGTTGGGGCCCAGTCATGGGCACCAGAGATTAGGAAATGACTGTGCAGAGGCTTTAGGGTATTTGGGGAAATGACAAAAATATTCTAAAACGTGACTCTGCTGATGGCTGCACAATTCTACAAACCTCCTTAAATGGTTACATCGTAGATTTAAAATTGGTGAGTTTTATTACAAGTAACTTTTTTTTTTTTTTGAGACAGAGTTTCACTCTGCATTTTCCTCTCACCTGCCCCACACCTCTTCCAAATCTGTTCTTTCACTTCCAGGTCGTTGAGTTTTTCCATTTAAAAATATAAAAGATACAGAAAGAAGAAGATAACCAGTCATCCATATTCCCATCACCTGGAATTAAGTACTATTCACATATGTACATATTTTTTCTTCCAAATCATTTTGAAGTTACTCTCTTTTTTTTTAATTATACACGCTTAGCATAGACCATACCACCAATACAGAAAAAGTACAGATAGGTAAAATTTCTGATCACCTTAAGTTCAAAATAACTTTTGTTAACATTAGGGCAACACTGATCGAGTCATGTTCTTCTGGTATATCTACAGAGAGAAGAATGTATATTTTAGCTAGACTGTCCCCCCCGCACCCCCGCAAAAGAAAAAACAAACAATAAATAAAGCTCTCTCTATATATACACACACATATATATGGGAGCTGTATATTATATATATGCTTTTGTAAAATTGAACTTAGACTCTATTTTTATTTTACAAATATTCCATTTAATAGTGCATGAATTTAACTGAAGACAAAGAGACAGAAACAGAAATGAAGGAATTCCTGAACTCTCAATCACATTTAGCGAGACGCTTTTCTAAAGGAATCCTCTAAAGCTAAACATACATTAAATTAAGTAGAATGCATTATGATTTGCTGTGTTTTTTTTTTTTTTATTTTTTTTGAGACGGAGGTTTTTTTTTTTTTTTTTTTTTTTTTGGCTCTGTTGCCCAGGCTGAAGTGCAGTGGCTCGATCTCGTCTCACTGCGACCTCCGCCTCCCATCCGCCTGCCTCAGCCTCCCAAAGTGCTAGGATTACAGGCGTGAGCCACCGCGTCCAGCCTGCAGTGGTTTTCTTACTACTTTTTACAATCAAATTGATTAAGGCATTGGTTGAATATGGTACACTGCATCCATTTCAAGTTTGATGACATGTCTACTACTCCAGAAGGTCCTCTTGTGCCCTTTGCAGTCAGTCCCCTCGACTCCCTGACCCCAGCAATTAATGATGTATTTTCTGCCACTATACAGGTTAGTTTCACATGTTCTAGAAATTCATCTTGATGGCACCACATAGAATGCACTCTTTTCATCACTCAGCATGAGGTTTTTGAGATTGGCCCATGCTATCTCATGTTTCCATAATTTGTCCCATCTTATTGAGGGTAGTACTCCGTTGGATGAATATATCACAATAGGTCCATTCACCTCTTGATGCATATGAACCTTTTCCAGTTTGGGGACTATTGTAAACAAAGCTGCTAAGAACAAGTTCTTTTTGTGAATATATGTTTTGTAAATTCCACTTGTCATTCTTTATTATTAACTGATTTTGTAAAATGATGTCACCTTCACAAGTGCAAAATTCATTCAAATGTTACAGAGGCCTGAAGCATAAGTCTACACAATTTCCTTTGTTATATTTCATAATTAAGGGGAAAAAACTTTATCTGGGATGTTGTTTCCTATCAGCAAATCCTTAATGTAAGCCATACAGGATGCTAGCTGTACTATTAGACTATCTTCTGTAATCTGTGCAATAACTCTAAGAAGTACTTCGTATTATTATTTTCCTGTAACACTTTCCAACTTGAAGCCTAGCAAATTGAAGGACCTGGTCCCAGGTCAAACAGAAGGCAAGCGGCAGCGCCAGGACTGGAAGAAGGCCTTCCCAAAGGCAGACAGAAGCTCACGTCTTTGTCAGAACCTCAGTATTTCTGATGCGCCTGGAAGCCAATATCCAAGCCGTTCTCAGCCACTGGATTGGTGGGCTGCTTTGCTCAGAAGCTCCTCGATCAGGAATCCCAAGCATACGTTAGTGATGACGGTCCCAAAACAAGGGACATTTCTTAACCATTCTAAAAACCCGTTTGCTCATCAGTAACGCAATAAGAGTTGCTTTCGGTCTTGGTTCATATATTTTATATTTGAGCAAGGCAATGTCCGCTGCTGGGGTTAGAAGTAAATGGCTCGTCTTCAGCAAACTAGATCAGTCCGTGGGACGTACGGCTTCCACTCGCAGTGTCCTGAACACTGGCTGGGCTTCCTGTGCGTTCTAGCCGGTTTTCTTTGGAGCCGCGGGTTTCTGCACGGCTCCGGGGTCGGGATGGCAGAGGCTTCTCGGAACACGCGGATCTATGAGTGCAGTCCCCGGGGTAGCCACCAGGGAACGCCATAGGCTTTCCCGCTGTGTTCCTCCTTGCCTTTTCCGTTTGGGCCAAGTAGTTTCTATTGACCATGACATTACAGATCAGAAGTGGGTGGGGTCAGAAAACACACCCTGGGAGAAGCTGGCAAAATGCCCAGAACCGCCATCACTAGGCCTGGGGTTTTCTTCTGTAGTGGAATTCTCGTGCTTATGTAGTACAGGGAGGAGCGCAGCGCATTTCCGCCAAGACAGGTGAGTCTGCAGTTCTGACCTGCGGGTCTCGATGAATTGCGTTAGGGCCCCTGGGCGCCGGCAGAGCCGATCTCCTACACAAAGCAAGCGTGTTATGTCTACAACCGAACGGGGACACTAAGAAAGAGCCCCAAAGGCCCTGCTTTCATCCCAAAGAACAGCGCCTGTCTGCGTAGTTTCTACCTTGCTCTATAAGGTGAGAACACCTTCACCGCTGGCACAGAAATCCTACAAACTCCTGTGGGGACCGCGGTTACAAGCAGACGCTGTGTGAAAGGTGACTCTGGGGGCTAGGGAAAAACACGAAGATTTTCACAGAGCGTGAGACCCCAAGAGACTGGAGACCATGGACCAAATTTCTGCGAACAGTAGCCTTATGTAGAAAGAGCTATGCAATCTTCGTGCTAGTTAGCTTGTGATACACATGCTCACAAAGGCTGGCGCTTCCTTCTCCAGTGAAAAGCAAGGCGATATATCACTTCCCGATTCAAAGCATCCAACTGTAAGAATAACAGTGTAGGGAGAAAGGTCTATAGTCATGGCAATATTGCCTAATGATATTTTTTTCTGTGATGGTCATTTTATAATATTATTTAAAAGTTTTTTTTAATTAAACAAGCGATGGAACTTTGAACAGAAAAATATGAAATTAAAACAATAAAAATTACCCATAATCACACTAGACTGTGATAACTAAACTGTGAATATTTTGGTTTCATAAGCTTTTAATCTTTTTCCTTAGGTATATAAAAATATTTAAGAACCAAAGAAAATTATATCACAATGGGTATATCAACTTAGTATCAGTTTTACTCATTTAATATGCCAAAGGTAACCTACTTATCCTTTGACTACAAGAGCTTTCTAAATGTCTGTATAATATTACATCAGATGAATGCAATATAATTTATTTTAAATATTTCTTATTGCATATTTAGATTGTTTCTAATTTTTGAGTATGATCAACAACTCTTTGGCCAGTATTCCTATAGCTAAGTGCTTATGTTGTAGGTCTGATTATTTCCTTAGTACAAATTTCTAACAGTGGAGTGTCAGTCAAAGGGTATGTACAATGTAAACATGTAGATGTGTATTGTCAAATTATCCCCCACCAAGTTCCTAAAATATGCATCTTTACTGTCATGGTGTAACTACCAAAGTCCTGTACCCTTGAAAACATAGATTCTTATTTCAGAACATCTTTATCAGTTTAAAAGATAAACTATGCCATCCTCTTGTTGTTAGTAAAGTGCATTTCTTTGATTACTCCCCTTTCACAGAAGAGTAAATGAAGATTCAGTAAGTTTGTGTGAGTTATGCATGGGTGCATAGGTAACGCGTGCAGAAAGCAATCACTTCAGTTTTCCATATTTGAGGTCCTCTCTGGGCCAGTACAGTTCGAGACACTAGAAATTCAAAACCACAGATAATGCCCTCCTGGGCCTGTAGGATGTACTTGTTAGGTGGCAGGGGCGAGGCCCAACCAGTGCCCACAACAATGTCATAGCCCCAGGTGAGTGTGGGAGGGGAAGTTGTAGAAATATTTTCCAGCCAAAGAAATCAGTGAAGTAAAGATAGGCAGGAGGCAGGCAAAAAGGAGGCAGGACTGGCAGGTTGTGGGGGCAGGAGTGGCCACGGATGAGGAGCCAGGCTTGGCAACACCGGTGCAGGTGGCACGTGTCATAGGCACAGGCGTGGAGATCTGAGGGCGTAGAGGGGAGAAGACCGTGCACCGCCAATGTCAACTGTGTGGAAGCAAACCTGGGCTACATCTAAGAGTCCTGAGAGCAGGGCAGGAGAAGGGAGGAAGAGACAACAGAAGTCCTGGGTGGGAAGCAGAAATATTTCCTGAGTCAATGAAAGAGCCCCAAGCCTCCAGACCTGCCAGGGCTCAAGCAGGCAGCTCCAGATGCCAAGACCTATAATCCAGCAGTTCAGGTTGATTTTGCCAGAGTAGTGTGAAGAGGCCCTGATTTTCCCCTTTAATGTATACCCATACAAAAGGCAGAAGAGTTGTTTGAAAAGCAGGAGATTCACAGTTACAAGCACATAGGAAGCACAAGAAAAACTGGTAGAAGGGATCTGGGCCCTTCAATGTTGACAGCCTTCTCTAGGAGCCCTGGCTACAACAGAATGAGAAGGATCCTTGGGGGGTATAAAAAGGTGGGAAGGAGAACAAGCCAAACAAAACACCACCCTCAGGACTACAGAGAAGTTATTTCAGGCGATGCATTGATTCCATGTTTTTGTTTCCATAGGTTGCTGTTTTGTAACTTTTTTTTTCTTAGGTGAAGGAATTAAGTGTCCTCCCCCACTGTCTGAAGAAAGATATGCCTGTCATGAAGCGTGCCCTTACTTACTTTGAAGGGGACAAGCCTTTTCTAGCTTCAATATTTATTTCCTATTTTGATGGGGAAACCTTTAGGGAAGTAGAAAGAGAGCTTAAAGCCTTGGGGGAGACATTTTACGTGCTTGCTAAAAAAATGCATTAAAATATTTAGTACATGTCCTGAATGTAACCCAGCCCTCCAGAGCTATTTTTTTTCTCACTGTATTAGTCCATTTTCATACTGTAATAAAGAACTGCCTGAGACTGGGTAATTTATAAAAGAAAGAGATTTAATTGACTCACAGTTCAGCACGGCTGGGGAGGCCTCAGGAAACTTACAATCATGGTGGAAGGTGAAGGGGAAGCAAGGCACCTTCTACACAAGGTGGCAGAAAGGAGAAGTGCTAAGCAAAGGGGAAGAAGCCCCTTATAAAACCATCCGATCTTGGGAGAACTCACTCACTATCATGAGAACAGCATGGGGGAAACCATCCCCATGATTCAATTACCTCCACCTGGTCTCTCCTTTGACAAATAGGGATTATGGGGATTATGGGGATTACAATTCAAGATGAGATCTGGGTGGGGACGTGAAGCCTAACCATATCAGGGGAGGGGGCTCACAACTGAATATTTCAGATAATTTTAATATGTGCTGGTATCCACAAACAAGAGCCAATGTGGACTCAGCAGGCAATGTCATGGGCCTTCTGTTTCAAAAATGATTCAGATAGACTTTTATGCTTTTACATGTGCCATATGGGAGTGGGGCATTCTCATCTTGTTCCTTGTTTTACCCTCAGCATCTACCTTTCATAGCAGTAACTGATGATCATGAAATGTTTGTTGATTGAATGGCTGAAGTATAGACAGATGCAGCTTCTGTCCATGAAAGGCATCCTGCTTGCTCCTTGCACTGTGTCCAGTGAAAACTCTTGTTTCTCTGCGCAGCTGCAACACTTTTCACATCACAAGGAGCACAAGGCACTGGCTTCCATTTCCACCCTGAAGCTCAGCAGCCCCATTTGCGTCCCATCAGCTGCCTGCTCCGGAATAGAGGAGGGAAGGGCTGGGCTTCAGAGTTTGCTTTTTTTTCTTGGTTCTGTGAATGGAAAAGGATCCTGTGAAGGGATCCAGATTGATACCTTGGGGTCTGGTGTACGTAGGTCTGTTTGTGTTAACTCACCATTTAAAGACAGAAAAAAGGAAAACATACATATTTATAGCCTCCTAGAGAGAGCCTTGGTGCTAGTTTTGATGGCTTGCTGGGAACACAAGTGAAGTCAAGGGGGGTATTGTGGTTGGGAGCATTGATTTTGGGAGGAAAGTGGTGCTGGTATCATTTAGGGAGGGACAACAAGATGCTCCTGTGGACCACCACTGATTCTCTCACGCTGATGACATCTGGCAGTAGTGATAATGTGATGGGAGCCCAAAGAGGGGAGGGTCTTGTAGAAATTTCACGTGGTTGCATCAGCTTCAGCTTTTGGTAACTGGTGGATAGCCAAGCAGCAGGAGTAGGGCAGAATACCATGAGTCCGTGAACCAGGCAGAGAGTTGAATGACATGAACTTGAGTCAGGGAGGAGAAAACTAGGGGCCGGGTACATCTTTGATTAGTGAGTAACCAACAATGTGGACCCCCAGAAGGCTTAAGGCCCTTCGCTGGAGAACTAGATGGTTATCCCTGGGTCCTGTTATTGAGGCTAGCTTCTCTCAAGTTTCAACGCTAGTCAGACCACCATATCTAAATCATGGAAAGTGTACCACTGGTTATGTTAAGAGGTGATGTTTGAATATTTAGATGGAGATAATCAAAGTATTACAAAAATGACAAAGGATTCAATGCAGTAAACAAGTTAATTTACACACCAGAGTCAAAATTTCACAAATATTATTGCATAGAGTGAAGATAATTTTTTAAAATTTAAATTAATTTAACAAAATAAACATAGTACTTAAATATGGCTTTTTTGGTATAGATTATTTTCTTATTCAAGATTTTTCCTTTCCTAGTTTATAAGTATTTTGTTGCTATTCTTTCACTCTCTGAAAATTGCAAAATGCATACTTAACTTTTCAAATACAAGTTTTTCCAAAAATTGTATACATCTCCTGAAAACGAGTGCCTTTGAAGATGGCAACTCCATTTCTGCTCCCTCTAATTCACGAGTTATTCTTGACTTGTTTTGTGGAATTAATTAGTTTCATCTTTTTCTTAATGGCAAAAACTACTTGTCATGATTTTTGCATGTTTCCTACCTTCTTGATCCTCATCTTTTTCTCTGATTTAATTACATCCTTTTCTGAGGATATACTGCAGATAAACTCTCTTTTTTTGTTTGCCCAAGAATGTCTGCATTTCATCCTACTCTTAAAAAGTGGGTCCTAGAAATTCTAGGTTGGCAATTATTTTTTATTAGCACTTTGGTGATCTCATTCTTCTGGCATCCGTCTTTCATCATTTCTGTTGAGTAGTTAGTGGTCAATGCCATTCTGCTGCCTTGAAAGTAAGCTATTTTATTCACTACCTTGTGGATTTATGCATGTGTGTGGTTGTTCTTTGGTTTTACTATTGTTTTTGGTTCGTCCAACTCGCCATGACATGTTCAAGTGTAGTTTTATGTTTGTGTACCCTCTATAGATTTAGGAACTTCCCGTTGGCTTTCTTTTGATGTAGGGTATCAGTCATTATCTTAAAATATTACTTACAAACGTTTTCTCTGTTCTATGTTCTTTCTCCTCTTTGTTTAGGAATCCAAGTAAAAATATGGTAAAATGTCTCACTGCCTCTGTTTTGCTGTGATGCATTCTGCATAATTTCTTCTGACTGATCTTTGGATTCACTAGTACCTACTTTAGCTACTACAAAATAGTGAACAGCCATTGCATTTAAAAATTTATTTTTTGCATCTTTCTATTTTAGAAATGTTCTTTGTTTCCTTTTTCACACATTCCAGTCATTTAAAAAATATTTATTTTATTTTAGATTCAAGGGGTCCATGTGAATGTTTGTTAAATGGGTATATTGCATACTGGTGGGGATTGGGCTTCTAGTTCACCCATTACCCAAATAATGAATATTGTACCTAATAGGTAGTTTTTCAACACTCACATCCTCTCCCCTTTGGGAAACCTCAGTGTCTATTATTTCCATCTTTATGCCCATGTGTACCAATTGTTTAGCTTCCACTTGTATGTGAGAATATGCAGTATTTTATTTTCTGTTTCTGAGTTAATTCACTTAGAATAATGGTCTACACCTCCATCCATGTTGCTTCAAAGGACATGATTTCATTCTTTTTTATGGTGGTGTAGTATTACATGATGTGTATATATATCACATTTTCTTTATCCAATCAATTATTGATGGACCCATAGGTTAGACTTAGGTTGGTTCCGTGACTTTGCTATTGTCATGGTATTGTCCTATAATGATTTGTTTTCCTTTGGGTAGGTGTCCAGTTATGAATATTTCTGGGTCAAAGGGTAGTTCTGTTTTCAGTTCTTTGAGATATCTTCATACTGTTTTCCATAGAGCTTGAACTAATTTATATTCCCACCAATAGTGTATAAGCATTCTCTCTTTGCTCTGCATCCAAGTCAACCTCTGTTTTTTTCTTTTTTCAACTTTTTAATAACAGCCATTCTGACTAAGATGATATCTCATTGTGGTTTTAATGAGCATTTCTTTAATGATTAGTGATTCTGAGCATTTTTTCCTGTGTTTGTTGGCTGCTTGCATTTTTTTTTTGAAAAATGTCTGTTCATGTCCTTTGCCCAGTTTTTAATGGGGTTGTTTCTTTTTCTCTTCTTGAATTCTTTGAGGTCCTTGTAGATTCTTGATATTAGTCCTTTGTCAGAGACATATTTTGCAATTCTGTTTTTTTTTTTTTTCAAGCATGGCGAGAAAGATTTTATTCAGGACCAGAGCAATAGTTACAGGGACCACTGAAATGTTGTCTGACAGTGGGGAAGAGAGATTCTATGCTGGTCATTTTTAACAGCTTTCTTTTATTATTATTGTTATTATTATTATTATTATACTTTAAGTTCTAGGGTACATGTGCACAACGTGCAGATTTGTTACATATGTATACATGTGCCATGTTGTCGTGCTGCACCCATTAACTTGTCATTTACATTAGGTATATCTCCTAATGGTATCCCTCCCCCCTCCCCCTACCCAACGACAGCTCCTGGTGTGTGATGTTCCCCTTTCTGTGTCCAAGTGTTCTCATTGTTCAGTACCCACCTATGAGTAAGAACATGCCGTGTTTGGTTTTCTGTCCTTGCGATAGTTTGCTGAGAATGATGGTTTCCAGCTTCATCTATGTCCCTACAAAGGACATGAACTCATCCTTTTTTATGGCTGCATATTTGACAGCTTTCTTTTGCTGAGATTGTTTCAAGTGTGTTCTAGCTTTGGACGTTATGAGAAGAGCTGTTTTACAACATTTTTCTCTGATTATTTTTAAATCTAGGGTCTTTGTAGAACTGTTTCTTTCTCCACTATTTCTTCTAGTTCTCTGTAATGGTTATATGTATATATATATATGATACATATGTACTTATCTATCAGCTATATACATCATATAGGTGATACATACATACGCTGTGAGTGCATTATTTTCCTTGGAATATTATTGTGGAGATTCTTTCAGGATGAGGAGGAACTGCACATTTGTTTCTATTAGGTATTGTGAACTGTTTTAAACTAAATTTATAGCTTGAGTTTTTGAGATTGTAATTTATGCAACAGCAGCATTTTCCCCATGCTTTGTTTAGCACCAACGAACACTTCCTTGCCGACACATGGAAGCAGGAGTGAGGTAGTGTGGGTTTACTTTTGGTTTATGCTTATTGTGAAATTATAGCTCTTTGGAGGTCTTGTTTCATAGGGGGAAAGTCTTCTATTATCACATGCGTGTTGCTGGGGACTTGAGATTTTTTCCTTCTTCCATATCACTCCACAGAGACTGAAAAACTGAAGCTCAAATTCACTGCTTTCATGAATTCTCCAAGGGCCAAAGGGAATTCAACATTTAGCTTTCTTTTCTGAGATCAAGACATCACTTAGATTTTGGTCTTGTAATTCCTTACCATCTTGTATGCTCTTTGTTGCTCCAAAATCTTCTTTTTCTTCTATCTTATGCAGAATTTCTAGTTGTTTTTATCAAGAATGTGGGTTTGAACAACTGAGCATATTATTTTATTGGAAAAGTGCAATTGCTTTTTACTACCGATTCCTAATTATCCAGAGGATCTAGAAAAAATGGATTTAACTCTTTGGCCAATTAAAACACAAATTCCAAAAATGGATTATCTGTTCTTATAAAGCTATAGTATATTAAAAGATATTTAATACATAAATAACAGTAAACAAAGTATCCTCTACTATGGTTTGAAAATTATTTAGAATCTTGCGATTTTCCTGGGTCTCTCTAAATGCTAATGATCACCAATGAGTTTGACAAATAGAGATGTTACAAGTGATTGGTTTAAATCTTTGATGCACCTTAAATGTATTTTAAAATGTGCCCCTAACTCTTTATTTTACCTGACTGTATTTCAGTGCATCAGTTTAAGGGAAGACATGAGATCATGGGTTTAAGTGAGGCTTCATCATACTAAGACAACGTGATCAGGTAAGTACTTGCCCCTCTACATGTCAGCATTCTTACCTGTAACATAGTACAAACAAGACTTTGTCTGAGTCCCTTGCAACATTTTGTGGAGCATCAAATACAATAAAGACCGTGGATATGCTTTGTAAACCTTGAGTTTCTACACATATGCAAATATAAGTTCTGGTAAGATATAGAATGAACAAGGGAAATAGAATCCTATTTTTATGTTTCAATTTTATGGATTGCTGGAAAATTGAAGTGTATAGGAGTCTTCCTGTGTTGCTCACTAGAATGCCTTTGGCTGGGTTTACTGGTATTGCACGAAAACAGCTGTTAGCAAAGACAAGACTTAGGCACCCAACAAGACCTTTTATTTTCACATGACTGAGCCTCTGACTTCAATATCCTTTCCGTGTTTTTCCCAGAAGTTCTTTTGTGTTATGTACAATTACTCTGCTGAACAGATTGTATTTGTTTTTTTCTTTGTTGTTTTGTTTGTTTGTTTTGTTTTGTTTTGTTTTACTGTGAGGCAGTGATGCCAATGCTTGTGTATTTAGGATGGGGGTCGCAGACTCTGTACTTCCAGGAGAAGCCCCCGGAAGGTCTTAGCTGGCTCCTGAGGGGGCACATTTGCTGTGCTCATTGCACTTTACCTGGTGTCATGAAGCATAAAGAGCACAAACGTGGACACCAAGAGTCTACCTTAAAGTCCCACTCCTTTATGTTTGTAAATATGGGATATTGGGAAGTTGCTGCACCTTTTTTTGCTCATTTTCTTCACTGAACAGCAGAAATAGAAAAATTTCTTCTTAATAGGGCTTAAGGGAGACTCAAATACAACACTGTATATGATGTTCTTTTGCAAATTGTAAAGCAAAGTACAAAGTTTCAAATATATTCATTATACGTATATATCTAGCTTTTTATTCCATTTGGTTCAAAAAATTTATGTGTTCCAAAAAATTATGGAGGTGATACATATCTAAGTAGAGGATTTGTCAAATATAAATATCATGATGTACTAACAAGGCTGGACAGCTTTTATTAACACATTGTCTGCAGCACAAAAAAACAATGCCTGGGCCTGAATAGGAACCATATGAAAATATTTCTTAAATCAGTGAAAGATTATTTAATAATTAAGAAAAACTGGCCAGGTGTGGTGGCTCATGCCTGTAGTTCCAGCACTTTGGGAGGCCGAGGCGGGCAGATCACGAGGTCAGCAGATTGAGACCATCCTGGCTAACACGGTGAAACCCCATCTCTACTAAAAATATAAATATTAAAAAAAAAAAAACTAGTCAGGCGTGGTGGCGGGCGCCTGTAGTCCCAGCTACTCGGGACGCTCAGGCAGGAGAATGGGGTGAACCCGGGAGGCGGAGCTTGCAGTGAGCCGAGATAGCGCCACTGCACTCCAGCCTGGGCGATAGAGTGAGACTCCGTCTCAAAAAAAAAAAAAAAAAGGCGAAGACAAGGGTGAGTTTAGAAGGTGAAATCTGTGCTGTATATACTGAGAAATTGCTTGGGATGACTCATTTGATTCTGAATATCTGCATTAGCCAGTGCAGGCTGGCGTAACTAAATGCCACAGACTGGATGGCATAAGCAGCAGAATTTCATTCTCTTACAGTTTTGGGGGCAGTGAAGTCCAAGATCATGAAGCTGGAAGGGTTTGGCGTCTGTTGGGGCCTCTTACCGGCTTGGGCTGCTTTTTCCTTATGTGGCCTTTATACATGTGAGGTCGAGGGGAGAGACATCTGTCTCTTTCTTTCAGTATAAAGCCACCAGTCCTAGTAGACTGAGGTCCCACCCGTATGACCTAATTTGACCTTAAGTGCCTACTAAAGGCCCTGCCTGTCTTCAAAAACAGTCACATCAGGGATCAGAACTTTTATACATAAGATTTTTGCAGGGACACGATTCAATCCAAAGCAATATCTTATCAAGATAACGATATGTTTGGCTACGTCTCCACCCAAATCTCATCTTGAGCTGTAGTTCCCATAATCCCCACCTGACATGGGAGGGACCTGGTGGAAGGTGATTTTATCATGGGAGCAGTTACCTCCATGCTGTTCTCCTGATAGTAAGTGAGTTTTCATGAGATCTGATGGTTTTATAAGGGGCTTTTCCCTCCTTTTTCCCACCTCTCTTTGCTGCCGCCATGTGAAAAAGGACATATTTGCTTCCCCTTCTACCATGATTGTAAGTTTCCTGAGGCCTCCACAGCCATGCCGAACTGTGAGTCAATTAAACCTTTTTCCTTTATAAATGTCCCAGTCTTGGGTATGTCTTTATTAACAGCTTGAGAAGAGACAAATACGGATAATATGATTGGTTAGACAATTTGAGAATCTTTATAATATTTTTCAAAAGAAACATAAATATTGTAATTTTTGTCAATAACTGTTTGGTGAGCAAGGAAGTTAATTTCTTTGAATGTGTTTTTGTACTTGTGAAATAGGGATTATAATTCGTGCATTGACTTAATGTTATTATAACACTCAAAGAATGTATTGTGCACTAGTCCTTGCAAACCCAAGCAAAGCCCTTGGGTTACACATGTGAGTTGTCATCATTCAGTATTCCCCTTGCCATGGGAGGGGAAAGAAGCATGTATGATCTGCACTGCGATGCACACATGGGCCCCCTGGAGATGTGGAGCAGGTGATGGATCTTCAGTCTCCATTAGAACCTTATTATTGGACATTTAGAAAAAGGCAGAAAAAGTTAGCAGCTCCAGAACTGCTGGATCGTGATTGTGCTTCTGTTTTGTAAATATCTCCATTGACTTCAAGTTACTGCCCACTCGGACCTACGATTCCAATCCCCCTCCCCATTCACCTACAGAATAATGAGACTGTGATTTAAACTAGAAAGCCAGTAGCTTTTCTTCTTTATTTTCTTTGAGTGATAGCCACAAAGGGGAGAGTTTAAGAAATAAGTCGTTGCTTGCATAAAGACTGCAGAGAAAAACCTTCATTTGTTTATTTTTTTCCTTTCTTCTATTTTCTATTCTAAAGCTGCATGTGGTCTCCTCCTAAAAGGAGTTTACTGGTAGCATGTTAAACATGTCTAAGACATTTCTGAATATTTGAATATAAATTATTTACATAACTTGTTAATTTATTTGCTTATGTAAAAGATATGGTGGGTCAATTGGGTAAATAGCTAGCCCACTGCAGACTACCTTGGCCTTTTTTTCTACCTGAATGCCTTGTGGCAATGAAAGAGTTGTGAAAAGGAGCAAAGAAGAAAAAGCAATTTATAGTCAAATTTTGAGAATTTTTAAAAGAGGAGGAAGAGGAAAACAATTTGACAGAGAGAGGAGGAAGGGAGGAAAGTAAGAAGAAAATAAAGGATCATATGTTAAAATCAGAAAGAAATATACAAAAACCTAAAGATGACATTGGAATCAATGAAAGCAAATATACTAGGGTCAGATTTTTGCCTCTCATCTCTAATCTAACACAGTCTATGTCAAATAGTTACAGCATCATAACTTCTGTCCCCTTTATTCAGAATTAGCAAAGTCTGAACTGACTTACCTGAACAGGAAGAACTAGTTGAGTAATTTCTTTTAGTAGCATGGTAGTGGAAAATTTTAGAATCATATAAACTTAGGTTGAAAATTCTGCTCCTTTACTCTCCCGCCCTGTGACTTCAGGTAAGCTTGTTGATCTTTCCAACTTCAGTTTCTTCTTCTGTAAAATAGAGATAGTAGGACCTGCCTTATATATTAAATATACATATAAACCATAGAGATGCCTCTGAAATTAGCATAAGCTCCTTTGGAAATTGAAAATGGCAATGTTTGGGATAACTTTCACCGTTTATGTGTTTGCTGAAGGTAAAAATATCAGTTAAAAATATCTTTCACTGAAACAAGAGGAAATTTACTCTTAAATAAGAATACTTTACGCATCGAGCAGAGATAAAGAGAATTTACATGTGTCTCTAGGTTCCTTGGCTTCCAATAGTATCTTTATTTGTGCAAGTTTTGTGTTTTGTAAAAGCTAGAAGGTCAATAATCAAAATGGCATTTGATTGCTTATTCATTATTTGGTGGTGCAAACATGTAGAACATTTTCTGTTTCTATTTCTGGCAAACGGAAGGGATGGTAAAACTAGACGCAATATTGGACGAACATTAGCTGCCCAGGACTGGCCTCAGTCATTGAAACTTTGATTAAGAACTCTGGGTATGATGGATAATTTTTGTGTCAAATTCACTTAGACATGAGGTGCCCAGACTAAACATGGGTCCTGGTTATGCCTGTGAAGCTGTTTCTGTATGAGATTAGCGTTTGAATCAGCAGACTGAGTAAAGCAGGTGGCCCTCCACCGTGTGAGTGGGCATTATCCGATTCATTGAGACCCGAATAGAACAGAAAGCACAGGAAGGGTGACTTCACCCTCTGCCTAACTGCTTGAGCTGACACATCAGCCCCCTGTGCTGTTCTTGACTGGGTCTTATACCATCGATACTTTGGTTCTCTCAACTACATCACTGTCTTTCCTGGGTCTCCAGCTGCAGATGGCAGATTGTGAGACTTTCAGCCCCCATAATCACATGAGCCAATTTCTTATAATAAACTCCCTCTCTCTCCTTCTTTCCCTCTCTCTCTGTCTATATATATATATACACACACACACACGTATTAAATATATATGTGTATATATATACACACACACACACACATGCGTGCACATGCACACATATACTCTTGATTCTGTTTCTATAAAGAACACTGATTAATACAAAGGGCAATTTCAAGGATTTGATTATATATATAAAATATTAAATCACTTATACATATAACATCGTGTGTGTGTGTGTGTGTCTCCTTTTACTGAGTTACCTCCTGATTTTTATGACTTTAGGATGAGAACCAGGGCTATTTTTCTAATAACACAGATACCTTTCCTGAGAAAAATCATCCTAGCCATCCACAATGGCAAAGATCACATATGTGTATGCATGTTCATGTGGTCACATATGTGTGCATGCATGTATACATGTCTGCATGACCACATGTGTGTATGCATGTGTATTAGTCAGGGTTCTCTAGAGGGACAGAACTGATAGAATAGATGTACATATAAAAGGGGGTTTATTAAAGAGAATCAACTCACATGATTACAAGATAAATTCCCATGATAGGCCATCTGCACGTTGAGGAGCAAGGAAGCCAGTGGTGCATCAGTCTGAGTCCCGAAACCTCGAAAGTTGGGAAGTAAACAATGCAGTCTTCAGTCTGTGGCCAAAGGCCCGAGAGCCCCTGAAAAATCACTGGTGTAAGTCCAAGAGTCTAAAAGCTGAAGAACTTGGAGTCTGATGTTCGAGACCAGGATACTTCCAGCACAGGAGAAAGATGAAAGCCAGAAGACTCAGCAAGTCTGTTCTTCCATCTTCTTCTGCCTGCTTTATTCTAGCTGTGCTGACAGCTGATTAGATGGTGCCCACCCAGATAGAAGGAGGGTCTGCCTCTCCCAATCCACTGACTTAAATGTTAATCTCCTTTGGCAACACCCTCACAGACATGCCCAGGAACAATATTTTGCATCCTTCAATCCAATCAGGTTGACACTCAACATCAGCTATCACAGCATATATGTATATATGTTTGTTTAAAAACACAGCAAGATATCGGAATAAGCTTTGTACACTAGGACTATTTGCAAAGTTATTGTGTGAATATAAAGAACTAATATATATCTTAAAATTTTCTGTAGAGGTAGTTGTATACACAGGCTGTAAAAGTCAGCATTTTTCCTCATGTTATTCCAGAACACATAAAAAAGCAACAAGGAAAATGGAGAAAAAAAGAACCAAATATATCCTTAGTGAAACTAGAAAAAGTTAGAATCCAAAGATTTCAAAACTTATGTAGGGATGACTAAATCTAGTTGGAATCAGGCACAAGCCACATGGGAGTAAATGAAGTATGGAGGTAGTGAGGCCAATGGCTGATAATCTCAGAAAACACCAACAAAATGTACTCCCTGAAAATTTGGGAGTTCATTTCCATGTTCAAAACTTATACCCCTTTTTTTTAACCACAGGAGTGGGAACCAGGGTACACAGTCTACCAGAAAAAGTCCCCTCCTGGACCCAGTTTTGTTCAAGGGAGGAACAAGGGAGATTCAACCACACAGAGAATCACCAGAGGAGCCATACTTGCAGGAAGCAGTCTGTCTCTGTGACAGCCCAGTAGGAAAGAGCCATTCTGGTGTGAGGCCCAGAAGGTTGTCTTAATTCTCTCTCTGAACCTCTGTAGTTATCTAGGAAAACCCAAACCATTTAGTAGTATATTACAAAAATAAAAGGAAATAGATACCCATTTATACAAAAATTATCTAAGCAAACATCTGAAAAGCAAAACTCAAGTATTACAGAGAAAATGAGAACTATGGAAGACCGACAAATGGATTGAACACATACATTACTGGAACATCCAAAGAAGAAACCAAAAGAGACAGAACAAATACTTCAAAATTATAATTCAAGAACACTTCCATGCAATGCATGAAGACTTGAATCTACCTTTCAAAAGGGCATATCAGAAGCAAGGTATATCCATTCATGACAGGCAAAAAGTGAACCACATCTTAATGAAGGTATTGGACTTAAAAAAAATAAGGTATCTATTGGGCAGCCAGAAAAAAAGAATAAGTCACTCACAGGAGAAATGAAGAAGGCTGTCCTGGCTCCCCTAGCTGTACTGAAGCTGGATGGTCATGAGGGAAGACCAACAAGATTCTCAATGCCAACCAAGGATTTTTATGTGCAGCCAAGCTAGTCTTACTATGCAGACATGATATATTACAATTTGTTGCGGTTTTTATCAAGCAAGAATTCAGGAAAAAATATTTTCATTAATGTTTTTGAGAGAACAAAAACATGGGTATGTGGAGAAAAAGGGCAATACATTTGGTTACAGAAGGAAGGAAAACAATAACAACCAATTAAAGGAAGATGCTTTGGTAAAATACAGCAAAAAAAAAAAGTTGTAAGTATTGAATGTATTTTACTGTAGACTGAAACCAAATGTGGATTAGGGTTACAGAATAGGCTGGAAATGTCATATGCCCCAATAACATAGAAATAATAAACTTTACCATGTCAAAGGTGAAGAAAGATAGTGAAGGTAAGGAAGCCTCATTAATTACCTCACTTGTTATGACTACGATGCGAAGGATAAATTTTAAAGGTGGCAAATACAGCAAAATAAAAGCCTACTTAGCAGTGCAATGGTAGAGTAAGGAGGATAACATTTACTATCCTCCTTACTTACAAAGGGCACCTGCCACTGTATGGTGGTGGGCTGGTATCAACTCACTCATACCCCTACCTGGAACCTAGGTTGTAATGTTAGTTCCACCAGTACTCTTCAGATCAGGCAGCATGATAAAGGGAAGGAAGGCATTAATCAGCACAAGTAAACAATAGCTGATATAGGTTCTGCCTCTGCTGTTGGTCTATGTTCTATGTTGATAGTCAGCTCCTCTTTTTCATTTTTTCAAATCACCTATCAATGCTCCCTTTACCTTCTACCAACACCTTTCCCTATCAGAAATTTTAAACTAGTAGTATGACCAAAATTTTCATTCCAATAGACTGCAAATCCTTTACAGCTACAGTTTCCCACTAACCATTATCTTTGGACACTAGTGAATTAAGGAGCTCCAGTAAATTGCCCATGTTCTAGATGTAATCTTCTTTGCTCCCATTGTATACAAACACTCCAACATCCTTTCGGCACTGTAAAATGCCAGTTCAAAATAGGAATTCTCTATCTCGTAACATGAAAAGCCCAACATGATTATAGAACAGTCTCAGGTTCTCATTGAACGAAACCAGGACTATGTTTCTTGATGCAAAATTATTCCCTTGGCCCTAGGACTTCACAACACACTGAGTATAAGGAATTAAGAATGAAAAATACAGATCCCATCAGTGTAAGACTGAGGGAGGTCATACCGAATTTCACCCTTTTGTTTTCTGACCGTGTGTTCTAGTATTCTGGCTTTGTGGAAAAGGTGGAGTGAACTTACAATTCAGTTATCTAAGTCAGGTCACTTTTGACGGTGAAAGGGGTTGTTGTTAATAATTATGTTAGAAATTATTATTATTATGTCCTGGGAAAACTGGAGCACATGGTCACACAAGAGACAGAGTCATACATTGGTCATTGCTCCACAGTCATTCTGCATGCTGGAGAGGAGTGCTCCAGGCCTGCAGCACGCCATCTCTCAGCTCGCACTGTGTGAGAACCTCCAGGAAGCCACCTCCCCTTCAGTAAAGCCACTGGGTATCTGCAAGACAGGCTACCAGCAGCAAAGGTGGGCAAAGAGGGCACTGGTCAATGCCCGAACTGTGGGATGTCTTAATCTGTTTGTTCTGCATTAACAGAACATGGACATGGAGGCTATGTAGTCTATTGAGAAAAACATATTTCTCACAGTTGTGGGTCCAAGATCAAGGTGCCAGCAGATCTGGGGGCTGGAGAGGGTTGCTTTCTGCTTCCAAGATGGCGACTCTTGCTGTGTCCTCACATTGCAGAAGGAATATAAAAGCAAACAGGATCTAGCTAGTCCCCTAGAGTGCTGTTATAAGGGTATATGATCACCTCCTCAAGGCCTCACATCTTAATCTTGTCACACTGAAGATGAAGTTTCAACATGAATTTTGGAGGGACACAAATATTGAAACCATAGCAGGAGGCAGGGAGTGTTTTCATGGAGAGAATACTGTTGCCATCACTGCAGTTCCCACTGCAGAAAAGGAGTGGGAGAAAATTACCCCCAACTCTCTGTCTTCTGAGCATCCCATCACCTTACATTGATCTCCGTCAGCCAAATCCACATGGAAGTTCAAGCCCAGGAAAGCCAGAGTCATGCTATTTATAGAGATATTGGCAGTTTTGGGGTGCATAAAGAGGGGTAGAGAATAAAGAGGGGTTGAAAGACAAGTGAAGATAAGCCATCACTGATATCTGTCAGATACTGTGCAGCAGGGGTTTGGGGGTAACTGGCTGGTTTTCGTCAATGCTGTCTGTGAACACAGCCTTGGGAATGGAGAGACAGGGCTTGCTGGCTGGATTACAAGTGGGGAGCATCAGGGCAGGTAATTTGCTCCATGTGTAGCTGGCAGACTACCATGTGGTTTTAGAATTTGGAAACTTTAGTAACTTTGCAAAAACTGCGACACAAAATTCGAAAACTATCCTCCATCATATTTTAAAATTAAAGAACACTATCATTTTAAACGTGTTCTAGGAACACATCTCCTTCCTCATGGTACTGGCCTTTTCTATAAATATCTCAAGCTCCGTTAAGCTTTTCTTAATAAAAGTATGGATGCACAAAAGAGGAATATTTTCTGCTTGTTCCAATATCTCTTGAGGTTATTAACATGTTTGACTTCTTAGTCATGATAAAATGGCTTTCAGTTATGACCCCTCCTCTCCTTTTTTTTTTTTTGAACTTTCCCAAGACCACCATCCAAACTCAAGCCTTCATTGCAACTGATCAAATCCAGTGCAAAAGCTTTATGGTCTTATACGTAGCATCTGCCTTCAATCTGCTTGCTTCAGTGCCTCTTCCACATTGTTACCCAAGTATCTTCCTAAAACATCACATTAAGTTGGGTGATTTTTCTGCTCAAAAAGCGATCATGGATCCTCTTTGCATATATAATAGAACACAGTTCTTAGCCTAGCATTAAACATGTTCCGTAATCTGAGCCTAGTATGTTTTTTCTGGCTCTACTTCATTCTTAAGCTATCTATGCAATACAGATACGAATTTGAACATGCCCAACCTCTCTTGCCTCAGTTATTTCATTTGTCCAATTCCTTTCATCTAGCATGCAGTCACCAGGATTTGCCTGTGCTGTAAACCCCACTGTAGCTCAAGGCTCCATTCAGATTCACCCTCCTCCATCAAGCCTACTCTTGACGGTTACATTTAATCCTTCTTGATAGATTAAGTCCTTATCTTCATGGTGGACCTTCTGTTCTGGGTGCTGTTATTCACCTTGTGGTTTCTGGGCTGTCTTGGCCAAGTCTTCCCCCATAATGTTAGCCATCTCCCAGACTTAAAGTTTACAAAGCGTACATTGTCCTTTTTTTTTTGTTTTTTTTTTTTGTTGTTGTTGTTTTGGTTTCTTTTTTTGAGATGAAGTGACGCTCTGTCGCCAGGCTGGAGTGCAGTGGCGTGATCTTGGCTCACTGCAACCTCCGCCTCCCAGGTTCAAGTGAGTCTCCTGCGTCAGCCTCCCAAGTAGCTGGGACTATAGGCACCCGCCACCACACCCAGCTAATTTTTGTACTTTCAGTAGAGACAGGGTTTCACCATGTTGGCCAGAATGGTCACAATCTCTTGGCCTCACGATCTACCTGCCTCGGCCTCCCAAAGTGCTGGGATTAGAGGCGTGAGCCACCATGCCCAGCCAAAGCATTCATTTTCTCATTTATCTTTACTTGTGATGTGCTACAATCATAGATATTAACATGTTTCCAATTTAGCAAGACTAGGAAACTGAAGCCCGTAGATTTTACTCACAAAGCTAAGTAGTATACACCTCGGAAAGGAATTAATTCCCAGATACAAGGATGTATCCTGCACCACCACTGTCTCTGTTCTACAGCTGCCAAAGTGTAGAAGTAAAGTGGGTGCACATGCTTCATTCTTCAGCAGTCCACCAAGGATCCCCTGAATCCTTCTGCTCACATAGGTGATGGTAGTCAAGAGACCTGAAATGGGTCCGTCTGGAAAAGCAACTGATGAATTTAACTTTCTACATAGTTAGAAAACAAAAATCAACTCACTTGACAAGTACCTGGAAGAATTTGTATATGATTTAGCATCTTTGTGCTTTATGGACAAAATGAATACTACAGAAAAGCATTTATAAATGATAAATCTATCAATCCAAATAAAATACCATCTACTTTGTGATGTATTTCTTTTTCTTTTTCTTTTTCTTTTTTTTATCTGAGATGGAGTCTTGCTCTGTTGCCCAGGCTGGAGTGCAGAGGCATGATCTCAATTCACTGCAAGCTCCGCCTCCTGGGTTCACGCCATTCTCCTGCCTCAGCCTCCAGAGTAGCTGGGGCTACAGGTGCCCACCACCATGCCTAGCTAATTTTTTGTATTTTTTAGTAGAGACTGGGTTTCACCATGTTAGCCAGGAAGGTCTCCATCTGCTGACCTCATGATCTGCCCGCCTCAGCCTTCCAAAGTGCTGGGATTACAGGTGTGAGCCACTATGCCCGGCCTTTTTGATGTATTTCATAAATAACTAGAGTGGCATTACTTTAATCAGTTAAAAGCTTGTTATATGCAAAAATTTTAAAAGTTTGCTGCATGTAAAAGGCAGGCTTTCTAAGTTTGTGACCAATCACAAGGATCCAAACTATTTTATATTTGTTTCAGATAACTGTAAATACATAGAAATTCATGTTAAAATAAGTAACACACCATATTTTTGCATGTTTTATTTATTAAGCTTGTTATTATATGTTTTCATATATTTTTTCTTCTGTTTTGATCAAAATGATGGGAAAATAAGCTTGCATATTATAAGGAACACATTTCCCCCAATAGTAAGTGGCTTTTGTCTTTTGCTCTTTGATAAGATCTTTCAGAGAGACTTTTAATTTTCATCATTAAGTTTAATTAAATTTTGTAAAGTGGCTGGTTCAATAACACATGGCTTTGAGCATGAGTAATCAAATCGTACGTGTTTCCTGAATACTATCATCAACTTCAAATCTTGAGTTAGAATATGCACTTAGAGTGAGTTGACATTGATGACAATGGATATAACCTATGTTTCAAAATGCTTTCCTGATGATAATGTAGAATTTTTGGCTGACTCCTTGCCATTGTTTTCAACTTTGCTATGTGGTTGACAAGAGTATATACAACTAATTGAAGAAATGTAGCTCTGATATTTTATTGTTCTTGAATTATCATATTATCTAAATTTGGTATTTCTTTGTAGGAAATTTTTTAACCCACTTAACCTTTTGTGAAGTTAGTTTAGTCAAAAGTAGACAATTTAATCCTTGAATTCACTTGCCGTGGTTAAGATGACTGTGCCATTTAACAATAGCTGCAAGAGATCCTGTGAGTGGGGCTGTGGGAACTCCTCTGCCCTCTGCAGGGCCCACATTTCTCAGGAAACCAGTGACTTCACTTGCTATGCAAATCTCTGACATGCAGCCTGAGTGGGGAGTCCAGAATCAGTCTACATGTTCAATATTAGTAACACTTAGATATGTGCCTACTTTTTAAGATAATAGAAATAGATACACAAATTCTCACAATTTATTTCCAGAACCAAATTGACTATTTTTTAAAGCCAATTTTGAATACTTTTCATCTTGTAGATCAGATAAGTCCATATTGCTTCTTGGTCCATACTGAGGGTTTGATTCTCTTGGATTCCTGAGGAAAATAGGCTCCCTGGCCCAGTAACTGCTGTGACCTCAAACTCTTTCCATCATTGGAGTGCGGTCAACATCAGCAGTTGATGAAACTGAAAGTCAACATTTCACTTTAGCTTGTCCTGGAACTAAACTGAGAAGACGTCTTTGGAACTGGTCACACAGGGAGAAGTATCCCGGTGTGAGGTCAGATGCATGCACATTTCTCAGTGATGTGACTACACACTGTGAACTCTGCGACTGACGCTTTCTCCATAGTGAGGAAAAAGACCTTGTTGAAAAATGCCAGAGTACTATCTTGGAACCTCAGAGTATTCGCATGACTCAAATATCAAGGGCTGTTTTTTTTTTCTCCCCAAAATGGCTTAGAAAACAAAATGTATGGATCTGATTGTCTCTTATACAAAGACATGTTAGAGTTTGTAACCTGTGTAAATGCTGTAATTAAACCCTTGTTTTTACATGGATTCATTATGTTAAATTCTTCAGTAATTACTGACATTTTCTTTAATGTGTACATGTGGCGAACATAAGAATATGATTAGCTCGAGTTAAAAGTGTAAGCAGTAATGAGCATATTATGGGTCTCCCTTTGTCTTTGGTCACTCTAAGCTTCTTGACAATAAAGCTTGACTTTTTATAGATTTGCTGCACTATGCAATTTTCTGTAAGCAAATAAATGCATGTAAAGTAAAAATGACAACTTTCATATACATAGGTTGAATGGTACAGCTTCTCTTTACATTAGCTTCCCGAGTTACAACCTCTACCCTTGTGTAGGTACAAGTCGGTGATTAAAGTGCAGAACAACTTCCCCAATACAGGAATCCAGCTTCGGAAAATATCTGTGCTGGAAAACTTGCAATGGAGGAATGGAAGACTTGAGAAAGGGAGGGCTGGGAAACAAGAGCTGTGACTCACCCTGAAGACATTCGTAAATATCTATTTTAATATCTATTACAATACAGCAATAAAGGCAAACTAAAAAAGGCTATACAAGGCATTTTGCACATCTTCATGTACTGGGTTCTCTGAAGCCCATTTCCTGTTAATATCTTTTGCTGGAAGAATCTTCTCAGGATCTCCCCTTCTGTCTGTTCCAACCAGACTCCCGTACATTCATTTTCGTTCCTCGTGGGTAATACACCCACTGAGAGACATGTTCCTTTGCTTTTTTTTTTCTTCTTAGGGGGTTTCTCCACAAGATTCCTGGTTGAGTTGATGGAGTGAAAGTCTGTCTGTCCCCCAATTTTTTTTTTTTTTTTTTTTGGAGACAGAGTCTCACTCTATTCCGCAGGCTGGAGTGCAGTGGCACTATCTCAGCTTACTGCAACTTCCGGCTCTTGGGTTCAAGCAATTCTCATACCTCAGCCTCCCGAGTAGCTGGGATTACAGACGTGCACCACCATGCCTGGCTAATTTTTGTATTTTTAGTAGAGACATGGTTTCACCATGTTGGCCAGGGTGGTCTCGAACTCCTGACCTCAGGTGATCCGCCTGCCTTGGGCTCCCAAAGTGCTGGGATTACAGGCGTGAGCCACTGTGCCTGGCCTGTCTGCCACCTTTGATGGACAGTGTGACTACAGGGACAGAGGAAGATTCCCCAAAGACCTGCACTCACCCCCTCTAATGCATGTCCAGACATCGTCTGGCTCTCAGCACTCCCCTCCATTGCCCAAAGCCCTTTTGCAGGACCTCTGCCTGTTCTGCCTGCTTTGTGCTTTGTTTTGTTGCATTTTATTTCCTTTTCTTTCCTGTTTCTAACCCAGTCATCTCTTTTTCTAGTTATTCCCAACCTATATAACTCACATGCACTGGAGGAAATATCTTCATGGAATTAAAACCACATGGAGTAACATTTCACGTAAGCAGAATTCAGGAAGGATTTCAGTAATTCCATCCCAAACACACACAGGCAAAGGGAGTGAAGATTTCTTCAGCAACATGGTGGCAGAAAGATCATGAAAAGATCTAGGCCAGGCAAGTATGCAAACAAGACTGACTCTTCCTTTCCACTGGAGCTTTGGGTAATTGCTCTGACAATTCTATGATTTGCTGAAGCCACAGAAAATCAGTTTTAAAACAGGATTTCTACCCCTGGCTCACTACATGACAAATAATTTTATCCTGTAATCTTCTGATGTTAAACAAAGATGGCCCTCAATGTAATTGTTACAGTGCCTCCTCCCCACTTCTGTTAGCTGTTGCTTCTCTGCCTCCCATGAGTTTAGTGTAATCCCAGAACTTTGGGAGACCAAGGAGGGCAGATCACTTGAGGTCAGGAGTCAGAGACCAGCCTGGCCAACACGGCGAAACCCCATCTCTACTGAAAATACAAAAATTAGCCAGGCATGGTGGCTTGCGTCTGTAATCCCAGCTACTTGAGAGGCTGAGACACAAGAATCACTTGAATCCAGGAGGCAGAGGTTGCAGTGAGCTGAGATAGTGCCACTACACTCCAGCCTGGGAGACAGAGCGAGACCCTGTCTCAAAACAACAAAAAACAAAAACCGAACAAACAAAAACTGTAATTGCTGAAACGCTCTTTTTCATCAATCATATATATTGAACCAGGGTCACGAAAACATGGGAAAAGTGTAATTTCTGCCTCTGAGGAACTCACAGTCTAGTGGGAGACACCATTTATTCATCCATTCTTTCATGAAATACACATTGAGAATATAACACACCCTGGGCAAAGGAGAGGTCATTTGACTATGACACAAGACAATAGTCATAGTCTTTGCCCTCATGGAATTCACAGCCTAGCCATGGAGATTAAAAATAAAAAGATCTAATAGAATAAAGAGTAGTAGATTTAAAAACACTGGAAACCCAGTGTGCAGTAAAACTAAAAAAGAGGGCTACCTAACCTAGTGTGAGAGGTGAGGTAGAGGTTAGGGTGAGAAAGGATGGTATAGGAAGGCTTTCTGGAAAATTTCAAGATAAATCTTGAGGATAAGTCAGAATTATACAGGTGAAAAGTAGAATAGTGCTTGCTACCTTGCAATTGTTCAGCAAACATCTGCAATGATTACTAACTGTCTGTCAGTTTTTGGCTCTTCTTCAATCCTCACAGTCCAAGCTCACTGCAGTTAAATCTTCAGTCTCCAGCACTGCACTTGGGAAAGCGTCAAGGAGTTGACTGTATATGTAATTGGAGTGCCAGAAGAAGAGAACCGAGAGAGAGGGGCAGAACAGCTCATGAGGGGAAAACCCACTACATACAATCAAGAATACTGCAGACTCCTCATCGGAATCTATGTAAGTAAGAAAAAAATGGCCAGGAACTATAGAGCTGTTCTTTAAAGTACTTAAAAACATTTTTGCCAACCTAGAAGTCTTTAACCAGCAAAAATGTCTTCCAAAAAGAAAAAGACTTTTCAGAACAAATACTGAGCTGATTCATTATTAGCACATTTGCACTACATAAGTGTTAAAGAAAATTTCTTTAGTAAAAGAAATATAATACCAGAAGGAAAATTTGATCTATAAAAAAAGAAATTAAGAGTCCCAGAAATATATAAAAATTATGTAAAAATTTTTTGTTTTTTCTCCTTAAAAGATAATTGATTATTTAAAGCAAAAACAATAAAGTGTTATAGGATTTGTGGCACATGTTAAATGTATGCATTTGAAGTAAAATGTATGGTAACGGTAGTGCAAAGACAGAAGAGAAAAACTGACTTCTCCTGCTGTACATTCTTTATACTCTACATAGAGCTGTGATAAGTTAAAGATGTGTATTGTAAACTCTAGATGAAATAAAAATTTAAAAAATAAAAATAAAATTAAGAAGCAAGATGGAACAAGTAGAAAACAAATAGAAAGATGGTGGATTTGATTTTAGTTTTATCAATAATTATATAAATTCAAATAATCTAAACCCCCAGAATTTTTAAAAATGGGAGATAAAAAAACAATAAATATTATGTATTATTTGTTATCATCATTATTTTATAAAGGGACAGGGCATAGATTTGGACAGAAATAGTAAGTTTTACAATAAGAAATGTTACCAGAATTGCATAACATTTCATGACGTTAGAAGGGTCAATTCAACAAGAAGACACAACAATACCAAATATTGCCCAACAATAGAGCTTTAAAATATACAAAGAAGAAATATACAACAGAAAAAAGAAATGGATATATCCCGTTATTGTTGGAGATTGTAGATTCTAACCCATTTTTTCCAGTAACTAATAGAATGAGATAAGAAACCAGCAAAAGGATAGAAGAAAAACAATACTCTTAATCAGATTTACCTGATTGACTTTTCTAAAACAGTCCACTAAACAGCAATATAAACGACATTGTTAGCAACTGCACATTTAAAACATTCACTAAAATTGATGATAATCTGGGCTATATAAACATGTCTCAGTACATTAAAAAGAATAGAAATCATACACAGTATGATCTCTAAGCACAACTAAATGAAACTAGAAATAAATAATTTCCAAATGTTCTGAAATGAAACAACACACTTCTAAAAATTCCTGAGTCAAGGAGGAAGTCACAGATGAACTTAGAAAGTATTTCAAAGAGAACGAAGATGAAAACAAAAACAGAATATATCACAATTTGTAGGATGCACTTAAAGTAGCCATTTGGGGAAATGTGATAGTATTACATGCTTATATTACAATGGGAAAAATTCTGAAACTTGTAAATTTCAAATCATTCATGATATGTCAAGTCTTCTCAACTTGTTTTTCTTAAGGACTGTTTTGGCCTTTATTGTGTAGTTTATAAGTTCCACAAAATATATTGGGAATTTATTGGAATTTTGTCAAACATATATAATTTTGTCAAACTCAAGCATAATATAAATATGTTTGAGAATTAACATTATTATAAAAGTGAGACATTTAGCCTATGAACGTAGTACATATCACCCCTCATTTTGATGTTATTATTGTACAAAAGTTTTATATTATTGTATATAAAGACTTCGTACACTATTTTTAAATTTATTCTTAAATTTTACACTTTTCATGAAATATGAAGTTAATCTTATAAATTATTATTTTTAACATTATTGCTGGTGTAAAGAAATACAATTCCTTTGGACAATGAATTTTGTATCTAGTAAACTCATTGAATTTGTTTATTAATTTAATTCATGTACAAATTTTTGGATTTTCTATTTAAATAATCATATTGAATGAAACTACTGCATTTTAATAGTTTCTCATTATTACATTTACATATTTACTCATCTTATTCCTAAACTCAAAGATAATATAGTTCACTCTTTAGTATAAGTACATTATACATTTAGTGTAGTACAGGTACATTATGAATTGTAATGTTTACTAAAGCTTTTCTGTAAAATCTTTCTCAGGCTAAGAACATTTTTTGTTTTTACTAGAATATAATATTAACAAAACATATTCTAGAAAAGCGTAAAATTTACCAAATATTTAGATTTTTAATTTAAGCATCATGGAGAGAAATGACGCTCTCATGGTTAAAATGCAGAGGCTGGAAGCACAGATGTTCTTAGAGCTGCTATATTGTTTGAATCAACAGTGACGTATATAAGCAAAATTCCACAAAACCACAGATTTAACTGCCATTATTATTCAGAAGTATCTGGTGTTACTTCTGGTGTAACAAATGGACTATTGTTAGGATAAAGAATATCCATATGAAAAAGTGCTTTACATAAAGTAGAAACTTAAATAGTAACATAATCTGGGTACAATACAACAATAATAATTAGTGCTTTGCTTTCCTGGAATACTATGTGCTAACCCTATTCTAAGGGATTTAGATAGAGATTTCACTGATTTCAAGAGAAACGTTTGTCTACTTGTTCAAATTTTAGTATCTGAAACTGCAATGTATCTTACATTAGATAAGCATAACTTAATTTCAGCATTATTTAATATTAGTGCATTAAAAAGTGTATGTCATTACCAATGGCATTTTAGATTTAGTGACATTTTGTATAATTTCATGAAACACTAGACACTATGGAATCAACTATAGTGTAAGGTCTACAAAAGCAGGAAATTCTATTTTAGTTACTCTTATAGGAGTCACTTGATAAATATATGTTGAATGAGTTGTCCAATGAAATAAATAAAGGCATAGCATTCTAGCATCATTCGGGGGGCAGTAGTTCATCCTGTGGCCTCATAACACTTGAGCAATGATGTGGTCATCACTTGGAAATGCTCAATTTAATCAGGTATGTTCATAATGAGGGCTTCTCATTTTTCTGTGAAAATACGAAAATATACTGTCTTTAGGGAGGAAGCAAACAATGTAATAAAATATAGAAAAATAGTTAAGTATGATTCATATTAAAAGCCCTGGAATTTATAAAAATAAGCTTTATTTGTTAGGGAAAAAATTACATTGTGTAACACTCTATTCCCCATGATTCCTAGTAAATAAGACAATAAACCCTTTAAGAAGAACTTTGTCAGAAACAAAGGATCACTATTTCCCGAAGAGCTGCAAAATACCGTAGGCCAGAATTAATACAGGTGATAACTGAGGTCATAAAAGCCATTTAGACAAGTTGAGTTGACAATGATCTAAGAAGGGCCAGGCCACTCTCCTGTGCCCCCTCCCTAAGCAGCTGCGCATTGCTTTGCTTTGACAACCTCCTTCCCATGCACCCCATCCCACACCCACAGCCCTGCTTGGAACTCTCCTAAGTTCCAGACTCACGTACTCAGCTGCCTCCTAGAGCCCTCTACCTGGAGACGTCCAGAACACTTTGAGTTCAGTACGCTCACAAGTGAAGTCATAAAGAGCCAAGAGTGCAGGATTGGGGTCAGGCAGCCCCACTTCTTAGTTATGCGTAGACTTCTTAGTTTACTTGACCCTCTTCATTTTCAGATTTCATTTCTGTAAAATAGCAATGGGCTTTGTAGAATTGCTTTTAGAGTATTGTAAGATAACTTAGGTAATACCTCTAACAAAGAGTCAAACAGATATTGGACATATAACCAATGTCTGGTACCGGCTTTCCCCTCCTTTCACAAGCTTAATGGCAATGCAGTTAAGTCAAGGACCTGGATCAGAATTACGGCATGAGGAACACACTCCATGTTTGTGCACAACCATTCCTGGATGACTTTTCAAGGGTCTTCTCTTTTCTTCCACCTGACAACAAGTTCTCCAACTTCCCTACTTGGAAGTGGCTGCCTGCCATGAGATAATCCCCTTTCTAATTTGTCCTCCCATGAACAATGCACCCAAGGAGTCCTTCCTCTTACTCCATGTCTCCTTGAGCCTGCAGAATGGAGCTCAAGTTTGTTAGAGCAGCCACGGTTCCCGCACCACCTCCCCTTCTGCCTTGCGGGCTGCCAAGCCTGCGTCCACCGTGCGCGTGAACTCCAGCATCAGGAAGTTTCATGCGTGTGCCCCGTGCTCCTATCTGGGCTCACGTGAACGTGCTCTTCTCTCTTTCTGAAATGCCCCTTTCCTTTGAGCGATTGTGGAAATCCTCCTCATCTTTTACAACTAGTCTCAGATGCGCCCTCCTTCCCGAAGCCTCCTCCGAATGGCCTGTCTACACATGGCCCAAACTTGGTTTCAGATCATTAAAATAGAAGGACAAAAATGAATGGTGTGCAGGGAACACACAGACAGCCTGTGGCATGGTTGGAAGCCGTGGTCTGATCTATGGCGAGCCCTGAGACCACGACTGTTCTTTGATTTTTGCTGCAGCCCTGAGAACCCTGTGGATCTGCTCAGGCATCTTGCTGCTCTTGCGATCGAGCCCTTTGTTTCTCTGCCTATCTTGTTTCCTGCTTTTCACTTTCTTGTTCTCACCTGGCTGATTTGTAAATAATAAAGTAACCGAAGTTAGACAATTCCAGCTACTTAAGATAACTGTGTTTCCAGGGAATCTGTTTCATGTGTAGAGAGGAAAAAATAAGTAGTCACAATCCTGGATTTTCTATGTGAATCAGTTTGCTTAGAGAGCAGCAGCTGTTAAAATATACATGATATTTGAGTTCAAACGGGAGCAGAAAGTATACTTAGTGTGGGCCAAAGAAAGGCATTTCAACGACAGGGCTCTTTCATCTGGAGTGGCGTGCCTAATTCTGATTTAGAGAAAAGCAGGTCTGATATTGTGCAGTGGAAAAGGAGTCCTGGGGCTGGGCATCAGAAAATCAGCTTTCAGACACTTCCTCCAGGTTGTAGCTGAGAAACTTGAGGCTCTTTAGTGAGATGAAAAAATAGTAGGCGTCTCATCCAGCACAGAACCATATTGTCACAGTGTACACACAGATGGCTGAAGGCAGAAAACACCACACCAGTTCAGTTCCCCCCAGTGAAACCTATCTTGCCTTGGTGGAAAGAAGTCACCAAATCTGAAGGTTTATCATGAACAGGCAAAAGAGTTTCACTTGTTTTCATGACTCAAAACATTTGGCTTAAACTGCATATCTCTCCATTTTAAATGTAAATTATAATAGGGAAACAGGAGGGAAATATGCAAGATTCTGGAAAACCTGAAGTTTCCATGTTTATCTTTTCTTTAGTTCCTTGCTCTTTAGAGTCAACCAACCCATTCCCTAGATATAGTTATAAAAAATGGCTGGGGTAAGAAAAACAAGTTCGGTGATATTTTTAAAACTGTATGCACAGTCACTTGGAGACCCTTGAATGATGTTAGGAGACTGAGCTTCCCATACTCACTGGGACACACACAGTTGCTCTTGTTTGTAAGAGAGGACGCTTCTGAAGTGTCATTTACTCTGTTGCTAGTATCAGCCTGCCTTCCCCTTGACCCCTGCCTTGTGGCCACCACTGTATCTCATGTCCACACCCTTCCTTGGCTGGGGCCCTGGAAGCCAGGGCATACTGAGTGGGACAGCTGGCAGGGGCTCGGGCTGGTGCGGTCACTGACAAAGAATCCTCCTCCGGCCTGTCAGTGGCAACTCTGCAGCTGTTGGCCCACATACCTGGCATACCTCCATCTCCAGGCAACTGCTGGGTGTGGGCAGGGATCCCAGCAGCACCCACTGGCGTCGGCTGCCTCCCACAATGCCAGCCCCCAGGTAGCCAAGAGGAGTGTCCAGGTGTCGGGGAGAGAAGCTGAGAGAAGCAGCGAGGGCCGTGGTTGTGGGAGAGAGGAGGAAGTTGGGAGGGTCACCCACACACTTACGGAAAGCTTGGTGCAAAGAGAAAGAGACCGCCTTTCAAAAACAGCCCTGCTCTACCATCCTGAACCTAGTCCTGATCATGCCTTGAAAAAATAGATTCCCAAGTGGGTCTTGCCTAAATAATGTAAGTGGACGTGGGAAAAGCACGGACTTGTCAGCAGTTTCAGAAGGTTCCTTGCTGCTGGTGACTTTGGAAAACTCCCTTAACCAGCGTGAGCCTCCATGTCTGCCTCCATATCCTCCTCCAGAGCAGGGGACTGTGTACCTTCCCCCAGGGAGGCCTGGAAGGATTTTGTTGGGTTTTCCTGATAAACTCACTCAGTGGATGAAAGGGGGGATGTTTGTAAAGTTGTCATATTTATGTTGAATGTAAGATCACTGAACTCTCACTGATATGCAGAAATCAACCTTAACGAGCGCTATCTGCAACACAAGAGATTTGTTTTCATGAGTACACACCTAGACGATGAACCTGTGCACACGACTTCATACTTTAAAAATGTCTCTTTTTTATCTTGCAGTTCTTTAAATACTAACAAGAATGGTTTTTAAAAGTGTTTTCAAATGTGAAAAAATACATATGACATAAAATTGATCATTAACCACTTAAGATGTGCGCAGGTCAGTGGCATCATGCACGTTGACAGTGCTGTGAAGCCATGACCACCATCCAGCCACAGAACCCTTTCATCTTGCAAAATTCAAACCCTGCACCCACTGAACAACAACCCCATTTCTCCTTCCCTCCAGCCCCTGGCAAGCACCATTCTATTTTCTCTTGCTATACATTTGACTATTCCAGGTACTTTATATTACTTTTAATGGCAAAAACCACAATAACTTCGCACCAACCTAAAATGAGTTGAATCATGTAGTATTTATTTGTTTGTTTGTTTGTTTATTTTTTTGACTGGCTCACTTCGCTTAGCATAATGTCCATTGTTTATTATCAGCAATTACATTTTAAAATTTCTAATCTTAGAAAAAGAGGCATACTGTTGTCAATGAGAGGTCAGCAGTTTCAGAATATATGAATAGAGGACAGACACAATAGACTTAAAAATTATTACCATTCGTTGTGCCAAGAAAACTTGCAAAAGTGTTCTTTCTCTGATGTAAGCATGCCAAAGGTCTGAATGTGTACACATGTATGTTACTTCCCCCACTCCTCTTTTCTTTCATTTTTATCTTTACTTTTTTCTAGGTAAGGACCGATTTTATTGTGGGGTGAAAAGTAACATAGAGCTGTACATTTTAAAGTGACTTGTATTCTCTATGTTAAGCTCAGTAAGTTGCCTCTGCTGCAGGTTGTAGGTATCTGTGTTTAGCCCTGCATTCTATCTGCTCATTTCCCCTGTCTTTAGCACAGCTTGCCTCTCCCCATCCGCACAACCCTGCCTAATTCTACTTGCTTTCTTTGACTCACTCATGAAGATTAAGTAGGTACTAAGTAAAATACAAGTATTTTACTTATATCTAAATCTCATGCCTTTTTAACAATATCAATATTACTTTTCTCACTTCAGAGATAAGGAAACTGAGGCTCGAAGATCTTATGTAACTGCCTATAGCCTAGCATCCATCTCAATGGGTGTCAAGAACTAGATCGAGTGTGTTTTGAGACAAATCCCAGAGGCTGCCCTGCACAGGATGTGGCAATCATCACTGCCTTAGTCATCTGACTTTTGCTTTTGGTTTGTGTGCTTGTTTGAGACAAGAGTCTTGCTCTGTCACCCAGGCTGGAGTGCAGTGGCACAATCACTGCCTCCTGCAACCCTTGCCTCCTTGGTTCAAGTGATTCTCCTCCCTCAGCCTCCCAAGTAGCTGGGATTATAAGTATATCCCACCACACCCAGCTAATTTGTGTGTGTGTGTGTGTGTGTGTGTGTGTGTGTGTGTGTTTAGTAGAGATGGGGTTTCACCATGTTGGCCATGCTGGTCTCGAACTCCTGACCTCAAGTTATCTGCCCACCTCGGCCTCCTAAAGTGTTGGGAATACAGGCATAAGCCACCATGCCCGGCCCTGACTTTTGCTTTCTATTGGGCTTACCTGTGTATTCTCACACTCTCGGGAGAACTCAACACTCCTGAAGAACACAGCCCATGACTCCTCATTTCTGTCTCCTGGCAAAGGCTAGCACAATATTTTGTGCAAAGGTTTTGCTTTCTTAATGATAAGTGAATGAAATATGGAAAAGTTTTAACATAAAAATATATTCAAGTTAGCATTTTGCCTGAAATTTATACTTAATTACAACTAGGAAATTAAGTGTACATGATCAACATATATGTATATATCATTTTCCTATTTGAGTACTGACAAGATGGAGGAAAGGCAAGGAAAAGCTGGAGAATTTGAAATATGCATGAGGTCATTTCCGTTCCAGAAATAGGAGACATAAAGTAGAGGTCGAGATCATTGACAGTGGGCTTTCTCGAGTCGGGTAGAGAAGGGGTCAGTCCTTCTAGAGCTGGATCCAACCGTGTGTGGCTCTCTACCCAAGGGTATCCACCTGCTCTCCATTCCCTCATCTGTCCACTGGGGTGCACACAGCACCTCTCATGGGAATTAAAAACGGTGGTGCCTGAGCAGCTTTCAAGGAGCCAGTGGCACTCGCTGCTCAGTGCACATGAGCTAGAGAGGAGTGGAGGCCTCAGCACAGGGCCTGGTACTAACTCGAGAGATATTTGTTGTGCCCTATACCCAGCAGATACTGAGTACATGCTCAATGTTGTCATTATTTTGATAGATATTTTCTTAAATCTGGATTATCATCCTTCAGTTTGGATAAGACAGACAATATTGATGGGTTGGGGTACTTTGTCAAAGAATGTAAAGAAAGATAATGTGAAGAAAGGCAATTTTGTGATTAAAAAGGAAACTTTATTCTTAGATTTGTTAATAAGTGTCTCTTACTGAATTATTTGCTTATTAGGCAAAACAGTGATATCATTGAATCATTCTAAAATTCCTTCCCTTTTATGTCTTGAGGTTATGAACACATGTAAGGCACCTCACCTGGCATCTGACAAACTCAACGAGACAATGAATGAACCAGAATAAATAATCATCTATTTTTTTTTCCCCCTGAACATTTCTACAGTTGAGACAGTCTTAGAATTTCTCTCTTGCATGCCAGGATATTAGACTGTTGAAATTGAATTCTTTTTTTTTTTTTTTTTTTTTTTTGAGACGGAGTCTCGCTCTGTCCCCCAGGCTAGAGTGCAGTGGTGCGATCTCGGCTCACTGCAACCTCCGCCTCCAAGGTTCACGCCATTCTCCTGCCTCAGCTTCCCGAGTAACTGGGACTACAGGCACCCGCCACGACACCTAACTAATTTTTTTGTATTTTTTAGTAGAGACGGGGTTTCACCGTGTTAGCCACGATGGTCTTGATCTCCTGACCTCGTGATCCGCCTGCCTCGGCCTCCCAAAGTGCTGGAATTACAGGTGTCAACCACCGCGCCCGGCTGAAATTGAATTTCTTTCTTTTCACCAACTCGAATTTCTTCTTCTCATGTAAGGTCATCTTACATAAGTGAGACTCCTTTGTTCCCTTTCCCTTAATAACAAGCCTACACGGATGTGAAGGTGGTGAACGCACCTCTTCTCATCTCAAAACATCCACGTGCTCTTCCATTTTTTTCTAACAAAGAAGGGAGAGGAGGTGACATGAAAACACACCATGGATATTGTTCAGCATTTGTAAAAGCTGAAAGTATCACTTGGTAGACAAACTGCTTTTTGCACTACAACCTCCAGAAGAAAGCGCGAACGCAATTCCCCACCACCACAAATTACAGTCCAGTTTCCCCACATGTGGAAGTAACAGGAGTCAGTCAGCACATACTGAGTACAATGGAGAAATCGCCCCCGAGAAACACCAACTTCATGGCCGTATTTTCTCCTGTTACGTAAGTATGAATGAACGCCCCTCCGCCCTGCCACAGCTCCATACGCCTCACCCCTTACACGCATGGTCACTTGGCCCGCGCATTCCCCCACCCCGCCCCCATGCCGCCTCAAGTCTTCCTAGCCCTGACACACAGCTGGGACTATCACGTCCAACCGGAGGTCCTGGACTAGCTCCCACAGCACGAGAAATCTTTCGTGGTGAAGCAGCAGCCCCTGAGCTGCCTCCTCTGCATAGGAATCGCCCTATCTGTGATGTCACCGACAGCGCCTTTCCCGTCCCCGTCTGCTCTTCCGCCCCACCCTCTGCCACTCGGCCGACCAACCAGCTGTGGGAGCGGGCGGAGGAAGTGACACCTGACTCTACCTCCTTTCCCTCCCATCCCCGTCCCTGGTCTCTCCCAAAGAAGTAGGTTCTTAGCCTGTGATGCAAAGGACCCCTTTGGCGGCCAGCTGGAGCCTGTGCGCTTTTCTTCAAATAATGGCTTTTAAAGCTCAGACTAGAAAGTTTAGGATTACAAAGAAAAACGGTTCTTTTCACATACGGTTATCCTTGTGATGTAGCATTTCGCTTGACATTTGGAAGTCGTTCAATATCAGAGAGAAACCGTATCTATGAAACTAGAGAGGCTGCTCAGATGACTGCAAACCAGCCATCCTTACTTGTTTTATCACTAGGAGTATTATAAAGACGGTCGTCCAGTTTCATGAATCTTGTAGGGTTTTTTTCAGATACAGCAATGTACAAAAATGTGCTGCCCCAGCAGAGCACACTGGACATTCAGGCATGGTGCTGGAGTTTGTCATCTCTTCACTGCCTTCTCTAGACCTTAGCGCTTACCTCATGTTAACACTTTATATGCTGCGAAGACAGAAACACAGTCATCCAAATTTGGCAAAAATATTTGGGAGAAGTTTTATTTCAGGTGTTTAACTGATTACTTTTAATATGTAGACTACAACACCAAACTCTGAGAATACTCCACAGACTTATTAATGGTTTCCACCCCCGTCTCTGCAAATCTATCAGGCAAGTTTTTCCTGCCCTTTACTTTCATATAAGCTGAGTCACAGTCTGTAGTGGGTTTTGGGGGGAGTGTTACTGCCCAACAGGTACACCCTGCCTGCTGCCTAGACAGAGCCAATTTTTCGACACAGGGGAATTGCAATAAAGAGCTGCACTCTTTATTTGGTGATTGGGGGCCGGTGAATTGAGAGTTCTGCTTGGCCAGGTCGGAGATGAAATCACAGGGAGCTGAAGCTGTGGTCTTGTGCTGGGTCAGTTCCTGCTTGGGGGCCACAAGACCAGCTGAGCCAGGTTATCAGTCTAGCTGGTGCCAGCTGATCCACTGAGTGCAGGGTCGGCAAAATATCTCAAGCACTGATCTTAGGTTTTCCAATAACGATGTGATCTCCAGGAACAATTTGGGGAGGTTTAGAATCTTGCAGCCAGAGGCTACATGACTCCTAAACCATAATTTCTAATCTCGTGGCTAATTTGTTAGTCCGGCAAAGGCAGTCTAGTCCCCAGGCAGGAAAGGGGTTTGCTTTGGGAAAGGGATATTATCATCTTTGTTTCACAGCTAAACCATAAACTAATTTCCTCCCAAAGTTATTTCGGCCTGTGCCCAGCAATCAACAAGGACAGCTTGTACGTTAGAAGCAAGATGGAATCAGTTAGATCAGATCTCTTTCACTGTGGTAATTGTCCCAGTTGTAATTTTTGCAAAGGCGGTTGCAGAAGCAGAGGCATAGGTCTGACTTCTTTCACTCAGTCCTATGTCTATGAATTTTTCATGTTATTCATATGGTTATTTGGTTCTACGTGTATTCCTTTGTAGGAATATACATTAACTTATGTATTTCTTCTACTGTTGTTGAACATGTTGACCTAAAAGAAGGAGGCTGAAGCACAAAATATAATTTAGAGTTTACTTGAGTCAACATGAAGACAACTGCCTGGAAGACTCACACCAAGGAAGCTTGGATCTGAGCTCCCTTTGGCCTTTGTCACAAGCAGGTTTTTATTTTTTATTTTTTATTTATTTATTTATTTTGAGACGGAGTCTCACTCTGTCGCCCAGGCTGGAGTGCAGTGGCGCGAACTCTGCTCCGCCTCCCGGGTTCTCGCCATTCTCCTGCCTCAGCCTCCCTAGTAGCTGGGATTACAGGCACCCGCCACCACGCCCAGCTAATTTTTTTGTATTTTTTTAATAGAGACGGGGTTTCACCGTGTTAGCCAGGATGGTCTGGATCTTCTGACCTCATGATCCGCCTGCCTCGGCCTCCCAAAGTGCTGGGATTACAGGCGTGAGCCACCGCACCCTGCCCACAAGCAGGTTTTTAAAGTTCAAAAGCAGGGACAGACAGTGGGCTGATAGGTGCCTATCAGGAATTCTCATTGGTTTACAGAAATAACATTGCTTGGTGATTGGCTATATGTTGTTAAGTTATAGGGTATGGGGGTATAGGGATTGGTGTGGCATTATTAGGTTAATTTACAGCTACTTAAGGCAATAGCAAGCAGTTTCAACGGATGAATACATAGCTCAGCGCAGCTCAAAAGGAAGGAGCGGAAAGTGGTTGCTGTCTCGATTTAACGTCTCTCTGGGCCTGATCATTTGAAAGGGCTCACATTCCTCAGATAAAAAGTTTTTTTAATCTTTCTTCTTGAAAGCATCGATGATCAAAAGCTAAGTCAAGGGTGTCCTTCTTTGCCAGAAAGGCTCATTCCCGGATAGTCCTGTCCCAAGCAGGGGACAGGGGAGGAAAGAAGCCACCTCACTGAGGAATTTTTAAGAATGCCCAAAAGTCCAATTGAAAGGGCATTACAGCCAGGCATGGTGGCTCACACCTGTAGTCCCAGCACTTCAGGAGGCCAAGATAGGTGGATTGCCTGAGTCCAGGAGTTCAAAACCAGCCTGGGCAACATGGTGAAACCCCATCTCTACAAAAAATACAAAGTTAGCCAGGTGTAGTGGCACACACCTTAGTCCCAGCTATTCAGGAGGCTGAGGTAGGAGGACTGCTTGAGCCTGGGAGTTTGAGGCTGCACTGAGCTAATATCACACCACTGCACTCCAGCCTGGGTGACAGAGTGAGACTCGGTCTTAAAAAAAAAAAGGGCATCATAGAGTGGCAAAAAAAAAAAAAAAAAGAGAGAGAGAGAGAGGGGCCTCAGTTAAGTCTACAGCTGCTGTCACTTATTGAATCATCTCTACTCTTCAGAATACCATGAAATTAGTTTTCCCAGAAGTAAAACGATGAGAGATACATAACAATAATGACATTGCACTTCATCATTCCATGCCCTTCGACATTTATAGGGCCATGGATGGTGATCTTTTCAAGAGACAAAAATAAACGCCAAACAGGTAGGTGCGCTATAACTTGAGTACATCAGCTTTTGGGCATTTAAACCATGGGTCAGAAATTTAGAGCAAGAGGGCAGGTTGGATCTTGATAGCAGGAGGGAGTGTTTTTCTTTTAACTTTCCAGTGGCATCATGGTGTTAACCACTGTTATTTCAGAGTGAAGAAACAATTTTTTGTTTGGTTGGTTTTGTACTTTTTATTTTTATTATAATTACTTTTTAAGACAAGGACTCTGTCTCCCAGGCTGGAATTCAGTGACAAGATCACAGCTCAGTACAGCCTTGACCTCTTGACCTCCAAGGCTCAATGGCTCATCCTCCCAAGCAGCTGGGACTACAGGCACACACCACCACACGCAGCTTATTTATTTATTTTTTGAGACAGGGTCTCATTCTGTTGCCCAGGCTGGAGTGCAGTGGCGTCATCAGGGTTTGCTGCAGGTTTGAACTCCTTAGCTCAAGTCATCCTCTCACCTCATGCTCCTGAGTAGCTGGGACTACAGGTGGGCACCACCACACCCAGCTAATTTGTATATATTTTATAGAGCCAGTGTTTCACCATTTTGCCCAGGCTAGTCTCAAACCCCTGTGCTCAAGTGATCCTTCTGCCTTGGCCTCCCAAAGTGCTGGGATTACAGGCAATTATTTTGACAATACGATTACGATGGGTTAAACTGAGACTTGCAGCAGGAAGGTTAGGGTGAGTCAGACAGATTAGATAAACAGGTTTTGCTTGATATGACCCTGAGTTGCATCGTGAGTGCAATCAGGAGGAATACAGGTGAAATTTAGCACAGGATGTACCAATGGGTCATTATGGTCAAAAGTGGTTTGTGGTTTTGAGTGGCAAACCTGGAACCTTGTCAAATTTCCCACAGAGGTAATGGTTTGTGAGATTCTAATCAGAGAATTATCCCTCCCTGCTGTAATCAAATTAATTAGGGACAGTAAAACAGAAATCTGATCACAGGTATTCTGCTATGTATGTATGTATGTATATGTATATACACATACACGCAAGAGGAGTAGTGTGTCATATCTTAAGAGAATATGCATATAGGGTGATTTTACCAAAACCACCAAGAGACAACCCCTACAACTTAAAGGAGCCCTAATGGTGTATGTATTCCAGTCCGCAAAAAAGAGACTAACTCTCTCAGGCACGGTCAGCACTGGAATTGTAACTGATTATACAGGCCAGTATCTTGGGTGAAAGCGGACTACACCAGATGTCAGCTACTTGCCATCTCTGTCAGGAAGATTGTGAGTTACCTCTAAGTGAAAATCTCCACTGATAGATGTCCACTCTGGTAGGGTTGCCTTTTACAAGAGAAACATGAATCCATGTGTCAACGCCCTTATGTTTACTGGCACAGATTGGTCAGTAATACCTGTTGTCAGTTAGGTGCAGTGGCCTATGCCTGTGGTCCCAAATATTTGGAAGGTTGAGGCAGAAGGGTGGCTTGAGCCCAGGGGTTCAAGGCTACAGTGAGTCATGATTGTGCCACTGCATTCTGGCTTGGGGAATAAAATGAGATCCCATCTCAAAAAAATATATAAAGTAATAATAATAGCTGATGTGGTCCCTTCCAACAGTCTTGGGGAGAATATTTTATTTGATGTTGTTTCCAGTAAACAACAACATCTCCAGGTTATAGGCCAAGATTTTTGATATTTTCATCTCCCAGGAGTTCATTATGAATGGAATTCTTTGTTAATGTAGAGTTCTTAGTAAGTTCTGTGAGATCTTAGCAGTAATGGAGAATGTCACCTTTAAGAAGTGCAGATTCATAAGCGCCTTCATCTAACCACTGCAAGGGTCTTCCTGTTATTATTTCAAAGAGGGAGAGTGTGGACGTTTTCCACAACCAGTGGGAGATCCTTGTCCAAGAAAGGTTAAAAACTTCTGTTAGCTTTGCCAATTGAGTTTTTATTGTATCATTAGTGCATTCCATCGGCCCAGAGGATTAGGGGTGACAGGCACAATGGAAATGTTGAGACTTAGGCAAAAATGTTACAAATGGATCAAATTACCTGACCAATGAAGTGTGTTCCTCGGTTTCTATGGAGTTCAGATGGCACCCCCCATGAGGAATTACCTTTTCTAATCACAATCTACCTACTACTTGGGCTGTGGCTCATCGGCATGGAAATGCTCACCCCAGTGAGCATATACAAATTAGCACCAGAAAGTATCTGTGACCCTGAGATGGAGACAGCTGGATAAAGTCTAACTGCCGTGTCTCGAAGGGTCCCAAAGGCAAAATGTCCCTGTGACCCATGAAGGGGTTTTCCAGGATTATGTTTGGGACAGACAGTATGGCAAGACTAAACATTTTCTGCAATCATAGGCAATGATTTTCAATACCATTGCTTTCCCCATGCCAACATTTTGTCTGAATTCCAATGAGTCAGCTTATGAAGTACTGTAAAAGGGTAATTGAAGCCTAAGGGATAGATCAGTGAGTGTATCATTGGGCCCATACCATATGACTGTTTCTGGAAGAAATTTGTTCCCTTTATCCTTCCAGAGATCCCTCTCCTGCTTGGGAGCTCCCACTTATGCTTCTTTTTTTTTTTTTGCCAGAGTCTTGCTCTGTCACCCAGGCTGGAGTGCAGTGGTGCAATCTCACCTCACTGCAACCTCCGCCTCCCAGGTTCAAGCAATTCTCATGCCTCTGCCTCCCAAGTAGCAGGGATTATAGACATGTGTCACCACACCAGCTAATTTTTGTATTTTTAATAGAGACAGGATTTCACCATGTTGGCCAGGCTGGGCTCAAACTCCTGACCTCAGGTGATCCGCCAGCCTTGGCCTCCCAAAGTGCTGGGATTACAGGCATGAGCCACCATGCCCAGCCCACTTGTACTTCTAATGAAGTCTTCAATGGGTCATAAGTCAGCAAGGTCATTTCGAGGAGTTCTGTGTCTGATGTCACCTTCAGAGCTGCATTCTTAGCTGCAGCATCAGCAAAATGATTGTCCTTGCTCTCCAGAATGTCTAATTTTGAATGAACACGAATTTTGATGATGGCCAAAATTTGGGTCTTCAAATTGCTTCTAAGAGGTCAGAGATTTATTGGTCATTTTTGATGGCTTGACCTGATGAAATCAGATACCTATGTTGCTTCTAAAGCATTCCAAAATCATCACCTACTCCAAATGCATCTCTGCTCCCAGTGTAAATGTTAGGCTGAGGGGAAGGATTGATTGAGCCCAGAAGTTCATTCAGGTCCAGCCTGGAAAACACAGCAAGATGTCCTCTCTACAAAAAAAAAAAATCAAAGAATTAGCTGGGCATTGTGGCATGCACCTGTGGTCCCAGCTACTCGGGAGGCTAAGGTGGGAGGATTGCTAGAGCTGAGAGGTTGAGGATGTGGTGGGCCATGATGGAGCCACTGCACTCCAGCCTGGGTGACAAAGTGAGGCCCTGTCTCAATCAATCAATCAATAAATCTTAACCACTTAAAATACCAATGACAGATTTGCTTGGCCTTTTAAGTGCATTGCTGAATTCTCCAATCTACATTTTTGGGAACAACCTGGGGAATGGCAACATGGAAGTATTTGGCCAAAATGCAGACCCTTTCATTGTCTGCTTTAGTCTGTTTTTAAAAATCCTCTAAAGAATTATTCCAATTCGCCCTTTTCAACCATTTAGTGGCCCTGCCTTCTTACACCACATGTGAATTAATTGATAAAAATCAGAATATTCGGGCTAAAAGTTTGGACAATTAAGTCAAATTTTCTCCCAAACCCTATAGGATCTTGGAGGCTGCTTTAGAATTAGAAGGGGAAATTGATTTAAATTTCGATCAGGGAAGTCTTTTTTATTTTTTATTTATTTATTTATGTATTTTGATACAAAGTCTTGCTCTGTCACCCAGGCTGGAGTGCAATGGTGCAATCTTGGCTCACTGCAAACTCCACTTCCCGAGTTAAAGCGATTCTCCTGCATCAGCCTCCCGAGTTGCTGGGATTGCAGTCATGTATCACCATGACCGGCTAATTTTTGTATTTTTAGTATAGACCGGGTTTCACCATGTTGTCCAGGCTGGTCTCGAACTCCCGACCTCGTGATCCACCTGTCTAGTCCTCCCAATGTGCTGGGATTACAGGCATGAGCCACTGCGCCCGGCCCAGGGAAGTCTTTTATAATATTCTTAATTCACATTTTGGTGAAGCAGTATACAGAATGGTAGGCTCCCTTCTTCCTGTGGAAGCCCCTACCTTGAAAGGGGCTGTCAGAACAGAAGTTTCAGGGGAGGGGCCAGAGCCCTGGGGACTTTCCTCAGGTGATGGTGATGGAAGAAGAGGCAAGGCAGAACCGGAGGGCTCAGGTAAGGGAGACTATGCAGGTGCAGGGGCAGGAGGAGAAGGAGCAGTTGGAGGCGAAAGAGACAAAGCCTCCTCAATATTTCTCAATTCAGAAAACGTGTCAGTTTACCTCCTTCAGCTTACTTCCTCACTGGAGGCAATTTTCACAGTTCTTTTAGAAATTTCTAGGTATTATTGGAAGTAAGTCTCCCATTTAATTTGGTTCTAAAACCAAATTTTTCCAATTGTGCACACTAATAAATTATTTTAAGCATTTCAAAATATCCCCATTTTCTTCATTCTGCTTATCAGTTTTCCTGGTTAGGTGGATCCAGTTTCTTGGATATTTACAAGAGGACGCTTCATAAGTGCTATACATAAACCCAGCTGATGTTTCTAAAGGTGGTTGTTTCTTCGCAGTGTGCTAAATTTTGAAGCTTGATTTCCCATAATTCAGGAGCTTTTCAGATGACCAAGGCCTGTGATGTGTTTTGGGTCACAGTGTGGTGCTTATGAAGTCACTCCTACAGATAACACCGGAGTTGTGTATCGCTGTCTCAGTGGTTCCCACTGTTTCTAACCACCAGGTGGCCACAGAGTGCATGTGCTATGAGGGACCCGTCCGACATATACCCTCCCAGAAGAGCAGGAAAGGGGGTTCATAAAGATGTTCTTCTGATGGGGAGTGTCCTATGAGGCCACCTTCACATGGTGAGTAATGACCCCGACACCTCTGCAACATCCCCGATCACTTGGAGCACCTGAATGGATTGGCGGAAGCAGATCACTTCTTTTCTTCAGGGCAGGGGAATGCACCTCCATGCGCTTTCCAGTTAAGAACTAACAGGAATTAGTCACAAATGAAAAGCTAAGCCCGAATGTTCAAAACAACATGCTACATAAAATGACACCACCAGGGCCTACCTGCCAATACCTTGACCCAGAACTTCCTGCTGAGGAACAGAGGCAGGAAAGGCAGAAGCTCTCTGGAGAGCTCTTTGCCTGACTGTGACCCAAACTTTCTGTCCTGATGCAGAGGTGGAAAAGGCAGTTATTTCCCCCGAGACTCAAACCTCTTACCCACAGGGTAAAGACAGAAAACCTCCATTCTAGAAAGGGAGAGCTGGAAAGGACACTCAAGCAAAGTCCAGGCCTTCAACCAAAGAGTGGGAAGGTCCAGATTTCAGGAGGATTCCCCACTTACTACTGCCCAACTCTTTCTCTCAGAGTCCAAACTTGAGGGCTTCAGAGCTGGCCAGGCACCCAGTCCAGGAGGAATGTGGTGTGATCTGAGAGATGAAAATACATGCCCCCTTATAGACTAAGACAGACTGTAAGTTTAAGGAAACAAAAGTTAGCTACAGGTCCAGGGTTCAGGGCTCATCTGGCATGGCAACGTCCTGAATTCCTATGGCTACAGAAAAAAACACACTGTTGCTAAACTCCTTAACAATAGGGGCTAGCAAGCAAATTGTCAAAATCTTCCCAGCCCTTCTCAACTGGATTTACAACCCAGATCACTAGAGCTCTGATGGGACAAAGGAGTGGCCTTCCATTCTTTCCCGATAAGCAACTGCAGATATCAAGCCAGTTTCAGCCATGTTACAGGGACTGCACACAAACCGACTTCGTGTCCAGTAGTTCACCTTTTGACATAAACAGCCAATTTCCACCTCATTTTAATGCTAAAATCCCTTCCCAATGTGAATATGGGGTGCATGTTACATATATGTTTACCCGTTGCACATGAGCTCAATACCCCTCAGAAATGGCGTTTCCCCAAACCTGCTGAATATGTATGACTCTATTGTGTGATACACACCCTGTGAGGCACAAAAACCAACCTGCCCTCTCTCTCTCTCTCTCTCTGAAGAAAAAGCACTTCTTCAAAGACACACACCAGAGACTGTCTCTTCCCGGACTGCAAACTGATCTCACCAATCAAATTCTACCTACTATGTAGCCACCCTGGAGGCCTTTGAGAGGACGGTCAGATGGTCAGAGATAAGTTGCTCTGAATCCTGCTCCCAGGGCCAAAAACATCGACCTAGAAGGAAGGGGCTTAAGCACAAAATATGATTTAAAGAGTTTGTTTGAGCCAGTGTGAGGATAGTTGCCCAGAAGGCTCAGAGCCAAGCAATCTTGCATATGGGTTCTGTTTGGCCTTTGTTACAAGCAGGTTTGTAAAGACCAAAAAGGGAGACAGGGAGTTGGCTGGTAGAAAGTTGCTTGTCAGGAACTCCCAGTGGTTTACAGAAATAACATTGATTAGGGATTAGCTATACATTGTTCAGCTACAGGGAATGAGAGATGGTGTCCAGTGCATGTGATTAGGTTACTTTATAGCTAACTGTGGCAATAGCAAGCAGTTTCAGTGGATGAATACATAGCTCAAAAGTGGGGAAGTGGCCGGTGGTGGTCATAATTCACATTTTGGTGGGCCAAGTTGGGCAGATCACCTTAGGTTAGGAGTTTGAGACCAGCCTGGCCAACATGACGAAACCCTGTCTCTACTAAAAATACAAAAAAAAAAAAAAAAAAAAAAATAGGGGAGCATCGTGGTTCGCGACTTCAGTCCCAGCAACTCGGGAGGCTGTGGCAGGAGAATTGCTTGAACCTGACTGGAGGAGGTTGCAGTGGGCCAAGATCCTGCCACTGCACTCCAGCCTGGGCAACAGAGTGAGACTCCATTTCAATACAATAAAAAAAAAATTTTTTTTAACTTAAAAGATTTTAGAAAGCAGGAAGTAGGATGTGGTTGCTGTCTCATTTTAATGCCTAGCTCTGGGCATGCTAAGTTGAAAGCACTCATTTTCTTCACATGAAAAAGTTCTTCTCTTTTCTTTCTTTTTTTTTTTTTTTTTAGAGACACACTCTCACTTACTGTGCCACCCATAAAGTGAAGTGGCATCATCTCTGCTCACTGCAACCTCCACCTCCAGGGATCAAGTGATTCTCAAGCCTCAGCCTCCCAAGTAGCTGGGATTACAGGTGCCAGCCACCATGCCTGGCTTATTTTTGTATTTTAGTAGAGATGGGGTTTCACCATGTTGGCCAGGCTGGTCTCGAACTCCTGACCTCAGATGATCCACCTGCCTCGGCCTCCCAAAGTGCTACGATTACAGGCGTGAGCCACCATGCCCAGCCAATACCATTAATTTAATCTACAGCTAAATCTATTATTTTTTCATGTTACAAATTCAACAAGAAAATTTTTCCCTAATGAAACATCACATTTAAAGCATAAGTAGAATTAAAAAATGTAATAGACAGTGTCTTGCTGTGTCATCCAGGTGAGAGTGCACTGGTGCAACCACAGCTGACCAACCTGGAACTCTGGGCTCAGGCAGTCCTCCCAGCTCAGCCCGCCTTTTAACTTCTTAGAGATGGCATCTTGCCCTGTTGCCCAGGCTGGCCTCCAACTCCTTGCCTAAAGCAATCCTCCCACATCAGCCTCCTGATTTTCTGGGATTACAGGTGTGAGTCAACCAGCCTGGCATTGCAGGGAAAAAAAAAAGTCAAGAAATTATTCTTCATTTTCTTTTATTTTGAGTTGAGGTCTTACTCTGTCACCCAGGCTGGAGTGCAGTGGTACAATTATAGTTCACTGCAGCCTGGATCTCCTGGGCTCAAGTGATCCTCCTGCCTCAGCCTCCCAAGCAGCTGGGACTACCAATGTGAGCCACTGTGCTGGCTAGTTTTTTAAAATCAGCTCATTTTTAAATTTGTAGAGACAGGGGTCTCACCATATTTCCCAGGCTGGTATCAAACTCCTGACTTCAATCCTTCTTCTCTCCTCAGCTGCCTAAAATGCTAAGATTACAGGTGTGAGCCACCACACCCTGCTTAATTTCCATATTTTAATTTTATATACGTAATTATTACTGTCCTTAAGATAATTGGGGCAGTAATCTCTTTAAAGTTTTAGAGACTTAATTTATCTATTCACTCCACTGGAAGAGTATGCCAATTGGTTTCATAAGAAAATATATTTATAAATCAGAAAATTTCTTTCCACCAATCTAGGGGGCATTCGAAAGCAAATAATTGTGTTAAGTAACATCGTTTAAAGTGAAAACAGATGCAATGGTATTTATTAACAAGGCTTATCAGTGAGCGAAACAAACTGAAAAAAGGAACATCATTAGATCCTTGGAAAACCCTCAGTGCTGAAAATCTGAGTGATTCTGTGATACCCTTTTGAGTCTGGCAGGGCATTCTCTTTCCCGAGCGTATAAAAGTGAGTAAATCATTTCTTTTCATCCATTTTCATTAAGAGCTGAACTTCCTTGATGTTCTGGAGATTATTAAATTTGATTTGTGGCCAGGCGCAGTGGCTTACGCCTGTAATCCTAGCACTTTGGGAGGCCAAGGTGGGCAGATCACTTGAGTTCAGGAGTTCGAGGCCAGCCTGGCCAACATGGCCAAACCCCATCTCTACTAAAAATACAAAAATTAGCCAGGCATGGTGTCACACGCCTGTAATCCCAGCTACTCAGGAGGCTGACGCACAAGAATCACTTGAACCCGGGAGGCCAAGGCTGCAGTGAGCCAAGATTGTGCCACTGCATTCCAGCCTTGGTGACAGAGCGCGACTCTGTCTTAAGCAAAAAAAATTTTTGATTTGTATAGTTGTGAGAAGTGCTTATGTTGCTGACTCCATTGCTTATCTGTGATCATATAAATCTCTTTTCCCCTTTCTGTAGTGTGATTTAAACTTAATCCTTAAAGGACATGTGTTTCAGCTGGTTAGAGGTTTTTAGCTACTAGAAACCTGAGTATACGAATCAAAGAAAACTGCTCCTTACCTGCCACAGACTTAGTTTTCTTTATGTACTAAGATTTCTTTCAGGTATAGTAATTTGTTAAAGCCAAGAGCTCCTATGGAATGAAGTTAGGTGGCGGGAGTGGGTGGGGCATTGAGTAGTAAGATCGTCCTTATAATAGAGATGCCGCTCTTGCAGATATTGACAGCTATCGGGCCCAAAAAATTGTTACCAAACATTGGAAAGACAAGATATGAGCAACTTCTGATTGCTGCAGTCTCAAATATCAAGAAATACCATTATCCTCAGGACAATGAATAGACAATCAAAAAAGACTCACAGACTAGATTAGCTGTCATGTATCACCAAACACCTTGTCAAACACCACCCAACAGAGATTGTCCCCAGAACTTCACTTCATAACATCAAAACCAGAAACCCACACTGATGCCACTGATGGCAGAAAACAATGATGCAAGAAAGAGAGAGAGGGAGATAGAGAAAGGAAGGACTTGCCCAATGACCATACTTAGTATATAAAAGCAAAACAGCTCAATTTCTGCTCATGAGAACAAGAACTGAGGGAACAAGAACCAGTGGCTCTAAGGATCCAGGTCTGCACCAGGGGCCTGTTAGGTGCAGGATTCTGTTGGCTCCAATGATGGGTGTCAGATGGATTAATTTTTATGGACATAGCCTCTGAAAGAAATCAGTCGAGGAATAATACAGAGACACTTGTCTGCATGCTCATTCTCCATCAATATAGAAGAGGAACTGGCATTAGATTGTGTTCATCAAATAAAAGTAAAATCAACATTTATAAAGAAAAGAGGAAAGGGGAGGAGAAAAAAATGACTGGGACCATTGTGATTTTGCTCCCTTTGGATAAGCAACTTGGCAGAAAGCTATCAAAGAGGTCACTATGACCTGTCTTCTCCGGACCAGTGTGACTTGGTCACCACAGCAAACAATTACAGGCTGGGCACAGTGGCTCATGCCTGTAATATCGACACTTTGGGAGGCGGAGTGGGCGGATCACTTGAGCTCGCAAGTTGGAGAGTAGCCTGGGCAACATGATGTAACTCTGTCTGTACAAAAAATACAAAATTTAGCCAGGAATGGTGGTGTATGCTAGTAGTCCCAGCTACTCAGGAGGCTGAGGTGGGAGGATCACCTGAGCCTGGGAAGGTTCAGGCTGCAGTGAACCATGATTACACCACTGCACTCCAGCCTGGATGACAGAGTAAGACCATGTCTCTAAAATAAATTAAGTTTGAAAAAGAAACAGGGCCAGGCACGGTGGCTCACACATATAATCCCAGCACTCTGGGAGGCCAAGATGGGAGTATCACTTGAGCTCAGGAGTTCGAGACCAGCCTGGGCAACATAGTGAGACCTCATCTCTAAAGAATACATATATATTTTTAAATAAACATATATAATAAAATATATACTATATTTTATTATACATAATATATAATTGTATATATTTATTATCATATAATTTTAATAAAATATGTATATATTTTATTATGTATAATAAAATAAAAAGAAACAATTACAGATGTTGGAGGACTTTAAAATATCTCGGCCAGGTGCAGTGGTTCAGGCTGGTAATCCCGGCACTTTGGGAGACTGAGGCAGGAGGATCACTTGAGCCCAGGAGGCTGAGGCTTACAGTGAACTATGATCATGCCACTGCACTGCAACCTGGGTAACAGAGTAAGACTCTATCTCAAAAAATAAAATAACATGTCTTAGAAGTTTAGCTGTCCATCCTATGCAACTGAATATCCGTGTGTAATGTCCACCATGTCCTTCTGTTTTACCTCCCCCTTACTTAAACCGGAAAGGCACTTGTCCCCATATTAGAATATCATTGGCACATGGCCGGGCATGGTGGCTCATGACTGTAATACCAGCACGTTGGGAGGCTGTTCAGGAGTTTGAGACCAGCCTGGCCAACAAGATGAAACCTTGTCTCTACTAAAAATACAAAAATTAGCCGGGCGTGGTGGTGCAGGCTTGTAAGCTGAGATCACTCCACTGCACTCCAGCCTGGGCGACAGAGCAAGATTGTGTCTCAAAAAAAAAAAAAAAAAAAAGGAAAGAAAAGAATATCATGGGCACATGTATAGAAAGTTTGTTAGGCCAGGTGCAGTGGTTCACACCTGAAATCCCAGCACTTTGGGAGGCCAAGGCAGGCAAATCTCTTGAGCCCAGAAGTTGGAGCTCCTGGGGGCAACCTGGGCAACAGAGCAAGACCCCATCTCTAAAAAAAAAGTTGGATTTGATGGTGCACACCTGTGGTTCCAGCTCTTCCGGAGGATCACTAGTGCCAGAGTGGCAGGGGCGGTGAGTTTGCAGTGAGCTGAGATCACGCCACTGCACTCCATCTTGGGTGACAGAGTGACACCTAGTCTCAAAACAAAAAGTAGGGGAGGGGAGAAAATTTGTTGTGTCAGCAAGTAAATGAAGAAAGAGACATTATTAGAGTTGAGAAATAAACTGGAATGTGATTTGGTACCTTTCCCACAGAAGATAAGTTTGCTAAATGTGCTGAAATTAGAAGCATTGTATAAGGCCCGGTGCAGTGGCTCATGCCTGTAATCCTAGCACTTTGGGAGACCTCGGAGGTGCCCGAGCCCAGGAGTTTGGGGACCACCATGGGCAACATAATGAAACCCTTTCTCTACAAAAAATACAAAAGTTAGCTAGGCCTTTCGGATGCGACAACTAATTGTGCCACAGAGACACAACCCGAGTGGCTTAGGACTCTGGGAAGATATAATCTCCCCCGTTTATCTAGTGATCGATAATGCATGAACGCTTTAAAAGCTGGAACAGGCGGCCGGGCGCGGTGGCTCACACCTGTAATCCCAGCACTTCGGGAGGCCGAGGCGGACGGACCACGAGGTCAGCTGATCCAGACCTTCCTGGTCAACAAGGTGAAACCTCTGTTTCTACTAAAACACAAAACATTAGCTGGGCGGGGTGGCGCGCGCCTGTATTCCCAGCTACTCCAGAGGCTGAGGCAGGGGAATCCCTTGAACCCGGGAGGCCGAGGTTGCAGTGAGCCAAGATCGCTCCACTGCACTCCAGCCTGGCGAAAGAGCAAGACTGTGTCTCAGGGAAGAAGAAAAACAAAACAAAACAAAACAAAACAAAACACCTGGAGCAGGCGTCCCTCAGTGGGCTCTAACCACCAAACTTTAGATTAACAGCCAAACGCGCTAACCGATTGTGCCACAGAGACACGTAGTGTACCTTCTTCTGGGCGCTATAGGAAGGGTGCACTCACCAAACACTCCCCAACCCTCCCATCCTCAGAGCCCACCCGGCAGTACAACTGTGAAAGGCCTTGGAAAACTGGAGCGATGAGAGGGGTGAATCGTGTTGGTCTCATTGGAGACCCGCAGGTTGGGAGATTCTGGAACCAGGACGACCTTGCCCCTCACCTGCAGCAGAAGCCCCCGGAAACACCCGGCCCCGACCCGGACCTGAGCCGCCTGGGGGCCCAAGGGAAGCTGAACGCCCGGTGGGCTCCCGCGATGGTTCTTTGTGCCGCCTTGACCCAGTGAGGCAGCCTGTGCCCACCCTGCCCAGTCACTTTTGAGGCCGCTGCGGAACTTCCGCTGCCATCTTCGGATCCTGTGTCCCGCACGGGGGCTCCACCAGGGCAGGGATGGTGGTGAGGGTGGCTCGTGGGTCCCCTCGCGGAGAGCAGGGTCTGGCACTCACCAGCGCGCACGACTAGGACTTGTTGAATTAATCCATCGTCACCTTCAGCTTTTAGTCCTTTGAAGAGCCCCGAAAATGGAAATCATGAAATATTTTACCATGGGGAAGTTTTGATTTGTTTTTGAGACAGGGTCTCGCTAGGTCACCCAGGCTGGAGTGCAGTGGTGCAAACACGGCTCACTGCAGCCTCGACCTCCCGGGGCCATCGTCGCCTTTAGCTTTTAGTCCCTTGAAGAATCCCAAGAATAGAAATCATGAGATTTTTCCATGGGGAAGTTCTTTTTTCAAAGCGTTTATTCACGTTGATTTCTAGGCATCCCCCGGGGAGGGCAACGGGCAGGGCCTCCAGTGCACCTTCTGCGCGGTGGAGCCGCGGGGGCTCAGCTGAGCAGTGGTAGGGTCCTGGGGCGGGAGGGCAGGAGGGAAGGGAAAAGCAAAAGCGGGGAAAGAAGCCGGGGAGCGGTGGAACACACATCCAGACCTCCTGAAAGGCTCGTGCAGAGGCACAGGCTGGATCTTCTGGAGGTGAGAATTGTTTTTTGTTGTTGTTGTTGTTGTTGAAGCAGAATGGGGAGGAACTGAGGGGAAAATTCAGAGAGAACATGAAAGAGCTCCAAACGCGAGGACCTATAACTCCCCAAGAATAACATCTTCCAGAAGAACTAGACAGAAAACTGGGTGTCTGGGAACCCTGAAATCCCTGGAGGAGTAGCATCATCATGACCCTCTGTGTTCCTTTTGGCGAAAGGACTTGCTTCCCTTGTTTGTACAATTGTTTGTGTTTGTTAAATAAATAAAACCCTTTTCATATATCTTTGAAAGTACATTGGCTCTATTATTTTATGATTACAAACAATGCTGCAGTCATCATTCTTGTACACTTCTCATTGGCCACTAGTGTATTTCTATAGGGTAGAGGCCTGGAGAGCAGTTGCTCCAGCACAGTGATTACATGGTTTTTATATCATTCCATGTTCTTCTTCCCTTTGTTGGCTTATTAGCTATAACTCTTTCTTTCTTCTTGTCCACCGCATCTCCGACTTCTTTTCTGCTTTTGCTTTTTCAGTGATGGCTTTAGGGTTTCCAGAATACATCTTTATCAGTGCCATCTAGTGACATTCTACCTCCCCTTCTGGCCATTATGCTGGTGTTGTCATGTAATTTGGTTTTAGACATGTTATAAACCCCACAATCCATTATTATTGCTTTTGTTTAATCGGTCAAATTATTTTAAAAGATTTAAATAAGAAGAACATATATATTTAACTGTGTACATACCGATTTCCAGTAGTCTCCATTTCTTTGTGTAGATCCAGTTTTCTGTCTGGTATCCTTATCCTTAGGCCTGGAGGACTCCCTTTGCATTTCTTGTCGTGTGGGTTGCTGAATTCTTTCTTTCTTTTTTTTTTTTGTATGTCTTTAAATGTCCTTATTTCAATCACATTCTTGAAAGATTTTTCATTTTGGCATAGAATTCTAGGAAAACTTTATTTCTTTCAGTACTTTAGGATGTTGCCACTTTGTTTTTGTAAAACTGGCATAAAGCGGGCTTCTTGTACTTGTTATATAATTTTTGGAATGTGTATTTAAATTAAAAACATTAAAATGGGCTGGACAAGGTGGTGCACGCCTGTAGTCCCAGCACTTTGGGAAGGCGAGACAGGAGGATCGCTTGAGGCCCAGAGTTGGAGACCAGTGTGGGCAAGGCAGCAAGACCCTGTCTCTCTGTCTCTCATATATATACATACACATATATATATATATGTATATATACATACACATATATATATATGTATATATACATACACATATATATATATGTATATATACATACACATATATATATGTATATATACATATATATATACACACACATATATATACACACACATATATATACACATATATATACGTGCTCATGTGTATGTATATATATGTGTGTATATATATGCTCATATATATGTATATATGTGTGTGTATATATATACATATACACACATACATACATACATCGTGAATGTTCTAGATTCATCCTAAGTTCCACCAACAGTACACTTAAAGTAAAATGTGCCGAACCTGAGGGTCAAACCTACCTGCTGACGTGTAATTTGTGTTTGTGAGACATTCTCAACAGCATTTGCTTTCCCCTAGCATAGTGGTTTTCGTGTTTTCCTCACATCTGAATGTCTTCAGTGCAAAACCTGTCAGAATTCATTTCCTTTGCCGAAAGATTCTAAAATACTTTCTTTTTTTTTTTTTTGAGATCAGCGCACTGCAACTTCCACTTCCCAAGTTCAAAGGATTCTCCTGCCTCAGCCTCGTGAGTAGCTGGGACTACAGGCCTGAGCCAACACAGGCGGCTAATTTTTGTATTTTTAGTAGAGACGGAGTTTCACCATGTTGGCCAGGCTGGTCTCAAATTCCTGACCTCAAGTAATCTGCCCACCTTGGCCTCCCAAAGTGTTGGGATTACAGGCGTGAGCCACCTTGCCCAGCCTAAAATACTCTTACTTCAAGCAAAAGTGCATTAAAAACTAACTTCTCAGTTGCATCCCTGGAATCCATAGAAAGCCCGGGAGAGACAATCAAGTGCTACAGGATCAAGCGCTAAACAGGGGAGGACAAAACATGGCTTCCTAACTAGGAGTCAGGGCAAAGTTATCTGCTTTGGTCTCCAATGGAGACCGGCACTTGGTTCACCTGCGACGGGAGGACCCGGCCCAGAGGAGGCGGACTTTCTCTTCATGGTGCCTTCAGACAGGAAATCTCCTAGGATTCCTTTCTTTCCCTTTGATCTACTCCCAACGCTCCCTTTCTGTTTCTTCAAGACCTTTTTTGGATCCCCACTGCGCAGGACCTAAGGGGCTGGTGCCCTTCCCTACCCTTCCTGCCTGGGTGTCTTCAGCACCCATGCTCACCCAGAACGTTACTGCCTGCCAGAGAGAGCGAGAGGACCAAGGAGGGCGGTGGGTGCAGTGGGAACCAGAGTCACCGTGTGCCTGTGCCTCGTGGGCTCCTCGCAGATTGAATAAACGCCCCCTGAAGCTTCTCTGCAGGTCACAGGGAAGGGGAGGGTGGCTGCCGACCCGGCGGGAGAAGCGTCAAGAAGCGTCGGGAGGACCTGACCCTACCCCTGGACCTTGAAGACAGGCCTGGCCAGGCTGATTTTAATGGATAGGCCCAAGGAAAAGGCTCAAGGGCGGCCCAAACCCCGACCCTGAGATTAAGGCTTTCAAATGTCTGAACGGTTTGATGTTGGTCAGTAGAATCCATCCCACCTTTATCACGAGACTCCTTTGCCAAAATTCAGAGATCTGGGATTCCTGCTGGTTGCCGCACAGAAAGCCAATCACCGAGACGCTTATCGCCAAGGAAGGCACTTTAATAGGGTGCTGCAGTGGGGGAGATGAGAACTCAGTCTCAAATCCATCTCCCTGACCAACCAAAACCAGAGGTTTAGATGGCAGGGAAGAAATGTTAACAATGAGTAAGAAAACAGGAACTAGGGAGGAGCAAGGAAGCAATCATGATGAATGAGGGGTCCCAGCATCTCATTTTCTGGATGAATTTCAGTACTTTGATAGCTTTTTTGACAGGCCTGAAGGTCATTTCCTGAGGAAGGAACTCAGATAAAACAAATACTAAGTTTCTTTCTTTTTTTTTTTTTTTTTGAGACGGAGTCTTGCTCTGTCGCCCAGGCTGGAGTGCAGTGGCGCGATCTCGGCTCACTGCAACCTCCGCCTCCCAGGTTCATGCCATTCTCCTGCCTCAGCCTCCCGAGCAGTTGGGGCTACAGGCACCCACCACCACACCCAGCTACTTTTTTGTATTTTTAGTAGAGACGGGGCTTCACCGTGTTAGCCAGGATGGTCTCGATCTCCTGACCTCGTGATCCACCCGCCTCGGCCTCCCAAAGTGCTGGGATTACAGGCGTGAGCCACCGCACCCGGCCAACAAATATTAAGTTTCAAGCTGTAAGACCAGAAGGGTCCATTTCTAGGTTTATCCAAAAAAGCTACATATGGGACTGTGGGGTGGTTTTCAGACCAAGAAAGAAAAAGATTGTGCAGACCAAAGTCTGCAGTTAACCAAAGAAAAAACATAATTTTCTGACCAATAGGATGTATGGGATCAGAGAATGACCAGGCTATAGAAGAACCGTTTTTTGTCCTGAGCATAGGGGAAGGATGAAGTTGCACCAACTAAGGTGGAATTAAGCTGCAGATGGGGAAAAATCTGGATTTTGGTTCAGAGCCCTGGGGTCTTCCTTGAAAGAAGAACCCTGTTTCGGTTTCTGCCTCTCTCTGAGTCCTTTTGGAGGTTGAGGATGCTGAGGTCTTGGTGCTTGGCCCCCTCTAGCCCTGAGTACTTCCCCTCCGGCAGGGCAACCTGGCCCAGTGCCCAGGTCCCAGCTCCAGCGACCATTTCCCCCTACTTTGCTCCTAGCAAAGGCCTGAAGGCCTAGCGGTTCCTGCAGAACCCCTGTCTCCCTCTTTTGGATAAAGCAGAGAGGAAATGACCTGTGTGGAGGGAATCAGGGGCTGCATCTGCACGGAGGAGCTGAGGCAAGTAGGGCAGTTGCGGTCTGTCAATGTAAAGGACATTTGCCATCCAGGAGGTTGGGCTGTTATTATTAGTTTTTAAATTCGTCAATACAAACTTCAGGGAAATGTGTCTTCTTACTTGTAGGAACCTCACAAGACCTCCCATCTTATATTCCAGGGAGAATTGCTGCGTATTACACGAACACATAGGTGAGACTGCCATTCTGACCTGCAGGCCTCGATGTCCTGTGCAGGGGCACCAGGGCACTGGCAAAGCCCTTTCCATACAAAGAGCAAGCGTGTTATGTCTACAACCCAATGGCACCAGTTCCAAGTACAATTTCTACTTGGTTCTATGAGCTGAGTACATGTTCCCCCCAGCACAGAAATCCTACAAACTCCCATGAATGCTATAGGGAAAAGCAGGGGCTAGCCAGGTGTGATGGATCATACGTGTAATCCCAGCAGTTTAGAAGGCCAAGGCAGGGCAGATCACTTGAGTCCAGGAATTGGAGACCAACCTGGGCAACATGGCGAAACTTCAACTCTTAAAAAAACAAAACAACAACAACAACAACAAAACAAGAACAGAAATTAGCCGGCTGCGATGGCTCGTGCCTGTGCTACTCCAGAGGCTGAGGTGGGAGGATCGCTTGAACCAAGATCCCACCAGATACAGTGAGACTCTGTCTCAGGGAAAAATACAAACAAAAAAAAGAGGCTCTGTAAGAGGTGACTCTGGGGACAATGGAAAAACACTAAGGTTTTCAAGTGGTGTTAAAAGCCAGTAGGCCTTGGGGACCACTGAGCAATCTACAAAGCAGGGAAGCCTAGATCCCTGAGCTCTGCCCGCCAAGTACCACCACAGCTAACATGAGAGACCTCCCCCACAGAGACTGAAATTTGCCTCCTGAGGAAACAAGTGACTACAGACATCTGTCCCAGGACAGTAAACAAGAAAATAAGGTCTCACAAAAACAAAAACAGCTGACCACACCATACAATCACTGAGACCGGGCCTGCGACTATAGATGAAAAAAGCAAATGCTGTCTATTATTCATACCATGAAAGACCAGGGGAAAGCACGAACGCAGTCCCCTACTACTGTTGCGGGAATCAGGAGAACAAAGAGACCAACGGGTGGAACAGAAGGATTTTATTGAGTGCACTCGGGCCTAGCGTGAGCCCCGAAGAAAGACAGGGGGCTTGACTTTTATACACACTTCTGAAAGGGGGTTGGCTAGTTTGAATGGTGCAGCAGGAATTTGATGGTGCGAAACTCGCGGGGCAGGCAAGAGGGCTTACAGAAGCAGAAAGAAGGCAGTTAATCAAACTGTGACAGGTCTTGCAACGCAAGCACAGCTGGTAACCTTGCAGCTGCACTGAATGGAAATCAGGAACTTACAAAACTTGAATAATGACAAGTGGCAAGGGGGAAAGACAAGGCAGTAAAGACATTTGTTGTTTTTCCTCTTATACTTGCTGGGGGCGGACCGTGTTGACAAAGTCGCTGGAAATCACTGTCAGAGATGTAGCTTTTAGGATAGTATTGTCCAGGATCTGCTAGGCTCTATCCACTGCAGGCCTTGGTGGGGGGGGAGGGGGGGCCTGCGAAGCACAGGAAAACTTGTCTTTTCGTTGTAACTTCCGCTTCGTTACTACAAGTTACGCAGCTGAGCTTCCCACGTTAGAGAAAATGACAGAACAGCACACTTGAAATGAAATAGTTGAGTCGGGTTTAAAAGCCATTTCAGTAACCACAATATCTGCCCTGCCACATAAATAAGATTGCACCTATCTCCGCCCCGCCACAGCTCCATACGCCTCACCCTTTAAACGCACAGTCACTTGCCCCAGCACCACTCCAGCCAATCCCCAACCACCCCGAGCCCTCCTAGCCCTAACACACAGCTGGGACTCTCATGTCCAGCCAGTGGTCCTGGACTTGCTCCTACAGCGCGGGAAATCCTTCGTGGCGAAGCAGCAGCCCCTGCGCTGCCTCATCTACATAGAAACGCCCTATCGGTGATGTCACCGACAGTGCCTTTCCCAGTCTCCTTCTGCTCTTCCGCCCCACCCTCCGCCACTCAGCCTACCAACCCGCTGGGGGAGCCGACGGAGGAAGTGACGTCTGCTGTCCCACCTCTCCCTCCCGCCCTTGTCCTTTCCGGAGGTGCGCCCAGACCCCGCATCTAGTATCCCCCAAAGAAGCGACTACTTAACTTGTGTCCTGCGGAGGACCCTTCTGGCGGCCAGCTGGAAGCTGTGCGCCGGTCTTCAAATAGTGGCTTTTAATTCGCAGACTAGAACATTTAGGATTACAAAGAAAACCGTTTCCTTTCAAAGCTGTTTATCTTTGTGAAGTAGCATTTTGCTTAAAATTGGAAGCCTTTGACTATCAGAGAGAAATCATATCTATGAAACTAGAGAGGCTGCTCAGATGACTGCAAACCAGCCATCCTTGCTGGTTTTACCAGTAGTAGTGTTATAAAGAATGTTGTCCAATTTCATGAGTCTCGTAGGTTTGTTTTTTTGTTTTTCAAATACAGTATTGTACAAAAAGGAAGCAGAATGTGGTTGCTGTCACAATGTAATGCCTCTCTGGGCCTGAGAATTTGGAAAGGCTCACACTCCTCATAAAAGTTCTCTTCTTTCCTCATTCTCCCTTTAGATAAAAAGTCTTTTTTTTTTTTTTTTTTTTTTTTGAGACGGAGTCTCGCTCTGTCGGCGGGATCTCGGCTCACTGCAAGCTCCGCCTCCCGGGTTCACGCCATTCTCCTGCCTCAGCCTCCCGAGTAGCTGGGACTACAGGCGCCCGCCACGACGCCCGGCTAATTTTTTGTATTTTTAGTAGAGGCGGGGTTTCACTGTGTTAGCCAGGATGGTCTCGATCTCCTGACCTCATGATCCGCCCGCCTCTGCCTCCCAAAGTGCTGGGATTACAGGCGTGAGCCACCGCGCCCGGCCAGATAAAAAGTCTTTCTTGAAAGCATTGTTGATCAAAAGCTGTATCTCTCCTTGCCAGAAAGGCTCATTCCCAGATAGTCCTGTCCCACACTGGGGGCAGGGGAGGAAAGGAGCCCTCTCACTAAGGAATTTTTAACAGTGCCCAGAAGCTGAATTGGCATCACAGAATTGGGGGCGGGGGGGGAGACAGAGAGATCTCGGCCAATTCTATAGTTGCTGTCACTTGTTGAATCATCTCTAGTCTTCAGAGTACCATGAAAACAATGAGAAATACATAACATTAATAATTTGACTAGTGGAGATATAATGCACACAAGAATGATAATCACAAAGAGAATCTATATCCCGAAACAGTAAGGGAACCTATTCCATTAGGCAGCCAACTGAAAACATCAGGGAAAACATCAAATACCATTTCTTCTTTAGTGATTTATTGTAGCCAAGTGGCTTCCTTTCTAATTTTTTTTCTAGAGAAGGTTCTACTGCATGGGAAACATTTATGTATATGCAACAAAAGGTATTTGCCACCACACATACATCTCCCTGCTCAGCTAAATATATCATCTAAAGTGATGTGATTACCTAGTACAACCTTAGCCAGTGAATAAATAGCTTTTTATTGAGCTGCAAAAGAGGCCGCAGTTTCATCAGCAATGTTTTTCTTTCTTTTTTCTTTTTCTTTCAGAGACAGCGTCTGTCTCTGTGTCCCAGGCTGGAGTGCAGTGGTGCCATCATAGCTCACTGCAGCCTTCAACTCCTGGGCTTAAGTGATCCTCCTGCCTCAGCCCCCGAGTCACTGGGATTACAGGCCAGAGCCACCATGCCTGGTTTTCATCAGCAGTGTTTCCTGAGGTTACAGAAAGATTTATAATCCTAGGAAGAAACACTCCCTTGAAGCAAAAGTGCTCTCCCCGCAAAAATGCAAGGAGCTATCTTCTTGATAGCCGGGCAGATAATTCTCAGGTTTTGCCCCACTGAATCTCTATCTAAAATAGAGCAGTGGTCATGCCTAGTGAAAAGTTAGAGGGCCTAACGTTTAAATCTGTAATCCATCTTGAATTGAGTTTTGTATAAGGTGTAAGGAAGGGATCCAGTTTCAGCTTTCTTCATATGGCTAGCCAGTTTTCCCAGCACCATTTATTAAATAGGGAATCCTTTCCCCATTGCTTGTTTTTCTCAGGTTTGTGAAAGATCAGATAGTTGTAGATATGTGGCATTATTTCTGAGGGCTCTGTTCTGTTCCATTGATCTATATCTCTGTTTTGGTACCAGTACCATGCTGTTTTGGTTACTGTAGCCTTGTAGTATAGTTTGAAGTCAGGTAGTGTGATGCCTCCAGCTTTGTTCTTTTGGCTTAGGATTGACTTGGCGATGTGGGCTCTTTTTTGGTTCCATATGAACTTTAAAGTAGTTTTTTCCAATTCTGTGAAGAAAGGCATAGGCATTGGTAGCTTGGAACCAACCCAAATGTCCAACAATGATAGACTGGATTAAGAAAATGTGGCACATATACACCATGGAATACTATGCAGCCATAAAAAATGATGAGTTCATGTCCTTTGTAGGGACATGGATGAAATTGGAAACCATCATTCTCAGTAAACTATCGCAAGAACAAAAAACCAAACACCGCATATTCTCACTCATAGGTGGGAATTGAACAATGAGATCACTTGGACACAGGAAGGGGAATATCACACTCTGGGGACTGTGGTGGGGTCGGGGGAGGGGGGAGGGATAGCATTGGGAGATATACCTAATGCTAGATGACACGTTAGTGGGTGCAGCGCACCAGCATGGCACATGTATACATATGTAACTAACCTGCACAATGTGCACATGTACCCTAAAACTTAGAGTATAATAAAAAAAAAAAAAAATTAAAAAAAAAAAAAAAAAAAGAAAAGTTAGAGGGAACTCGCCCAATGTTGGGTTTCTTCAGATATATGTGTGTATATATATATATTTATATATATGTGTGTGTGTATATATGTGTATATATATATATATATCTCCAAATATCTTAAAGACACTGCCCTTCATCATTCCATGCCATTAGACATTTATAGGACCATGCATGGTGATCTCCTCCACACAAAAATAAATGCTGGTGCAGAACAGGTAAGTGTACTATAAATTGAGTACATCAGCTTTTGGGCATTTTAAACCATTGGTCACACACGTTGGAGCAAGAGGGCAGGTTGATAGCAAGAGGGAGTGTTTCTCTTTCAGTTTTCCAATAGCAAAGTGATGTTTGCCACTGTCATTTCAGAGTGAGGTGACAAATTTTTGTTGTTGTTTGGTTTTGTGGGGTTTTTTGTTCGTTTTTGAGACAAGGTCTCACTGTCCCCCAGGCTGGAGTGCAGTGGCACGATCAGGGTTACTTTTGCCTTGACCTCATGAATTCAAGCAAACCTCCTTACTAATCCTCCTGAGTAGCTGGGACTACAGGCACGTGACACCACACCCTGGGGTGTGAACTGGGATTTTATATTTTCAGTTGGCTCCCTAATGGAATAGGTTCCCTTACTATTCTGGAATACAGATTGTCTTCATGGTTGCCATTCTCGTGTGCATTATATTTCTACTAACCTGCTAATTTTTTTTTCTTTTTTCTTTTCTTTTCTTTTTTTTTTTTTTTTTTGAGACAGAGCCTCACTCTGTTGCCCAGGCTGTATTGCATGCAGTGGCAGGATCTCAGCTCACTGCAATCTCTGCCTCCTGGGTTCAAGAGATTCTCCTGCCTCAGCCTCCTGAGTAGTTTGGATTACAGCCTTGCTGACATACACCACCACGCTGGGCATTTTTTTTTTTTTTTTTTTTTTTTGGTATTTTTAGTACAGACGGGGTTTCGCAATGTTGGTCAGGCTGGTCTCGAACTCCTGACCTCAGCTGATCAGAAGTAGGTGAGGTCAGAAAACGCACCCTGGGAGAGGCTGGCAAAATGCCCAGAACGGCCATCGCTAGGCCTGGGGTTTTCTTCTGTACTGAAATACTACTATTCATGTAGTGCGGGGACAAAACCAATTAGATACTTCTGGGAGTTAAAAAGAGATGAATTTACAGTGCCATTTGAGAAGGGGTATTAAGGAATTTTCCAGGGTACTGACGCGTGTCAGGTGCAAACTGCAGGTTCGGAGAGAGCTAAGTATTTTCTGTCCATGAAGGTGATAAGGGGGGTCTTGAAGAAAGAGGAAGGGGGGAGGACACTGGCGCCAGAAATAGGAAAGGGCTGCTTGGGGGTGGGAAGGATGGGTCGGGGTGCTATCTAGAAAGCTGCCTGGCAGTGGATGTAGGATGTAGAAGCGAGACATCAAACAAGAAGCTGTCGCTTAAATAAAGTCTGAAGATAGACTAGATATGTAAACGGCAGGAGATAGTAGGGAAACTGGACCCGTCTCCTCATAAAACTTCCCGCCTTATGTTTCAGGGAGGACCGCAGCGCATTTCGGCCAAGACAGGTGAGACTGCGGTTCTGACCTACGGGCCTCGATGAATTGCGTTAGGGCACCTGGGCTCCGGGAGAGCCGTTCCACTCCACAAAGTAAGCGTGTTATGTCTGCAAACGAACGGGGACACTAAGAGCCCCAAAGGCCCTGCTTTCATCCCAAAGAACAGCCCCCGTCTGCGTAGTTTGTACCTGGCTCTGTGAGGTGAGAACACATTCCCCGCTAGCACAGAAATCCTACAAACTCCTGAGGGGGCTGCGGTTAGAAGCAGACGCTGTGTAAAAGGGGACTCTGGAAGCTAGAGAAAAACACGAAAATCTTCACAGAGCGTGAGAACCCAAGACGCTGGAGACCGTGGATCAATTTCTGCAATAAGCAGCCTTATGTTCAAAGGGAAGAGCTATGCAGTCTTCGCGCTGGTTAGCCTAGGATAAACCGGCTGACACTCCTTACTTCTCCAGCGAGAAAGACAGCGACATGCCACTTCCTATTTTGCAGGCTTCTGACTGTAACAGTAACACTTAAGGGCACCACAAAAAACACAAACCAATGAAAGAAAGCAGTAACAAGGAGCGTACGGTCTATTTTTGAAACCAGAAAAAAAGAAATCAGGGAAAAGCACGGACACAGCCCCCCACTACCACAAATTATGCAGTCGAGTTTCCCACATTTGGGGAAATCGCAGGGGTCAGCACATCCGGAGTACAATGAATAAGCCTCAGCCCTGGGAAAACCACCTTCGTGGTCACGTTATCTCCCCTGCCAAGTAAATATGAGCTCCTGCACCTCCGCCCCGTACGCCTCACCCTTTACACGCACGGTCACTTCCCCGCGCACCCGCGAGCCCTCCTAGCCCTGACACACAGCTGGGACTCTCAGGTCCGACCAGCGGTCCTGAACCCGCTCCCACGGCACGGGAACTCCTTCGTGGCGAAGCAGCATGTGGCGAAGCGCAGCCTCTGCGCTGCCTCATCTACATAGAAGTCGCCCTATCCGTGATGTCACCGACAGTGCCTTTCCCAGTCCCCGTCTGCTCTTCCACCCCAACCTCCGCCAACTCAGCCGACCAACCCGCTGCTGAGCCGGCAAAGGGAAGTGACGTCTGTCTCTCCCTTTTTTCTCTCCCGCTCCCTTGTCTGTTCTCTCCCAAAGAAGCTGGTCCTTAGCTTCTATTGCGGAGCAACCTTTCGGCGACCAGCTGGAGCCTGGGCACCCTTCTTCAAATAATGGCCTTTAATTCGCAGACGAGAACGTTTAGGATGACAAAAGAAACTTTTTTTTCACGTCCTTACCCTTGTGATGAAGCATTCCGCTTACATATATATATGTAATGTTGGGTTTCTTCAGATATATATATATATATGTATATGTGTATAAATATCCAAATATCCTAAAAGACACGGCCCTTCATGATTCCATGCCATTAGACATTTATAGGACCATGCATGGTGATCTCCTCCACACAAAAATAAATGCTGGTGCAGAACAGGTAAGTGAAATTGAGTACATCAGCTTTTGGGCATTTTAAACCATGGGTCAGAAATGTTAGGGCAAGAAGGCAGGTTGACAGCAAGAGGGAGTGTTTTTCTTTCAATTTTCCAATAGCAAAGTGTTGTTTGCCGCTGTCAGTTCAGAGTGAGGAGACAATTTGTTGTTGTTGTCTGGTTTTGTGGGGGTTTTTGTTTGTTTTTTAGTTTGTTTTTGAGACAAGGTCTCACTGTCCCCCAGGCTGGAGTGCAGTGGCACGATCAGGGTTACTTCTGCCTTGACCTCATGAATTCAAGCAAACTTCCTTACCAATCCTCCCGAGTAGCTGGGACTACAGGCATGTGACACCACACCCTGGGGTGTGAACTGCGATTTTATATTTTCAGTTGGCTCCCTAATGGAATAGGTTCCCTTACTATTCTGGAATACAGATTGTCTTCATGATTATCATTCTCGTGTGCATTATATTTCTACTACCCTGCTAATTTTTTTCTTTTTGAGACAGAGTCCCGCTCTGTCACCCAGGCTGTATTGCAGTGGCAGGATCTCAGCTCACTGTAGCCTCCACTTCCCGGGTTCAAACGATTCTTTTGCTTCAGCCTCCTGAGTAGCCACCTGGCTAATTTTTGTGTTTTTAGTAGAGACAGGGTTTCACCAGGTTGGCAGGCTGGTCTCGAACTCCTGACCTCAAGGGATCGACCCGCTTCAGCCTCCCAAAGTGCTGGGATTACAGGCATGAGCTACCACGCCTGGCTCTCAAACCATTTTAAGTAAGCAAAGGCAGATTTGTCTGGCTTTTTAGTACATTGCTGAATTATCCTCCAATCTATATTTTTAGGAAGGACCTGGGGAATGGCAACATGCACATATTTGGCTAAAATGTGAACCTTTCATGTTCTGCTTGAAAATCCTTCCAATTTGCCTTTTGCAACCAGTTAGTGGCCTTGCCTTCTTCACCAGAATGTGAATTAATTGATAAAGGCCAGAATATTTGGGCTCAAAGGTTTCGACAGTTAAGTCGAATTTTCTGCCAAAGCCTATAGGATCTTGGAGCCTGCTTTAGAAACAGAAGAACGAAATGTGTTTAACTTTAGATCAGGGAAGTCCTTTATTTTTTTTTATTTATTTTTATTTATTTATTTTTTTTGAGATGAAGTGTTGCTCTGTTGCCCAGGCTGGAGTGCAGTCGCGCGATCTCGGCTCTCTGCAAGCTCCGCCTCCCGGGTTAACGCCATTCTCCTGCCTCAGCCTCCTGAGTAGCTGGGACTACAGGCGCCCGCCACCACGCCCCGCTAATTTTTTGTATTTCTAGTAGAGATGGGGTTTCACCGTGTTAGCCAGGATGGTCTCCATCCCCTGATCTTGTGATCCGCCCGCCTCCGCCTCCCAAAGTGCTAGGATTACAGGCGTGAGCCACCGCGCCCGGCTATAATATTCTTAATTCACATTTTGGTGAAGCGGTGTACACAATGGTAGGCTCCCCTCTTCCTGTGGGTTTGGGTTTTACCTTGAAAGGGGCTGTCAGAACAGAAGTTTCAGGGAAGGGGCCAGAGCCCTGGGGACTTTCCTCAGGTGATGGTGATGGAAGAAGAGGCAAGGCAGGACAGGAAGGCTCAGGTAAGAAAGACTATGCAGGTGCAGGGGCAGGAGGAGAAGGAGCAGTTGGAGGCGAAAGAGACAAAGCCTCCTCAATATTTCTCAATTCAGAAAACGTGTCAGTTTACCTCCTTAAGCTTACTTCCTCAATGGAGGCAATTTTCTTAGTTCTTTTTTTTTTTTTTTTTTTTTTTTTTGAGATGGAGTCTGGCTCTATTGGCAGGCGGGAGTGCAGTGGTGTGCTCTCGGCTCACTGCAACCTCCGCCTCCCGGATTCAAGCAATTTTCCTGCCTCAGGCTCCCGAGAGCTGGGACTACAGGAGCCCGCCATCAAGCCCGGCTAATTTTTTGTATTTTTAGTTGAGACGGGGTTTCACCATGTTGGCCAGGATGATCGCCATCTCTTGACCTCATGATCCGCCCGCCTCGGTCTCCCAAAGTGCTGGGATTACAGGCCTGAGCCACCGCGCCCGGCGCAATTTTCTCAGTTCTTTTAGAAATTTTAGAAATTTAGAAATTTGGAAATTTCTAGGTCTCATTGCAAGTAAGTCTCCCATTTAATTTGTCTTGTTCTAAAACCAAATTTCTCTCTCTCTCTCTTTTTTTTTTTTCCTTCAGACAGAGTCTCACTCTGTCGCCCAGGCTGGAGTGCAGTGGCGCGGTCTTGGCTCACTACAACCTCTGCCTCCCAGGTTCAAGCAATTCTTCTGCCTCAGCCTCCTGAGTAGCTGGGATTACAGGAGCCCGCCACCATGCCCGGCTAATTTTTGTATTTTTAGTAGAGACAGGGTTTCACCATGTTGGCCAGGCTGATCTCGAACTCCTGACCTCTGGCTCCCAAAGCGCTGGGATTACAGGCGTGAGCCACCGTGCCCAGCGTAACCAAGATTATTGAGCCATTCTAATTTGTCAAAAGAGTCACATTGATTTTAAAAAAAATAACGTAATGGGCCAGGTACGGTGGCTCACGCCTGTAATCCCAGCACTTTGGGAAGCCGTAGGGGGCGGATCACGAGGTCAGGAGTTCGAGACCAGCCTGAGCAACATGGTGAAACCCCGTGTCTACTAAAAATACAAAAATTAACCGGGCGTGGTGGTGTGTGCCTGTAATCCCAGCTACTGAGGAGGCTGAGGCTGGAGAATTGCTTGAACCCAGGAGGCGGAGGTTGCAGTGAGCCAAGATTGCACCACTGCACTCCAGACTAGGTGACAGAGTGAGACTCCGTTTCAAAATGAATACATAAATAAGCAAATAATAATGTAATGAACGTTTTCATCGTTTACATATTAAATAGATGAAGGGGTGGCCTGCCCCTCCATACTTGTGGGCGTTTCTCATCGGGTGGAAGGAGAGACTTGAGAAAAGAGAGAGACACAGAGACAAAGTATAGAGAAAGAAAAGTGAGCCCAGGGAACCGGCGCTCAGCATACGGAGGACCCGCGCCGGCACCAGTCTCTGAGTTCCCTTAGTATTTATTGATCATTATCGGGTGTTTCTCGGAGAGGGGGATGTGGCAGGACAATAGGGTAATAGTGGAGAGAGGGTCAGGAGGAAAACATGTGAACAAATGTCTCTGCATCATAAACAAGCTAAAGAAAAAAGTGCTGTGCTTTTGATGTGCATATACAGAAACATCTCAATGCCTGAAAGAGCAGTATTGCTGCCCACATGTCCCACCTCCAGCCCTAAGGGGGTTTTCTCCTATCTCAATAGATGGAATATACAATCGGGTTTTACACCGAGACATTCCATTGCCCAGGGATGAGCAGGAGACAGATGCCTTCCTCTTTTACTAATCCTCCTCAGCACAGACACTTTACGGGTGTCGGGCTGGGAGACGGTCAGGTATTTCCCTTCCGGCGAGGCCATATTTCAGACTATCACATGGGGAGAAACCTTGGACAATACCTGGCTTTCCTTGGCAGAGGTCCCTGTGGCCTTCTGCAGTGTATTATGTCTCTGGGTACTTGAGATTAGGGAGTGGTGATGACTCTTAACAAGCATGCTGCCTTCAAGCATCTGTTTAACAAAGCACATCCTGCACAGCCCTTAATTCATTTAACTTTGAGTGGACACAGCACTTGTTTCAGGGAGCACACGGTTGGGGGTAGGGTTACAGATTAACAGCATCTCAAGGCAGAATTTTTCTTAGTACAGAACAAAATGGAGTCTCTTATGTCTCCTTCTTTCTACATAGACACAGTGACAGTCTGATCTCTCTTTCTTTTCCCCACAATACTTACACTATTTAAATTGTTCAAAAGCATCAAAGATTCCTCTCTGCTGTCAACTTCATTCCATTTATTTTATTGTACCAAACTATCAAGACCATTAATTTAATCTACTGCTAAATCTATTATTTTTTTCATGTTAGAAATTCAACCAGAAAATTTCTCCCTAATGAAACCTCACATTTCAAGCATAAGTAGGCTGGGTGAGGTGGCTCACACCTGTAATCCCAGCACTTTGGGAGGCCAAGACAGGTGCATCACTTGGGGTCAGGAGCTTGAGACCAGCCTGACAAACATGGTGAAACCCCGTCTCTACTAAAAATATAAAAATTAGCTGTGTGTGGTGGCATGCGCCTGTAATCCCAGCTACTCTGGAGGCTGAGGCAGGGAAATAGCTTCAACCTGGGAGGCAGAGCTTGCAGTGAGCTGAGATTGCACCACTTCAGTCTAGCCTGGGCTACAGAGCAAGACTCTGTCTCAAAAACAAATAAATAAGCATAAGTAGTAAAAAAAAAAAAAAAAAAAAAAGATAAAAAATAAGGCGCAGGGTCTTGCTCTGTTATCCAGGCTTGAGTGCAGCGGGGCTATCATAGCTGACCAGCTTGGAACTTCTGGGCTCAGGCAATCCTCCTGGCTCAACTTGCCTTGTATTTTTTTAGAGATGGGGTCTTGCCCTGTTGCCCAGGCTGGTCTCCAACTGCTGGCCTAAAGCAATCCTTCTGCCTCAGCCTGTTGAGTTGCTGGGAGTACAGGTGCAAGACATGCAGCCTAGCATTGTAGTAAAACAATTTTCAACAAATTCTTAATTTTCTTTCTTTTTCTTTTTCTTTTCTTTCTTTCTTTTTTTTTTTTTTGAGTTGGGAGTCTCACTCTGTCACTCAGGCTGGAGGGCAGTGGCGCAATCATAGTTCACTGCAGCCTGCCTCAGTCTCCCAAGTAGCTGAGATTACAGTCATGCATTATCATGCCTGGCCAACTTTAAAAAATTAGCTAATACTTAAAAATTTGTAGAGACAGGGGTTTCACTATATTGCCAGGCTGGTATCCAACTCCTAACCTCAATTGATCCTCCCTCCTCAGCCTCCTAAAGTGCTGGGATTGCAGATATGAGCCACCATACCTGGCTTAATTTTCTTATTTTAATTTTATATAAGTGATTATTATTGTTCCTAAGATAATTGGGGCAGTGACTCCTTTAAAATTTTAGAGACCTAATTTGTCTATTCACTTCACTGAAAGAGTATGCCAGTTTGCTTCATGAGAAAATATCCTATATTAATAAAGCAAGAAAATTCCTTCCACCAAACTAGGGGGCATTCTAAAGAAACGAATTGTGCTAAGTAACATCACTTAAGGTGAAAACAGAGGCAATGGTATCTATTAACAATGTTTATCAGTGAAGGAAATAAACTGAAAATGTTAACATCATTAAATCCTCAGAGGGCCTTCGTTGCTGAAAATCTGAGTAATATTGTGATACCCTTTTGAGTCCGGCAGGACATTCTCTTTCCAGGGCATATGACAGTGGGCGAATAATTTCTTTTCATTCATTTTCATTAAGGGCTGAACTTCCTTAATGTTCTGGAGATTATTAAATTTGATTTGTATAGTTGTGAAAAGTGCTCATATTGCTGATTCCATTGCTTACATATGATCATATAAGTCTTTTCTCTCCTTTCTGTAGTGTGGTTTAAACTTAATCCTTAAAGGACATGTATTTGAATTTTTCAGCTGGTTAGAAACCTGAATATACCAATCAAAGAAAACTGCTCCTTACATGCTACAGATTTAGTGTTCTTCCTGTGCTAAGATGTCTTTTAGATATAGTAAATTTGTTAAAGCCAAGAGCTCCTATGGAACAAAGTTGGGTGGGAGGGGGACATTGAGTAGTAAGATCACTCTTGTAATAGAGATGCCACTCTTGCAGATATTGACAACTATTGGGCCTGTAAAATTTTTAACAAACATTGGAAAGACAAGATATGAACAACTCATCATTGCTGCAGTCTCAAATATCAGGAAATACCATTATTCTCAGGACAATAAATAGACAATAAAAAAGACTCACAGAGCAGCTTAGCTGTCATGTATTACCAAACAGGGACTGGATCCTTGTCAACACCACCCAACAGAGATTGTCCCCAGAAATTCACTTCATAACATCAAAACCAAAAACCCACACTGATGGCACAATATAATGATGCAAAAATGAGAGAGAGAGAGAGACAGAGAGAGAGAGAGAGAGAGAGGGAGAGAGAGAGAGACCTGTCCTACAGCCATACTTAGTGGGTAAAAGCCAAAGAGCTCAATTTCTGCTCATGATACTTAATAGAACAGAGGGAACATGAGCCAATAGCTCAATGGGTTCAGATCTGCACCAAGTGCCTGTTGGATGCAGAATTCTACTGTCTCCAATAATATGTCTCAGATGGACTAGTTTTTTTGTTTTTTGTTTGTTTTGTTTTTGTTTTTTATTTTTTGTTTTTGAGAGAGAGTCTCCCTCTGTCGCCCAGGCTGGGGTGCAACGGCACGATCTCGGCTCACGGCAACCTCCGCCTCCCGGGTTCAAGCGATTCTCCTGCCTCAGCCTCCCAAGTAGTTGGGACTACAGACGCACACCACCACGTCTGGCTATTTTTTTGTTTTGTTTTGTTTTGTTTTGTATTTTTAACAGAGACAGAGTTTCGCCATGTTGGTCAGGCTGGTCTCGAACTCCTGACCTCAGTTGATCAGAAGTAGGTGAGGTCAGAAAACATACCCTGGGAGAGGCTGGCACAATGCCCAGATCCGCCATCGCTAGGCCTGGGGTTTTCTTCTGTAGTATTCATGTAGTGCAGGGACAAAACCAATTAGATACTTCTGGGAGTTAAAAAGAGATTAATTTGCCGGGCGCGGTGGCTCACGCCTGTAACCCCAGCACTTTGGGAGGGTTCACGAGGTCAGGAGATCGAGACCATCCTGGCTAACGCGGTGAAACCCCGTCTCTACTAAAAATACAAAAAATTAGCCGGGCGTGGTGGCCGGCGCCTGTAGTCCCAGCTACTGGTAGGAGGCTGAGGCAGGAGAATGGCGTGAACCCGGGAGACTGAGCTTGCAGAGAGTCGAGATCGTGCCACTGCACTCCAGCCTGAGCGACAGAGCGAGACTCCGTCAAAAAAAAAAAAAAAAAAAAAAAAAAAAAAAAAGATGAATTTACAGTGTCATTTGAGAAGGGGTATTAAGGAATTTGCCAGGGTACTGACGCGTGTCAGGTGCAAACTGCAGGTTGAGAGAGAGCTAAGTATTTTCTGTCCATGAAGGTGATAAGCGAGGGCCTGAAGAAAGAGGAAGGGGGGAGGACACTGGCGCCAGAAATAGGAAAGGGCTGCTTGGGGGTGGGAAGGATGGGTCGGGGTGCTATCTAGAAAGCTGCCTGGCAATGGCTGTGGGATGCGGAAGCGAGACATCAAACAAGAAGCTGTCGCTTAAATAAAGTCTGAAGAAAGACTAGATATGTAAACGGCAGGAGATAGTAGGGAAACTGGACCCGTCTCCTCATAAAACTTCCCGCCTTATATTTCAGGGAGGATCGCAGCGCATTTCGGCCAAGACAGGTGAGACTGCGGTTTTGACCTGCGGGCCTCGATGAATTGCGTTAGGACACCTGGGCTCCGGGAGAGCCGTTCCACTCCGCAAAGTAAGCGTGTTATGTCTACAACCCAACGGGGACGCGCTAAGAGCCCTAAAGGCCCTGCTTTCATCCCAAAGAACAGCCCCCGCCTGCATAGTTTGTACCCGGCTCTATGAGGTGAGAACACATTCCCCGCTAGCACAGAAATCCTACAGACTCCTGAGGGGGCTGCAGCTAGAAGCAGAGGCTGTGTGAAATGTGACTGGGGGCTAGGGAAAAACACGTAGATTTTCACAGACCCTGAGAACCCAAGAGACTGCAGACCATGGGCAGACAAATCTCTGCAAAAAGCAGCCCCGCCTAGATAAAGGAAGAGCTGTGCGGCCTTCGCGCTAGCTAGCTTGTGTAAAGGTCGACGATTCTTATTTCTCCCGGGGCGGGGAGAAAGCGACATATTACTACTATTTCTCAGCCTTCGACTGTGAGAGTAACGATTAAGACTAAAACACAAGCCAGTAAAAAAAACAAGTAACCCTTGCTGTGTAGACTATTCTTTAAACTACAAAAAATCAGGGGAAAGCGCGAACGCAGTCCCCCACTACCACAAATTATGCAGTCGAGTTTCCCACATTTGGGGAAATCGCAGGGGTCAGCACATCCGGAGTGCAATGGATAAGCCTCGCCCTGGGAAAACCACATTCGTGATCATGGTATCTCCCCTGCCAGGTAAGTATGAGCTCTTGCACCTCCGCCCCGCCACAGCCTCACACGCTTCACCCTTTACACGCACGGTCACTTGCCCCGCGCAGCCCCACCCCCCCCAGCCCTCCTAGCCCTGACACACAGCTGGGACTCTCAGGTCCGACCAGCGGTCCTGAATCCGCTCCCACGGCACGGGAAATCCTTCGTGGCGAAGCAGCAGGTGGGGAAGCAGCAGCCCCTGCGCTGCCTCATCTACATAGAAGTCGCCCTATCCGTGATGTCACCGACAGTGCCTTTCCCAGTCCCCGTCTGCCTTTCTGCCGCTCAGCCTACCAACCCGCTGCCGGAGCCGGCAGGGGGAAGTGACGTCTGTCTCTCCCTTTTTTCCCTCCCGCCCCGGCATCTGTTCTCGCCCGAAGAAGCTGGTCCTTAGCCTGCGCTGCGGAGCAACCTTTCAGTGGCCAGCTGGAGCCTGGGCACCGTTCTTCAAATAATGGCTTTTAATTCTCAGACGAGAACGTTTAGGATTACAAAAGAAACCGGTTCTCTTCACATCCTTATCCTTGTCATGTAGCATTCCGCTTGAAATTGGAAGCCGTTCAATGTCAGAGAGAAACCATATTTATGAAATGAAAGAGGCTTCTCAGATGACTGCAAACCAGCCTTCCTTACTGGTTTTATCACTGGTAATGTTATAAAGACAGTTGTCCAGTTTCATGAATCTTGTAGGTTTTTGTTTGTTTATTTGTTTGCTTTTGATGTTGTTGTTGTTGCTGTTGTTTTCCAAATTCAGTATTGTAGAAAAATATGCTGCCCCAGAAGAGATGATTGGACACTCTCCAGCGTGGTGTTGGACTTTGTCATCTCTTGCACAGCCATCTCCAGACCTTAGTGTTTACCTCACGTTAGTTTTTTATATTCTGCAAAGACAAAACCAAAATAATCCAAATTTGACACAAATACCTGGGATACATCTTATTTGAGATGTTTAACAAATGTCTGGATCATCTTTTCTTACATTGGATTATAACGCAGGAAACACTGTGAAGTAAGTAAAGTTGGAATTCCCAAGTCAAAGACCATTTGAATATTTACAAGTAGATTTGAGGCAGGAATAATACAGGGTGGCCGCAGGGTAACAAATTCTAGGCAGCAGATTTACATGACTTGAGGCTATGGGCTGATAAGACGCTGAAAAACCAGGGTGTGGACCAAGCTGGCTAAGACTGACTGGACCCAATGTGGTGCTAGATTTGAGGTAGGTTTTACCTAGGCCCTCATTATACACTTATTAACATACTAAATCACACACCCACCAGTGCCATGACAGTTCTGAGACCAATATGTGATGTAAAAATGGATGGCACCACAGTTCCGAGAAATCACCTTTACCCAGGAATTTTCACGAATATTCCACTCCTTGGTTAAAGAAACCCATTGAGATGAAACCCCAGAACCCATTGTTCTCTCTCGGGTATGCCCGAACTCCCCTTTCTTGAGTGTGTACTTTCTGCTTTGCAATACATCTCTTCTTTCACTATTTGCTGACTCATCCTTGACTTGGTTCTCGAGATGGTGTCAAGAGCCTGGACACCACAGCTGGGGTCGAGATCCCACCAGTGTCCGGGGACCTCCCCCAGCCCACCAGTATCAGATTCTATTCCATTGCTCAAATCACAAAACATTGAATGGAGAGGTCTCCTCTGGAGAGCATAAAGTAAAGATTCTGTGGCATGGTGGCCAGTTAGGCCACTGGAAGGCATGGCAAAATATTGAAAATGAGGGATTAGGTGACGGTATAGTAACTGCTGAATACTAAATACTTGATTCAGACCCCATTCCCTGGAGACTGACAGAGAGACACATCGTCCAGGTAGTAGTGGAGAAATACTTTCTGGGTATCTGACCAGCCTTCGTGGAAAGAACTGGCACCATCCTGCAGGTGCAACTGCCTGATGGGTTCTTCCTGCCCATTGTACATACAAAATCAATTCATGGAGACCATGGCATTGCAGTAAAGAGTTTAATTGACACAGGCCAGCCACGACATGTGGGGGACGGAGTTATTACTCAAAACGATCTCACTGAAGGCTTGGAGGTAAGGGTTTTTTCAAAGACAGTTTGGTGGGGAGGGGGCTAGGGCTTGGGCGGTGCTGATTGTTGGGGATGAAATCACAGGGGTGTGGAAAATGCCCTCCTGCATTGAGTCAGCTTCTGGGTGGGAGCTAAGGGACTGGTTGATTTGCGGGCCAAATGGTGACATCCAGTAGTCAGAAATGCAAAAGCCTGAAAAGGCATCTCAAGAGGCCAGTCTTAGGTTCTGCAATAGTGATGTTCTTCACAGCAGTAATTGGGGAAGCTGCAAATCTTGTGACCTCTGGAATAATGGCTGGTAATTATTTAACGAGGCATACATCTTAGTAGAATTCAGGTCCCTTTCATCCTCCTAACTTGGTGGCCTTTCATTAGTTTTACAGGGGTAATTTAGTTTTGGGGAAGGTTATCATTTAAACCCACCTTTCTGGCTGTCCCCAATGTTTTTGGCACCAGGGACTGGTTTCATGGAAGACAATTTTTCCATGGAAGGGGGTTTCCGGATGAAACTGTTCCACCTCAGGTCATCAGGCATTAGTTACAGTCTCATAAGGAGTGTGCAATCTGGATCCCTCACATGCGCAGTTCCCAACAGGGTCCAAGCTCCGACGAGAATCTAATGCCGATGCTGATCTGACAAGAGTCGGAGCTCAGGTGGTAATGCTCCAAAGCCTACAGCTCACCTCCTGCCGTTTGGCTGGGTTCCTAACAGGCCATGGACCAGTACCTGTCTTGTGGCCCTGGGGGTTGGGGACCCCTGATTTAAACTATAAACTCAACTTTTCCCAAAGATAGCTTGGGAGAAATTGCACAGGAATGAGCAAAGACAGCTAGCCTGTGAGGCTAGAACCAAAATGGAGTCAGCCATGTCAGATTTCTCTGATTGTCATAATTTTGCAAAAGTAGTTTCAGAGGGACTACCCTGACACCTGTTAAAAGCATGAGGCGGATTTTATTGTATGTACTGCAGTAGGCAAGAGAGACCAGCAGAGAACCGAGCTCAACTCCAAATACAGCAAGAAGGGTTGAAGATTTATAGCCAATCGGCAAGGTAAGAAAGTCAGTGGATGGAAAATTACTAAGAGGAACTTGATTAGCTATCAAAGGTGGTTGGTAGGACTCTTGCTAAACTAGGCTCGACGGTATTCTTTTCTAAAACTGGACTTGACAGGCCAAGAACTAATAGAGAAAAGGGCTCAGAGGAAACTGACTAAGGTTTGGTCAAAGATGGAGTCCTTGTCAACTCTACATTGAAGCTTCTGCAAATAAACGAAGACCAACCAAATGAAAAAAAGCAAAGGCTATTTATTCTGAGCTTGCTATGGCAGGGAGTCAGCCACTGTTACTTGTGTTTTGGCAGAGACTTGAAGGCAGTCAGAAGGGTGGAAAAGCTTTTTAAAAGGAAAGGCTTCAGGTATGCTTGGACTGGAGGCTGTCAGCATGGTGAAGCTATAGATAGACGAAAAAATCAAAATATTTTACCCCAGAATATATTTCTTTGGCATATTTTAAGATGGCTGTCAGAGAGCCAGCAAACAGAAGTAACTCTGCAAAACTGTCTTTTGTAGGGGAAATTTACACCTGCAGAGAATCTGCATTAATCCAGCCTTCCCTTGTCAGGATTGAGAAATAAAAATAAGCCCTAGGCCCTACAACCAACTGAACGGACTCCCCTCTTGGCTGACAGGACCACAGAGAAACCTTGAAAGCTGTTTCTGGCTGTGACAGGATAGGAGGTCGGACATGCCCCCCTTAAAACCCCTCCCTCGCTAACCGCCATTATGAGGCAGGAGAACAGCAGAGGGAGTTGGAAGTTGGATAAAAGGCAGAATGAGTAAAAGCAGAAACAGAAGCAAGGTGATGGGGTGGGAGAGCAAGAAGCAAGATAAAAGGCAGCAGTTGAGCGGCCAAAACAAAAAGTAAGATTAAAAAAAGCAAGCAAGGCCGGGCGCAGCCCCTCACCCCTGTAATTCCAGCAGTTTGGGAGGCCAAGGCAGGTGGATCGCCCGAGGTCAGGAGTTCGAGACCAGCCTGACCAATGTAGTGAAACCCCTTCTCTACTAAAAATACAAAAAAATAGCTGGGCATGGTGGTACACTCCTGTACTCCCAGCTACTCAGGAGGCTGAGACAGGAGAATTGCTTGAACCCAGGAGGCAGAGGTTGCAGTGAGCCAAGATCGTGCCACTGCACTCCAGACTGGGCAACAGAGCGAGACCCTGTCTTAAAAAAAAAAAAAAAGCAAGTAAGGACCCCATGGCCAGCAAGATCCAAACCAGGAAAGGGGCAGCTCTTCAGAGACAGGCATGTGCATTAGAGAGAAAAAGTATCCTTAACATGACTTCATATGATAATCAGCTCATTAAAGCTCATGCATACAGACTGCATATCATGCATGTACTTAAAATTATGGGATGGAAGCAGCATTCAAGCACACAAGGGCCAAAGTAACTAAGCAACCCACCTATCAATCAAAAGGCAAAGAGTGGCTAAAGATTAGGCATCCTTGGCCGGGCACAGTGGCTCACGCCTGTAATCCCAGCACTTTGCGAGACCAAGGCGGGCGGATCGTGAGGTCGGGAGATCGAGACCATCCTGGCTAACACGGTGAAACCACGTCTCTACTAAAAATACAAAAAAATTAGTCGGGCGTGGTGGCAGGCGCCTGTAGTCCCAGCTGCTGGGGAGGCTGAGGCAGGAGAATGGCATGAACCCGTGAGGCAGAGCTTGCAGTGAGCCAGGATCGTGCCACTGCACTCCAGCCTGGGTGACAGAGCGAGACTCCGCCTCATCAAACAAACAAACAAACAAACAAACAAACAAACAAACACAGTAGGCATCCTTGTGAAGAGAAGGAAAAACACACACACAAACACAAAAGACCCCAAGTACACCAAACTAATACTGATCTCATCTCCCAGAGGTCAGCCCACCCTCCCCACTCTGAGAGTGTTACTGTGCTTAATAAACTTTTGCTTTGCTTTGCTGCTTTGTGTGTGTCATGTACAGTTCTTTGTTTGGGACACCAAGAGCCTGGAACTGCACGGCACCAGCTGGTAAGAATTAGGCTTTTTTGGCCGGGCGCGGTGGCTTATGCCTGTAATCCCAGCACTTTGCGAGGCCAAGGCGGGCGGATCACGAGGTCAGGAAATCGAGACCATCCTGGCTAACACGGTAGAACCCCATCTCTACTAAAAATAAAAAAAATTAGCCGGGCGTGGTGGCGGGCGCCTGTAGTCCCAGCTACTCGGGAGGCTGAGGCAGGAGAATGGCCTGAACCCGGGAGGCGGAGCTTGCAGTGAGCCGAGATCGCGCCACTGCACTCCAGCCTGGGCAACAGAGAGAGACTCCGTCTCAAAAAAAAAAAAAAAAAAAAAAAGAATTAGGCTTTTTTTTTCCCTAAGGGTTAACAACAAACCAGCCCTTTGGAAAGACTTGCTTCACCACTGTTACCAACCAACGGCCTGATGCTTTTCCTCAGTTTTGTGATGTTGACAAAACAAGCAAGCAGCATTCCCTCCTGATAAGAGACCACCGACCTAGGAATGATTCTGGCCAGACTAGAGAGGATGCACAGTGAGGGTTTTCATGTCCTCTGCTTCAGCTTTTGATGTCAGAGGGCCACAATCTCCACTCTCAGATGATTGCTAATGCCACCATTTTATGAACATGGGCCCCATGGAGAGGCACGAAGCTCAATTGCACTTCTGCACATTTTTCCTCCTATAAATATTGCTATTGGAATATTATTTGGTACGGCTCCCGTGAAAGATACATTTGCAGAATGTACTCAAATTAGAAGCATCATGTAAACCCTATAATGTAGCAATAGTGCATCAACTTCCCTACACTATAGAAATATCTGCGGTGTAGACATTTCCACAATGACCAAAGACATGTGTACAAGAAAGGTGGCTGCAGCATTCTTTGTAATCCTAAAACAATGAAACCTACCTCATCTCAAAAACTTTATTTTTTTATTTTTATTTTTTTTTTGAGATGGAGTCTCGCTCTGTTGCCCAGGCGGGAGTGTAGTGGTGCAGCCTCCACTGGTGCAGCCTCCACTGCAGCCTCCACCTCCCAGGTTCAAATGATTCTCCTGCCTCAGAATCCCAAGTACCTGGGATTACAGGCACATGCCCCCATGCCTGGCTAACAAAAACATTTTGAAAAGGGTTAAATAAATCATGCACAAACTGAGGAAAAATACTCTTTTTCAAAAATGATGGAGAGGATCACTATGATGATGAATGATTCCACTGGTCACATTATTGATAGAGCAATCAGTAAATCCAGGCACATCCTCGGGATATTACTGACCTCCTATTATTAACATATGAAAAAATGAAGGCATGTAAATTACTCGTTTAAGCGTATAACGGACTGAATTAGAATTTTATCACACCAGAAGTGGGTTCCTAGGTCTCTGTTTCAGGATTCCTGAGTTACACACGTATAAACCCAGGATTTCAGGAGATACCCGGTTAAGAATCCGGTTGGGGAGGTGGGCTGGCCCTTGACATGGATAAGTCACAAATTAGTGGCTTAGGACTCCAGGAAGATAAAATCTTCCCCATTTATCTAGTGATTGACAATGCATGAATACTTTAAAAGCTCAAACAAGCGTCCCTGGGTGGGCTCGAACCACCAACCTTTCGGTTAACAGCCGAACGCGCTAACCGATTGCGCCACAGAGACAGGTACTGTCAGTTCTACTGGGCGCTATAGGAAGGGCGCACGCACGAAACTTCCTCCGTCCCTTGCATCCTCAGGGCCCGCCCGGCAGGACGACTGAGCAGGCCTTGGAAGACCGGAGAGATTGGAGCGGTAAGTCGCGCTGGTCACGTTGGACACCTGCGCGTTGGGAGATTCTGGAGCCAGAAGGATAGCCGAATGGCCTTCGCCCGCCCTGCCCCTCACCTGCTTCAGAAACCCCCGGAAACGCCCCGGTTGAGACCCCGGCCCGAACCGCCTGGGGGCCCTAGGGAGGCTGAACGCCCGGTGGCTCCCGGGATGGCTCTTCCCGTTCTTTGCGCCGCCTTCACCCAGTGAGGGAGCCTGTGCCCTCCCTGCCCAGTCGCTTTTGGGGCCGCTGCGGATCTTCCGCTGCCATCTTCGGATCCTGTGTTCCGCACGGGGGCTCCACCAGGGCAGGGATCGTGGTGAGGGTGGCTCGTGGGTCCCCCTCGCGGGGAGCAGGGTCTGGCACTCACCAGGGCGCAGGACTAGGACTTGTCGAATGAATCCATCCTTTTAGCTTTTAGTCCTTTGAAGAGCCTTGAGAAGAAATCATGAGAGATTTTTCCATGGGGAAGTTCCTTTTACAAAGCATTTATTTACGTGGACTTCTTGGCACCCCGCGGGGCGGCAACGGGCAGGGCCTCCAGTGCCCCTTCTGCGCCGTGGAGCCGCGGGGGCTCAGCTGGGCGGTGGTCGGGTCCTGAGGCCGGAGGGCGGGAGCAGGGGAGGGGAAAAGCAAAAGCGGGGAAAGAAGCCGGGGAGCGGTGGACCAGACGTCCAGACCTCCTGAAAGGCTGGCGGGGAGGCACAGGCGGGATCTTCCGGAGGTGAGAATTTTTTTTTATTATAGCAGAATGGGGAGGAATTGAGGGGAAAATGGAGATAGAACCTGAAAGAGCCCCAAACGCCAGAACCTGTAGCTCCCCAAGAATAAGATCTTCCAGAAGAACTAGACCCAAAACTAGCCGTTGGGGAACACCGAAATCCTTGGAGGAGCAACATCCGCATGACCCTCTGTGTTCCTTTAGGCAAAAGGACTTGCTTCCATTGTTTGTTCAATTGTTTGTGTTTGTTAAATAAATAAAACGATTTTCATGTATCTTTGAAATTACTTTGGCGCTACTATTTTATGATTGCAAATAATTCGGCAGTGATCATTCTTGTACACTTCTCATTGGCCATTTGTGTATTTCTATACGGTAGAGGCCTGGAGAGCAGTTGCTCCAGCATAGGGATTACACAGTTTTTGTTTGTTTGTTTGTTTGTTTATTTATTTATTTATTTATTTATTTTTGAGACAGAGTCTCGCTCTGTCACCCAGGCTGGAGTGCAGTGGCGCCATCTCAGCTCTCACTGCAACCTCCGCCTCCCGGGTTCAAGCGAATCTCCTGCTTCAGCCTCCCAAGTAGCTGAGATTACAGGTCCGCGCGAGCCACCACATCGGGCTAATTTTTGTATTTTTAGTAGAGACGGGGTTTCATCGTTTTGGCCAGGCCGGTCTCAAACTCCTGACCTCAAGTGATCTGCCTGCCTTGGCCTCTCAAAGTGCTGGGATTACAGGCATGAGCCACCGCACCCAGCGATTACATGTTTTTTTTTTATATATCATTCTATTTTCTTTCCTTATTTGGCTTATTAGCTGTAACTCTTTCTTTTGTTATGTCAGTGATGGCTTTAGGGTCCCTAGAATACATCTTTATCCGTCTGCCATCAAGTGACATTATACCTCCCCTTCTGGCCTTTATGTTAGTGTTGTCAGGGAATTTGATTTTGGACATGTTATAAACCCCAACATCCAAGTACGTACATAGCGATTTTCAGTCGTCTCCATTTCTTTGTGTAGGTTCAGATTTCTGTTTGGTATCCTTATCCTTAGGCCTGGAGGACTCCTTTAATATTTCTTGTAGTGTGGTTCGGTGAATTCTGTCATTTTTTTGTATGTCTTTAAATGTCCTGATTTCAGTCACATTTTTGAAAGATATTTCAATTTGGCATAGAATTCTAGAATAACTTTTTTTCTCTCAGTACTTTAGGATGTTGCCACTTTGACGCTTTGTCATTGACATATCTTTCCTGTTTTTGTAAACTTGGCATAAAGTGGGTTTCCTGTACTTGTTATATGATTTTTGGATTGTGTATTCAAATTAAAAGTATTAAATTAAAATTAAAATGGCCTGGGCGAGGTGGCTCACACCTGTAATCCCAGCACTTTGGGAAGGGGAGGCAGAGGATCGCTTGAGACCCAGAGTTGGAGACCACCCTGGGCAAGATAGCAAGACCCTGTGTGTGTGTGTGTGTGTGTGTGTGTGTGTGTGTGTGTGTGTGTGTGTGTGTATACACATAAATATGTATATATATTATATGTATGTATGTATATATAAGTCCTACAGTCACCTTAAGTTCCACCAACAGTGCACTTAAAGTAAAATGTGCCCAACCTGAGGCTCAAACCTACCTGCTGGCACGCAATTTGTGTTTGTGAGACAATCTCAACAGCATTTGCTTTTTCTAGCGTAGTGGTTTTCCTGTTTTCCTCACATGTGAATGTCTTCAGTGCAAAACCTGTCAGAATTCATTTCCTTTGCTAAAATGTTTTAAAATAACTCTTACTTCAAGTAAGTGCATTAAAAACAAACTTCTCAGTTGCATCCCTGGAATCCATGGAAAGTCCAGGAGAGACAATCAAGTGCTACAGGATCAAGCCCAAACAGAACAGGACTAGGCATGGCTTCCTCACTAGGAGTCAGGCCAAAGTCATCTCCTTTGGTCTCCAATGGAGGCCAGAACTCGGTTCACCTGCAACGGGAGGACCTGGCCCAGAAGAGGTGGCCTTCATCTTCATGGTGCCTTCAGATAGGAAATCTAGGATTTCTTTTCTTCTCTTTGATCTACTTCCAACTCTCCCTTTTTATTTATTTATTTATTTATTTATTTATTTATTTATTTATTTATTTGAGACAGAGTCTTGCTGTGTTGCCCAGGCTAGAGTGCAGCGGGGCAGTCTCAGCTCACTGCAACCTCCGCCTCCTGGGTTCTAGAGATTCTCCTGCCTCAGCCTCCTGAGTAGCTGGGATTACAGGCGCCCGTCACCGCGCCCAGCTACTTGTATTTTTAGTAGAGACAGGGTTTCACCATCTTGGCCAGGCTGGTCTCGAACTCGTGACCTCGTGATCCACCCACCTCGGCCTCCCAAAGTGCTGGGATTACAGGCGTGAGCCACCGCATCTGGCCCTCCCTTTCTATTTCTTCAAGACCTTTTTCGGATCCCTCCTGCGCAGGACCTAAACGGGCGGTGCCCTTACCCACTGGTCCCTCCCTGCCTGCTGTCTTCGGAGCCCTAGCTCACCCGGAACGTTACTGCCCGCCGGTGACAGCGAGAGGACCAAAGAGGGCAGCGGGTGCGGTGGGAACCACAGAGTCACCGCGCACCTGCGCCTCGCGGGCTCCTCGCAAATTGAATAAACGCCCCCTGAAGCTTCTCTTCAAGTCACAGGGAAGGGGAAGGTGGCTGCCGACCCGGCGGGAGAAGCCGGCCCTGCCCCTGGTCCTTGAAGACAGGTTTGGCCAGGCTGATTTTGACTGGTAGGCTCAAAGAAAAGCCTCAAGGGCAGACCAAACTCCGACAGGCTCCGAGATTAAGGCTTTCAAACGTCTGATCGTTTTCAGCTTGGTCAGTAAAATCGATCCCGCCTTTATCAGGAGATTCCTTTGCCAAAGTTCAGAGACCTGGGGTTCCCGCTGCTTGCCACACAGAAAACCGATCACTGAGACGGTTATTGCCAAGGAAGAGGCTTTAATAGGGTGCTGCAGCGGAGGAGATGAGAACTCAGTCTCAAATCCATCTCCCTGACCAACCAAAACTAGAGGCTTAGATGGCAGGGAAAGAATGTGACAATGTGTAAGAAAACAGGAACTAGACCAGGCGCGGTGGCTCACGCCTGTAATCCCAGCACTTTGGGAGGCCGAGGCGGGCGGATCACGAGGTCAGGAGATCGAGACCATCCTGGCTAACATGGTGAAACCCCGTCTCTACTAGAAATACGAAAAGAAATTAGCCGGGCGTGGTGGCGGGCGCCTGTAGTCCCAGCTACTCGGGAGGCTGAGGCAGGAGAATGGCGTGAACCCGGGAGGCGGAGCTTGCAGTGAGCCAAGATAGCGCCACTGCACTCCAGCCTGGGAGGCAGAGGGAGACTCTGTCGCAAAAAGAAAAAAAAAAAAAAAAAAAGAAAGAAAAGAAAGAAAACAGGAACTAGGGAGGGGCAAGGAAGCAATCAGGATGAATGAGGGGTCCGGCATCTCATTGTCTGGGTGACTTTCAGTTCTTTGATATCTTTTTTGAGAGGCCTGAAGGAAGGAACTCAAATAAAACAAATATCGAGTTTCAAACTTTCAGATCAGAAGGGTCCAATTCTATGTTTATCCAAAAATCTACGTATGGGACTATTGGGTGGGTTTCAGACCAAGAAAGAGTGTGCATATCAAAGTCTGCGGTTAACCAAAGAGAAAACATAATTTTCCGACCAATAGGATGTATGGGGGTCAAAGAACGACCAGCCTACAGTACTGTTTATTGGCCTGAGCATACGGAAGGATGAAGTTGCACCAGCGAAATGGGATTAAGCTGCAGGTGCGGGCTGGGCGCGGTAGCTCACACCTGTAATCCCAGCACTCTGGGAGGCTGAGGTGGGTGGATCACTTGAGATCAGGAGTTTGAGACCAGCCTGACCAACATGGTGAAACCTCGTCTCTAATAAAAATACAAAAATTAGCCGGGCGTCATGGCGGGCACCGGTAGTCCCAGCTACTAGGGAGGCTGAGGCAGGAGAATCATTTATTAGTAAGGTCATTTATTAGTAAGGAACAGAAGCAAGCACCAAGATTTAAGGCAGGAAGGGATAGGCTAACTCTACTGCTTTGTGCAAATGTAGTCGGGTTTATGATCAGGGCTGCCCTTAACTATAAAGCTGCTAACCCCTGAGTCTTGAAAGGGAAAAGAGAAACACTAGTTGCCAGTCTTTTGGTTGTACAACAAGAAGGCCTGGACTATGAGAATGCTTTTTCTGGATTAGTTCCATCAATGCTTTGTCCCTGAAGTCAGAAGTACCTTGCCAATAAGGGACTGCTTTTTAAAGTTTTTTGTTGTTGTTGTTGTTTAATTGGAAAATGCCCCCTGGCCACCCAGAACCCCATGAGTTCAACACCAAAGGCACTGAAGTGTTCTCCTTTCCCCCCAAACACATCTCTACTTCAGCTTCTAGATAAGGGAGTCATAAGGACCTTTAAGGCTCTACATATGGCACTCTATGGAAAGATTTGTCAACATTCCAAAAGAGAAACCCAATAGAGAGAACATCATGGAAGTCTGGGAGGCTTACACCTTTCAAGATGTCATCAGTTGATATAGAAAACCATGAAACTCAAAACAATAAATTCCTGCTGGACAAAAGTACAATTTGTGTCCAGATGTTGTGCATAGCTACAGAATTACGACAAACCCAATTTAGAGAAAACCATGGAAAGAAGTATGGATATGAAGGGAAAAAAAGGTGTGGAGTGAAGGGTTGTAAGATATGGATCTTGGAGGAATTTAAGAGCTAATACACACCACACCAGAGGAATTAACAAAAGATGACTTCATGGAGATGAGTGCTTCCTAACCAGTGCCAGATAATGAGGAAGAAGACATAGGAAAAGCAGTGCCAGAAAACAAATTGGCATTCAACAATCTGGCAAAAGAACTTTGATTATTCAAGACTACTTTTGACTTCTTTTATGACATAGACCGTTCCATGATACAGGAACTGAAACTAAAGCAAATGGTGGAAGACGGATAGGTACTACACTGAAATGTTTTTAGAGAAATGAAAAAGCAAAATAGACAGAAATAATGATGTATTTTTGTAAAGTCTCACCAAGTGTGCTTGCCTCTTTTGCTTCCCCTTCCATCCCTTCACCCTCTTCCACCTCTGCTACCCTAAGACACAAAGACCAGCTCCTCCTCCTCCTCCTCTGCCTACTCAACATGAACACAACAATGATGAAGACCTTTAGGATGATCCACTTCCACTTAATGAATGGGTCATATATTTTCTCTTCCTTACAATTTTCTTGACTATAATTTCTTTTCTGTAGCTTAGTTTATTGTAAGAATACAGTATATAATACACATAGCATGCAAAATATGTCTTAAATGTAACGCATGTTATCAGTAAGCCTTCTGGTCAACAATAGGTTATTAGTAGTTTGGGGGGAATCAAAATTTGTATGCAGATTTTTCACTGTGTGGGAGGCCAGCTCCCCTAACCCTATATTGTTCAAGGGGCAACAATATTCTTTCTCACTGGCACTTTACTTTCCATAAATTCAAATCCCAAAAGTAGAACTGCAAGTTCAAAAGGATTTTTAAAAAAATAATTACTGTCAGATTACAGAAAGTTTCCAATTTACATTTTCACTACCAATGTACAATGTTGGCATCCCTGAATCCTTATCAGCAATGAATTTTTAAATATACTATAAGAGATGAAAAAATTTTTTTAAAATTTGGAATTCCCTGATCACTAATGAAGTTAAGCATCAATATTATTCCTTTAATATGCAAATGCTGAAAATACATTTAACTATAATAGATGTCAAAAATCTGTAAATCAGGCTAGGTGTGGTAGGCACTCACCTGTATTCCCAGCCACTGGGAGACTTGAGTCCAGGAGTTCCAGACTGTAGTATGCAATGATCAAGCCTGTGAATAGCCACTGCACTCCAGCATGGACAACATAGCAAGACCCCATCTTTTTTTAAAGAAAAGAGTCTATAAGACAAAGGTCCTCATAAATTAAGAGAAGCCAAGACAGTCACTGTGACTGCAGAATATTTTAATTTTTTTTTATTATACTTTAAGTTCTAGGGTACATGTGAACAACGTGCAGGTTTGTTACATATGTATACATGTGCCATGTTGGTGTGCTGCACCCATTAACTCATCTTTTACATTAGGTATATCTCCTAATGCTATCCCTCCCCCAGCCCCCCACCACAGAGCAGGCCCCAGTGTGTGATGTTCCCTTTCCTGTATCCATGTGTTCTCATTGTTCAATTCCCACCTGTGAGTGAGAACATGCGGTGTTTGGTTTTTTGTCCTTGTGATAGTTTGCTGAGAATGATGGTTTCCAGCTTCATCCATGTCCCTACAAAGGACATGAACTCATCCTTTTTTATGGCTGCATAGTATTCCATGGTGTATATGTGCCACATTTTCTTAATACAGTCTATCATTGTTGGACATTTGGGTTGGTTCCAAGTCTTTGCTATTGTGAATAGTGCCGCAATAAACATACGTGTGCGTGTGTCTTTATAGCAGCATGATTTATAATCCTTTGGGTATATACCCAGTAATGGGATGGCTGGGTCAAATGGTATTTCTAGTTCTAGTTCCTTGAGGAATCACCACACTGTCTTCCACAATGATTTAACCAGTTTACAGTCCCACCAACAGTGTGAAAGTGTTCCTATTTCTCCACATCCTCTCCAGCACCTGTTGTTTCCTGACTTTTTAATGATCGCCATTCTAACTGGTGTGAGATGGTATCTCATTGTGGTTTTGATTTGCATTTCTCTGATGGCCAATGATGATGAGCATTTTTTCATGTGTCTGTTGGCTGCATAAATGTCTTCTTTTGAGAAGTGTCTGTTCATATACTTCGCCCACTTGTTGATGGGGTTGTTTGTTTTTTCTTGTAAATTTGTTTGAGTTCATTGTAGATTCTGGATATTAGCCCTTTGTCAGATGAGTAGATTGCAAAAATGTTCTCCCATTCTGTAGGCTGCCTGTTCACTCTGATGGTAGTTTCTTTTGCTGTGTAGGAGCCCTTTAGTTTAATTAGATCCCATTTGTCAATTTTGGCTTTTATTGCCATTGCTTTCAGTGTTTTAGACATGAAGTCCTTGCCATGCCTGTGTCCTGAATGGTATTGCCTAGGTTTTCTTCTAGGGTTTTTATGGTTTTAGGTCTAACATGTAAGTCTTTAATCCATCTTGAATTAATTTTTGTATAAGGTGTAAGGAAGGGACCCAGTTTCAGCTTTCTACATATGGCTAGCCAGTTTTCCCAGCACCATTTATTAAACAGGGAATCCTTTCCCCATTTCTTGCTTTTGTCAGGTTTGTCAAAGATCAGATGGTTGTAGATGTGTGGTGTTATTTCTGAGGGCTCTGTTCTGTTCCATTGGTCTATATCTCTGTTTTGGTACAAGTACCATGCTGTTTTGGTTATTGTAGCCTCATAGTCTAGTTTGAAGTCAGGTAGCGTGATGCCTCCAGCTTTGTTCTTTTTGCTTAGGATTGACTTGGCAATGCGGACTCTTTTTTGTTTCCGTGTGAACTTTAAAGTAGTTTTTTTCCAATTCTGTAAAGAAAGTCATTGGTAGCTTGATGGGGATGGCATTGAATCTATAAATTACCTTGGGCAGTATGGCCATTTTCACGATATTGATTCTTCCTATCCATGAGCATGGAATGTTCTTCCATTTGTTTGTGTCCTCTTTTATTTCCTTGAGCAGTGGTTTGTAGTTCTCCTTGAATAGGTCCTTCACATCCCTTGTAAGTTGGGTTCCTAGGTATTATTTCAAATATTATTGTAAAACAATGAGATATTGAAACATACATTGGAGCAAACTCTTCTTCATTTTTAAATCCTTTCAGCACAGAGACAATCAACTGACTGTCTGGGTACTACCTGACCACTATTGGAGTCTCTTTCATCTGCCTGAGTCTGTGCAACAATATGAAATTATAATTTTACTATGCACCTAAACGTTCCTCAATATATTGAATTCTTACAGAATTTGAAGAGTCAAATTTTGTAAATCCAGTTACCTTTTTCCACTACTCTAGGCCTCATATACTATCTGGCCTAAGGGTTAAAGGTCCACAATTGAATAAGCCAAACTTGTTAATTTGAAGGTAAAGCATGTCAAGAAATCTGGCCTTAATGTCCAATGAACTTATGTCATATTAAGTAGCTGGATAGAAACATGCATTCCAAAGTGGATACTGTTTATCAGGCTCAGTGCTCTATTCTTGATGGTAAATCCCAGAATAGGGTGGATGCTTTAATTTTGTATTAAATAGTATTAGGTGTAATATCAAAACCACTAAGGGAACACTAATGATGAGAATAGGAACACTAGCTGTGGAGCTGGTAACTTTCTATAGAAATCCTATCTCTTTCAATTGCCTGTTTAGTGGGCAAGTGTTTCAGTTCCTATAATATCTAAATTGGAGAAAATCACCCCACCTACTTCTTCAGGTGTTATGATAATTATGAGGGATAACATCTTTTTAAGTGTTTAACACAATTCCTCACACATAGAAAGCAATAATAAACATTGGCTAGCATTGTAAGGATGGATTATTGTCTTCCAATGTGTTTTCATACATTTTCTTTCTGGGATCTTGAGTGAAACATGTGGATCTAGAACAAGAACAAAATGATGTTACCTTGATGATCTCTATGTAGGGTCACACTCAAGGCATCTTAAAATATTTTGCTGGCCAACAAAAGACACCTCCTGTTCTAATTGGGCATTGTCCTTTTCTTTAAACTATGCAGACAAACAATATTATAAAGTGAGAACATCCGCATAAAAAACCTAAACATAAATCTTAATAGTGAGTTCATGAAAATTCTTACTGATGAAATGGCAATGTCACAGACTGACTGTTTATGTCCCCCCAAATTTGTATATTGAAATCCTAACCCCCAAGCTACTCGTGTTAGGAGATAGAGCCTTGGGGAGGTGATTAGGCCATGAGGACAAGATTCTCATGAATGGAATTTGTGCCCTTATAAAAGAGATCCCAGAGAGCTCATTGGCCCCTTCCAAAGTATGGGGATACAGCAGGAAGTTGCCATCTATGAGCCAGAAGGGTGAACCTCACCCCAGATGCTGAATCTGCCTTGATATTGGACTTCCCAGCCTGCACAACTGTAAGAAATTTCTGTTGTTTATAAGTTACTCAGCTTGTGGTATTTTGTTACAGCAGCCTACACAGACTAAGACAAGTAGCATTTTGAGGATTAAAATTTCTTCATAAATGAATAGAGTATGCCCTGTTAAACCATATTCTCAGCTAACCCCGTTTACTCACTGTTCCTCTTTATTTTAGTTTCACATTTTTGCTATTTATCTCTGTAATTTTATTCATTCTTCACAATTTGCCATTCTTATACTTCGAATCATGTTATCAGTTTATAATACCTCCATCAAATGATAGTCTGCATTTGTTTATCCTTGGCTGATTCAAAACACTTGGCATAATTTCCTTAAAGGAAATCATCTTCATCCCACCTCACAACACTGTATTATTTTCAATTAATTTCCAATAAACTCTTAATTGTCCATGCTCTGTCAGAGTTGGCAGAGTTAATCCCTGTTTAAGCTAATAGGTTCAACTTCTTCAACAAACAAATCTTTCATGAAAGCTGCTGACAAGCCAGAGTATTAATTAAATCTAGTTTCATTGCTTCTCACTTTCCTTGATCCTTCTCTCTTGTTCTTTGGGAAACAGTCACAGAGTTCTGGCGCTAATAAATACTATAAAAAGTAGGAAATACAGTCTAAAGAAGCAGAATATTCTGTTTAAAGTTGATGTGGTGCTTTTTGTGCACCAAGCATTGGCTCAAAAGCCTGAAAATTAGGCAGCAATACTTCCTAAGCTCATCTTCAACCATAAGGCAGAAAAGCCAAACATATCTGAAAATATAATATCACTGGTACCTTATACCAGCACTAAGAATAAGAAAACCCTGGAAAGTGGCTCGAGTACAGTATTTTTCTATTGGAATTAATTTTTCAAAATGGAAAGGACTTCATTGTTATTTTTATTATAAAATTAGTATATGTTTATTATTAAAAATAAGTACAAAAATCTCTAAAAGAAAAAGGGAAAAATTACCAGCAGTTCCACATTCCAGATATCATCACTGTTAGCATTTAGGATACAAATATCCAAACACTTTTTCTATCAATACATTTAATTTTTAAATTTGACCATTACGCAATGTACACATGCACTAAAGCACCACACTGTACCCCATAAACATGTGCAATTATTATGTCAATTAAAAACAAAATAAAAGCATTTTACAAAAAATCATGTTATTTTTAATAACTTGTTTTTCTAATTTTATACACCATAAAATAAATGTCTTTACATGACATTTATTTTATGATAATAACTAATTTATTCATTTAAACAGCAAGGTACATTTCATTCTACAGATATACTATATAATATTTACTCCGATCTCTGGATGAGAATTTATGTTGCCTGTAAATATTGTATCACAAACATTATAAGAATAATCTCTGTAAAGGTTTCCTTCCTGAATTATTATTTGGGTAGAAAAATTACTAGAAATAGAATAACTGGGTCAAAGATTAAAGACAATTTAAATTTCAATATATAGAATCAAATTATTCTCCAAAATATTGTACTCTACAGTATTTGAATTTTGATTTTTTTCTCCATTTTCACTACTGCCAATAACTTTAATCTTTGTCGATAAATGAGACAAAAAAGACAAATAATGCAATATTATACAAGGGAGATTAATAGGTAGAAAAAGAAATGCAATGGCCAGGAGTAACAGAAGATGTTCAACATCAATCCAATCAAATTAATGCGTCTTTAAAATGCAATAGCAGTCAATGTTAGCAAGAGTGTAGGTATTAGACATTCTCATAGGAATATAAACTAGGGCCATGTTTTAGGATCATATTAGATCGCAGCAATTAAAAAATGTTAAATTCATATGTTGTATAGCAACTTCTCAGGTTGGAATTTATCACATGGAGAATCTTGTAAAATACATAAACCAAGATATGTTATTAATGTTATTGGTAGCCTATTGTTTTAATAAAAAATATATTTATACAATACAGTTGTTAAAAGTTAAGAATATCTTGAAGGTAAATTATTAAACAAAAATAGAATGCCTAGGCCAGGCAAGACTTCATCTCATGCTTATAATCCCAACACTTTTGGAGACTGAGGTGGGAGGATTGCTTGAGCCCAGGAGTTTGAGACCAACCTGGGCAACACAGTGAGACCTCATCTCTAGAAAAAAAAAATACAAAGCCTAGTTCTGAACATCCTTTTGTGTAATACTAAAAGATAAAATTTTATTTTCTACCTTGTTTAAGATCTATATTCTATACGGGGGATGTGTATTAAGGTCATTTTTAAAAAGATACTCAAGAAATTGTCAACAGTGATTATCTTAAGGAGAGATTCTAGATGTCTGGGGGTAAGAGACAGGAGGAAAGAGAATTTTATATTTCATTTTTACCTTTATTTAACTTTTTGATTTTCTTACTGGGTGCATGAATTATATTTTTATGTCAGCATGTTTTATCAGATAAATAAAATTATGAGCTATTTCTGTTTTCTCTCATTTGTTTTATGTTTAAATAAAGGAAAATGAGATATGTCTTTTTAAATTAGATAATCTTGAGTCCATGATTATTATGAAAGCCCTCTGTTATCTTTTTCCTTCCTTTCACAATGACTATTTATGTTGTAGAATCATTAATTTCTCAAGACAAATGTCTTAGAAGGTAGATACAAAAAAATGGTATACATTTTTTGATTCAAGCTAATTTCATGTTACGAACAAAATTACGTAATGTCATTTCTAAGACCTTTCTGTGATCTATCAATCCACTAGGTTAAAGAGCAGAAATCACTTCCAAAACAAATCCTTTTGCAGTCAGCAAAATGAAGCAATTATATGAATAAGTTTTTCCACTTGGCCTATTTTTCTACCCATGGTTATTAATCAGTCTCACTGACTACATTTTCCGTTTTACATCCCCTTTCAGGCACTACTGCAGATGGCCAAGCATATCACATTATGTAAATAAAATAAAACAAAATCTTTTCCCATTGAGCAAATGGATATACTTCACCTCTAATGCTTCCAGTCTTTCTCAGATCATTCAAAAAGCATGATATGGTTTCCATGAAAGGACATTCATCCCATTTGACTAACTGGAATTTCTTTACTCCAGCTAATCTTTACCAAAGAGCTGAATTAATTCAAGTTGACACCCTGTTATCTACCAGCTCTTCCAGCCCTTTTGCTTGATTGTTTTGTCATTTTGCCTTTTCTTTTCTTCTAAAGTGGGAGTATGGAGATTTACCCTTCTGAAACAGCTGTGTCACATCATGATCCTTGAGAATATCAGCTCTTAACTGGCTGCACATCAAAATCACTGTTTCCTTTGACCAATACTCTAGACACACTCAAGCAGAGATTCTGGATTCTGATTTAATTGACACAGAGTAGGGCCTGGGCATTTTTACAGCTCCCCACATGATTCTATTGTGCCTCATCTATCCTAGCCCTTAAGCAGGACCAAACATTTGTTCTATCTTAATTATTATTCTCTTAAACTTAGTCCAATTCCTTACAACTGATAGCTTTCTATATACTCATCTGCCTTGAGTGATGACAATTGATATGGTTTGGCTGTGTCCACACCCAATCTCATCTTGTAGCTCCCATAATTCCCACATGTTGTGGGAGGGGCCCAGTGGGAGATAACTGAATCATGAGGATGGGTCTTTCCTGTGCTGTTCTTGGGTTAGTGAGTAAGTCTCATGAGATCTGATCATTTTTAAAATGGGAGTTTCCCTGCACAAGCTGTCTCTTTGCCTGCTGCCATCCATGTAAGATGTGACTTGCTCCTCTTTGTCCTCCACCATGATTGTGAGGCCTCCCCACCCATGTGGAACTGTAAGTCCATTAAACCTCTTTCTTTTGTAAATTGCCCGGTCTCAGGTATGTCTTTATCAGCAGCATGAAAACAGATGAATACAACAATACTGTAACAAATCGACTCACATCTGTTCTCTTTATAGGAATTGCAGTGCTACAATATTAGTGGCTCTTAATTCTAAGAGTGTTAAAAAATATTAATGCTTGTCTCACCCCTAAAGTCTAGGGTGTGACCTGAGTATTAGGTTATTTAAAACTTTTCTCAGGTAATAGACATGTGCAGCCAAGGTTGAGAACCACTCTATAGGGCCAAGATATGTAAGAAAATTCAAGTCCTTTAGCTGGGCGTGGTGGCACACAGCTGTAGCCCCAGGTACTCTGGAAGCTGAGGTGGGAGGATTGCTTGAGCCCAGGACAGAGAGGCTGCATTAAGCTATGATCACATCACTGCACTCTAGCCTGGGTGACAAAGTGAGATCATGTCAAAAAAAAAAGAAAAAGAAAGGAGAAAGAAAGGAAGAAGAGGAAGGAAGGAAGGAAGGAAGGAAGGAAAAGAAGAAAGAAAGAAGAAAGAAAGGAACAAAGAAAGAAAGAAAGAAGAGAAAAAGAGAGAGAGGAAGAAAGAAAGAGAGAAAGAAAGAAAAGAAAAAGGAAGGAAAGAAAGGAAGAAAGAAAGAAAAAGAGAGAAAGAAGAAAGAAGAAAAGGAAAGAAAGAAAGAGAGAGAGAAAGAAGGAAAAGAACGAAAATTCAAGTCCTGCCTTGTAAAATGCAGTACTCCATTTTCCCAAAGAGATCCCAAGGGAAACTTAACTACAGGATAAAGACAGACAAAAGGACATAAATTACAACTACTCTAGGTTCACATATTATTTTGTTTCTGAAATGGGTTTTAAAATATCTATGTCAGAGTTCATTTCTAGAACTTTATCTCTAGAAAACATATTTTCACTTCTCAATACAGGAAAATGGAGATTGGAAAAATGAGTTTGGAAAATGATTTCCATGCTTATCTCTCAGCTTCTTTTTTCAACTTCCCTTTTTCATCTCCGTATCTTCACTGATACCTAGGAATCTCTGTTACATCACAGTCTTCAAGAGCTTTGCTCACAGCGAATTAGTTAAGACATTAGCTTTCAAAAGTATATGATATTCTCTCACAAGCATTTGTCTACTTTTAATAGGGCAAGCTACGTAAAGATGTTAAATCTCATTCCAGAAATACCACATCTATTCTACCTATTTATGAGAACAGTCGTCTCTAGACCAAGATAGAAATTCATAGTTAGGAAATAAATCCCTGTAGGGTTTTTCCACAGTCCCAATATGTCCCCTACTGTCCCGATTTTAGCAACAAAAATCCCCCATCCAGAAAATCCTTCATTCCTGAGTAAGTTGAAAGATTGGTCACCCTATTTCTATCTGTGTCTCTTTCTTTCATAATTGGCTCATAATCATAGCAGTCACAATTTTGAAAAATGTTATTTTACTGAATTACTCATTGCTGTTTTCTCATTTTTTAAATAATAAACACTTATTAAGAAACATTGGAAATATACCAAAAATAGTAAACAATAAAACAGAAACCATTGGCAGAAATAGTCACTATTAAAATCTTAATATACTCCCTTCCAATGTTGTTTCTGTTAATGCAAATTAAAAAATCAGAGATTCGCCTCTGTGAACTAGATCTCTTTTTACCTTTAGATATTATTTGACAAATACATAGCTCAATCATCTATCCAAACTTCTCTTTTACAGACTCCATGCCAATTAACCTTCTCCTATGAAACTATTATTTCTTCACATAGGATAAATATGGTTATTGACACACAAACTTTCTTAGTTACACTGCAATCCAGTTGTGCGTTCCTAAATTTATACCAATTGGATTTAGAATGATCATTACTAAAGAGGCTTGGCCTTATCTCTTGCAATTTGCTTCTTCCTTCTTAAATTCAATTCTTGTAATGTAACTATAATTTGGGGGTATCTTTTTGCCTCATATTCAAATTCTCTTTCAAACTGAGGTACATTTCTGTATTTCTGTATTTGTATATTGCATATAATAGTATAGAAAACAATAATGAGATTATAGTGTACATAAAAGTTTTGAAGTATAATTAAATATTTAATATATAAATATATTAAATATGGGCTGCTGACTCACCAAGCCTGGTTTGGCTTCCATCACTTGTGTAATCAATCACCTGTATTAAATCACCTCTGCTTGAAAGACGAAGAATAGTTTCTGATTTATAAGCAAACACTGAAAGCTCTTCTATTTCTTGTTTGCTAAACAAGATTTGTCAAAGTTAAATATTTTATTTTATTGAATTCACTTTTTGCCTCTCCTACAATGATGATTTGCTTTTCCTCCTTTAACTTGTTAATGTGATGAATTATACATAGTTTTTTTTTTCTATTGTTAGAAATCCTTGCATTCATGGAACAAACACAATTTTCATACTATATTTTTTATAGACTTCTAAACTTAATTTGCTAACTTTTAATTTAAAATGTTTGCCGTTAGGTTCATGAGGAAAGTTGGCATGTAATTTTCCTGTCTTACACATTTCTCATATAACATTGGTATCAAGGTTGTACTGGCCTCATAAAATGAACGAACAAATGGACCTTTTTTTATTCTGGAGTTGTTTTTATAAAATGGAAATAATCCATTTCTTGAAAACATTTGATAGAACTCACCAGTAAAAATGTCTGGGCCTGCTGGTTCTCTTCTTCTAAGAAGAATTTGGAACTTATAATTAAAGCTCCTTTAATGTGTTAGAAAACTTTCCAGGTTTCCTTGAACATTAATAAATTCCAATGACGAAAAGCCCTCAGATATTAAATATAACCTTAAATATAACCTTCCCCCAATTCAATTTTTCTTTTGCAGATATGATTAGATACTCTAATTTTTCAACCTCTATTTCACATATCCATTTTCCTTTCCTCCTCTGTACTGTCTTCAGCATAATTTGTTTAGTCTAACTTCCAACTCACTTATTTTCTTTTTGGTTCTATCCAATATTGTGTTTAACCTGTCCATTTAGTTTTTAATTTTCATTATATTTTTTATTTCTAAAAGATCTCTTAAATTCAGTTTCAATCTGCTTAATATAAGATACATACACTGTCTCAATTTATATTCCTGGCACACCTCATTGATTTTTTAAACATATTAAACACAGCTTTTATAGTTATATAATCGTCCTAATATCTGAAATCTTTATGGGCATAATTCTGTTTCTGCTCATGATGTTTATTTCCTCATGAGTTTTGTAAGAGTCTTACTTTTTTCTCATTTTGGATGAAATTTTACCTGTGGCCATTCTTTGAGACATGGGCTGAATGTGGGTTTCTCCAAAGACACTTTGCCTTCGTCTTGTGTTTGGTGGTAATACCAACATGGGATAACTATAAAATAAATTATCAGTTTCATGTGTGGGTTTTTTTTAACTTATACTTACAGTGAAAATTTAAACCACAAATTCATGTGAAGATGGCCTTCTCATTTTTCCTCTAAATAGCACCGAGTTTGAGGCAGGAAAATTTCCTGGTTGTCTCCCCCTGAGGAACAGGTTTTTATCTAGTTTATCCTTTCCCTGAAATTATAGTCCTTCGTATCTCTGGCTTTCAGCAGTTTTCTCCTGTAAGACTGCTATACTGGGCAGGCACTAGGTTTTGTCTCACACTCTCCCATATCCCAGGTGGTCATAAAAATTGAAGCTCAGGGTACTAGGGCCAGGACTGTCCTTATGGAAGCTTCTGGTTTGGGGGTCTGCATACCTCTCTGGATTTATGTATTCTCCTTATGCTTGGCCTATGTGGTTCACCTTAATTTCTATTCAAGTCAGTAATATACTTTTGAAAAATGACATGTACATTTTATCTGGTATTTGTAGATTTCATATAGCAGGATAGTGATTCAGCAAATTTAGTCTACCACAATGCTGGGAATAGAATTCCCCTAATTTTTGAAAACATTATATTAAATCATGTTTATTGCCATTAATAGTCTTATAAATGTGCTTTTAACTAACTGCATTTTGTCATAGCTCATTGTGATTGTATATTTAACTAGTTCACCCCTACCTCATGTTTTTTGGGAGTGAAGGTTGTACTCAACTCATTAAGTTAAGTAATACTACAGTAAACATCAATCTATACATGCATTAATAATGATTTCCAAGAAAGTAGTGACACATGGTCATAATCATCTTTGAGGCTGATGGTACATATTTTCAAATTGCATCTCAGAAATAATATACCAATCTGTGCTCTAATCAGCCGCATATGAAAGTGTCATCTTTCTGTTCTCCAACCAATACAACTACTACTGTTTTTATACCTGCAAATCTGACAAAGATGTGAGAAGGCATCTTATAGTTTCAATTTGTATTTCTTTGGTGACCAATGTACTAAATTACTCAATGTACTAAATTACTCTTTTCCTGTTTATGATCCATTTCAAACAAAATGTAAACCATTTTTTAAATTTTTTTATATTAATGCAAATCGTAAATCACTACTTTATTTATTCAACTTCCTAAGCAAAATTATATGTTGTCCCATTTATACATTTTATATTAGATCTTTCTGCCTTACATTTATAACCTAAAAAATGTCAGAATTATATAATAATGATGAACAGTTGATTATAAATAATGTCTTTATTAGGATATTTCTCCATAAATCTAAATTTCATCAATCTTTCTTTAAATATCTCTACACAATGTCCTCTTGTATTATATTAATAATTGCAGATACACTTCTTTTTGCTATTTCTATTCTTTCCTATTCCTATTGTCTGTTAGTCTCCCATTTTCTCCCATAAAATAAATAAAAATTTTTCTATCAGATTCTGTGATATATTACTTCTTATTCCCAGCCTTCAACATTTTAAGAATTCATATTGACCTTTTCTCCCATTCTTATTTCAAGTTATCAGCATGTTGATACTTGGGAAATCCCATCAAGTGTTTAACAGTGCATACCTTACTGATTCATTATTTATTTCAATTTAATCTTTCTTATTTTCATTCAACTTTTTTCTCAGTAATACAACTTTTTCAAGCTTTTTATTTTCTAATGCATTTCTCCAAATAGCAGCCATAACCCTTATATGCCCTCTTTCAATGACAACAACAAAAGTGTGCTAGGCTTCTTGGAAGAAAATAATGATACCAATTCAAGAAGGAGAAAATTGATGTACTGATAAACAAATGGGCATCTTAGGATCATGTTTCTCACAAGTAAGGCAGTTCCAGAAATTCCTAGGACCATAATGGGTTTTATTCTAAATAGGTTAAACATATCACTTAAAAAATTGTTTTCTACAGTTCTCTAATATTGCTTACAATTGTCCACGTTTCCATGTTTATAAACTTGCACTTTTTTTTTTTTTATGGAGTTTTGCTGTTGTTGCCCAGGCTGGAGTGTAGTGGCGTGATCTTGGCTCACTGCAACCTCCACCTCCCAGGTTCAAGCAATTCTTCTGCCTCAGCCTTCTTAGTAGCTGGGATTACAGGTGCGTGCCACCACACCTGGCTAATTTTTTGTAGTTTTAGTAGAGACGGGGTTTCACCATGTTGGCCAGGCTGGTCTCGAACTCCTGACCTCAGGTGATCCACCCGCCTTGGCCTCCCAAAGTGCTGGGATTACAGGCATGAGCCACTGCTCCCGGCCTTATACTTGCACACTTTTTAATTCTAAGACCTTGCTACTCAGTGAGGGATCCTGGGACTAATACCATCAGCTTGACTTGAGGCCCTCTTTGAAAGCAGACTCAGAATCTGTAATTTATCAGGATCCCCAGGTAATTTGTATGTGCAGTCTAGTTTGGTAGATCTGCTCTGGCAGACTGGAAGACTCTTCTATCTGCCTCATGTAAGGTGCAGGTGACATAATTAGGTAATCAAGCAAAAGATCACATATTTTAATAAGAAAGAGACACTGGCTATTATTTTGAGTGGCAAAACAGGTTATTCAGTCCCAGTTTAAAATGGAAATGACAGAGACCAAGATGAAGATTTTTAATTTGAGATGTGCCTGCGATGCAATTACATTTGCTGAATGAAACTGCTTCAGTAATTAGATGCAGGTTTCTTCTCTCTTCTTTTTGAGATGTAAAGAAGACACAATAGACTCATGGAACTTAAAGAACTAGACGCCAGCTAACAAAACATGCTATCCAGGCTCTTTCGTTTCACCATATTGCTTTCTTGAAAACATAGGACAGTGCCAGTTTAGCACTGAAAAAAATCAGTTCTCCTAATTCTAAAAAGAGGAGACAGCCAGGCGTGGTGGGTCACTAAAAATACAAAAAATTAGCTGGGCATGGTGGTGCATGCCTGTAATCCCAGCTACTTGGGAGGCTGAGGCAAAAGAATCACTTAAACCCGGGAGGTGAAGGTTGCAGTGTGCTGAGATAGCGCCATTGCACTCTCGCCTGGGCAACAAGAGCGAAACTCCGTCTCAAGAAAAAAAAAAAAAAAGAGAGAGAGAGAGAGAAACTGTAATTTCATTTCAGAAGTTTTATAGGGTACTATTTCCAATTCTTTTTTTCTTACTCCATTAAAGTGTAATTAGCAGTATGTGAAAATTTCCACTTTATCCTCAATCAGAAGCCTCTCCTTCCAATTAGCATATATTTTTTCTATTAACTTTGTAAAGTGGGATTCTTGTTTTATACATACCCCTGGAAAGTATACTTAAACTGTGAGACCCTGGGATTTTATATTTCCAAATAGAAGATACCATCCTCTTGTATCACAAAATGTACCTAAGATGGTTTGGATTATATTTAAATATTCTTGAATGAAATAGACTTACTGACTGAAGCCAATTATTATATTTTTCCACACCAAAATAAATGCAATAGGAAAAGATGACAGTTCTATGTAGTATTCCTGCTTCCATATTGCACAAATTAGAAACATACATATTCCATTATGTTACAGGGTCTAGGGCTTTGGGAGGACAAGGCTGCAGGCAGCCGAGATTGTGCCGCTGCACTCCAGCCTGGGCGACAGAGTGAGATCTTTTCTCAATAATAATAATAAAAGTAAAAAGAAATATAATATTTAATCAATATATGCACACACATGGGTTTATCATGACACACACGACATGTGTGTACAGTGAAAAAAATGAGTAAATCTAGAAACCTGTATTGCCTCAATAGCTAGCTAAGTACTTCAATATGCATGTTTATTTCAACAATTTTGTGTTAAGCTTCAGTGGTAAATAAGCAGAGTACACTGACCATAATGAATACTTCTTTTGATGAGGGTTATCACTACACAATTAAAATATTACATAGTTGGCTGGGCACGTTGGCTCACACCTATAATCCCAGCACTTTGGGAGGCCGAGGCAGGCAGATCACCTGAGGATGGGAGTTCAATACCAGCCTGACTAACATGGAGAAACCCCTTCTCTATTAAAAATACAAAATTAACCAGGCGTGGTGGCACATGCCTGTAATCCCAGCTACTCAGGACGCTGAGGCAGGAGAATCACTTGAACCTGGGAGGCAGAGGTTGTGGTGAGCCGAGATAGCGCCATTGCACTCCAGCCTGGGCAACAAAAGCAAAACTCCGTCTCAAAAAAATATATAATAATAAATATATATATATTATATATAATCAATATAAATATAATATATAATAAATATATAATATGTATTATACAAATAATAAATATATATATTATATATAATAAATATATCATATAGATGATATAGTTTAGAGTTAAATACTGACTGCTCTTGGGAACTTTGAGGTATTCTGAGGGATATAAATAACACGAAGAGAATAGCACATTGGCTTGAAGCAGATTAGAGTCTGCTACCTGCGTGAATACTTGTTTTTCATGAACTATGAGGATGCCCTTAGCTTTTGAACCACTTCTACTTGTGTTGAAATTTACCCTTTAATTTTGGGGTTTGACAGGCTCTGCCCTTCTGTTATGCTTGAGTCTGGCTTTTCCTACTCTGACTCACTTTGATTCTTGACCTCTGAATCTTATTCCTATTTTACAATAAACACACATCGCACATACGCCAATTAGTAGAGTGGAAGAGGGAAAAATTGCCAAGGAACTATGTTTAATTTTGTTCCTTTCGCAAACCAGACACCATAACAGAAAAATTTTAGGAACATGTGCATGTTCAGTAGCCTTCAATGCAATTATACTGGTTATTAAAAAGTGTTGGATAATCAATATTTTTTAAAGATTCACTAGTCCCTTCTGATAATTTTAGAACTTTGGGAAGTAATAATACAAATGTATTTTTAGCTGTGTCCTTTAATCTTTTACTGTTTCCTCTATGTGTGGTGTTTGGTTTGTGTGTGTGTGATAATTATTATAAAGATCAGAGGCTAACAGAGGTGTTAATCACGAACTTTTAAATTTTTTTTATTTTTATTTTTTTAGTTTTTTTAAGAGACAGAGTCTCACAGTGTTGCCAAGGCTGGATGCAGTCGCGCCAACTCAGCTCACTGCAACCTTCGCCTTCAGGGTTCAAGCGATTCTGCTGCCTCAGCCTCCCAAGTAGCTGGGACTGCAGGAGGGCACCACGATGCCCCACTAATTTTTGTATTTTTAGTAGAGATGTGGTTTCACCATATTGGCCAGGCTGGTCTTGAACTCCTGATCTCATGATCCGCCCACCTCAGCTTCCCTAAGTGCTGGGATTACAGGCGTGAGCCACCGCGTCTGGCTGCATGACCTTTTAACTTGTCTCATACACTCAATATTCTCAAGATATACCTTCCAAAGTGCAAAATTATGGCACTTTGCAGCCCTGACCACTAACTGAGAACTTTGATGCTTTGGATTTTGGAGACCTCATTTTATCACCTGGTCCTTTTACTTCATGACTTGTCATGCTGCCACCTTTTGATGGGATTGAGATGAAGATAATAATTCCCAACTGGTCAGGAATATTGTGCCCCTTTGTTTTTATATCCAGATGCAATAGAGCCTCTGACACACCACTACTATTGTTCTTAGGATTTGGAACAAAATGCATTTCTTTGACAAAATAAATGTTTTCTTTAAAGAACTCTTGATTGATCCTGGACCATTGTAGAAACTGAAGTCCTATCAATGCAAAAAAATATGACAACATGAGCTGCTTATCATGAAATAAGTGTTTTCCAATTAACTATCCTGCTTCATCAGCAGGTAGGAATAATAGAATCTATACCTATGTCTTCATGGGAAGTTCTCTATGGCCAGTTGATTAGTGAGGGAAAAATTGAGCCTGATTTACAGAAGTCACTGTACAACATCACAGCAGCAGCCAAAAGTAGATTGCTTAGGCATTATAACCTACGTGAATGCAATTTTAAAAGAAATTCAGCCTATGTAATTGGTTGTCCACGATGTCTAGAAGGAGAGATATTATTGATGTATATGTGGCAGCTAATAATTTGTCTAGATAATTAGGGACTTGGGGCCAGGCCTGATGGCTCACACCTGTAATCCCAGAACTTTTGGAGGACAGGACAGGTGGATTGTCTGAGGTCAGGAGTTCGAAACCAGCCTGGCTGACATGGTGAAACTCCGTCTCTACTAAAAATACAAAAATTAGCCAGATGTGGTGGTGTGTGCCTGCAATCCTAGCTACTTGGGAGGCTGAGGCAGGAGAATCTCTTGAATCCAGGAGGAAGAAGTTGCAGTGAACCAAGATTGCACCACTGCACTCCAGCCTGGGCAACAAAGCGAAACTCTGTCTCAAAAAAAAAAAAAAAAAAAAGAAAAGAAAAGATAATTAGGGACTCGGAAAGACAAAGACTGAAGGATTGGTGGCAATGAGTTTTGGGGAAAAAATATGTAGATGAACCACAGAAAATGAGCCAGAGTGTAAGAATATTTGTGCTTAATACGAATGCTCACCAAACTATCATCAGGAAGGTTATCAAATAGATATGAAGGTATGAAACAATCTCTTTCACCAGGCACTACATTGCTTGCTTAGAAGGCTAATAAACAGCAACATTGGTGGTAGCAGTAGAGAATACACATAGGTTTAGCAACATGTTGGACTTTACCACTCTCGCTTACAAAAGCCTATTTAGCTGTCAAGACTATTAGGTGTCCAACACACAAGCAACAAAGTCCAAGGCTAAGCACACAATAACATATCCTGGGTGAATAAACCAGTCACCTTTTGTCAGACTTGTTGATTTTATTGGAACTCCTCTATGATAAAGGCAACAAGGAATTTTGTAAATGGAATCTACCTTTAACCTTGAATTACATTTGCTTTACCTGACATCATTTTTCTCTGATCGCCACTCTCCACGGGTACATTGAATGCCTTATATATACTGCCATAATATCCTGTTCTACATCCTTCTCTTAAAAGAACTTGTTGTATAACAAATGAGTAGATATTCATTGGACTCACCTGGTCCACCATTTATCCTATCACTAACCAAAATTATTATTATTACAGAATGGTGAATATTTTATTAAAGACTCAATCACAGTGCCAGCTGGAGACAATGGCTTATAAGGTTGTACTCATGCTAGAGGATGTGGTGGTGTATCCTCTGAACTAGTAACTAAGTATAAGCTTGTCTGGTGTCTCCTATATAAAAAATACAACAATCTTTGATATTTGTTATGAATGTTGAAGTGACTCCTTTTGTCATTACATCTAATGATCCACTCCAAATACTTGTCTCTTGTCTCTGAGATTCTAGGTTTTTGCAGAATTAGTACCCAAAGGGAGAGTCTTAGCAGTATTCCATTTTACAATCCATCCTTCGTTAGAGGATGAGAGACTTCTATCTAGCCTTTTAGGTTGCCTGAGACCTTTAAACAAACAGTCAAAAATTTAAAATTTAAAATGCGGCTACACTGTGGCATGGGGTAGTAAATCTTGACCTTAAAACTGGTATTTGTAAGAAAAACAGAAAGAATTCAGGGATCCCCTTTGATGGCTCCTAATTCTATACAGTCCTGTAAATATTCCTGAAGACTAACCAGGCATGGTGGTGCACACCTGTAATCCCAGCTACTCCAGAGGCTGAGGAAGAGAATCACTTGAACCTGGGAGGCGGAGGTTGCAATGAGCTGAGATTGTGCCACTTCACTCCAGCCTGGGTGACAGAGCAAGACTCTGTCTCAAAAAAAAAAAAAAAAAAAGAAGAAAGAAAGAAAGAAAGAAAGAAAGAAAGAAAGAAAGAAAGAAAGAAAGAAAGAAAGAAATGAAGACTGCCACAACTTGGAAGCAACCAAGATGTCCTTCAATAGGTGACTGCATAAGCAAACTGTGGTATATTCCTACAGTGGAATATTATTCAGTGCTAAAAGGAAAAAACTATCAAGCCACAAAAAGATACAGAAAAACAAAGACATTTTGCTAAGTGAAAGAAGCCAGTCTGAAAAGGGTACATACTGTGATTTCAACTATACAACACTCTGGAAAAGGCCAAACTATAAAGACAGTGAAAAGATCAGTGGTTATCTTTGCAGACGCCACCATCGCTGTGAGCCCTGTACTATCAGCCATGGTCAACTCCGTCGTCTTTTTTGAAATCACCAGGGATGGCAAGCCCTTGGGCCGCATCTCCATCAAACTGTTTGCAGACAAGATTCCAAAGACAGCAGAAAACTTTCGTGCTCTGAGCACTGGAGAGAAAGGATTTCGTTATAAGGGTTCCTGCTTTCACAGAATTATTCCAGGGTTTATGTGTCAGGGTGGTGACTTCACACGCCCTAATGGCACCGGTGACAAGTCCATCTATGGGGAGAAATTTGATGATGAGAACCTCATCCGAAAGCATACAGGTTCTGGCATCTTGTCCATGGCAAATGCTGGACCCAACACAAATGGTTCCCAGTTTTTCATCTGCGCTGCCAAGACTGAGTGGTTGGATGGCAAGCATGTGGCGTTTGGCAAGGTGAAAGAACGTGTGAATATTGTGGAAGCCATGGAGCACTTTGGGTACAGGAATAGCAAGACCAGCAAGAAGATCACCATTGCTGACTGTGGACAATTCTAATGAGTTTGACTTGTGTTTTATTTTCACCACCAGACCCATTCCTTCTGTAGCTCAGGAGAGCACCCCTCCACCACATTTGCTTGCAATATCCTAGAATCTTTGTGCTCTTGCTGCAGTTCCCTTTGGGTTCCATGTTTTCCTTGTTCCCTTCCATGCCTAGCTGGATTGCAGAGTTGAGTTAAGTTTATGATTATGAAATAAAAACTAAGTAACAACAACAACAACAAAAAAGCTCAGTGGTTGCCAGGAGTTTGGGGATGGGTAGGGAGATAAATAGTTCTGAAACAGGCGATTTTTAGGGGATTGAAAATACGTTGGTAATAATGTAATGATGGGTACATGACATTATGCGTTTTGCAAAACTCCTAGACCTGTACCACACAAAGAGTGAACTCTAATGTAAACTGGGGGTGGGATAAAGGTGACAGTATGTGAGAACTCTGTACTTTCTGCTCGATCTTTCCATAAAGCTAAAACTGCTCAAAAAATAAAGTCTATTATTTTGTTAAATGAAAGAAATTAACAATGACCATGGCACGCTCACACAAAAAGATTATCAAGGACATTTCTCTGTCAGGAATGAATATTTGGTCATCTCACAAGGCAAAACCCTGACTAGCAGAGGTGTTAGCTGAGGGCACATGGCCATAGATGCCAATAGTGACCTGCTGGCCACTTGCAGAAAGGAGAGCCTTTACATCCAAACACATTGTTTCTCTTGTATTGTCCTGTGCATACTTATGTATCTTAACAACTTTCCTTCTTTCCTCTCCATTTATCCCTCTTTTTAAAACAGGGCTTATTGAGGGTGATTAACTTAATTTTTAAATGATATATGGCAGAATGTCAAGAGAGTATAGTGAAGAACTTCGTAGAGGAATGGACATAACCCAGAATTCTTAGACTTAGAGTACATGCTGTGATTGAGAATTTTTTATTGTTTCATTGTTCAAGAGATTGTAGGTACATGTTCAATTATTAGAGAAATAGTTGCACTCTGTTAGAAGGAAGCTTGGGTCTTTCGTGTTTACTTTCAAAAGGGAAAGTTTATATTGATATTGAGCAAGTTAAAGCATGAATATTTACTATTTGATGTTTGTTCCTGTGTTTGAGGAATTCCTCAGCCTCTCAGTTTTGACGAAAACAAGAAACCACCTCCTGCTTTAGAAGCTAAAATGTCAAATGCTTGCTTTCTCAGCCTCCTTTGCAGCTATCTGTTGCAAAGCGAACAAGTGGGAGTGGTGCTGGTGGCTTTGCAGTTAGCCTAGGATTGAGCAATTGCTGCAATTGTTGCTCTCTGCATCTTCGGTGTTACTTCTTACTGGTGGTGACAGTGGTTTCCTCCCTGGATGAGTTCTACAGCATGGTTTGGGGTACATTTCCTGGCTGCCTAGCTTTGATCTGGCTCTCTAGCCTTCTCAACAGTTCTACAAGTTCCCCACTATTTCTGTGATAAACCTATTTATTGTTAATGTCAGCCATAATTGGCTTCTGTGGTTTATATTTTTTAAAATTCCAAGATATACCAATGTAACAGATAGCTCAACAAACATATGTCTTTTTAAATTAAGATATATTCTGTGTCACATGAAGTACAATGGACAAAATGCAACAAATTGAATTGAGCTAAAGACCAAATATATATTAAGCCTGGCTGGTCTTAAAAATGTAACTGGATACAGCCAGGCATGGTGGCTCACGCCTATAATCCCAGCACTTTGGGATCCTGAGGTGGGCAGATCACCTGAAGTCAGGAGTTTGAGACCAGCCTGGCCAGCATGGTGAAACCCCATCTCTACTAAAAATGCAAAAATTAGCTGGGTGTGGTGGTATGCCCCTGTAATCCCAGCTACTCGGGAGGTTGAGGCAGGAGAATCACTTGAACCTGGGAGGCAGAGGTTGCAGTGAGCCCAGATCATGCCAATGCACTCCAGCTTTGGCAACAGAGTGAGACTTTGTTTCAAAATAAAAAAATAAAAATAAAAAAATAAAAACGTAACTGGATAGACCTAAGGATCTTGAATAAGCAGAAAATAATTTAGGTAAAAGCCAAATAATAAACTAACATTCTGAAAGGTTTAGGATTTGGAGGCCCAAATGTCTTAGCTAAAAGTGTTCATTCTAACCTCACAGGAAAATTGAAATATGAAAATATACAGAAAAATCTTAGGCAGTATTTATCAATTTTAAGAAACAACTATTTACAGGTTTTTCAATAGGCATTACATTAAAAACAAAATATATAGTTAATAAATATGAAAACTGTGGATATAATCAACACATTTATTTTACTTCTTGAAGTGTTAACATGTGCTGTCTCAAATATCAACAGTGTACACGTGAGAAAAAACATTTTACATAGATTTTCTGCGACAGAAAACAGCATCTCATTAGACATCCCAAGTTTTTTTCATTTGGAACACACACTCATTCCCCAGTATACTAGGGGTAATAATAATTTAGAGTTTAATTACTTTTTACTACTAGAAAACTAATTTTATGTTTGGCACAAATTTCTGAAATGATATTCCACTGCAAAGAATAATACCTATATATGGCCAGAATTACTTTTTTTCTATAACATTAAGATAATACTTGTCAGCCTGAGCAACAAAGTGAGACCTCATCTTTACAAAAAATAAATAAATTAGACGGGTGTTGTGGTGATGAGGGTCTGTAGTCCCAGATACTCAAGAGGCTGAGGTGGGAGGATCCCTTGAGCCTAGGAGGTCGCGGTTGCAGTGAACTATGATTGCACCACTGCACTCCAGCCTGGGTAACAGAGCAAGATCCTCTCTCAAAAAAAAAAAAAAAAAAAAAAAAAAGATAATATTGGTATAATTCAGGGTTTTTGCCTCAATCCCCATGCTTCTTCATTTGACCTTCCCTGACTCCCTGATGAATTTTAGTTTGAATTTTTGCTATAGTCCAGAAGTTAATTTAAAAGATCTTAAAATTTCCACCTGCCTAGATATTACTTATTTGTTACACTTTAGTCCATGATTTCTATTGTCATTTACATTACCCCAAAAATATGACCTGCTGAATTTCTGCTGTCATGAATTGACTAACATATTTTGGGCCTAAAACCTTTACATTTAGAATCTTTTTGTTTCGTATTGGAAAATATTGTAAGTCCTCCATTTATTGGTCAAAAGCACTGCCTATTTATTTCCATGCTTAATCAGAGAGACTTTCTAATAGTTATTTAATATTATTTACGTTCATTCACTTGTTGACTATAATGACGTTAGTTGCTATGATATTTTTAGGTCATTAATATAATAAAAATATGTCAACTTTTCTCTTCTGATGTGTCTTTGGGTTATTAATTTTTAACTCAGGTATCAAGCTTGTAAAATGTTTAATGGCTTATAATAATGTCTAACACATAGTATCCACTGAGTTCTGATAACTCTGGTTTATCAAATTCTCTTTTTTTGTACCATTCTCCAAATGCAATGCTATTTGGTTTTATTTTTATTTTTTAAAAATGTGCTGCCTGTTTTGAGTCTCTAAAAGTGTGAAATGCTCAGCATTTCCCAAATGTATTTGAACATGGAGTGTTATATTTACTAAAAAGTTAACAAGCAAGTATTCCCCTAAACACTCTAGCAAATACTACTAGTACAGACAAATTATGATGTAACATTATAGTACATTTTAACTTATTAGGTTAATTTTGGTTGCAAACAATCAAAATTCAAAATGGCTTGTATAATAAAGAGATTTTGAACAATAGTATAGGCTCAAGATAGCTTAATGCAGAAGTTTAATAATGACACAAAATAAATGCTTCTTGTCCTCCCTGTTTCTTCACTCTACCTTAAGTGATATAGATTGAATGTTTGTAGTCCCCCAAAATTTGTATGTTTAAATCTAATCCCTAGTGTGATGATATTTGGCAGTGGGTCTTCGGGGGGTGATTAGGTCATGAGGACAGAGCCCTCATGAATGGGATTAGTGCCCTTATAAAAGAGACCTTAGAGAACTTCCTTGCCCCTTCCTCCATGTGAGGACACAGCAAAAAGACAGCTGTCTGTGAACCAGGAAACAAATCCTCATTAGACCCTGAATCTGTTGACACCATGATCTTGGACTTCCTGGCCTCTAGAACTGTAAGAAATAAATTTATGTTGTTCATAAACCATCCAGGCTGTGATATTCTGGTATAGCGACCTGAAAGGACTAAGACATTAGGTCTCAGTTTTATTCTATGGCTTAAAATATCATGTCATGAGTAGACAACTTCCAATCCTAGTACCTCGTGCTTCCTCTGCTGCATTTGGAAAGAAGGCATTTCCCTCTTCAATCATGGAATGAAAAAGTTGTACTTCATTCTGATTTGATTAGCAGAAGGCACACGTTCCTTCCATGCACCAATTAAAATGACCAAGAATTGGGCATGGGACTCATGTCACTTAAACATTGTGAAGCTGAGAAATTCATTATTTGGTTAGGAGTGTGTGAGAGCAGGGAACACTGAATGCTTGAGACACCACCACGATGTCCACTACATGTATTTCCATTTCAGTAAACATTTCCATTAAGATAATGCTAGAACAAAATCAGAGGAGTAGATCTTGGTGTCCCCAACTTTTGTTGACCTAACAAAGTGAAGTTGCTTCAACTGGACACTTCTGAACCACATTTATGCCTATATGTTCAGTTCAAATTTATTATAAGCAATTTTCAGGTCCATATGTTTAGGATATTTCATTTGTTTGGTTATGCATTATATGTATACATGTTTTTAACATACATACGCCTCTACATATATTTTGGAGGCCTTTACACAAAAGTGTTTTCCCTGAAGGGAGAAGAGAAAAGTTGAATGCAGAAGTAGAAAAAAAAAATTCATTTGCACTTGTAGTAGTTATATCTAAATATTTTATATTACAGATGTATTAAAATTTTTATAATTTTAAACACTACTTTAAAACAGGGAGATGGTTTACCTTCAAAAAATTTGGCTCTCAACTCAAAGTTATCAAAGTATATCCTAGATGTAGTTTGCTTGTCAGGCTTCTACATGAAAATCTAAAATGCTCCTGCATTTCAGAATGAGCCTAACATATGTAATTGCACTCATCCACTATGTCTACATTGCCAACCAAATACTGACAGAGAGAGCTAGAGTGCCACAGAGAGCTGGCAGTTCCTCTGTTTGCATTAGCTTCTACTTGCTTCTTCATCTTTCCTCTATGTCTGACACATTTCATGTTACTGTTTTTAAATGTTCCCTTAGCTACAGAGCTAATGTGCTTATATCTGTAAGGGGTCTCATGTGAACCTCTAAATAATTAAAGATTCATTAGCTCCCTGGAGGGCCACCATGATTTCCAAAACAAGTCACAATACCTAAAGATCTAATTGTACAATTTCCCTCAGAAATAGCCTTGAGAAAGAAGTCACATCACTCAGCAATGAGTATTATAATTACTCACAGCAGTTTTCATGGTACTATATAACATCCAATTTACAGAATTAAAGGTAATGTAATTCAAAAGAAAAATAGCTGGTTTTAAGGAATGAAGGGCCATGTCAACTATTGGAAGCATCTTTGAACTGGAGCCTCTATGTTCGGGTTTCACCAGGTTTATGTTTTTAATTAATATCTGATTCAGCTTCCTGTAATTTCCATTGAGGTTTTCTAGAACAAGACAAGTCAGAAATTGATCTTTAATTATAAGCTAAGAGCAAACTGCCAAAGAACTGAGAGAAATTTTGAAGAAACAGGTCTATCAGGACTAACCATTTTAAGATAATAAAGACTAATCAGACACACACACATATGCACAAAAAGAGGGAGAGAGAGAACAAAAATCCTATGAAATACATTTTAAAAACTTAATTTTTTTAAGAAGAAGCATTTGATCTGCCAAAGAGAAGAGTTAGCAGTTTGGAGATCTGACATTGCTAATCTCAGGGCAAGAAAATAACAAAATAAGACACCAAAGAATTACCTAAACTGTGGAAGATGAAGCTTTCAGAGTTCTCACAGAGAAATGGGATACTAAAGTACCAAGTTTAAGAGGTGTAATCTATTAATGTTTAATTTATGTCCCAAATACTTAAAAACTATGTTTCATTGTTATACATATTTATTTTATTATAAAGATAATGAATGCAGTAGGGTTAGATTTAAATAATTCATTGGGTTTAAAATGAGAAATGAAAGTCTGGCTTTTTACAACCTACAGTCTTATCACCAAAGTTAGCTATTGTTAATAACTTCTTGTCCATTCTTGTATGTGTTATGGTTTCTTTCTTAGAAAGAAGTATGCTATACTAGTATACATGCTATTTATTCATGAACCTTGCACTTATCATGTAATCATATGTCTTAGTGGTCTTTTCATAATAGATGTCTCTCTTTCCCACGCTGTCAGTGGTGATTGCATGAGGCATTGTACAGACGTACCAATAATTACTTACTCTGTGTCATATTGTTGGTTATTCAGATTGTTTTCACTTTGCCCTTGCAGACAACACTGCAACGAACATCCTTATGCATATCTTATTCCAAATACATCATCGTGATGGCTGTGTGAGAGAAATATACATTGTTGATTTTATTTTTTTATTTTTTATAATTTCAACTTTTGATTTTAGATACAGTGGGTACATGTGCAGGTTTGTTACATGGGTATGTTGTGTAATGCTGAGGTTTGCAGCATGATTGATCCGATCACTCAGGTACTAGGCATAGTAGTTGTTTTTCAACCTTTACCCCCTCCCTCCTTCTACCCTCGAGTAGTCCCCAGTTTCTATTGTTCCCATCTTTGTGTCCACGTGTACTCAATGTTTAGCTCCTGCTTATAAGTGAGAATATGTGGTATTTGGTTTTCTATTCCTGTGTTAATTCGCTTAGCATAATGGCATCGAGTTGCATCCACGTTGCTGTAAAGGACATGATTTTATTCTTTTTTATGGCTGCAAAGTATTCCATGACATATATGTACCATATTTTCTTTATCCAATCCACAGTTGATGGGCACCTAGGTTGATTCCATGTCTTAGCGATTGTGAATTACACTGCTGATTTTAATAGAAACCACTAATTTTTATGCCAAAAAAATCATCAATGTGCACATGCTCCAAGGCTGTGTGAGCATAGCCCTTTTCCTTGGGATGTCAACAACACTGGGTTTTATCAAAATATAATTTTTGCCAATTTATTAGTTAACAAATGCTAACTCAGTGCTATTTGGATTTGAACTACCACTGGTGCTGAGCAACTTTTTACATAGTCACTGGCAATTTATTTATCTTTCTCTGTTGTTTATCTTTTTCTGTGTAATAATTTTCCCTATCTTCTACTCTTTTAAACATTAAGTTTTCACTGTTTTCTTAATAATTTTTAAGTTTAAAAAGTGACCTTTTGGCTGGGCGCAGTGGCTCACGCCTGTAATCCCAACACTTTGGGAGGCCAAGGCGGGTGGATCACAAGGTCAGGAGATCAAGACCATCCTGCCCAACATGGTGAAACCCCGTCTCTGCTAAAAATACAAAAATTGGCTGGGGTGGTGGCACGTGCCTGTAATCCCAGCTACTCGGGAGGCTGAGGCAGAAGAATCACTTGAACCAGGGAGTTGGAGGTTGTAATGAGCCAAGATCACGCCACTGTGCTCCAGCCTGGCGACAGAGCGAGACTCCGTCTCAAAAGAAAAAGTGACCATTTTATCTGCTGCATATAATTCTAATGATATTTCTCAATTCGTTTATCTTTTAACAATGGTAATATATAATGTCTTGCTATTTAGAAAGATTTTTAAAAGTATTTTACATAAAGAAATTTTTATTCTTTGCCATTAATACTTGCAGGTTTGGAATTTTCAGGACCTCCTCAAAGGCCACCTACAGGAAATGCTCTTCAAAGACATTTCACTTTTTCCCCACTTGATTGTGGAGCAAAGACTAACACTGGCAATGCTTTGAAGTACTTGAGTCAAATGGGTCTCTCATGTGGTCATTACTATACTCACTCTCAGGCTCCAATGCAAATTGTTTCCTTACGCCAACTACTCTTGCTTTCCTTTAATAGACCTATTCCTCCTGGGCTGTCTGAAACTAACATTTCATTGTAAATAAAGTCCTGCAAATCCTTGGTATCTCAAAGAACCCTCCTTCCATTTAGTTTTAGGAGAACTCTCCTTCTAAAACTCTATTCTTCTCCCTGGAGTCCAGATCCCCATTCCTTGCAACAAATGAACGCTTGATTTGAGCACTGAAGGGAGATAATTGGAAGTTTGACTTTGTGTTCTAGGTTTTCCCTGCCAATATATGCAGCGTCTTTAAAACTAATTGGGCTGAGGCAGGAGAACTGCTTGAACCCAGGAGGAGGAGGTTGCAGTGAGCCGAAATTGCACCATTGAACTCCAGCCTGGGTGATAGAGCAAGGCTCCATCTCAAAAAAAAAAAAAAAAAAACAGCAAAAAGAAACTAATTAGGTTCAAGAAGTTCGAATGAATTCAACTTAGACAAGCTCTTAAGCAGACATGTTGGAAGTTCCAGAAAAGACAGTTTGGGAAAATATTTTATTAAAAAAAAAAAAAGACTGCCCTCCACTTCCTCACTCTTTCTTCCCACTTATTTTCACTCCACTGGTGCAGTTTGGTGTCAACTCTCCTCACTCTACTGAAACTGCTGCAGCCGAGGTTACTAGTTATTTAATTAACAAAAGCAATAGATTTTGTTTTTTTTAATTGCATTATACTCTACTATTTTGTGACATTTAAACTATTGACAATGTCTTTCTTGAAAATGTGTCCTTTTTGTTTTTTTCAAAACACGACTTTCTCCTTGATGTCCTCCTTTTTCTCTCATTATTTCACCTTTACATTCTCTGCTGACACCTTTCACCTTACCAAACCTTAATTAAATGTGTATGCTTCCCAGTCTCCCATTCTTGGCTCTCTTCCCTTCCCTCTTATTGATCATTATTGTATTCTGTGATCTCACCAGTTCTCTTGGCTTTAACAATAACCAGATGACTCCAGAAAACTATTCAAAATTCCGGACCTATGGAGACTTTGCACCCAGATATGTACCAACAACTCAACCTCAGTTATCTCTAATATTATCTCATTAAGTGCCCTCTAACTACAGAATGACTCCTCCTTCTGGGTTTCCTCTGCCTGAATGGCACCACCATTCAGTGGCCCATGACAAATTTGGACCTCATTTGGAACTTCTCCCTTTCCCTCATGTTTCATTTTCTCTTGGCTAAAGAGTTATTAGATTCTTCATTTTTAGCTTTTCTCTAGCCTATCTTCAATTTTATAGTGGACAGTTATGTATATCCTATATCCCAGGAGAGAAGGGATATCTTCTTCTATGCCCATACTATGAACTAGCATATCCTTTGAGTCCTTTCTTTGTATGAAGCACTGGGGAAATTTAATCAACTTCATAATCACTTATAATCCTCACAGTAATTTTATGAGATAAGTTCTATTTATTATCCCTATCTTAAGGATGAGGAAACTGTGGTTTAAAGAGCTTAAGTAATTTGGGCAAATCATGAAAGAAGCAGTGAAGACAGAATTCAAATCTAGGCAACCTGAAATCTGAGCCTGAGCACTTTGCCTCCCTAATAACTATCTCCCTTTGAGAGTTGTATTACAAAGTTGACAACATTTAGCAACCCTTATTCCCCTCCCCACCCCTATCTCTCTCCAAGAAATCTGCTGTGAGGTAGAGAATGTGTTGATTTTCTCTGCAGTTTTTAGTGCATAGCATAGGGCTTAGAAAGGAGAAAATGATGAAAAATATTTATTAAAATAATTGTTTTTCTTTGATAGTTGTTATAACCATCGAATTGTGAGTGCTTAACAATTACTATAAAGGAGAATGGAAATCACAGATCTTTTCACAGAATTTTTTTTTTTTTTTTTGAGACAGAGTCCAGCTTGTCACCCAGGCTGGAGTGCAGTGGTGCGATCTCAGCTCACTGCAACCTCCACCTCCTGGGTTTAATCACTTGCCTTGGCCTCCTGAGTAGCTGAGATTACAGGTGTGCACCACCATGCCTGGCTAATTTTTGTATTTTTGGTAGAGATGGGGTTTCACCACATTGGCCAGGCTGGTCTCAAACTCCTGACCTCCAGTGATCCACCCATCTCAGACTCCCAAAGAGCTGGGATTATAGGCTTGAACCACCGTGCTGGGCCTTTCTTAGAGAATTTATAGTTTACCTGGAAATGTAAACTATATATATACTTAAACTGAGGGATATTTACAAAAGAGCTTTCTACTTAACCCACAAGAAGCTGTATTAATAACAAAGCAAATCAAGCTTGTTCACAGGCAACTGAATGGAATGAATGGTTTTGATTGGTGTTGCCAGTTATATTTCTAACAAGAGAAAATTCAATGTGAGCCTCATTTGGAAACAAGATATTACAGAGAGGAAAATTTGGGATTAAGGTCAGATTTGGTGCAACTATGCTAGATACAGAAAAGGCAAACTTTCAGCTCAATCCCCAGCTAAGTACAAGTTCAATGGTGAAGGCATAAGAAAATGAGCCATTATAATAAGTCTGAAATAAGTTTATGATTCCACCTCAATATGGGCATGCAATATATTCTAACATTTAATCCCTGGAAAAAATGATGACATCACACTGAAATCTTGACTCATAAGAGAACTTTTTTATGCTGTTCCCTAAGTCAGTTTATTTCTACTTCATTCTTGCGTTAAGGGTAGGCTCAATTCTTACTCATTCAAAAACGGTATCACCTGAAGCTTTTCTTTAATTCTTGTTTTCTCTGCAGTGAGAAAATTAATCAAGGGGTTAAAATGTATATTAAATTATATATGTATTATATGTAAAAGTTATATAATATAGATCAGAGAAGAATATATTGCATATGTTATAGGCTGAATTGTGTCCTTTCCCCAAATTAATATGCTGTACCCTGCCCCCTGCCATCCCAGTATATCAGAAGGTGGCTATATTTGGAGATAGAGACTTTTAAGAGGTAACTAATGTAAAATGAGGTCACATGTCTGGGTCCTAATCCAATATCACTGGTGTCCTTATTTGAAGAGGAAATTTAGGTACAGACATACATGTGCACAGAAAAAAGTCCATGAGAAGACAAGATGAGAAAATGACTATCTAAAAGCCAAGGAGAGAAATTTCAGAATAAAATTAACACATCTGATGCCTTGACCTCACACTTCTAGCCTCCAGAACCGTGAGAAAATAAATTTCTGTTGTTTAACTCACCCAGTCTGCAGTAATTGTTATAACAACCCTAGCAAAGTAATATAGGAAGTATATATATATATATATACACACATACATATATATATATACACATATTTGTGTGTGTGTGTGTGTGTATATATATATATATATATATATATATATATGTGATAGAGTAGATAGATAGAGACATATACAGTCATCCCTCAGTATTAGTGGGGTATTGCATTCAGGAGCCCTGCATATAAGGAAGTCTGCACATACTCAGGTCCCACAGTCAACCTTGCAGAGCTCGCATATGAAAAGTTGGCCCTCAACATATGTGGGTTTCACGTCCCACAAATACTATATTTTCAATCTGTATTTGGCTGAAAAAATCCACCTATAAGTGGACTCACACAGTTTAAACCAGTGTTATTCAAAGGTCAACTGTTGATATATAGATATATAAATATCTCATATGTATAGAGCAAGCGAGAGAAAAAATCTCTAATCTCTCTTCCTTCCTGCTCTTTTTGGATTGCAAACTCTTCTCTCATAAGTACAAAAAGTAATGTTAACAAAGTAAAGAGAATTGGAAATAGTAGTGTTTTTGACCACTAGTGTTTTGTAATTTTGGAAAAAAGAATTACTGAAATGTAACTTTTTATTTATATTGAGATGTTTTGACTCATACTCCAATCATACAGAAATAATAGATAAAATATGAAAAAGACTTCTTTTTACATACATAGCTGGATTAAAATATTAGAAATAATTTTCTTCCCTCAAAGGATCCCCTATTTAATAAACGGTGCTGGGAAAACTGGCTAGCCATATGTAGAAAGCTGAAACTGGATCCCTTTCTTACACCATACACAAAAATTAACTCAAGATGGATTAAAGACTTAAATGAAAGACCTAACACCATAAAAAACCCTAGAAGAAAACCTAGGCAATACCATTCAAGACATAGGCACGGGCAAAGACTTCACGACCAGAACACCAAAAGCAATGGCAACAAAAGCTAAAATAGACAAATGCGATCTAATTAAACTAAAGAGCTTCTGCACAGCAAAAGAAACTCTCATCAAAGTGAACAGGCAATCTAAAAAATAGGAGAAAAGTTTTGCAATATACCCATCTAACCAAGGGGTAATATCCAGAATCTACAAAGAACTTCAACAAATTTACAAGAAAAAAGCAACCCCATCAAAAAGTGGGCAAAGAATATGAACAGACACTTCTCAAAAGAAGACATTTATGCAGCCAACAGACACATAAAAAATGCTCATCATCTCTGGTCATCAGAGAAATGCATATCAAAACCACAATGAGATACCATCACATGCCAGTTAGAATGATGATCATTAAAAAGTCAGGAAACAACAGATACTGGAGAGGATGTGGAGAAATAGGAATGCTTTTACACTGCTGGTGGGAGCGTAAATTAGTTCAACCATTGTGGAAAGCAGTGTGGCGATTCCTCAAGGATCTAGAACTAGAAATACCATTTGACCCAGCGATCCCATTACTGGGTGTATATCCAAAGGATTATACATCATGCTACTATAAAGATGTATACATGCACACGTATGTTAATTGTGGTGTTATTCACAATAGCAAAGACTTGGAACCAACTCAAATGTCCATCAATGATAGATTGGATTAAAAAATGTGGCACATATGTGCCATGGAATACTATGAAGCCATAAAAAAGGATAAGTTCATGTCCTTTGCAAGGACATGGATGAAGCTGGAAACCATCATTCTCAGCAAACTATCACAAGGACAGAAAACCAAACACCGCATGTTCTCACTCACAGATGGGAGTTGAACAATGAGAATGCATGGACACAGGGTGGGGAACATCACACACTGGGGCCTGTCAGGGGGTGGGGGGCTGGGGGACAGATAGCATCAGGAGAAATACCTAATGTAAATGACAAGTTGATGGGTACAGCAAACCAACATGGCACATGTATACCTATGTAACAAACCTGCATGTGATGCACACGTACCCTAGAACTTAAGATTAAAAAAAAACATTTCTTCCCTCATGAGGTACAAAGCCAAGCATTACACTGGGGCCATGATAGTCCAGGTTGCTGAAAGATTTAGATCTAAAGACTGAAAATTGGGATATATATTGAGAGAGAGAGAGAGAGAGAACAAATGGTAACCTAAATTTAATAAAATAATAATAGACAAATTAGGGTAACAGGCATATGAGTACTTTTTGTTCTAACAATTCTTTTATTTTCAAACTTATCTATGATCTTACATTTATTTCCCAATAAAAAGGATTTTAAGTTAAAAAAAGAAAGTTTTTCTTTAGTAACATTTTCACAACTAGGGCCTTTAAGACTGAGGAAATACTCCAAGCTCTGAGCAAACTCAGTAAGTATAAATCCATATGTAGACATACCACAGTAAAATGCAAGATACTAAACACTAATACAATATTTTCAAATCAACCAGAGACGGAAGGCAGATTACCTGCAAAGGAAGGACAATTACTTTATCACAGACTTCTCTTCATCAACGAGAACAGACAATACAGGAATAACATCTCCCAAGTTGTGAGGGAGACTAACAGATGACATGAAATTCTACGACCAAATAAAGCATAATTCAATGGGCAGCAGTTAACAGAATTAAGCTGTTTCCAGACATCTATGGAGAGATTTAACTCAAAGATGTCACTGTAAATTTGATTGTTGAGATGTAGTAATGGATACTTGGCAAGGTTATTGAATTAGTTAAACGATCTTCAAAGCTTAGGTCATGTATCTTCATTAAACACATGGTGCTTTGCATTTACTAAAGAAGGGCCTCCGTTTTCTCTCCAAATAAATCATTGCGACCTTAGCACCCCAAGTGTAAAAACCTCTTTTATTTCTATTCTTGATCTCTAGTCCCTGCTTATGTGTATGCATAAATGCATGACACCGTGCTTCTCTTTTAGTTATTTATTTCTAGAGATCATGTCTTTGAAAATCATTATATTCCCAGCAACTATTTAGAGTGGTACTAAGCTAACTTGGTTTATGGTGTCAACCGCATAGCAGTTATTTGATTGGCCCATTCCTTTATAAAATATTTTATGCTTAGATGATGAACTCCACATAAATTCAGCCAGGAGAATGTTTTCCTTGGCAATCTCTGGGAGATTACAAATGTTCCTTTTTTTTTTTTTTTTTTTTTTTTTTTGAGATGGAGTCTCGCTCTGTCTCCCAGGCTGGAGCCTAGTGGCGCGATCTCGGCTCACTGCAAGCTCCACCTCCTGGGTTCACGCCATTCTCTTGCCTCAGCCTCCCGAGTAGCTGGGACTACAGGTGCCCGCCACCACGCCCGGCTAATTTTTTTGTACTTTAGTAGAGACAGAGTTTCACCGTGTTAGCCAGGATGGTCTCGATCTCCTGACCTCATGATCCACAAGTCTCGGCCTCCCAAAGTGTTGGGATTACAGGCGTGAGCCACCGTGCCCGGCCTACAAATGTTACCATTAACTCCTCCTTCTGCTAAGAAATAAACCAAAATAAAATTATTCACAAATATAACTGTTTTGATCATGCTTTCAGATGATATGTAAAGTAGCCCACAGAAGGTAAATAATATTCAGGGGAAATAAATTATTACTTAAGAGTGGGTGCTGAGAAAAAGAAATGTGTGAAGTGTGAGGTAGGAAGTATGTGAGAAAAGCTAGGGCACAGTTGTGTCTTATATTTTTGTTAAAATCTGCCTGTTAAGACTTCCTGATTGGGTAATGGGAATGATACAGTAAAATACTCTTCCTCAGAGTGTCTGACACCACTGTGATAATTTACTACATAAAAGTACAAGTTACATTATATAAAAAGAATGGCCTGGCTCAGTGGCTCACGCCTATAATCCCAGCACTTTGGGAGGCTGAGGCAGGTGGATCATCTGAGATCAGGAGTTCGGGACCAGCCTGGCCAAAAGGATGAAACCCTGTCTCTACTAAAAATACAAAAAATTAGCCAGGCATGGTGGCAGGCACCTGTAATCCCAGCTACTCAAGGGGCAGAGGCAGGAGAATCGCTTGAACCTGGGAGATGGAGGTTGCAGTGAACTGAGATCATGCCACTGCACTCCAGCCTGGGCAACAAGAGCGGAAACTCCGTCCCCCCAAAAAAAATGACACCAAGAAACTGAGGTTTCTAGATGAGGGTTACACAATGTGGATCTAAAAGCAACAGGGAAAGGAAAAGGATTTGGGCCTAGAATGTGGGGAATTTTAGATGCTGCAGAAAGCCTTCTGGTGTCTTTCTAGAATGGCTGGATTTTGGTTAAGGCAAAGAAGAAGTAACTTTTCATGGAGAACAGTAGCATACAGGAGTGCGGATGGTTTGATCATTTAAGGCAGGGATGTGAGGTTTGATGGAATATGTTGATAACAAAGATTCTTTGCTTGGCCAACTTTAGTCAGGCTTCTAAATCTTCAGCTAGGCTAAACTGTGCACTTCCTCGCAAAATCCAGCATTAGCAAAGAACACTGCCAAGTTTACCAAAGAACCCCTCATTCTCAATATCTGATCAGGTTCTTCATTCTTCACCATTCTGCAGGTGATGTCTGATCACCCTGGCCAGTCTTCAGCAAGAATTCTTTCAGGGCGGTTTAGCCAGAATCTCCCTTACTCCTGATGTTTCCTCTTAGTGATTTTCCATTCACTGACCCCTGCATTGCTCCTGGGCTATAAATTCCCACTTCCCCATGCTGTATTCAGAGTTAAGCCCATCTCTCTCCCCAGCTCCAAGACTGTGTTGCAGTGGTTCCTATATCTATGGTGATGGTCTTGAATAAAGTCTTCTTTACTGTGCATTTGAAGTATCACTGAATAATTTTTTATTTAACAACTATGGTGTTGAAACTCAACTAGGACAGATTCATCACTGGATCCTGGGCCTCTCACTCAGAACCCTAAATGCATGCCTTTGAAGTCTTTGTTGTCATTTCTGACTGATTAGGGATCCGTTGGTGAATCAGATTCCTGAGCCATTGTTCCAGACAAAAGCCCGTTGATGGCTAAGGACAGATTTTGAATCTGAAGGGATGAATATTCTCTCTGAAGCTGGAGTAGAGTCGCAGGCTTCTTTTGAAAGCAATCCTCTGGGCAGGAAGGTCTTCGTGTGGGCTTCTTGTTCTGAGTGGTCTATTCTCTGAGTCCCTAGGCTAGAAGTCTCTTCTTTCTGGCTCTCTTTTTCTGAGTGAGGGGTTATTCCCTGATTCCCTGGGCTACAAATTGTTCTTCCTGGCTCTCTATAAAACCACTCTGCTCTTTCTCTTCTCTCTATTGGATCCTGCTTCTCCCATGGGAGCTCTGTCACCTGAAACCCCTCTTCTCAAGTCTCTGCTGACTATTTCCATAGCTGGTAGTCACGACGAGGAGACAACTGTGTAGGGTCAATATCTGGGCCAACCATCCTGAGGAACTGTGAGGTTTAGAACTGGAAATTGTCAAGAGAATCCGAACCCAGCTACCATATAAGAGAGTTCAACTTATGTTCAATGTGAATGCCATGGCAATATTAAAAGGTAAGAATTCGATCCATACGTACTTGAGGTAAATAGGAGAAACCTAGAATTTATGTAAACAGTGAGAAGATTGGATGCGTTTTCCGTCTCATATTTTAATACTGGCAGCATATTATATATGTCAAACCATCAGGCATTCAGAAATACATGCTTATGAAAATTTTTTGCACCATCAGACAAAAGACAAGGGTAGAAGACATTTGTAACCCTATAAACACTAGTAAATTAAAAACAGAAGGACCTTAATGTCCTAACATACCTGTGTTGTGAAAGGCTGCCCTGTGAAATACCGGATTTCTTAAACATATTTTAAAAATCATAGGCGTCAATATTTTTTAGATATCCTTTTAAATTTTCTCGTTATTTTACAATGCCTATTTATTTATTTAGTGGCTCTGCTGATTTTGATGTATATCCAAAACTTTATATTTTCTTTAAAAGATGTTTTATACAACTTTATGTAAAATGTTTCTGTATCTTCACATTCTCTCCCTGTCCTTTTGTTTTGCTCTTATATGGTGGTCCTGAGTCTTTTCTCTGGCTTTTCAAACCTAGTAAGACTATGACACTAAAGTAACTTTGCCCGTGGTTTGATAATGCCTTCTAAAGCACATCCTAAGCTCTCGTGCATACAGGGGTCTCCTTTGAGCTCTGTGCTTTTGAGATCCCATACACCTAAATTCCAGTACTCCAAATCAGTACTGCTCAGTTTTAGTGACTAAGTTTAAAAATGTATTTTAATAGCAAGTTAGTTTAGTGCCCTCTTGCTTCTTTCTTGACTGCTTGTATACATGTATATTCCTTTAAATGAATCTTGGAATTTATTTAAAAATATTAAATTATACTAATGAAACTGTATAATGTTGTGAATTCATAAGTGAATTTGGAAAGAATTTGTCTTTATGATGCTAAATCCTTTTTATCCAAGAATCATATGTGTCTTTATATTTATTCCAGTCTATATTTATATCACTGAGTAAATACATAGAAATGTGGATAAATACAGCTGTAGTTACAGATACAAATATAGATATAGCCTGTTAAATCTATATCTATCCCATATAACATATATACATGTTATATGTGTGTGTTTATATATATATGTTTATGTCATTAAAGAGCTCCCTTAATATTTTTCTTTTATTTCCCATAAAATTTAGGTCGAGCTTGAATTTTGCTTGTATAAACAAGTAAAAATTTATACTAGTTTTAATACTGATGTTTAGACATTGTATCTTATTTTAGTGCTGAATATTTTCACAATTATTATAAATATCATCTAATAATAATAATGTACCTGATAAAAATATTTAAAATTTTACCTTTGAATTATTTTATTGTTGAATTAAAATTCCTTTAATATGATAGTCAATTTCTGTTTTATGCTTTCTCTATGCATATGCAAATTAATGTATCCACTTCTCTGTCTCTATGTAGTAACATATGAAAATCAGGCCTCTCTTCTTCTAATGGACATACACATGTTTGCATATAGAATATCAGACCCTTTATAGCATTTAAAACCTTTAAAGACATGAATATTGCCTTTTAACAAACATATTTTAGCATGTACTGAGAATCCCCTATTTATTTTTAATTTGGGCTAATCAATACGATTATTAATATTACTGGATTACCAAATTTGGAAACACACTTTCATCCCGAAGGTGGATATTTGTTTTTTTTTTTTTTTTGCCAATTTCTTGTCTTACTGTTTCAAATATTGTTGGATATTATTTGTATTTTATTTGGCATTTTAGTATCAACATTTGTAATTGAGGTACTCTACATATTTTTTCATCAATATCTGGTGGGTTTCATAGTTACTGCTATATTGGATTTGTAGTAGACATTGACAAAAATTATTCCTGTATGTTTTATAGCTGTATGAAGGAAACTAATATATTTTACCCCTAAATATATTTCCTTGATATATTTCAAAATGGCTATTGAGAAGGGCTGGAAAAGCAATGTTAGCTGCAAAGCTGTCTTGGGGAGATTTGCATCGGTAGAGAATCTGCCCTGATGCAGCCAGGTTTTCTCTGAGGTCTGCCCCCTTGTCTGGATCTAGGAAAGGTTAACTGAGAGGCTAAGTCTCCAAAGGTCTGAAAGAAACATTTTCTTTCTATTCTCTCTGAGGACTACTCCCAGTGAGGTTCCACCTATATAATAAGTCCACTGTTGCTAGCCAGGGTCGTTTTCTCACATAACCTTTTTCTTTCTTTTCCCTGTGATCCAAGACCCCATTTTTCTGTAAACTTCATGTGGTAGATAAGCTTCTGCACGCATCGTGTGACTGGGTCTTCGTTCTAAGGGTTCCAGTGTACACACATTACAGAAACCTGCATGCCTTTTCTACTCTTTATCTGCCTCCTATTAGTGATTTTCAGGGAGACTTCAGAAGACAAAAGGGACATTCTCCTTTAGCCTATTCTCAGACCAATTCCCCCAACATTTAACTGATTCCTAATAGCTTAAAATCACTTTGAAAAATCCATATATTTATATCCTTTTCTTCCCTCTATGATTTCTGGTCAGCTTGGGTTTTGTTTTTCATTCCATTTACTTCATCCTCGAAAAGATCTATTTTACGTCTATTTATTCTCATTTATGGACATTGAGAAAAGAAAATAACTTTCATGTGAGAAATGCAAGTCCTTTGAAATAATCAGGCCCAGAGAGATATTCAAATGACACAGCAGTTCTGTCCTGCTCCTCTTTGAGCTGTGTGTTCATCTAGGCTGCTTGCTGTTGCCACAGTAGCTATAAATTAACCAATAAGGCCACACCAGACACTATAATCCACACCCCATAATAGTGTAACAGTGTGTAGCCAGTCACTAATAAATGTTATTTCCATAAGCCAATGAGAATTTGTGACAAACCTCTTTGCGTCATCACACTTCTGGACCCTTTTTTGCCTTTAAGTAACTTCTTGTTGCAAAGCTCCAAAGGGAGTTCACATCCAAGGATATTTGGGTCTGTTTCTTCCAGGCAGCTGTCCTCACTGTGGCTCAAGTAAACTCTTTGAATTACATTTTGTGCTTCAGCTCCTTCCACTTAGATTAACAACATGGATTTGTGTCACCATGTACAGCAATTAAAATGTTTACACTTTTCCCCTCGAGAGCACTGATGTGTTTTCCTGAGCACTTGGAATAGCTACGTAGTGTTTCCTGTCTAGATTATGGTTTCTCAACCTTGGTGCTACTTACCTTTAGGACCAGAGGATTCTTTGTTGTGGGAGGCTGCCCTAGCAATGATAGGTGTTTCGTTTGACCTCTAAATTTCACACCTCCACCAGTCTTGACATCCCCACGATAACCCTAGACATTGACAAATGTCTCCTGGGGAAAACTCTCCACCAGTTGACAGGTAAAGTTCTGGAAATATTGGATTTGTCAATTGAGATTTTATGTTATCCAAAACAAATATTTTTCTTTGTTCTTAAACATCTACTTCCATCTACTTATCTACTTATTTTTACTTTTATTTGTAACTTAATTCCATCAAGGAGAGAGAGTGCATTTTCTGTTATGCTAAATTTTTGAAGAATGTATTGATATTTTATGACCTGATATATGGATGATATGTAGATATTACATGTTTGTATTATCAAATTTCAGGGTGATAATAAAATAAATACTTATAATATTTATATTGTCACTGTATATTAGTTATTTTCTTTCTTCACTACAGGAGTTTTTCAACCTATAGGCTATGTTTCAATTCTAGGTTATCCAGTAGATTTTGAAATGTTATGATTAAATATCTACTTCTCAAGCATTCATCTTTGCAAATGAAACAATCCTAAGCTCTTATAATACACATCATATAAAGGGCAGACTAGTCAATGTATGGTTCAGAAATAATTAAGTAATATTTATAAGAAAATTAAAAATTTATATCCTTAACTCAGATAACAATAATCCAAATTAAAATTTGATTTCATTACATAATTTAAAATGACATCAGAATGCTAGTAAAAATTATACAAAAAATTTATGTAATCTTATTAAGCTGTGGGACTTTATTAGCATAAATTCAAATACAGGAACCAAAGTAAGATTGAGACCTATAGTCAAAGGTTAAAATGTACACATTATAGGGGCATGATTAAACTAATTTAAAGCATAATAACATGGAGAAATATTGCAAAACATACATTTTACTGAATTAATTGTTAGTATCTAATCATTTTGTGAGAACCAAATTAAAAAGTAGCTACACACGCACACACCCACACACAAGTGCAATACTGTCAAATAAACGATGTTCAGCTACACTAGAAATCACACCTGTGTTTTCTCCACAGAAAAGATTAAAAATCGCAATAATTTTTATTGTACATATGGAGGTAAAGATACTCAAAATATTACCCTAAAATACATTATTTTTTTGAGATGGAGTTTTGTTTTTATTGCCTAGGCTAGAGTGCAATGGCACAATCTTGGCTCACTGCAACTTCAGCCTCCCAGGGTCAGGTAATTCTCCTAGCTCGGCCTCCCAAGTAGCTGAGATTACAGGCATGCACCACCACACTCGGCTAATTTTTTGTATTTAGTAGAGACGGCGTTTCACCATGTTGGTCAGGCTGGTCTCCAACTCCTGACTTCAGGTGATCTACCCACTTCAGCCTCCCAAAGTGCTGGGATTACAGGCATGCGCCTGGCCAGCTTTTTGACATATTTCACGATGGCTACTCGGAAGACTGGAGATAGCTTCTTCTACAAGAATAGCTGAAAAGCTGTGTTTGTTGGGGAGATTTGCATTTGTAGAGAAAATCTGCATTGATATAGACAGGCTTTCCCTGAGATACTCCCTTGTCTGGGTATAGGAATGATTAACTGAGCCTGGCACGTTTACATTTCTAAAAGCCATTTCCTATCTATACTTCCCAAGAGGAGGGCTGCTCCCTGTGAGGTTTCATCCATGTAACAAGACCACCTCTGCTGCCAGGCTCCTCTTTCTTCCTTGTCGTCACCTGTCTTCCACAAAGCCTGATTTACCAACCTACAGCTCTGTGTTTTCTGCAACCTCAAGACAGCATAGGCGTGTTGACTACCTTGCCTTTCCTGGAGTTTTTATATAAAGAGTATATATTTGTATATCTCTTTATAATATACAAATATTTGTATAGATATATTTATATATATTATGTAAACTCCAAGTGCATACTTGTGCACATATCTGTAAACCTTTTTTTCCTGTTAATTTGTACATTATCAGTTTGTTTTATAGACTCAAATAATTAAAGCTTCAAGGGAAAAATTTAAATTTTCCTATAGAGAAAAGACAAATATATAGGTGACAAATAATATTTAGAGTGTAAGACGCTTTTTAAAGGTATATTTGCAATTTGTGTCAAAACATTGAAATGTACATTTGTTATTTTAACAATAAAATTTCAATTAATTTAAGCCAAATACATAGTATATGCAGAAAATTTAGCAATATATCTATGTAGCACCTTACTGTGCATTATTGTAACCAGCCGTCTAATATAAAGAATTAAGGTAGCAGCTGCTTTCCAAATAGCGCATTTTTTTCACAGACCTATTAAATAAGACAAATAACATTTAAACTTTATTTTTAAATTTGCAGAATAGCAGTTTTCAGCAGATGGTTTATTTTAGCAAATTCCATCTTCACATTGTGCTATGCTTTTATGAGTTCCAGCTGTTAACGGATACTATTTTACTGCTGAAACTATCCTGTGTGATATAATTGCTCATTATGTGCCTTAAAACACAAGCAATATAATTATTTTCAACTTGGAGCAAATTAAAATCTTATCAGCAATTTAAAATCTCTAGAGTCATCTTCTTCTGGTTAATTATTTTAAACTTGTATTTTTCTCTTTATGTTTTTAGTGAGTTCTCTTATCAAGGAGAAGATCTCAAGGTGATTATTCTTTTTTTTCTCTTCCATGCACCTCGCAGGTGTGTTAATAATTTCATTTCTCAGAAAATATTCTTTCATATCTATCTTACAAGATGAGAGACCTTTTAATATCTTCCATTCGGATGTGATACCAGTAATGGAACATATTCCAGCTTCATGAATATGGTGATACAAATAGTTATTCATCTAACCTCTTTCAGTGCCAAATGTTTACTATACTCAGTGAGTTACTCAGTTGACTGGTAATTTCTTCTGAAATCACTAATGAGAGGATCAGAGGTCTGGCTGTTGTCTGTACCTCATATGACTCCCAGTGCAGACAATTGTTTCTATGGAGCACAGACAGTTGAAAGGATTGACTTCCTGCCTAGAATAGTTTCTGCTGTGCTTCTTATCCTTCTTGTGGAGATTTCAGATTACCTGAATTGCTTTTCTATCTTAAGAAAAAACGCAACAATTCTCCCACCTGAGAGGAATGTAAACTGAAGTAAGTTAACAGAACCAATCCATAAAGTTTTTACATTGTTTGTTGCAAAATGCAGCGCTGGTGTCTCCATCACTAACCTTTTCTATCCCTCATTGCTCTTTCTTTGACTGCAATAGGATACCTCTATGCAAATCTGTATTCCCGAGACTGAGTGCCCTTTTGGTGAGCTATAAGCACACTCAATGGTAGGCTGAAATACTAGTTTTTATCTATGGCGAAATGGAATCATATCAGTGAATTTTTTAAAAAGGAAATTTAACTCTTGCTATGGTTTGAATGCTTGCCCCTTCCAATCTCATGTTAAAATTTGATCCCCAATGTTGCAGGTGGGGCTCACTGGGAGGTGTTTGGTCATGGGTTTGGACCTTCATGAATGGATAAAACTCTCCCTTAGAAATCTAAAGCTATCCTCCCTCCTCGGTGCCCTCAGGAATGAGTGTACCATTCCTTATTCACCTATGATTACCCCACCCATCCTTTTTGAGATATTGACTACATGTATGTTACACTGATGCACATTGTCTGACCTATGAGTGAGTTTCTGGTTTTCTTATTTTAGTTTACCGTTTGTCCTTTAGTTTGTAATGCTTCCAATTTGTTCTATAAATGTTCTGATGTTAGGGTAAAATCCATTACTTATTCTATCTCATGGAATTTTTATTTCAAGTATTTATTTTTCATCTATATATGTCACATTTTTCATTTTATAACTTTTATTTTTCTCCTATATTTAATTTTCATTTAAGTACCTTGACATATATATGTATTTATCTATATGTATTTATAAAATATATTTACTTTAAGGATCTTGAAATTTCCTTCTTTTCTGTCATTTATAAATGACTTATTTTTATCCTGTTAATATATATTTTAATTATATATGTCTTACAGCTTCTTTGCATTTCAGAGTTTTTTTTTGGGTATTTTGATGTTATGCTATTGAATATCTAGATTTTATTGGCTACCTTTGAATAATGTTGTGACAGGCAGTTCAGTAACTTCAGGATGAGTATTTGTCTGTTGTTTTAAATCTTCTCTTTAAACTTTGTTGAGTTAGTCTAGAGCCATCTGTAATTTGGAGCTAAATGAGCACTGTCACTAGGGCATGAACCTCCAGTGGTCTTTACTGAATATCCTGGAGGTACAGAGGGGATTCCCTTCTCTGATTAGAATTTGGAATATAAAGAGAAAAGAGAAAAATAGAAAGCTATGCATAAACACGTGCATTAAAATGAATTTTATGTGGGCTTTTTCATGAAAATGTTCCTAAGGTATTTTATTTTTTTTATTGTGGTAAAATGCACATAACATAAAATGTAATCTGTTAACCATTTTAAGTGTACAGTTCAGTGGTACTAAATATAGTCATAACATTGTGCAGCCGTCCCTACCATCCATCTCCATAATTCGTTTCATCTTGTAAAACTGAAACTCTATACCCATTAAACAATACTTCCCCATTTCCTCCTTCCCCCAGCTTCTGGCAACCATCATCGTACCATCTCTATAATGCTAATCAAGCATAGTGGCTGTGTTTCTTGCTTCCTCTAGTCCGCAGGTAGCATACAAATGTAATAAACTACTTATTCATGTCGCATCTATTTATTTTCTGCCTTATACCAAGCTTGTGGGATTCTCTTAAATACAACATTTTTATACTTACACCTATGCAATACCCATTAGCATCGCCTTCCTAAATCAGGGGAAATTGAGCTTCTGTCAGGTGGAGTAACTTCCTAAGATATAAAACTCAGCATTGAAGTCTGTATACTTCAATATCCTGCCCTCTTCTCATGTGTCTTTACTGCCTTTTATGTATGTGTTAGATGTTCAACAAATTCTCTTTTTTAAACTGAATTTAAGCCGTGGAGCAGTGTTTTGTTGAACAATAAATATGATATAGGACACTCTTCCTCCTTTTCATGTATGATCCTGTTCATGAAAAAGAGAAATTCTTTCATTGTGCTAGAAGCTTAAAATAATGAAAATGCCACTTTCTACATTAAACAGAAACTGAAGGGAATCAAGGTGAATTGCATGAGACATAGAAAACAAGTGGGAAAGAAATCTAGTATAATTTGCCCTTTGTGTACCTTTATTATTTAGCGTTTGAGTAAATGATTCCCCCAAATATCTTCCCATCTCAATTCATGTCTATAAAGTAGACGTTTATGTCTCACCTTGTCAAGAAGGGCAAAGTCTAACATAAACATTTCCCAAAAATGCTTCCTGCTAAAACGTAAGCTCAGTCTGGCTAGAAATGCAGCTCACTTCCTAAAGATTAATTGGTAGCTAATTTTGCATGCTGTTCTCTGAACTTGAGTGTAACCTGTCCGTCAGGCATACAGGGAATGACGGGAAAGGTGACAACAGAAGATGAATGCTATGTCACTAACCTTCAAAGATGACCTGCCTTTTCTTTCAAATTCTTGATATCTTAAGACTTCATTAATTCATCTCTCTTTTCCCTTGGTTCAACATTTTGCTATACCAAAACTCATGTGAGACAATGACCTAATGTAATAAAAATGGCATTTTTCTTTCATGTAGTTGCAAGCTAACTGGCATTTTTACAATCCACATATTTCCTTTGTCAATTTTTCATTCTGTATTGGAAGTAATTGATGGGTATTTCTGAAGGGATGAAGGTGTTTCTGTGTTCATTGTGATCCAAACTATTTCTAGACCTAGGGGCCTTTGTAAACAATTTGTGCCCACTGACCAAGGATCACTGTGGCAGAAAGCAGCAAACTTGCATAAGATGTCACTGCTTCATAGGTTGGCTTTGAAAACTAGGGGCTTACTCTATACTCTTATGAATAAAAGACATTGATAGATGTAGTATAAGATTACAATCATATTTTCCTTTTGACAGTCACATTATAAATCAAGATGTATTGCAATTAATCTCAATTAGCTGATCACAATTAAAATTAATAATGTTTATTATTGCTGATAAAAATCATGTCTCTCCTGTTCTCAAATGTGCAAGTAATTCTTGTAATTTTAATACAAATTTGCATATTATTATTAATTGATTTAATCTCATTGGATTTGGTTCATGGATCCAATTTATTAAAATATTGATAATGGGATAATGAGTTGTCTCCCCATTTCATGTACACTAAAAACAACATTTCTTACAATGGTCTGCAAGCCCATCATCATCTGCCTCATGTTAACCGCCAAAATTCTTTTATATCTTCACCCTTGATCTTACCAGTGGTCCTGGCCACCTCACTGTCCTCTGGACATACCAACATGCTGCTGCCTTACGATCAAGACTCTAGTTAATTTTTTGGCTTGGAAAGATAGCCCTCCATATATCCATTGATCAGCTCATTCAACTTCCTCAGGTCTTTACTGAAACTTCACATTCTCGATGAGGCCTATTCAGTATTTCAAACTGCATCCCAGCTGCAACATTCCAAAACCCCTTACTCTTCTGTGTATTTTTGAAAGGATTTATTGAGATATAATTTACATAGTGTAGAGTGCACACATTAATGTCTACAAGTCAGTGGCTTTTAGTATATGTACAGATAAGTGGAGCCACCATCACAATGAATTTTAGAGCATTTTCATCACTTCAAAAAGAAACCCCACCTTCCCTAGCTGTTAACCTCCTATGCACCCATCCCCTACTCAATCCTAAGCAACCACAAATCTGTTTTCTGTCTCTATAGATTTTCCTATTCTGTTTTCATCTAAATAGAATCGTACAATAGGTGGCCTTTTCTGCCCGGCTTCGTTCAGTTGGCATAATGCTATCAAGGTTCATGTACGTATTGGTACTTTATTTCTTTTTATAACTGTATAACATTCAATTTCATGGATATAACCTTTTGTTTATCCAATAGTATTTTTATTGACATTTGAGTTGTGTTCAGCCTTTGGCTATTTTAGGTACTGCTGCTAAAAATACTTGTGTACAATTTGTGTTTGAACACCTCTTTCCAATAATCTGGGTGTATACCTAGGAATAAATTTCTGGGTCATATGACAATTCTATGTTTCATATATTTAGAAGCCATCAAATTATTTTCCAATGTGGCCAGTTCTAGCCATAGAGTATCTAACTGTGGTTTTGATTTGTAGTTGCCTGAAGAGTGATGCTGTTGAGTATATTTTTATGGGATTATTGACCGTTCATGTATCTTCTTGGGAAACACATCTATTCCTATCATTTATCAGTTTTGAGTTGGGATATTTGTGACGGAGTTAAACCAATTTTTCTATATTCAAGATACATATATATATACAGACATATAGATACGTGTTTTTCAAATATCTTCTCACAATTTTGGAGCTGCCTTTTGACTTGCTTGGTTGTCCTCTGAAACACCGATGTCTTTAATTTTTAAGAAATTTTAAATATCTAATTTTTATTCTGTTGCTCATGTTTTTGGGGTTACAGCTATTTCTTTGCTAGATCCAAAATCCTGAAGATTTTCCCATATGCTTTATTCTACCTCTTGCATGTGTGTCTTTAATTCATTTGAGTTAATATTTTTGTATGCTTTGGGGTAAGGGTTCTAATTTATTATTTTGCAAGTGGTGATCCACGTGTACGTTGTTGACCCAGTGTGTTCAAAGACTGTCTCTTCCTCATTGAATTGCACATGGCACCACTTTAAGAATCCATTGACTGTAGACACATAGTTTTATATATGGACTCTCAATTCTCTTCCATCAATCTATATATTTTTCCTTCATCAATGTTGTGTTGTCTTGATTACTGATACTTTGCAGTAAGGTTTGGAGCATGGGGTGTGAATTATCCTAATATGTTTTCTTTCTTCAAGATTATTTTGGCTATTTTGAGTCCCTTACAATTTCATGTGTATTTTAGAATCAGCTTGTCAGTTTCTAGACACAAGTCTGTTGGGATACTTGCAGGGATTTCATCAAATCTGTAGTTCAAATTGTAAAGTACTACAATATCAAATCGTCCAATTCATGGGTGTAAGGTGTTTACTAATTATTTAAATATTCTTTAAACAATAATTTTTAATTTTCAGAGTAAAATCTTGTATCACATTTTCCAAATTAATTAATATTTCTTTTTTTATGCTATTTTAAATTGAAGTGTTTTCTTAAATTCATTTTGGGGTTTTCATTGCAGATGTGTGCAATTGATTTTTGTACATTTACCTTGTCTGCTGTAATATTGCTGAAATAATTTACGAGTTCTATCGTTCGGTGGATTCCTTAAAATTTTCTATATACAACAATGTTATTTTCAAATAAAGTTTTATTTCTTCCTGTTCAATATGGGTGACTCTTGTTATTTTAGTTGCCGATTTGCCCTGCATAAAATCTTTAGTACAGTGTTGACTAGAAGAGGTCAAAGTATATATCCTATTCTTATCTCTGACCATAGCGGGAAAGCATCCTTTACCATTAAGTTGCCTGCTTGCTGTTGGCTTTTCACAGGTGCCATGTATCTGGTGTAGAAAGTTCTCTATTCCTGGTTCATTGAGTTTTTATTTTTATTTTTAATCATTAAAGCTTTTGGATTCTGTTAAATGTGTTTTCCGAATCTATCGAGATGATCATGAATTCTCTTTTCTTATTCTATGGATAAGATGTATTACCTTAATGGATTTTGGGCTGTTAAACCAACCTGGGATTACTTGTATAAATTTCACTTTGTCATAGTGTATAATTCTTTTATATGTTGCTAGATCTGATTTGTTAGTATTTTTTAAGGAATTTTGCATTTATACTTATAGTAGTTTTATTTTTCTATGCTATTTGGACTAATTTTTGTATCAAAGTAACACTGGCCCCACAGAATAAATTGGAAAGTGAATATTTCTCTTTTTTAAAAAAGCTAGTCAAGAATTAATATCAATTATTCAACACTAACAAATATTATTATTATAAATTATTAATTTCTCTAATTTTAATTTTCTTCCTTCTGCTTGCTTTAGGTTTAGTTTGCTATTCGTTCCAGTGCCTTAATGTGGAACGTCATCTTATCTCATCCTTTCATTTGTCTTTTCATTTTGTAAATAGTGTCTTGTTAGCATCAGGTGAGCTCCCCAGGTTGGTAGTACTCCATGTTTGTTGCTGTACAACAATGACAGGTAATATGTCCTGAAGACAATGGAAACTTAACCTTCAAAATCTCCTAGATTCCACCTTATATGATATGTCTCTTCTATTGGTCCTAATTTCTACCCTTTCTCTATTATAAACCATGAGTACAATGGCATTCAATGAGTTCTGTGAGTCTTTCTAGTAAATTCTTGAAACTGAGGGTGTTCAGGGGAAACCCCTGAACTGGCAGTTGGTGTCAGAAGTGAGAATCTTCTTACATGGCCTCTTCCTTTGAACTGTGCAGCTGGACGCAAACTCTGCACAATTTGGGCCAGAACTCTCGTGTTGACTTTGTAGCCTAAAGTATCTTGTAGTTTGTCTAACCCTCAATAAATTTGCTTTCATCAAATATTGTATTTGTTACCCCAAAATTACCATCACGTTTTTTTTTCTCCAAATAACTAACATAGGAGAAATAGCCAGCTGAGTTTGTAACTCGACAGAAATAAGTGATCCATATACCATATACCATATAAGTGGCCATTTCATTTTGCCTTCTTCCACCAAATCTTAGCAACCTCAACCATTACCAAGAGCCACTGTAGGCCTACCAGCTACAAACAAACGAGTATCTTGTAAAAACACTTCATACTCCCATTTGATAATTTTCCCAGCAAAGAGATGCCTACTTTAACTCTATGCAAGTGGCTCATATTCACGAAGTCTGTAGATATTATTCATGTAGAGTGAGAAAATCATCCCAGCGGTGCCAGCACATTCTCCTTCCCATGATCTGCTTAGTTTGCAAACATATTCAGGCCATGGGTGAGAGATTTGTATTTCACAGTACAACAATTTTATGGAGGGCATTGAAACTTACATTGAGCATTTTAGTACAGTCACACATCACTGAATGATAGGGATACGTTTTAACAGATGTATTCATAGGCAATTTTACCATTTTGCAAACATCACAGAGAGTATTACAAACACCTAGATTGTACAGCCTACCACGTTTAGGTTATATGGTATAGCCTCTTTCTCCCAGGCTACAAATCTGTGTACTACATTACTGTACTGAATACTGCAGGCAATAAGAACACAGTGGTAAGAGGTTATGTATCTAAACATAATTAAACGTAGAAAAGTATGTAAAAATATCTATTATAATCTCATGGGACCACTTTTGTATATGTAATCCATCTTTGACTAAAATGTTATTATGCATGACATGACTCTATGACAAAAATAAAATAACACATTGTAAAAAAATATACACAGGTATCAAACATATTAATATTGTAAAAATAAAAATATTTATTCAGTGTAAGAATTTGTAATGATCACAAAATGTTCACAGCTTATATTTTAGTACAGTTTCAAATGCCTAGTGCAATTGCTATTTATTTCTGTGTGTATTTTAAACATGTATATAATAAATATTTTTCAGGTTCAACAATATATATCAATCCAACTGGCTCTTATAAATATTAGTTAACATCAATTGGTAAATTCATATATATATATACACACACGTGACTCAGTCTGTATGCGTGTATGTGTGTGTAAATGTAACTGTATGTGTGTGTAAATGTAACTGGATGCATCCTAATATTTACCCTTACCTACAAGATTTCCAAGACTCATTTATTCTCTTTAAATGGTGTGCCTTGAAAGATTTACCAAATAAAACCGCAATCGTGGAATATATCAAGATGTTATTAAATTCATCTTGTGCACATAATTGTTTCTTTAAATTTATGTTTCTTGCAAAACTTGCGGTAATGCTCATGCACAAAATAATTTTCTAAATAAAAAATAAAAACATTTTCTCAGTCATTAATTCTTAAAAAGTATTTCTCCCCAGTAATTAATGCGAATTCATTCTTAATTCTTAATTATAGAATAATGTTGCCCTTCAGAGTTCTGAATCTTTTGCACGTTGTATACATTTCACTGACTGGAACATCTTCTGGAATATTGGCATTAATTAATCTCACTCAGCAATTAATGATTTCAAAGAAATTAAATACCATTCATATTCTGAATCACAAGGGTACTTTGGCACCTAATTTAATCAAGCTCTTTGTATCATCATCTACAGTTTAATTACTTAACAAACATTTCTTTGTGTGAGAAAGATTGAGCAGGTTATTGTGCTTTTCGTTGTATACATTTCACTAAGTAGAACATCTTCTGGAATATTGGCATTAATTAATCTCACTCAGCAATTAATGATTTCAAAGAAATTAAATACCATTCATATTCTGAATCACAAGGGTACTTTGGCATCTAATTTAATCAAGCTCTTTGTATCATCATCTACACTTTAATTACTTAACAAACATTTCTCTGTGTGAGAAAGATTGAGCAGGTTATTGTGCTTTTTTATGATGCAACTTTTGCTTAATCTAGAGATAGGCAATGCTCCCTATAAGGGACAAAGAGAAAAATGAAAGAGCAATAGAGATGTGACAGGCATGGAAAAAGACAATACATTTATAAAACAAATAGGGCCACAGATGATGATAATGGGGATCAAATCTTGAGATACTGACTCAGTTTATAACCGCACTGTACAATAGAGCAAATCATTTGTTAATTATTTTACAAATGGAATCTAATTTAACTAAGATGAATACAGTGTTTTAAACAAGGCAGGTCATCTTAAAATAAAATAGTGGGAAAAGTGATAAAACCAATGTAAAAATCATAAACATTTTATAAAGAATTTTTGTCATGTAATTTAATATTTTTCTTTATTTAAAATCACCCAAATCAAAATAATTTTATCTTAATTAACAAATAATCATCAGAAGTTAACTAATTTTTACTTTATAATACTAGGTTTAAAAATTCTTCACTATATTTTTAATCATACATGCTTATACATAAAATAGACATAGGGTATATGTTTACATGTTCACAATATTATATTGTAATTGTTCCTATGGATGTGGTTTTTCAATAGAATTAATAAGTACTTTTAAAAAGTTTCAATTTCAATGATATATATGTTTGATTTTTCTTTGACAAAGCATACATATATTGATAGGTAATAATAAGAAAATCTTCTAAAGACATTACAGGAACATGAATAAGTAATTAAATCCTCAATAATTTGTAACGTTTTATGTAAGCGGAACACATTTAACTGAAAATTGCTTTTATATAATACTCAAACGAGACTAAAAACATATTAACTAGCGGAGTAAGTCTTCAAATTGATAATCTGAACTATAGAAGAGGAGAAACTTCAAGCACTCAAATATTTGAAATGCTACAAAATATTTATATAAACTATTATTTAACAATTTCTGTTTGTAGAGTGCTATAGAGTAATCCATATAAATGACATCTCAGTCTTTCTATAGCTTTGACCACATTTACCTCCTAATTTTAATTATTAATATGTTGGAGCAGTGCATACAACTAGATTCCGATCTTCCTTTTTAATGAGTAAAAATATGTCCTTTGAGACAGCATTAAAGAAAGAGCACCTTGTATAAATTCAATGCCAAGAGACAAGATATTCTTGATGCTGAAGTCTTGTTCTTTTATACAGCAATGTAATTAATAAGAAGAAGAAAAGCAGGACATAGAGATGGAGTCTATTTTCATCAAAAATTGTCTATAGATTTTGATGATAAAATTTAAAACTCTACTATATTTAGTTAGTCACAAAAAACTAGGTTGTGGGAACATATTTGGTCAATAAAACACCCCTACCAAATGCCGACAAGAAAAAAAGTTAGGTACCACCTTTCTTCTCTGCAGATGGCCTGAGATGGGTTAATTTGAAAGAATGCTTCCAAACCTGAGGTGACCCCTGAGAACAGCATAATCCACTGCTGTCTCCCACATTCAGTTTCTCAGTCTGTGCTCTTTTAATTTTGGGGGGAGGGAAGCCAGTCCTTTAAAGCGATCTTCAGCATGATGGCAGAGCCAAGGAGTGTGGACAGGTGGCACGGTGTCTGATTTTGTTCCAGCAGCCACTTGGGCTTTCTCTGGGTCTTCTCTGCCCTCGGGATAGCACTACTATTGAAAACATGTCTTTGTGACATTCTCTATGCCAGGAACTCCCAACATATTTTCCTTGAAACTGATGAAATGAAAAAAAATAAACCAAGAGGTGTGCTGTTTGTTTCTGTTTCCTCCTTTCTGCAGCCCTTCTTGATCATCTAATATTTTTAAATACATTGTCGATCACCAAAAGGAGCATAAGGGCTTTATTGGTTTGTAGCAGATGTATTCATAGCCCAGCCCCTATTCCTTAGCTGTAGCTGCTGGGAAGAAAACCATTCTTAACACTCTACAAGGTCTCATCTCCAGAATTTGCACCAGTTTCTAGCTGAGGACTTTCTCTAGCAGCACGGGAGCTTGTTACTGGGCATGAAGTGGGAAGAAAAGGTGAGGGTAACTAAGAAGAATCTCCCTGGATTCAGTGATGTAATTCTGAGGCATGCTCCACATAGCTTCCCATAAAATTAAGCCCAGATATCTAACACAGGAACTTACCTCTTAACACGTGTGGTATTGGCTTTTCTGTCTTTCCTGTTTTATTTTGTTCTCTTTTCCTTGTCTCACTTTCGCTGTGTCCTCACTCCTGCTTTAAGAATACCCAAACAAATACGTTCATTTATTTTTTTAGACTCTCAGAACACAGTTGATAGTTGAACTTGTAATCTATGATAATCAGCTTGGTTGCTGTATTGACAGGAAGATGGTGAACTCACAATGTCTAATTAAGATACAATTTAAAAAATATATTGTATCATGTCCAAAGACTTAAAAAGCCTAAGCGGCAGCGTCACAGTTTCTTCTTTTTAGTTTGCATGGTTTCTTAAATGCCTACAATTATTTTAAAGGAAGCCTTGAGTCTAGGAAAAATTGAGACATATGGAATAAATTACTAACCCATTTCTCCTTGAAATCCATTAGATGTTTGATGATTCTTCACATATATTTCTGAACTGAAAAGCTAGTTGGGAATTATTTTTATAAGCATATCCTTATGTAATATATTGTTTCTAAGAGTGAATGGAAGGTTTAAAGATTAAATTATTCTATCCAGAGAATAAAAAACAATTATTTCACAAGGAGAACATGTGTATGTTGACACGACATTTTAAAATCTAGATTTTAAAATAGGTCCCATATAATTTTGAGTCAATTAGAATACGTTTGTATCAGTCTGTCTACAGTTTTACACCTGTCAAATGTTACTTGAACTAAAAGAAGTACCTTGAACAATTTTGAAATTTATTATTCCTCTGAAACTGATGAAAAGAATGACGGTAGAGTGAAATTTGGATTGGCATAATTTAGGAGAGAAATTATTCCTTGGAGATCAACCTCTGCCAAGATAGTTTACAATGACATTGATACTTTTTGATTTACACAATTTGTTATATAAAAAATACTAAGACGATGACAGATAATACACAGACTTTAATTAAAATTGTACTAAAATTAAAAGTCTAAATAAATTACAAGTGTACGTGGTACATCTAAACGTATGTTTATATATTTTATTTGTGCATTTTATTCCTAGGGTTCCTTTTGCTTTAGTTTGTAAAACGTTCTTATTTTTATGGCAGTGTAGTATATACTAAATAAAGAAAAATCAGGAAATAGAAAATGAAGAAGAAAACATTAGCTATTGTCAACCAAATAAAAATTGTGCAATCTCTAAGTACATGAACGATGTATTATTTGTACAGCATGTACAATGTTTATGCTTCACAGGGTGAGGTAGAGACTGCAAAACATTGAACCTGGGACAAATAAGAAAGAAAGGAAATTTTCACAATATATTAATATTACAGAAAATGTTGAACTTAACAGTTAAGATACAAGTAGTGAAAAATGATAGTATTTAAGGAGATCTAGAAAATGTCATCCATACCAGTAATGTGTGAGAAGTATTAGAATAATGCTTGTATTTCTGGATTGGCATCGATTTCTATTGAGACTGGAAACATACTAGAAGTGAGCAAAAAAGAATTTAAATAGTGGATACTTGAGTTTTATACCTAGGAGTTCGAGAAATACATTTTGTTACTATCAAAGCAGTTGGCACAAGAGTGTACAACATTCCCTAATTGTGTCTATGTGGTGAAGACATAGACAAACAGAAAATAGCAAAACAGAAATAGCAAAAAAGCACAAATAAATTTTACCTGTATTTTTACGTAAAAGCCAATTAGAGTAGGAAAACATGAAATTTGTGTTTTATCGAAATTTTTCTCTTATAGTATAGTTGATTATATTACTGGAAAAAAATTGAAGCATTGGTATGTTCACAAAAAAAAGTAAAAGATAAGGTCAAAACCATGGGAATGCAGGGAGCAGACAAAATACACCTAAACACTGATACTGATTTTGCCCTACGGACATGTAGCAAAATGAATGAGTGCAGATTCCTATGGTCATACATCACATAGGACAGTAAAGAAATACATAGTGTTTCCCAAGATAGGGCATCACACAGGAGCTCTTCCCTAAAGCTAGCACCAAAATTTATCTCCTCAGTATAAAGAAGAATCAGAGGTAAATTAGTCTCATTTCACATTCCCTGGAAATGGCAAATAAAAATGACTTGAGATTGGACAGATTTAAAGAAACTCAATCATTAATGATTTACAGCAATTAATTTAAAAATTGTTTAAATGTGCTGTCCAAACATACGTCCAAACACCTTTAGGCCAAGAATTAATATAATGTGGTCCCAGAATGGTGGTGCCTTTAGTAGACTCACAAAAAATTCAAATTCTCTTTGGCAAATTTTCTTCTTACTAATATGCAAAAGTGCACAATAATAATTTTCAGAGAAAAATAAATCTTTGTCATTCAAAGGCATCTAAGTACGCAAGGAAATGATATTCCACCATTTGAAAGGAAAGCAGAAAAAGAGTACAAACAGATCCACAGAGGTTCATTAGTAGAAATATCACTGTTAGATTATAAAGCACATTTGCTTTCAAAAAATTTAAAAAAAGGAATATATTTTTAGGAGACTAAAAAGTTGATGTAGTAAATTTGAAAAGTAGTTTGTATGTAGTATTTTAAATTAAAAACTCAAAAATGAACTCATCAGATTAGACATGGCCATGGTGAGAGCTCATAAATATTTCAGAATGCATTACAGAAAATTTAAAAAAAGGCACAATGTGGACAGAATCATGAAGAGACATGGAAGATACAGTGAGAAAGTGTAGCATGTGTTTAGTGAGTGTTCTCATAGAGGAAGGGAACGGGGAAGGGACAATATGTGATGGTATTTTGGCTGAAAGTTCTCTAGAGTTTTGTAAGACACTAATCCACATATTCAAAACTTCTATGCATGCTAAGCAAGCTACGATGGAGATAAACCTACATCTACATATCTCCTAGAGAAATAGTAAACAATCAGGAAGGGAAAAATATTTCAATTAGCACTAGAAAAATCAAATTACCTTTAATCATATTGAAATCTGAAAGCATGAAAGGTAAAATAAACAATATTATTTGTTAAGAATAATAATGCCATTCTGAAATCCTCAACCAAGAAAAATATTCATCAACCTATGGCTAAATCACATATTTAGAGACAAAAAACAAAACACCACCAGCAGAATTCCACTAAAGAAACTCAAAGGAAACTCTGAAAACACGCTTCAGAAAGATTGAAGTTCTGAAATCAAAGAATGAACACAGAGCAAAATATATTGTAAACATAAAGATAGATCAAAATAGAAAATTAGGTGTTGAAACAAAAGAATATTTAAAATTAGATAAGCACTGCAATATGTATGTTAGGAAGCAAATTATTAGGGCTGAAGTATTCAAAGACCCCTTAATTGTCTGACAAGAGCAGAAAGGTATGACTTTGCAACTCTTTTTTTTTTTTTTTTTTTTGAGAAGGAGTCTCATTCACCCTTTCTCCCAGGCTGGAGTATGGTGGCGTCATCTCCGCTCACTGCAACCTCTGCCTCCCAGGTTCAAGCAATTCTCCTGCCTCAGCCTCCTGAGTAGCGGGGATTACAGCCGCGTGCCACCCTGCCTGGCTAATTTTTGTATTTTAGTAGAGACGGGGTTTCACCATGTTGATCAGGCTAGTCTCCAACTCCTGACCTCGTGATCCACACGCCTCGGCCTCCCGAAGTGTTGAGATTACAGGCGTGAGCCACTGCGCGCGACCGACTTTGGAACTTTAATAAATTGACTGGACATTATGCATTTCTCTGTTGTATCTATGAAAACAATAAAAATAAAAGTCATAATTTTAAAACAAGAAGACAGAAAGTGATAGGAGAAAATGAGACATTTTATATATATATATATATATATATATATATACACAACAAATTACTAATACAAAATTAAGTATAAATGATCAAAGATTAACTTAAACCTAAGTAGACAATGTTTTTGTTAAAATACAAAGATTGGCAAAATTTAAAACATCCGTCTCTATCATAGTTACAAGAGACACAACTAATATATAAATTTACAGAAACTTTGAAGTTCAAACAATACAGATACTGTGTATATATGATATACATACAAACATACTACATGAATATAATTTTTTAAAAAGTTGCTATGTAGACCAAATAGAATGTAAGTTAGAAACATTTATTAAAATAAGTTAGTGTAACCAGTGTGATAAAAGTTTTAAGTTATTAAGAAGATGTGATGACTTAAATGTGTATTAGCCTGATACATACATATATATATACACACAAACCACACACTCTCTCACACACACATACACACACGTATTTAGAGAGAGAGTCAAATTATATAAAGCAAAAATATCAGAAAGTAAGTAGAAATGGATAAGCCCCCAAATATTATAGACATTTCAAACACACGTCTTTCAGTAATAGATAAAAGAAAAAATTAAAAGAGTAAGTTTTAAAAGAAGCTAGTGGATTTTAAAACGGGCAAATATTATATAAGGAACTTGAATATTATAATTCATGTTATTTTCATGTTCATACAGAATACTTACAAAAATTAACATTTTCTAGACCATACCACAAATTCAAACAATTTTCACGGAAATAACGTGACACAGAATATACGTCCTAAACAAACAGCAATGAAGGCAGATATCAATACAAAAACGAAAGTTAGAAACATAAGTGTAATAATATTGGTTGGAAGCCATTTTATTGAATATTGAAATATTTTAAAGGTGAATAGTCACTACAAATAAACCAAACACTTTTGTGAGGCCACTAAGATACATGTGTAATGTGTAATGCCTCCTTTTATAAGGAGTAAATCTGTAAAATCACCTGGGCTATTTGACAACTGCAAAGTGAATGTGAGAAGGAGAGAAACAGTGAGAGAGAGAGAGATAAAAGCAGTAAAATAAACATAAAGAATGAAGGAGATAGCCAGGCGCCATTGTTCACGCCTGTAATCCCAGCACTTTGGGAGGCCGAGGCAGGTGGGTCACCTGAGGTCAGGAGTTCGAGACCAGCCTGGTCTAACATGGTGAAACCCACTCTCTACTAAATATACAAAAATTAGCCTGGCATGGTGGCATGCATCTGTAACCCCAGCTACTCGGGAGGCTGAGGTGGGAGAATTGCTTGAACGTGGGGGGTGGAAGTTGCAGTGAGTAGAGATCACGCGACTGCACTCCAGCTTGGGCGACAGAGCAAGACTCCGTGTCAGAAAAAAAAACCCAAAAAACAAGAAAGAAAAAAACGAGGAAATAGTACACGAAAAAGCAGAATTAAAGCAACTGGGTATATATTTAAAAATGCAAAAGCTCACTTTTTCAGAAAAATATTAAAATATTAAATCTAACAAATATCTAGGTAGACTGATGGAGAAAAATACAGAAAATGCACAAAAAAGCAATTACCTGGAATGCGAACGTTACAAAACGTCAGCAGTTGTAGATTTTAAATAAACAATGATTTTTGAGTTCAACCATGATGGGGCATATTGAAAAGAATCTCTCAGAAAAAAAGAAAAAGAAAACTGTTATAAAGCTATGTACAAAATGTTAAGCACTATTAAAGTCTTCCAAATCTACCAGTTACGGAGTTATTGGTCTTGGACTAACACTCCTGAAAAGAAAAAAAACAAACAAAATAAGACAATACCTAAAAACCTGGATAAAATGGCCTACCGTGGGCACCGGCAATGCATCCAAGCAGGTAGGACCTGGGTGCTACATTCTCTTTGTCAGAACACAAAGCATTCATACACTCTTCTCACCCTCACTTTCACCTTTTAATCTTTGATCTACTATTAAATGTATTCAACATTACTATCAATCCTTTGCTCAAAATTTCTTTACTCACATTTTGCTTGATGCACTTGGATAGACTGTTCAAGAAAGTGTGAGTAGTGAATTCCTCAAACTCTTGCATATTCAAAATCACATTTTTGAACCTCGATGCTTGAAGTGTAGCTTGGGTAACAGATGGGCTTTAAGCCAATTTTGGCATGCAAGGGGTTGAGTTTATTAGGCATCAGCACCGCTGAAAATCGTGGGGATGCAGGCTTAATTTCAACACTATTCTAAATACTTGAAAGATATTATATAAGTCTTTAATAAACTCCTGTGTCTACAAATGGTTCACATTAACTCAATATCCATGATGAAACATCTATAAAATCAAGGCACTGTTATTTAGTGGAGACTTGCTGGCTATTCTATGAGAGGAGGTATTGTTATTGTAATCTCATCATCTCATAAAATTGTATCATATTACTCATAACCAGCCCTTCATATTCTATTCCTATTTTGGTATTTTAAAATAAGATATCTTTGAAATTCTTGAATTCAAAGAGGGAATCTGAATAATTTTTAAAATGTCAATGAAATGCCATTTCTTCATGCTTCAACAACTAAAAATTGACTAAAGTGCTTCTCTTCAATCTTTCTGGGACATTTTTTATCTAAATTCTAAGAACAATCACAATAGGTTTTAACCACAAATGTGAGAATATTCTAAATGTTAGGGTGGAAAAAATTTTTAAATATTTTATAGTAATTTTTTTCATCATAGTGACAGTGTGCTAAATTTTTTTAAGCCAACTATTACTGTAGACATTTAAGTCAGGATTCTAAGAAGCTGTTCTAAAGTCCAAAATTCAGTTTCATATACACTGATATTATATATATATTTGCTTAAAAAATTAATACATGTGAGCCGTGTTTCAAATAGTTGAGAGATTATTATATCAAAGATTCTTGATTATATAAAATGCCAATTACTTATAGGCAGACATGCTTTAAATAATTACTAAGGCAGTTGTGGTTGATTGTACTCTTGCTACTGGCATTTATATGGACATACTATTATGGTCTGAAGAATATTTAGGCAAATTTATCCCTCATATGATCAGAAGAACAATGCAAGATAGTTTATATCTGAAAGGAAAAAAATCTTTATATGGTTCTGAAAGCGTAAATCATTAACAACTTGGATAATAATTAGCATAAAAATACACAAACATGCCCTCTTCCTAGCAGTAAGTACACAGTGACAACAGAATCAAAGCATGTGGCTATGTGCATGTTTATATTTCAAGACGCAGAGCACTCTATTCCTCCTCTCTGCCCTTTCTAGATGGCACAATCCCTCATGAATCTAAGTGCAGTCATAGGGTGGATTAGGGTGACCTGCCATTTGTATGCAACTGATCTCTAGTTTGGAAGTAATTAATGTCAAAATATATTTTTAAAAGGTAATTTCAAATTTCAGGGCAAACTAGCATGGTTTCGCCCCTTTTCTTTGGAACATTTTTTCTAAGGTTGGAAAAGTAAGGTAGGCTTTAGTACGATTTTAAATAATAAGTTTTCAAAGTGAGACGCAAAATGGTGGCGCCAACACATTTCAAATCTGCTACATTTTGAAGACACTTATTGGAGAAAAGACCTTCTCATCATTTTTCTCTTACAGGAAAGGAAATAACACGTACAGTTGACCCTTAAGCAACACGGAGGTTGGGGTGCTGGACCCCCTGCACGGTAGAAAATCCACTATAACTTTGACTCCCCCAAAACTTAACTACTAATAGCCTACTGTAAGCCTGACAAATAACACAGTCAATTAACACATATTTAATGTTATATGTCTTATATACCGTATTCTTAACAAACATGCCAGAGAAAAGAAAAAAGAAAATCATAAGGAAAATAGATTTACTAGTTATTAAATGGAAGTAGATGATCAAACAGGTCTTCATCCTCATCTTTCTCATGGGCAGGATGTGGATAAGGATGTAGAATTGTTGGTTTTGCTAAGTGGACGTGCACAGTTCAAACCCCTGTGGTGCAAAGGCCAACTGTATAGCCATTGAATAGCAATTTATATTTAGAAATTAACCTCACTAAAATACTCTTAGAAAGATGCCCAGAAAAAAAGTGAATAAGAATTTTTGGTTCATCTATTACATCATTTCATTTCATTAGTTCATTTCTTTTCATCATTTCATTTCATTTCCTCATTTCATCCTTTCATTTCATCATTTCATCTCATTTCCTCATTTCATCCTTTCATTTCATCATTTCATCATTTCATCTCATTTCCTCATTTCATCATTTCATTTCATCCTTCCATTTCATCATTTCATCTTATCATTTCATCTCATTTTATCATTTCATTTCATTCTTTCATTTCATTTCATCATTTCATCTCAACATTTCATTTCATCATTTCACTTCATCTCATCATTTCATCTCATTTCATTTCATCTCACCATTTCATTTCATCTCACCATTTCATTTCATCTCATCATTTCATCTTTTCATCTCATCATTTCATCATTTCATTTCATCTTTTCATCTCATTTCATTTCATCAATTCATCATTTCATCTCATCATTTCATCTCATTTCATTTCACTTCATTTCATTGTTTCATTTCATCATTTCATTTCATCACTTCATCTCAACATTTCATTTCGTCATTTCACTGTATCTCATTTCATCTTTTCATCTCATGATTTCATTTCATCTCATTTCATTTCATCTCATTTCATTTCATCTCATCATTTCATTTCATCTTTTCATCTCATCATTTCATCATTTCATCTCATTTCAGTTCATCATTTCATTTCATTTATTTCATCATTGCATCATTTGACTTCATGTCATCATTTCATATCATTTCATCATTTCATGTTTTCATTCAATCATTTCATCATTTCACTTATTCATTTCATTTCATCTTTTCATTTCCTCATTTCATCATTTCATTTCATCCTTTCATCATTTCATCTCATCATTTCATCCTTTCATTTCATTATTTCATTTCATAATTTCTTCTCATTGTTGCATTTTGTCATTCCATCATTTCATCATTTCACTTCATCTCATCATTTCATCATCTCACGATTTCATCTCATTTCATCTCGTTTCATCTTTTCATCTCGTCATTTCATTTCATCATTTCATTTCATCTCATCTTTTCATCTCATTTCATTTGATCATTTCATCAATTCATCATTTCATCATTTCATTTCATTATTTCATCATTTAATCATTTAACTTCATTTCATCACTTCATTTCATTTCATCATTTCATATCATTTCTTCATTTCACCATTTGATCTTCTCATTTCATTTCATCATTTCATCATTTCACTTCATTTCATTTCATCATTTCATTTCCTCATTTCATTTCACCATTTCATTTCATCATTTCATTTCATCATTCCATTTCATCATTTCATTACATTTCATCATTTCATCATTTCACTTCATCTCATCATTTCATCATTTCATCTCATGATTTCATTTCATCTCATTTCAACATTTCACTTCTTTCATTTCATTTCATCATTTCATCTCAACATTTCATTTCATTTCATCATTTCATTTCATCTCATCATTTCATCATTTCACTTCATCTCATCATTTCATCATCTCATGATTTCATTTCATCTCATGATTTCATCTCATTTCATCTTTTCATCTCGTCATTACATTTCATCATTTCATTTCATCTTTTCATCTCGTCATTTCATTTGATCATTTCATCAATTCATCATTTCATCATTTCATTTCATTTCATTATTTCATCATTTAATCATTTAACTTCATTTCCTCATTTCATTTCATTTCATCATTTCATATCATTTCTTCACTTCACCGTTTGATCTTTTCATTTCATTTCATCATTCCATTTCATTTCCTCATTTCATTTAACAATTTCATTTCATCATTTCATCATTCCATTTCATCACATTTCATCATTTCATCATTTCACTTCATCTCATCATTTCATCATCTCACGATTTCATTTCATCTCATTTCATCTCATTTCATCTTTTCATCTCGTCATTTCATCATTTCATTTCATCTCATCTTTTCATCTCATTTCATTTGATCATTTCATCAATTCATCATTTCATCATTTCATTTCATTATTTCATCATTTAATCATTTAACTTCATTTCATCACTTCATTTCATCATTTCATATCATTTCTTCATTTCACCATTTGATCTTCTCATTTCATTTCATCATTTCATCATTTCATCATTTCACTTCATTTCATTTCATCATTTCATTTCATTTCCTCATTTCATTTCACCATTTCATTTCATCATTTCATTTCATCATTCCATTTCATCATTTCATTACATTTCATCATTTCATCATTTCACTTCATCTCATCATTTCATCATTTCATCTCATGATTTCATTTCATCTCAGTTCATCATTTTTCATTCTTTCATTTCATTTCATCATTTCATCTCAATATTTCATTTCATCTCATCATTTCATCATTTCACTTCATCTCATCATTTCATCATCTCATGATTTCATTTCATCTCATGATTTCATCTCATTTCATCTTTTCATCTCGTCATTACATTTCATCATTTCATTTCATCTTTTCATCTCATTTCATTTGATCATTTCATCAATTCATCATTTCATCATTTCATTTCATTTCATTATTTCATCATTTAATCATTTAACTTCATTTCCTCATTTCATTTCATTTCATCATTTCATATCATTTCTTCACTTCACCGTTTGATCTTTTCATTTCATTTCATCATTCCATTTCATTTCCTCATTTCATTTAACAATTTCATTTCATCATTTCATCATTCCATTTCATCACATTTCATCATTTCATCATTTCACTTCATCTCATCATTTCATCATCTCACGATTTCATTTCATCTCATTTCATCTCATTTCATCTTTTCATCTCGTCATTTCATCATTTCATTTCATCTCATCTTTTCATCTCATTTCATTTGATCATTTCATCAATTCATCATTTCATCATTTCATTTCATTATTTCATCATTTAATCATTTAACTTCATTTCATCACTTCATTTCATTTCATCATTTCATATCATTTCTTCATTTCACCATTTGATCTTCTCATTTCATTTCATCATTTCATCATTTCATCATTTCACTTCATTTCATTTCATCATTTCATTTCATTTCCTCATTTCATTTCACCATTTCATTTCATCATTTCATTTCATCATTCCATTTCATCATTTCATTACATTTCATCATTTCATCATTTCACTTCATCTCATCATTTCATCATTTCATCTCATGATTTCATTTCATCACAGTTCATCATTTCATTTCATTCTTTCATTTCATTTCATCATTTCATCTCAATATTTCATTTCATCTCATCATTTCATCATTTCACTTCATCTCATCATTTCATCATCTCATGATTTCATTTCATCTCATGATTTCATCTCATTTCATCTTTTCATCTCGTCATTACATTTCATCATTTCATTTCATCTTTTCATCTCGTCATTTCATTTGATCATTTCATCAATTCATCATTTCATCATTTCATTTCATTTCATTATTTCATCATTTAATCATTTAACTTCATTTCCTCATTTCATTTCATTTCATCATTTCATATCATTTCTTCACTTCACCGTTTGATCTTTTCATTTCATTTCATCATTCCATTTCATTTCCTCATTTCATTTCACAATTTCATTTCATCATTTCATTTCATCATTCCATTTCATCACATTTCATCATTTCATCATTTCACTTCATCTCATCATATCTTCTTTCATTGCATTATTTCATTTCATCTCATCATTTCATTTCATCATTTCACTTCATCTCATCATTTCATCACATCATTTCATTTCATCTCATCATTTCATTTCATCTTTTCGTCTCATTTCATTTAATCATTTCGTTTCTTTTCACCTTTTCATCTCATCATTTCATTTCATCAATTCATCATTTAATTTCATTTTTTCGTCATTTCATCATTCACTTCATTTCATTTCATTTCATCATTTCATACATTTCCTCAATTCATCATTTCATCTTTTCATTTCATTTCATCATTTCATCATTTCATTTCATTTCACTTCATTATTTCATTTCATTTCATTTCACCATTTTATGTCATCATTTCATTTTTCATCATTCCATTTCATCATTTCATTTCATTTCATCATCATTTCATCTCATTATTTCATTTCTCCATTTCATCATTTCGTTTCATTTCATCATTTCATCATTTCATTTCATCATTTCATCATATCATTTCATTTCAGTGATACATGTATTTAATTGCTAATGCGATGCCCAGGAGACACCCTATTTCCCTTTCTAAAACACCTCCTTCAACAAAAGGCAACTTCTCATGGCTGGCTAAGTCTACAGGGATAGCAGCCTCTCCTCAACCACCCAATTTCATTTAAAACCTCAAACAGCACCTCAGTTTCATAAAAACCTAAAACATAAACACAACACTTGGTTGTAAGTGAGCCGACAGTTTCTTGTCTCTTTCTCTGCTCAAGGCTTAAGGCTGTGTCTCCCCAACTACATTCAGTGGAAGAGAAGATCCCATGGACAAATAAGTTTGAGAATTGTTGTTGCAGGAATTCTCAGAACTTTCAAAACAGAAATCTTCATCCGCAGGGATCTTCAGGAGGGAGATGGCTGATGCAGCACAACTTTCTTTCAGAGGAGTATCTTGCAGAATACAGTATGAGATACAGAAAGGCTGCATTGAGTCTTTTTAATGGCCCGGGCCTTGGTGAGGGTGGGGTAGGAGCTCTCCAGATAGCATCTAATGAGTAGGAACATTCAGGTGGCTTTTTATTTTTTCCTTATTCGCAAAACTGTGTGTACACCATGAATGAAGCTGGTCTCCCTTATCCACGTCAAAACTAAACCTAAATTAATTGGCTAAATTGGGACTCAACACCTCCAGGAGCCACGCGGCAGAAAGCCCCAACACACTTTAAATTAGCTTGCCTCATCATATTTGAGGAAAGCAAAACGCTTATGACCAGTATGCTGCTAATACAAGTCTACAGATAATGCTGTATGAAAAACTAGTTTTCCCAATCATAGCTGGCATAGTCCACATTTTGCATTACACTTTCCCCCCCTTTTTTTAAATTTTAAACACAGGTCTTTTTCTCTTCTTTTTTTCAATTTTAATTAAATTATACAAGACGGAGTCTCAGTATGTTGCCCAGGCTGGTCTTCAACTCCTGAGCTCAAGCGATACAACCGTCTCCGCCTCCCAAAGTGCTGAGATTGCAGGCCTGAGACACTGTGCCTGGCCTTAAACACAAATCTTAATTCATTCTTACAATTATTCTGAGGTTACAAAAATGGAAGGGGAAGAAAAATGGCAAGTAGGTAGGCTGACTTCGGCTTCATTATTTGGAAGGACAGTTTGCTCGGTTAAAACACACTACTGCCTACAAAGGCCAAGACAACAGAAAAATACAGACTTACATAAATAGATTTTATATGTGACAGCAGTTTGAATGGAGACTTTTTCAATGCAATGAGAAACAGCTGTGCTTGGGAATAAATGACAACGAATTTTTTTATCTCAACAGCTGTCCTGAGAGCATGTCTCTACATCTCTACCTGCATTCTGGAATCAGGGAGAAAGCCAAAACGGACGACAAGACACTAGATCAGCCGTGTCCAACCCTTTGCCTACAAGGACTTTTCCACCTATCTGTGGTGGTGGGTAGCATGAAAATTATGCACAAAACTTTTTTTTTTTTAACCCCATCAGCTGTTGTTAGCATTAGTGTATTTTATGTGCGGCCCAGGAGCATTCTTCTTCCAATGTGGCCCTGAGAAGCCAAAAGACTGGACACCTGTGCACCAGATCAAAAGGCTACTCCTTCTGGAAGCAATTGTAAAGAATTTCTGACATTATCTTGACATGAAAACCAATGGGTAGTGGGACAGAATGCAAAATCTTGAAGAATTTTTCTTGTCTTTTTTTTTTTTTTTTTTTTTTGAGTCACGGTCTTGCTCTGTGGCCCAGGCTGGAGTACACTGGTGAGATCAGAGCTCAGTGCAGGATCAAGTGCTCCTCCCGCCTCAGCCACAGTAGTAGCTGGGACTACAGATGCGCACAACCACCCCTGGCTAATATTTTATTTTTTGTAGAGATGGGGTCTCACTATATTGTCCAGGTTGGTCTCAAACTCCTTGACTCAAGGGATCCAGGAAAGGATAACAGGTGGGAGCCACCACACCTGGCTATGTGCATGAACTTTTAAGACAAACACAAGGCCCCACAAAAGTTAAGGTTTTTCCCACCTAATTTCCAGGGGGATCTTTTGGTGCAAGGCTGAGAAGCCCTTAAAAGTACACAGACAACTCCAAAGATTCAAGACAGTTCATTTGGGCTGAGCCAGCCCACTGGGCAGACTGACCTTCCAAAAAGACCCACCCATGACATACACCAGATGGCTCTCCAAGAATCTCTTCAGTCCTCAGGGTCCCTAACGTACTGGACAGAGCTAGGAAAGCAAACCCATTTGCTTCTTCCTGCAGGAAACCCCTTGAGGTTAAGACCCCACAATCACATGAGGATGGAGTGGCTCACCCTCAGTCAACAGGCCAGACTCAAGGTGGTATAATGTCTTAACCACGGGTGCGGGCCTCCAGGTCTGACTCCCAACTCAGTTCTTCTTTAATAACCACACTTTGTTAATTTTCCTTAACAGGGGTTCCTGGCAAGTCATTTCTCCCTCAGGCCTTCGGTTTCCTCACCTACAAGATGAGAGGGCTGGACCAGATGGAAATTCAGGGGGTAAGGGGATGTCCTCACGCAGCCCACCCCCACCCCCACGGGACCCTGGAGCCTCCATCCCAGTTCCCACCACGCACCCGCTCCACAAATCCTGCCCAAGGTGAGGGCTGGTCCTGGGTCCTCTGGCTGCCGCATCAGCGAGTGCAGGAGGGAGGGGAAGCCTCCAAGGGGGTGACGTGGGCTCAAAGATGCAACTCGGCCAGGAGTGAACTGGGGCCCCGAAGGAGGTGTCCGGGCCGCTCCTGGAGCCCAGCCCGGGTCCCCGAACCCCTTACCTCCGGGGTCTGTATCTCCTGCTGGGTGAGGTCGTTGGACACAGCGCACTTGGTGCACAGCCCGCACAGGCTGCCAATGAAGATGACGATGAGCTTCTGGAGCTGCCCGCACTGCTGCAGCGCCCGGCTGGCCGCAGCCCCTGTGCCACCCTCCGTGGCCGCCGCATCACCCCCACCACCGCCCTCCTTCTTCTCTCCCATCGCCTCCACAGGCAGCGCCACTCTATGCAGGCCACAGGGGCCTAGGCAAGGAGCCTGGGGCGCCGGCGCCTAGGCAAGGAATCCCTGAGCCAGGAGAGCTGGACCAGGAGCACCCCTCAGCGCTGCCCTTGCCAGGACGCCAGTAGAGCTGGCAGCCGAGTCTGCCGCTCCCGCCCTCAGAGCCGTGGCGGCGGGGACAAAAATCCTCGGCGGCGGGGGCAAAACGCCGCGGCGGCGAAAAAGTCGCTGTGGCAGGGGGACAAAAAGCCGTGACAGCGGGGCGCAAAAAGCCGCGGCGGGTAAAAGGCCGTGGCGAGTAAAAAGCCGCGATGGCAAAAAGCCGCGGCGGGCAAAAAGCCACGGCGGCGGTGGGGCAAAAAGCAGCGGCGGTGGCGGAGGGGCAAAAAGCCGCGGCAGCGAGGGGGCAGAAAGCCGCGGCGGCAAAAAGCCAAGGCGGCGAGTGTGCAAAAAGCTGTGTCGGCGGTGGGGCAAAAAGCCGCGGCGGCAGAGGGGCAAAAAGCCGCGGCGGCGGGTGTGTGGCAGAAAGCCGCGGCGGGCAAAAAGCCGCGGCGGCGCGGGGTATAAAGCCGCGGTGGGCAAGAAGCCGAGGCGGGGTGGGGGCAAAAAGCCGCGGCGGCGGGGGGCAAAAAGCTGCGGCGGGTAAAAGGCCGCGGGGGCAGGGGGGAAAAGCCACGGCGGCGAAAAAGCCGCGGCGGCGGGGGTGCAAAAAGCGGCGGGGGGCAAAAAGCCGCGGCGGGCAAAAAGCCGAGGCAGGGTGGGGGCAAAAAGCCGCGGCGGGCAAAAAGCTGCGGCGGCGGGGGGTAAAAAGCCGTGGCGGGCAACAAGCCGAGGCGGGGTGGGGACAAAAAGCCGCGGCGGTGGGGGCTAAAAAGCCGCGGCGGGCAAAAAGCCGAGGCGGGGTGGGGGCAAAAAGCCGCGGCGGGTGAAAAGTCGCGGGGGCAGGGGGGAAAAATCCACGGCGGGAAAAAGCCGCGGCGGCGAGGGGGCAAAAAGCGGCGGGGTGCAAAAGGCGGCGGGGGGCAAAAAGCCGCAGCGGCGGGGGGCGGGCAAAAAGCCGCGGCGACAAAATTCGCAACGGCGAGGGGTCAAAAAGCCGGGGCGGACTAAAAGCCCTGGCGCCGGGGGGGCACAAAGCCGCGGCGGGCAAAAAGCCGCGGCGGCGGTGGGGCAAAAAGCCACCGCGGCGGGGGCGCAAAAAGCCGCAGCGACGGGTGGGGGCAGAAAGCCGCGGCGGGCAGAAAGCCGAGGCAAGGTGGGGGCAAAAAGCCGCGGCGGCAGAGGGGCAGAAAGCCGCTGCGGGCAAAAAGTCGCGGCGGCGGGGACAAAAAGGCGCGGCGGGCAAAAAGCCGCGGCGGGGGGCGGGGAAGCCACGGCGGGCAAAAAGCCTAGGCGGGGTGGGGGGAATAAGCCGCGGCGGCGGGGGGGCAAAAAGCCGCGGCGGCGGCGGAGGGTGAAATAATGGAGATGGAGTGGAAGGCCGGCACAGCTTGGCATCGCTGGAGTGCGATGTGATAGGAAATGTGCAGCCAAAGACAAAAAGATGTAAGTAGGCTTGACTCATTGAAGCTAAGAACCCAGATGTTATCTTGAGGGTATTAACTAATAAGCAGTTTAAATCAGAATGGCACATTCTGATTTGTTTCTTGTACGTTCACATTTGGCAGGCATGGATACTGTTTGAAGAGAGAAAAGTCAGTAGAGAGAGGTAACAAACTTAAATATGTGCCAAGTCTAGAAACAAGAGACCAGGGGGATAGGGACCTTTCAAAATAAAATGCAAGATTTGAAAACTGATTGGCTGGGGGATGAGGAAAAGGCAGGTCTTTAAGGTCCATCCCTGTTTTGCTTTAAGTTGTTAGGGGGTGGTTTTATCACATGTTGTAGAATATGTCATTTCAGTTTTGAACATCTTGAGTTAAATTGTCCTAGCATATCTTATGAATTTGATTTTCTTCCCTGGAAAGCTAATATTTCAAACACTTAAAGAGTATATAGATTTCCAACTTGTATCCAGTTTATAAAACTATCTCTAGGCTGCTGATTTCAGGAGGAGGCTTATGAGTATTCTCCTTGCAGAGAATATATCAGGAGTTAACAGCAGCTTCAATATTTGTGGATGACCGGTTAACTAAGCCACCTCTTAGTGTCTTTAGTTGGGAAATCTTAGCTGAAGATATTCAATAATGAACCAAGAGTGACTAAGAAATTCAATATTTAAGTATATTTCATTGTAATTAATTTGAATTGAAGTAGCCATATACAGCTAGTATTTACTATATTGAACAATGCAAATAAGAGGAAAAAATTAATAACCATCTCTAATACCACAGGCCAAAATCCTCATCAATTTATTCTAGCTAAAGGAGTTGATCAGAAGCAGTAGTTGAAAGCACCAACTAAACCCAGCTGGGGTTAGTTCACTGTCATTCTCTCAGAACCGTCTCTTCTCTGAACAAAACAAGTACAAGAGTTCATTGTGAATCTGCATTCTCCTTGCCTATTTTAAGGTTTTGATGTTGACGCAAATTTGTGAAATCCCTCCTGTGGTGTGATATTTCGTTTTCCTTGCTTTGTGTTAGGACAAGAATGCTTCAGCTCTTAATTTAAAATTATGTTTCTCCCTCCTAGGTTGAGTGAACTTAGAATGCATTCTCTGACATATCCAAGATTTTGTTAATATGAATTTCGGGAAAAAAGCATACTTAATTAGCTAAGACGTCTTATTCTAAGCTTGACCCTATGTTCGACATCTTTTGAATTTCTGGTTGCGTGGGCTGCTCTCTGACACTGGTTAGTGACCTGGAAGCTCTATTAATGTTAGGGGAGGTGGTGTATGAGCATTAGAGGTATCCTTGCAAGGAAAGACTTGTCTTATCTCAATACGTCTTTTTTTTTGCACACAAGAAAGTCAATGTCTGAGTCTTCTAAAATCTTCCTATTTCCAAATTGCAGATTATGATTGATTCCTAAACAAAGACCTAATTTTTGACTCAGAGACGTGGCAAGCTAGTGAATCACCGTTATAATTTAACAATCTTCAAGATAAAATTATCTCTGATATTTAGATTTTGCCCAATTATTAAGATATTTGGGTGTTTCGTTAAGAATGGAAAACTCTAGTCTCTTGAGCAGAGACTATAAAGGCCTCAGATGATCATTTTTAATTTTATGCTCTTTTCTTTAACACCTTCAACACAGTTGGAAGCAGCCGATATTCCGCAGAGTTGTTGTGTTTTTTAAACCAAATGCATGGTTCAGTGGTAGAAAACTGGGCTGATCCAAGCTGTTTTCAGCAAACACTTCATTTCAGGTGACCCATTTCGTATTAAATAATCTCTAGATCCTGTCTTCGAAACTAACTAGATCAGATAAACTACCCTGGATTTTCTCTTTTTAGGGTCTGAGAGCTGCAGTCACTTTTGTGAAAATGATTACAATGACAAGATAGAGTTGTAGATGGGGAAAATGTTTTGACTAATTTAAGCATAGTGGTATTTCATATGAGAATTTAAGTTACACACATTTGAAAATTATAATGGAGTCTCTTGGCTGAGCTTTAAAAAGAAATAGCGTTTAGGCTAAAAAGGGAACTGCTACCTCTCCTAAAATCAGAAAGATGTTACAGTAATTCTCCATTCTCTAGAATTATCAAGAAGCACCTTTGTGATGATTTACTTTTGCTCTTGCGAGTGTGAGCCCGTGTAGTCGTGGAACCATCAATTAGAATGGTGGCTTTCTGATCCCAAAGTCACTCGTTCTGAAAACAATATTTTTCATAAATTTGAAAGTGAGAAGTTTTGATCTTGCCATTCCCAAGTAACTCTCTTAATAAGAGGCATCAGCATGCTTCAGTGACAGCTGTCACCTTCCATTGCTGAGAGTCATCTTTGAGTTCTCTATTTCACTCCCTACACTCCAATTTACCTGCAGTTCTCTTGGCCAGTCCTATGAAATACATCCATGGCCTAACGACTTCTCACCACTACTACCACTCATGCTGACAGCATTCTCACCTAGGTCACTACCTTTTTTCGCTGGATTAGAGTAGCCTCCCAATTTATTTGCTCACATAACCTATTTATTCTACACAGTGCACCAGATACACCCCTTTGAAATGCAAACACAATCATATTATTCTCTGGTGAAATTATCTCATATATTCCTATCGCATTTAAAATTAATTCAGAATCATCCCATGATTATCAAAACCCTACATGCTCTTCCACAACATGGTTTACTTCCAAGATATCTCTTCAACATTTTTTTCACTGTACTGAATTGGTGACTAATAGTCATATTTTTGTTTTTGCTCAAAAAGTCTTGACTTGTAAATTTTTCAGTTTCTCCTTTATCCACAGGTAACTCTTTCCTGATAAGGCGAATTGCTTGCTTCCTTGAATTCTGCTCTCAAAGATACCCTTCACTTTCTACCTAATATTAATAACTTTAATCATTCATTATTCCATTACTATGCTCTATGGTGTATACAATTTCTGTTCTTTGTCATGTTATTAACTAAATTATTTATTGGGTCCAGTAACGTATTCCATAAATATTGTACACATAAAAATTGTGTTATTTTTATTCCTGTATGCTGAGCTGCCCAATAACAGTCTGAGGATTAACATATTTGTTAAATGCACAAATACATTCTTTCACAAATATTAGTTTAATAATTTTATATTAAACTCCCTCTATACTTACAATATGAATTAGATAATTCAGAATAAACATTCCATTGGAAAAAGCTACACAATTTGTTATAAAACATCCTTAAAAGCATCAGAAAATTAATACAGCAATGAAGAATTACAGGACCAAATTAAGAATGGTATGAAAGCCTGTTTGTGACGCTTATGTTTGGGTTATCTCTTTATTTGAGTGACTATAAATCTCAAAAGAGAACTAAAGGGAGAAATAACCGTATCTACTAACACGCTGAGGGTACTTAAACATCTCTTAGTAATTGAGAAAATTGAAAGAAAAGAAAAAAGAGAAAGGGAGAAAGAGAAACAGCGAAAGGGATAATGAAGGAGAGAAAGAAGAAGAGAAAGGAAGAGGAAGAAAAGTAAAAAGGAGGAGGAGGGGGAAGGAAGAAGGCACAATCACAGCTCACTGCAGTCTCGATCTTCCAGGCTCAAATGATCCTCCCACCTCAGCATCCCAAGTAGCTCACACTACAGGCACCCACCACCACACCAAGCTAATTTTTATTTTTTTTGTAGAGATGGAGTCTCACTATATTGGCCAGGCTGGTCTTGAACTACTGTAGTCAAGTGGTCCTCCCACCTGAGCCTCCCAAAGTGCTGGGATTACAAGCATAAGCCACCATACTTGGTGAGATATGAATTTCTAGGAAAAAAAATCAAAATTGACTCAAAAAGTAGAAAAAAAACTTACATAGATTAAATATATTGAATCAGTAATGAAAAAACTTCCCATAAAGAAATTTCCAGGCCCAAGTGCCTTCACCAAAAAGTTTCATGAAACATACAAGAGAAACAAACCAACCAACCAAACAACAACAACAAAAAAAACTCTGCCACCAACACAGAGAATAAAAAAAGAAGACTCCCGAGTTCATTTTACAAGGTTAAAATAAAAATAACCTTGATATCAAAACCCAACAAGGCAAGTGCAAGAGAAAATATTTACAGGCCATCATTATTCAACGTGGATCAGCAATTATTTTTAAGATGTACTGGCCAGGTGTGGTGGTCATGCCTGTAATCCTAGTATTTTGGGAGGCCCGAGTGAGAGGATGGCCTGAGCTCAGGAGTTTGAGACCAGCCTGGGCAACAAGGCAAAATCACGTCTTTATAAAAAATACAAAAATTAGCTGGGCATGGCAGCACACCTATAGACCCAGCTATTCGGGAGGCTGAGGTGGGAGGATCACTTGAGCCTAGCAGGTTGAGAATGCAGTGATCCCTGATCATGCCACTGTGCTCCAGCCTGGGCAATAGAGTGAGACCCTGTCTCAAAACAACAACAGAAAGATATGCTGACCGCCTGTGATGCTGGCCAGGATGGCGTATGCATGCTACGGCCTGTCATTTCCACTGATCACAATTTGAAACTCTGGACAAAATATAAATAGCAATGACCCAAGTACTCTGAAAAGTAACCAGCAGACAGGTTGGGAAACGTCAAAACCTGAAGAATTATCTGGATGGTGGTGGTGAGAGATCATATTCTGGGTCATAAAACAAACCCTAAAGTTAAACAATTAAAATTCAGTGAATTATTTTCTCTGATGACAGAATTAAACTAGGAATCTAGAACATTTCTAGAACATCCCCAAATATGAGAAGTTAAATGGCATACTTCTAAATGGCCCATAGGTCAAAGAGAGTATCTTAAGACAAATTGGAAAACAGTTTGAACTTAATAAATATGACATCATCTTATCAAAATATGTGCTTACAGGGCAATTTATGGCACTAAATTATGAGAAATGAAGCATCAAATCAATAATGTAAGCATTTACTTTAAGTAAAAAAAGAACCAAATAAACTCAAATCAGGCATAAGAAAAACAGACTAAATCAGTAATATTTAAACAAAAACAGTAAAGGAAAAAAATTCAACGAAATCCAAAGTTGGTTCTTTGCAAGGGCGGTGGGAGGTGGAAGTCAATCAAATGAGGAAGCCTCTAGCAGACTGACAAAGGAAGAAGAGAAAACACAAATTGCCAATACCAGAAATGAAAGGAATATTATTACAAATCCTGTAGACACTAGAAGGCTAGAATGGACACTACAAAAACAAAACAAACAACTATATGCTTCTAAATTCTACAAATTAGGTGAAATAGATCAATTCCTTGAAAGACAGACTACCGAAACTCAAGAAGAAACAGACAGCTTGAATACCCCTGTATTTATTAAAGAAACAGAAGTGGCACAGCACTTTGGAAGACAATTTGGCAGGTTCTGATAAAGTCAAACGTACATGGACCATGTGACTCGGCAATCCTACCCTTAGGCATTTGCACAAGTGAAATGAAAACCTATGCTCAGACAAAAAGCACTTTGTGAATTCCAATCCACTTATAATTTATCAAAAAGTGAAAATAGTCCATATTCCTCCAACGACAAACCAATAAGCAAACCATGTAGTATTTATACAATGGATTACTATTTGGCAATTAAAAGGAATAACTGTTGATGCAGTATATGAAAGTAGCCAGACTCAAAAGGCTACATCCTGAACGATTCCATTTGTATAAAATTCTGAAAAAAAAGCAATGCCAGAGGAACACAGATCAGTTATTGCCAGAAGTTTACAATGGAAGGTTTTACTATAAAGGGCAAGGTAATTTTTGGAGTGATCATATAATTTTGTAATCTACCAAAAACAAACATAATAAATGGGCAGATAAGTAAAGTTCATGGATTGGAAAGTTCAATATTGCAAAGGTCTCCCAAAAATGACCTATCAATTTAATCCCAGTGGAAATTCCAATCAGTTTTGTGAAGGCTGCTAAGTCAACTCTAAAATGGCCAAGAATAGACAAGATCACCGGAGAGGAAGCAGGGAGGTGGACACAAATATCTTCTGATTGATGAGTGAAATCATTAGAAGGCCAGCAAAAATACAAGTAAGCCAGAATTTCTAAAGCACCACAAAAGAACACTAGTTAGTAGTGCATAAAGGTATCTCCTAAATTTGTTGTAAACATAGGCCTTTAAAAAAAATATTAGAAACTGATATTTAAAGAGATATAAACTCATATTAAGCTTTTAAAAAATTCTAAGCAAGGGCCTCACCTAATTTCATAAAAGGTTGCGTAGAATCAACCATTGCTGCAAACGATGTGCTGCCCTGAGATGTGAGGATCCCAGTGGTCCCTCTGGGTCAACAGCAGCTACCGCAGGTGAGCCCAAATTCTGATACATTATCTATCTACAATCATTATTTTTAACAATTTATATCAATGCTACCCATAAGGCACAGAGAAGCAGAAATGTTTATGTGGCCTCCTGCCAAAAACAATCACTTGCACTTATTTCTAGTACTCCAGAAAACAGTAATAGAAGTTTTTCAATTTAGAAAAACATTTACAGCAAAGAAAAAAATCTCTGTAAACTTCCTGCTTAACCAATCTAGTGAATTGTGATGAGCCATATAAATTCATTTAGCCACCTTATGAAAGACTTAATCCAAAGTCACTTCTAACTTCTAGAAGAGCTAATGTATTATAATCACAGTTGTGAAAGACTCAAAGGCCAGAAATGTCAAGGTGTGGTCTATATCCTAAGTCCAGAAAAAAAAACAAAAAGCAACATGTACAGGCCAAATGATTGCCAATTTCTTCTGCCTACGTCATCTTTCTTCACTATAGCCTGAAATTACATTTCATGTTTGACAATTCTCAGCAAGGAGACAAAACAAGCTTATGAGTAAAATAATAGAAAGCAGAGCCACAGAGAGGACGAGAGGCAGGAGTCATCTCCCAAGTCCAAGTTCAACTTCTATATTATTAGACAAGGCCTCAGTGTCTTTGAACTGCAAGGAATTAATATTGATTGTAGCATGAGTAAAATCTATCTTCTACTCAACATGAAAAGTCACAGTCGTTTTGTTTAAAGACTCCAGAATTATTATAGGCAGAAACAAGTAGGTTCCACACCTATTTGGTGAAACGAGGAATCAGGAATGAGCATTCCCAAGAGAATACAATTACAAAAGTAAAATCACCTAGAGTTTTTGGGCTGCTTAAAAAACCCAGAAAGAAGTGCCAAATGGGAAAATAATCAAATTCAGTGGAAAAACTCACTTGAAGGTATCATGGTCAGCTGGGTTTCCACCCCTTTGTTGCACTTCAAATCCTGTGTATTCCACAAAGACTTGCTCCTTTCTAAAGGCTATGGTTCACATTCAACAGAATAGCAGCAACCACCATGAGCCTGAGGGCTGGCTAGTCTTTAGTATTCTGCCTTATTCAAAGAAAGGATCATTTCCCTCATTCCTAAAGATCTCTTAGGTCCATCACAAAAAAAAAAGGAGCAGCAGCCAGGCGCAATGGCTCACACCTGTAATCCCAGCACTTTGAGAGGCCAAGGGGGGAGGATCACCTGAGGTCGAGAGTTCAAGACCAGCCTGGCCAACATGATGAAACTAAAAATACAAAAATCAGCCGGGTGTGGTGGTGTGTGCCTGTAATCCCAGCTACTTTGGAGCTGGGTAACTGGCAGAGGTTGAACAATTTGCAGGTCTCAGAAGACAGGAAAATGTGGGAAAGTTTGAAATTCCAAGAGACTTGTTGAATGGCTTTGACCAAAATGCTGATAATGATATGGACAATGAAATCCATGCTGAGGCAGTCTCTGATGGAGATGAGGAACTTGCTGGGAACTGGAGCAAAGGTGACTCTTGTCACCTTTGATAAGATGGTGGTTGAGGAGAGGTCTTGGCAAGCAGTGATGTGTGAATGTAGTGAGGGGCCTGAAAATGGAACTCAGAGAGGACACTGGGTTTTAGAGGCTGAAACTACAGAAAGTCCGCTGCGTTCAAGGCCTGCTTCCACCAAAATCTAGCAGTGTGGCCTCAAACCATTTCATTTCTCTTGGCCTCAGTTTCTACATCTGCAAAATGGGATTTATAATCCACCCCAGCCCACAGAATTCAGAGTTATATGAGAAGGCTAGAAGAGCTCACCTACCAAGGGACTCTTTTAATGACAAGGTGGGGAAACTGAGGCACCGAGAAGGCTAGGGCTCTGCTAGCTGTCACCCAGAGTCTGATGGACCTGAGATGAGAAACCAGAACTCCTGCCCCTAGTTCCCCCGGCTTTCCTCAGGCTGGGGAGTGAGTGCGGTGAGATAGAAAGGGCAAGCCCTCCTGCTGTTTCTCTCTGGACAGGGGCGGGATGCTGGGTGAAGGGTGAAAGGAAGAGGCTGGAGAAGGGAGAAAAGCTCCAGCTCACACTAAGTCTGAATTTTTTTAAAATGCGGACTCCGTGGCCCCTCCCTTACCCGCCCCAATCCTCTCTGAAGTCCTGGTTGTGAGGGGCCAAGTCCCAAAGTCTGCTGCTCCGCCTCTCTGTGTGCAGAGCCATGGGGCCTTCACAGGCTGCAGTGGGTCCCGAGCCCCCAGGGCTGTGCCTGCTGGTCCTGACCAAGATCGCGGCTGCCGAGGTCAGTCCAGCGCCAAGGGCACAGGGCCAGGGCAGGCGGGGCAGGGCTACCCGAAGCGCATAGAGGCTGCTGGTGTCAACGTGACGTCTTCTGGGGCGCCTGGCATCCCTAGGAGTGGAAGCCGCTGATGAAGTCAAAGCTGCCTCCTCCTTCAGGAAGACTTTGCTCCCATAGCTGGCGAACAGGAAGCGGAGCAGCGCCAGGAGGATCTGCGGGCGCTGCTGAGGGCTTCTTTGCAGGGACAGTGCAGCAGGCAGCCAGGGACAAGACTGCACGGCAGCGCCCCATGGCCAGGGGAAGCTCAGAACCGGAGTCGCCCGCTGCCCGGCGATTCTCCATCCCTGGATCGGTACAGGGGCATTTGGACGCTGTGGGGAAGTCGCGGTCTGGGGATATTGGGTCCAGCCTTCGGGTAGAAGCAGGTGATAAACGCACTCAGGCCAGCCCGGAGCGTCAGCCACACTGCGGTGCCCACGATGCCCAGGGTGAGCGCCACGAGGCGCAGGAAATTGGCTAGGGTGGGAGCTCACTGGTAGGCGGCCCTGGAAGTCAAAGATCTGCTGCTCCAGCGCTGCCACCAGTTGCAGGCAGCAGAAGGCGAGGAGCGTGTGGCACCCGCGTACTCGCCCATCGCTCCGCGGACCTCTTTATCCAACCTTCAATAATTATTCTTTTTATTATATTCAATGATTATTCTACTTTTCATAGAGAGCAGCTGTCAGTCCAATAACACACTTAACAAATGATATACCTAGTCCTCAAGGTTAACAAACACATGAAGACCAGCCCAACCCTGAAAATCAGTTTGCAAACCTTCGCTATATCTGATGCCATTCCTAAAAATTTTTAGGGACAAGTTTTGTTTGTGGTAAACAACATAAGGTGGGGTGTGTGCTGAGCCCAAAGCTGACCAATTGCTCACAATTACTCATAACTACCCATTGACTTGATTTTATCAAACTTCAGACAGTCTTGTCTCCTCTCCTCAGGCCCCTGGACCTTGGCTCACCACCTAAGACTGAACAAGCACTAAAGGACAGACCAGCCCGCTAACAGCTCACTCCAAAAATGAGCGGGACTCCCAGAGAAACTATTTTTATTGGAGCATCCTGGTTTTGCCACCTGCTCACCCGACTGCCTGTCCTTCTCTCCAAGGAGGCTTCTGCCAGCCCTGCTTGTCCTTCCCTAGAAAAGGAAAGCCTTTTCCTGTTTGATCCTGAGACACCTGTAGATTGAGTTTGGAATATTCTCCCTATTGCAATAGTATTTTTGAATAAGTTTTATTTTTCCCTACCTCTGGTTGATTTTTAATTAATACCAGTAAGCTTGGATGAAAGCCTGCACACCTTAGGTGTGTGTGTGTGTGTGTATGTATGTACTTTAGCATTATCATGAAAGTAATAACAGTAAAATCAAACAAACACAGATGGATAAGCAATATGTTGGACTAGTATGAAAATGGCATTGCCAGCAGTGATATGATTTTTTTTTCAAAATGGTACACTTTTTGAAGTATAATCTTATTTTAACCTAAAATCTTACTATCAGAAAATGCAGTGTACATTAAAATGTTCTGAACTGCTTTTATTCATATATTAAATGGTTGTACTCAAATATCTACAAATTTGTTTTTCACTTATGTAATTGTCTTATAGAATGTTCAAAAGTCTTGCAGAATGTGAGACAATTTTCTATTGAATACGATCGCTTTATCATTGCAAGACATCAAACATCCCTGTTTCCTGCCAAATAAATGTACAATAGCAATAAATGTAAAGGTGTGTTTTGTAAAAAAGATATATTTTTGAGTTACAAAACAAGGATTTTAAAACTTGAATTGTTACAGTGAATATGTCTTAATACAGGCCAGAGTCATTTAGGTAAAAAATTACCTCATATCTATTCTTTGCAGTATCACTTAAAGGTGTTTATTTAGCGGCAAAGATTTTTTTTTTTGTGCCTAGAGGCAGATATTTTGCCCCATGGCTATTTACGGTATGAAACTGTATTTAAATGAGTGTACATATATAAAAGCTGCCATTCTGGCTGTAAACTATTGCAGGTTATCAAGATTAAAAAATAAACAAATAAAAATATTTCAGTTTTTCTATGAAATGTCTTTACTCGAGTCCAAATGTAGAGATATAAAATGCTTGAAATTCATAAAACCAAGTGTTTCACATATTTCAGTTGTGATGGCCTTTGTCCTACTTTTGTTAGTGAAGCAGGCAGACTGCATTTTTTCCCTCTCATACATCTTCAAATGGTAGACAGAAAAATTTGATAAAACTTCTAGGGCATTATCTGATGAAACACATTAAACACTAAAGGAGAAATACAACTTCATTGTTTATAAAAGACGTATAAGAAGGAAACCTGCATACATATATCTATCAGTTTTGTATTTTCAAGAAATATTTGCCTTAAAATGAACTTCATTAGAATATGTGTTCTCCCACAGAGCCAAGGAAAGTAAGTTAGACACAGGATCTGGAAGTCTACCTGTGTGATGTAATTACATTGAAAACATTCCACAAATAATGCAGAAATGTATCATTGTGACCCAAAATATTCTCTAAATTTTCTCAAAGCAATGTGGCCACATCTATTATCTTTTACTATGACTAGTCATCATTCCATGCATTTGAACATTACCTCACCCATTTGCAGCCTCCTATCTCTGCAATTAATTATGGCTAACATTCTCAGCAGTCCAAACATCTTGCAAGTGACAGCTTGAAAAGGCCTACCAGAATGATGTTCACTCTGCCACCTGACTAGCTTGTCTTCCATCTAGACATTGCAGTATGTAGAAGAGTGCTTTTAGTATTATAAATTTGATCCAACACGTGTTCAATTAGATGAAATCTTAAATATTGCACTACATGTGAATTGGGAAAATGTTAATTTGCTTCTGTAGTTTTAAGTGTATTCTCAGAGGCAGATGAAGACATATTACATCACTGAGTTCAAGAAATAAAGTAAATAGAAGAAAAAAGGTGTTATTTTAGTTTGGTTATGTTTATATTTGAAGTTTTCTTATCATACCTTATTTTTTGTTTATTAATTCCAGGGTAGAGTAGAAAAATATGCTCTCATATAATATAAAAATGATATGGGGAAAAGAAGTAAAAAATTAACTTAGAGACACCATTAATTAATTTCTTTTATAAATGAAACACTAGATAGTTTCTATTTGTTTTGACAAATAGATAATATATTTAGAATCAATGCTTTATTTCTTGGAAAGTGGAGTGAAAAATTTAAATGTAGTATTCAGATTGTATTATAACTGTGCACTACAGATCACATACATTTGTCTTTTCTTTGTATTATACATTATTTAATGGTAAGCATCCTTTCAAGGGCTATTTTATATAAGTAGTAAGGTATCTGGAATTTCTGAAATAATAAAAGTGACCTAAATCACTGTGTTTGGTAAATTCACAATACCCAAATAGCAGGAGGGGAGTGCTAGAGGTAGGGAGGAGAATGCTCATGTTCTCATTATTCCCAAACAGATTCTTAAAGTCTTCTCACTGGACACATGGATGCACCTCTGTAATACCCAATGTCTTAGCCACAACTGTCTGCACTTTTTAATGAGATACATTTCAACATTATTCCTTGTCACCTCAATATCAGATACTTTCTCATGTAATCTTTTACTTCTGAGGAGTTGAATTCTTGATCCATAAACTGATTCCATAGTTATGCATCCGTGGATGTTTTTAAATTATGTGAAAATTTTGTATATGCATTTTTCAGGGGAAAGTATCAGATCACCCACCTGGTGATTGTAACAAAAACAATCACTCCTGTTGGTATTTAAGTCTTAATTCAGAAAAATTTGCACACACCCTAAGGTCAGATAGTATTTTGTACCCTACATATAAAAACTCCTTTTTTTTTTTTTTTTTTGAGATGGAGTCTCACTCTGTTGCCCAGGTTGGAGTGCACTGGCATGATCTCTGCTCACTGCAAACTCTGCCTCCCATAACATTAATGATCACTGATCACAGATCACCGTAACGAATATAATAATAAGGAAATATTTTAAAAATTGTGAAGATTACCAAAGTGTGAAACCAAGACACAAAGTGAGCACAGGCTGTTTGTTAAATGGCACCAATAGACTTGCTTCACCAGGGTTGTCACAAACATCTCATTTGTAAATAAAGAAAAAATGTTCCTATCTGTGAAGCACAATAAAGAGAAGTGCAATAAAATATGTTTGTATTAATTTGGTTAACTTTATTCCAACTTAATGTAAATTAGTTTTAAAACAGTTTATAAAATTCTTAAATGAACCTGGCAAATTTAGAGCAATAATAAAATTATTTAAATTAGAAAAGTCTTTTTTAAAAAGGATAAATAACAAATGTCTCATTGGAATTATTAAAGTTGTTTCAAGTTCAGCTCTGAGGTTCTTAGAAACTAAAGTAAAAAAGTATGACCAGTTTCTGAAGTCAAGATAAAATCATACAATCTTTAACTTAGAAAATTATCTTCTGTGTTGTGTCCTAAGCATAAACAAATGTAAGGACTTGCCCTGACACTCTGTAAGTAGTTCCACTCCAATACGCCCTGCAGAAATATTTCCTGGCAAGAACAGCAAGTCAGAAGCCTTTTCAGCATGGCAAGGAGGGAGAGAGACTATGCTATTAAAAAAAAAAAAAAAAGATGAGGAGGAACAATAGTACCTTAGACAAGTGAGAAGTTTCAAAAGAGACATATAAGGAGAGCAGTTGCAATTATAAGGAGCAAAATATGGAATGATGAAAAAAGATACTTTAAAGAAAGTTTTCCTCAGTACTTTGCAATGCGCTTGCCACCTTCTGAAGAAAGCTGGCTCCTTCTGGAACCTTAGGGTATTTCGACTCATGCTTTGGAATGGGGTGACCAGCTACATCAAGCTAACTTAAATTCAAATTTGTGTTCATAGGATAAGAATAATTGGGTTAAATAAAATTCACTTTTAACCTAAAATGTCATTCATTAGTTTTGACCAACTTTCCTTACCACTGGCCACTTGGTCCTTGTCTTGTTTGACCAGGGTTGTCAAACAAGGTTTGTTGTTTCCTTCTTTGAAGGAAAGAGTCAGTGTTTCTTCCATTCCAATGCATCCACTTGAGGAATTTTTAATAAAATGGGCAATGAATGGGCAGCAGAAGAAGTTACAGGCCTGCTGATCAAATGCTAAGTAATAAACCCTGGAAATTCTAAACTCGTTTACATGAAGACCTTGCTTATTTTGTAACTATTATGTATTATCAAATGTATACTTAATTCTTTGAATGTGTTAGTATGTGTTCAAAGTACACCTTAATTTTATATATATATATATATATATATATATATATTTAAATTACATAAAATAAATAAGCCACTAAAAATTTTTAAACATTTTCTTATATTTCCTTTCAGTATTTTTAGGTGCATGCATCTGTACTTGGTAATATTGCTGAATGCATGTTTGCATTGACAAAGCCTCTCCCCTTGCCCAAACTCTAGTTGGGATCCTCTAAGCCACCTCTCAGCCTCAGCTTTCAGTGTTCATCCTAGTCTGGCCCACATCTCTCAGGTTTAGGAAGAAACTTGCAAAGAATCCCCCACTCTCAGTACTGATCACCTTTGATATCTGATCAAATTTGTTATCTCCCACCACCCTCCAGATGATTTCTGATCGGTCTGGCCTGCCTTCAGTAAGAATCCTGTTCGATCTGTTTAACCCAAATCCCCTTTGCCCCTGATATTTCCTCTTAGTATCCCCAGTTGAGCCAATTTTCAACCATTAAAAAAATCTTGGACAAAATTAAGTTCAGATAGGTTCCAGAGTGCTTATATTCAGTTCTTGGCTTTCTGAAGACCTGGCATATCCTCTTTAAATTGCCTCAATACAAGAAAATACAAAATGGAAAGAAGTAGACATTAGAAATTGGAAAAATGGAGAAATACAGGAATGAACATAAGTTTCTATTTCAAGTAATTAGGTAAATTGTAAGATGTTTATATTTAACTTTTTCTCATTAGCTTTAGCCCCTTGAATCTTTGAGAACATGTTATTACTATAGTTATCGAATGTTATATTTTTTATTTTAACGTAGAATGGTATTTTCACTCAAATCTCTTGAAACATATATTTATAGTCAATAGTTAAATTTTATTTAATATCAATTGTTCCTTTTTATTAGTATTTTCTTAAAAAAATAATATTGGCCCAGCGCAGTGGTTCACACCTGTAATCCCAGCACTTTGGGAGGCTAAGGTGGGCAGATCACTTGAGGTCGGGAGTTGGAGACCAGCCTGAGCAACTTGGAGACAACCTTTCTCTACTAAAAATACAAAAATTAGCCGGACGTGGTGGTGCATGCCTGTAATCCCAGCTACTCAGGAGGCTTGAGGCAAGAGAATTGCTTGAACCTGGGAGGTAGAGGTTGCAGTGAGCCGAGATCGCACCACCGCACTCTAGCCTGGGTGACAGAGCGAGACTCCATCTCAAAAAAAAAGAAAGAAAGAAAATGCCAGACATTTATTGAAGGGCTGGAATGGTATAGTGAAGTGTTCTGAGTCAGTTGGGCTCTGATTGATAAAGAGCTTGGCATGTTTGAAGGACAGCAAGGAAGCCAGAATAGCTGGAGCATAGCAGCAGGGAGACAAGTGCCACAAGATGAGCTGGAGAAAGGCACTGGGAAAGGTTTGTCTTTTAAGTGCTCTGAGAAGCAATTGAAGATTTGAAATAGAATAGTGACTTGCTTGATCACATTTGTACTTTTGAAAAGTTCCTCTGGCTGCTGTGGGGAAAGGCTTGAGTAGATGCAGGGTGGGAGAAGCATAACCAGCAGTAGACTCTTGTAGCAGGTTAGGTGAGAGATGGTGGTGGCCACGAGTGGGCTGCTAGTGGTGGAAGTGACAAGAAGCAGAAGGATCGGAGACAAAACTTGAAGATAAAAAGTCTTGAATTTGCTGATGATTTGCATTGACGAGGTGTTGGGGGAGAGGACTGAAGGAGCAGAGGAGAGTGACAAGGGACTGGATGCCATTTATAAGGATGGGGAAGACTGGGATGAAACCGGTTAAGGGAGAAATTTTAACCATGGCAAAATTAAGAGGGGTTTTATGTGAGAAAATGGAAATGCTAAGGAGGAAGTTGAAAATCCTGCTAATTTGGAGATCTTTGATTAAAACTAGAAATAAGAATGTGGGAAGCATCAACTTGCAAGATGCCCTCATTGTAGATAACACCATTTAGGATCTAGGCTCAAGCCCTGGGAAACTCCAGGGCTTTGGAAGTCAAATAGAGGAAGAACACGTACAGGAGATGAAGAAAGATTAGCGAGGAAGTCAGTGAATTATCCACAGGTGGGCTGCTGCCAAATCCAGCAGAACAGTATGCCAGATGTTAGGAGCATGAGTAAAATGAGAAAAGAGAAACGGCTTTTGACAACACTTCCCTACTAATAGTAGGGAAGAAGACATAGGTACAGATTCAAGTTGATTTGAAATTATGAAAGTGAGGTAATTGACCTGCAGTGGTTGCTGCTCAGTGAAATCAGCATAGTGATTACCTGAGCTAGGTTAGAGATTTGATGGGTAAGAAAGAACACCTGAGGGTAATCCTGGAGGGGGAAAAAAATAAAGTGTTTGCTGGAGAGAATGAGTTGGATTGCTGGACTTCAATGTGTGTGGGTTGAGTTTGTGACTTAAAAATGAAACCAGTCTATTGCTTGTGTGGCTTTTCCAAAATACCGTTATTCCGTTACCTATCTCTTACCCCAAGAGTAGTCACATTCTTATTTCTGGTTATTTTAATTCCTGGTGGTATTTTTATGTGATTAATGAGATAGTACTTGTTAATTTGATGATATTCTAGAAACCTGGTAAGTACTATGTACCTTGTCTTAAGTTTTGGTTACTTGATTGGTAAAATTATGCATGCACCATTGAATTACCTAATTCAAAATATATCCTTTTATTGTTTGACATTTGTCTTGTTTTTCTTTAAAATGTTACCTTTGTGGAGTAAACATTTTTCTTTATGCTGTTTAGCATCTTCAGATTAGTTCAGGGTATTGCTGAATGTGGTTGTTTGGAAGTAAAATGCTTTAGTTTTAGTTATATAGATTTTAATAAGATACTACTTTCTATATAATTTATCAGGTACTTTAGGCATTTTAATTTGCAAATTTAGGACAATTTGCTTTAACGTTTCTTCACTTTTGTCCATTGGATGTAATTTCCATAAAGTATTCATTTCCCTGAGTAAAAACCGAAACCAAACCGGCAACTAATGGTCACTGAAGAAAGAGTGATTAAATGCTAAGATTATAATGGTATTTGCATTTTAATGTTACCAGCTCTCTACAGTGTAAAGTTTATGCATTTATCTATTGCTTATGTTTCTCATTGCATTCTTTGGCCTACTGGTTTTGGTTGTTTATAGCTATAGAATATAGAATTCCTTATGGTTATCCATTTCTCCTTTTAAGTAGAGTGATAGTTGTTAGAAGAAAAATAACCCCCCAATACTTTCTTCTAGTGTTAATTCTTAAAGTGTGATTGACTTTTATTTACTTTTTGGTGCAGTAATTGCAGTTCATGAGTCAATGTTGATGTCATATAAACCTTAATTTTTAATGTTTCATTGTAGTGATGTCTCTGTAGCAGCAAACATTTAAGTTATTTGTTATACTTAAATGTTTAAATCACTGTTAGTGATTAGCTTATTTTGCCTTCCTTGAAGCAATTTGTCCTAAATTTCCATATGTTTGCATTTGTTTTTGCTGTTCTAAAATTCCTTAGTTGCTGGCTTTGACCTTTTATGTTGCTGAGTTTTACACATCTATTTTCTCAACTGCCATATCCTAGGAGGCTTGGAGTACCCATAATACAGTGAGCCCACCTTCCTGGTCCCCAGACATTTCAGGAGGTCGGGAAATTTTTAAACCCAGGCAGCTTCCTGGCAGTGCCATTTGGAGCATCAAAGTGGTAAATAAAATTGCATTTACATTCATATATCATTTCTGTCTGATTTGTTTTGCCCTACTGGGTGTAAAGAATTAAATCTTTCTTTTCTAGATTGAGCTTCCAGAAACACTTTTTAAATCTAAAAATTTTAATGTAAAGAAATAATATGCTTGCATTTAAAAATCAATATACATTTTTAATACCTCTTTTTATGGTTAATTCCTTTTGTTGTGATTACTACCGGTTTTATGAGGGAGAAGTCCTTGACATGTAGACCAAAAGGTAATTAAGGACCTTTTCATTCATGATATCATAAAACTTTGTTGCTTAGAAAAAAGCAAAAGAAAAAACTCCATTAATTTATTATGTTCTTATGGAGAAGAAATACCAAAATTGTGGCAGATTTCATTGTCTGTTTAATACCTTAAAATGACAAGGCTTTTTTCCCCATGACATTGGTTGATGGCTGTGCCAGTCCTTGAAGTGAGTTAAGTAGTGTGATGCATTTTGAAGAGAAAAAAATTAATTTGAAAAAGTATTAACTCAAAAGTTAAAATACTTCATTGACTGGAGATGACAGTTTTTCTTCATATTCTATATTTAATATTCTGGAATATGGCTGTTTAATTCAGACTAATCAAGGATTTTAAGGAATTCTAGATTATACTTTATTTTCTTTCATGACTGGAAGAACTATTTTTTTTTAACCTCCCTACCTCCCCCTGATATCATCCAAGATATTGAGGTATAAATATACCTCATTTGACAGTTTGATAATATAGACCACCAATTTTTACTTACCTTTTTTCTGGGTCAGCATTTCATGTTTGAGAAAATAAATTGAGAGATTACTGTAGTCTTGATTTTTAATCACTGACTTAATTTTTCAAAAATCTTTTATACCAGTTTAATAACAAAACAAACTCGGCCGGGCGCAGTGGCTCACGCCTGTAATCCCAGCACTTTGGGAGGCTGAGGGGGCAGATCACCGGAGGTCAGGAGTTCGAGGCCAACCTGGCCAAAGTGGTGAAACCCCGTCTCTACTAAAAATACAAAGAGATTTAGCCGTGCGTGGTGGCATGTGCCTGTAATCCCAGCTGCTAGGGAGGCTGAGGCAGGAGAATTGCTTGAACCCAGGAGATGGAGGTTGCAGTGAGCCAAGATCACATCATTGCACTCCAGCCTGGGCAAAGAAGCGAGACTCCATCTCAAAAACAAACAAACAAACAAAAAACCCAAAAAACTAACCTGACCCCATCTATCTGTTGTGCAAAGAAGCTGATGCACTTCTCAAAAGGGATCTCAAGGAGAGCAGGGTAAGAGAAGACAGGAGTGGCAGTTTGAAACTGGGAGCTGGCTGTATTTATTACATCCAAAGGGAAAAAAGCCATTCCTCCCATTCCTTTTGTTCATGTGTTTCTATTTTATGCTTACAGTATCATCATAAATTTTTGACTTGGAAACCATTCTGCTAAATAGGGAATCAGTTTATTTCAAACTATGATAAGGGACATCAGTTGAAGATATGACATATTATTTAACTTATGGTGAGGGAAACACCTAAGTATTTTCCTGAGCATCTGGATAATTTTAAATACACATAATTCATCTACTTAGGTAGGTGCCAGGTTTTTTCAAGGAGTAATTAATTAGTACGAACAAGGGTGAGGGGGCAGGGAACACCATACTCTGGTACTTAATGTCTGAAATTATCAGGGAATTTAACACATTTTCCCATAGGTTTATTTCTTGTGTAAGAAGTCAGATAAATTATTTCCATTTCAAGTATTTATTATTCAGATTATTTAAAGCAAAGCTTTCACAAAGCCTTTTGTCAGCTTTCCTGTAATCCTCAAATAATTTTTCCTGGCTGGACGCTTTGGCTTACTCCTGTAATCCTGGCACTTTGGGAGGCAGAAGCAGGAGGATCACTTGAGCCCAAGAGTTCTAGGCTGCAGTGAGCTGTGATCACACCACTGCACTCCAACCTGAGTGACGGATCAAGTTCTTGTCTCAAAAATAAAAGTAATAACAATAATAATAAATTTTCCTCTAAATACAATGGTGAATGAGGTAGAAATGTTGAGTTCATAAGAGAACTGTTGAATAGTGAAGGAAACTGACTTAATTTTAATGACAGGAAGAATACTGTTACACACTAGCAAAAATAAACTTTCATGCTGATGTAGCAGTACAGAATATGCTTCCAACCCAGGGACGCTGGAGCCAGGCTTGCTAGCTAAGCGACCTTGGACAAGTTACTTAACCATTTTATTCCTCAGCACACTCATCTCAAACGAGGATAATAAAACCTACTATATGGGATTGTTGAGAGTAAAAAATACTTAGATTAGTACATAGTAAGTACTCAATAGATGTTAGCTATTACTGTAATCACCGCGAGACCAGTTAATGAGAGAGTTCTTCCTTATCCTTACTCTATATTGAATACAATTTGTTGCACTTCGAAATATCTGGATAAGGCTATAGTTGTTGTCGTCACCGAGAATGTAGGAGTGGCAAAGAGAAAAATCATGCAAAGGCTTGCTGATAGCGTTCACAGTGACAGCCCGAAAGTATGATTCTAAGGTTGTAAGCATTTTATATTTAGAATTTTAAGTTGTGGAATATACTTTTAAAGATAAAAATAATAAGCCAGGTCTCTTAATACTTATCTAAAGAAGTGTTTGTATAACATTTAATAAAATGTTTTATCTCAGTGGCATTTGGATTTAAAAATTATTTTGGGCTGTCACAGAATGTTGACTTTTCCTAATCTGTTACATAGGGCCATGGGTCTGGATTTCCAGGAAAGCGGAGACCTCGAGGTGCAGGACTGTCGGGGCGAGGTGGCCGAGGCAGGTCAAAGCTGAAAAGTGGAATCGGAGCTGTTGTATTGCCTGGGGTGAGGCTTGCTTCATGTATATTTTCTCTAATCTAAATGTCAGTTAATGATGAAAATCTCATAGCAAGTTATTTTGAACTTAAAAATCATATAAATAGGTCAAAATGTTTATTTTACTGTCCTACTTTGCTTTTTTTTTTTTTTTGAGCCTCTGGTTACGTTTTCTTGTATATTTACTTTCTCATCCTTTCTCTTTTCTTACCTTCCTCTTTGACTCCTTATCTTTCTATGCCAACCCTCTCTAAAAAGTCAGTATGTAATATAGTTGCTCTTTTATTTAAAAAATTTTAAGATTGATATTTGCTTACTATCATGTTACGAGGCTTTATTTATATGTGTATTACAAATATATTTGTTAACTACTAGCAAATATTTTATGTAATAACTTCGCTATTTTATTAAAATCCTGTTTTTAAAATTCTGAAATGTCATTTTAAGTATAGGAGACAGGTGAAATTGTTCAAGTTTACTACTAAACCAGGAATAAGGAAGCTTAGATTCTTGTCCTTTTTTCAAAAAGAAAAATTTTAAAACCAGGCTTATTGAGGTATAGTTGATATAAGCTATATTTGACATGTACAATTCCATAAGCTTTGATATATACATATACACCCTTGAAAACGATACCACAATCATGATAGTGAATATATTCATCTCCCAACGTTTCTTCATGTCCCTCTGTAATTTTCTGCATTCCCCCTGCCATCCGTCCTTGTCCCCAAGATTAGTTTGCATTTTCTAGAGTTGTATATAAGTGGAATCATACAGAACTGTGTGCTTTTTGGACTGATTTATTTCAGCACAATTATTTGGAGATTAATCTATGCTGTTGTACTTGTTAACAGTGTACTTCCTTTTCTTGCTGAATATTAATAAAACTGTGGATGCACCACGGTTGTAGACCTGTGCACTTTTTTTCTTCTTTTTTTTTTTTTTTTTTTTTCTGAGACAGGTTCTCGTTCTAATTCCTGGCTGGAGTGCAGTGGTGCGATCATAGCTAACTCCAGCTTTGACCTCCCACCTCTGTCTCACAAGTAGCTGGGACCATAGCTGTGTGCCAACACACCCAACTACTTTTTTAAAATTTTTAATAGAGACAGCATCTCACTATGTTGTCCAGGCTGGTCTCGAACATCTGAGCTCAAGCAATTTTCCCACCTTGGCTTCCCAAAATGCTGGGATTACAGGCGTGAGTCACCATGCCCCAGCCTGTAGTCTTAATTTCTTGTAATGTCTTCATCTGGTTTTGGTATCAGCATAACTCCAGCTTCATAGAATGAATCAGAAAGTATATTCTCATCTTCAGTTTTCTGGAAAAGTTGTGTAGTAGTGGAAATGTATCTTCTTATATTATACATGAATTTATTAGTGAAACCATCTTGGCCTGAAATTTTCTTTGTGGGGGGTTTTTGTTGTGTTTTCTTTTTTTTTTTCTTTCTTTTGAGATGGAGTTTCGCTCTTGTTGCCTAGGCTGGAGTGCAATGGCACAATCTCAGCTCATGCAACCACTGCCTCCCAGGTTCAAGTGATTCCCCTGCCTCAGCCCCCTGGATAGCTGGGATTACATGTGCCTGCCACCATGCCTGGCTAATTTTTTTTTTTTTTTTTTTTGTATTTTTAGTAGAGACAGTTTTTCACCATGTTGGCCAGGCTGGTCTCGAACTCCTGACCTCATGTGATCCACCTGCCTTGGCCTCCCAAAGTGTTGGGATTACAGGCATGAGCCACCATGCCCAGGCTGGAGTGCAGTGGCGTGATCTCTGCTCACTACAGCCTCCACCTCCCAGGTTCAAGCAATTCTCCTGCCTCAGCCTTCTGAGTAGCTGGGATTACTGGCATGCACCAACATGCCTAGCTAATTTTTGTGTTTTGGGTAGAGATGGGGTTTCGCCATGTTGGCCAGGCTGGTCTCGAACTCCTGACCTCAGGTGATCCATCTCCCAAAGTGCTAGGATTATGGGATGAGCCACTGGTGCCCAGCCTGTGGGACAGTTTTTAACAACAAATTTTATTTCTTTAATAGGTACCTATTTAGGTTATCTGTCTCTCCTTGCATAAATTTGCACCTTTCAAGAAATTTGTTCATTTTGTCTATCTTGACAAATTAAAGGAATGGAGTTGATCATAATGTTTCTTATTATTTTAATACCTGTAGAATCTGTAGTGATTTCACCTTCCTCATTCTTGATACTAATAATTTGTATCTTGTCTTATTTTTTTCCTGATCAGTCTGGCTAGAGATTTATCAATCTTATTGATCTTCTTGAGTCAGCCTTTGTTTTCATGGACTTTTCTCTATTTTCTTTCCCCTTTCTGTTTTATTGATTTATATTCTCATCTTTATTTTTTCCTATCTTCTCACTTTGAGTTTAGTTTGATCTTCTTTTTTTGTTTACTCTTACGTGTCCCTGCTTGGAAGGGACACTTGTGAAGTTTAGGTCAGAGCTTTCTATTCTCCTTGGCTTATATCTGTGGTCTAGGAAAATGAAATTTCTATCACCTTCTGGATAAATCACACTATTATCTATGCAGGCAACAATAGCACATATTTTCTCAAAGATTACCTTTGCCCTCAAGTTAGGTTTTATTTTTCTAGCAGTCTAAAGGTCATGAAATAAATTATAAAATAAAAACAGTGGGTCTTCAAGCTAGAGGATACTGTTTTCTTTCTTGCATGGACAATTATTTTAAAATATTTTGGTTTTTCTGCACTTATTATTTAAATATGACTCCCCACCCCCACTTGAATCTAGGGACATTGTAGTTTTCTACTGCAGACTTTGTTTCTGGTTTATACTGGGAATATATTGTTTATCATTTTCAGTGAAAGCATCCACTGGTTAAATTTCCTTTTAAAAATAATAATGGATCTTTACAATTTCTTTGAGCTGCTCAGTGTGTATAATGTGTTGAATTTTCTGTTAGTGGTTGGGAGGTAGAAATAGATACTTTATCTCTATTTTAGCCATTTCCATAATTATATATCTCAATAACCTTGTCAATGCATCATTAGTCCTATGACTGAATTAATGATTACTTTTAGTAGTCACTTAGTTTCTTACTGGTGATGATGATTCTACTTTTGTGAATCATCTTGGATGATTCTCTAAAATCTTAGAAAGCTAATTTTGTTAATGCTATGCATACAACACATCAATACATTTTCTCTATTAAAAAAATTAAAGCGTTATAGGTAGATCAGAATTTACCATTACTAACTCCTCAAGTCCTCCTTATTTCCCTGTTACCAGTTTGGTATATTTATATATTAGGTTGATCCATATGAAATTGCCAATATTATTTCTGAACTGATGAAAAGCAGCAATTTCTTATGATTCAACCTATTATATGTGCCCATAGACTACATATAATGACTTTGCATGTTTTTATATTATAGTGCTATACCTCAAATACTGTTCTGCAATTTATTTTTTCATCAACAACGTCTTTTGATAATTTCTTTCATGGCAGTCTATACAAGTTTCTACCTCCCTACTTTTAAAATGTTGCGTAATTTTCTAATGTTTGGATTTGTCATGGCTTTACTTACTCCCTAATGATGAATATTGGCATTATTAACACTTGTAGTCATTAGGGTTCATATGAATATAAATTGCTCTTATAAAGCATTAGTACTATCCATTAAAACTGCTTTTAGGCTGGGCACGGTGGCTCATGCCTGTAATCCCAGCACTTCGGGAGGCCGAGGTGGGTGGATCGTGAGGTCTGGAGATCGAGACCATCCTGGCTAACATGGTGAAGCCCCATCTCTACTAAAAATACAAAAAATTAGCTGGGCATGGTGGCAGGCGCCTGTAGTCCCAGCTACTCGGGAGGCTGAGGCAGGAGAATGCCGTGAAGACAGAGCTTGCAGTGAGCTGAGATTGTGCCACTGCACTCCAGCCTGGGTGACATAGCGAGACTCCATCTCAAAAACAAACAAACAAAAAAACAAACAAACAAAAAAAACTGCTTTTAAATGTATTTGTATTGAAAAATACTGAGATATAGTCCTTCTATTTAGTTAACCAACCAACCTTCCTTCCTTCCTCTTTTTTTTTTTTTTTTTTTTTGAGACAGGGTCTCCCTCTGTCACCCAGGCTGGAGTGCAGTGGCGTAATCTTGGCTCACTGTAACCTCTGCCTCCTGGGTTCAAGTGATTCTCCTGCCTCAGCCTCCTGAGTAGCTGAGACTACAGGCGTGTGCCACCACGCTCGGCTGTTTTTTGTATTTTTGGTAGAGACAGGATTTCACCATGTTGCCCAGGCTGGTCTCGAACTCCTGAGCTCAAGCGATCCACACACTTTAGCCTCTCAAAGTGCTAAGATTATAGGCATGAGCCACCACACCCAGCTGGTTAATCTTTCAGTTGTTCCTCAAGAAAAGTAATTCAGTCGTTTTATGTTTTGACCTTGAACATAACCTGTTGTGTTTCAACTCTGTCTTTCCAGGCTTCGGTTGTAAGCTTTTTAAAGAAAGAGGATTGTATTTTATGATTTTGGCAGTGCCCTCCTTGTCTTCTTCTACAACTTCTAGTTCAGAGCTTTATTTTGTTTCATATCACTCTAGAAATTATTAACAAACCAGTGGCTACTTAGTTGATTTAGTCAAATAGAACTAAGTCCAGACTGAACAATATTGGTTGATAATCATTTGGCTGATACTGAAATTTGGATGTTATTCAAAATAATATTCTAAAGCGGTGCTAATAGAAATATAATGAGAACCACATATGCAATTTAAAACTTCCTAGTAGCCACATTAAAAAGTTACAGTGAGCTGGGTGCAGTGGATCATTTGAGGTCAGGAGTTAAGAGACCAGCCTGACCAATATGGTGAAACCCCGTCTCTACTAAAAATACAGAAATTAGCTGGGCATGGTGGTGGACAACTGTAATCCCAGCTACTTGGGAGGCTGAGTCAGGGAGAACAGCTTGAACCAGGAGGCAGAGGTTGCAACGAGCCGAGATCGCGCCATTACACTCCAGCCTGGTCAACAAGAGTGAAACTCCTCTCGAAACAAAATAAAGGTTATAGTGAACAGGCGAAATTAATTTTAATGCCTTCCATTTTGACCGATATATCTAAAATATTACCATTTCAACATGTAATATGTAATTATGTGCTGTATTTTATGTTTGCAGGACATCTCAGTTCAGACTAACTACATTGCAGATCCCAAGTGTGTGTCATTAAAATAGTGATAGATTTGTGGTGTACATACCTATAATATTATCATTTATAGTTTCTTGATTAGAATTCTGCATAATCAAGTCTTACTAAGACAGGTTTATTATATTTTCTCATTACCTCTTGGTCTAAAGGAATTCTACCTCTAAAGAGAGAATGAGTTGAATAATAAAATGTCATGACTCCATTTTGCTGTAGTATCTTAGCATTAATATTTGGAATTGTTATTCTAGACCTTAGCAAAAATATATGTTTTGATTATGAATTTTCTGAAGCTTTCCAGTTAAGTGTAAAACAAGTGAAAAATATAACTTCGTATTTTGTGTATTTTGCTTTTTATAGGTGTCTACTGCAGATATTTCATCAAATAAGGATGATGAAGAAAACTCTGTGCTCGATATGGTTGTGTTGTTTTCTAGCAGTGACAAATTCACTTTGAATCAGGTTTGAACTTGACAATTTACTGTCTTCCTCATTGAATTCCTCCTTGCACATTTCTGCTTTATCTCATATACACAGAAGTGATCCAATATTTAGCTATAGAGCTATATTAGTTAAGAAGGTATTTTTAAAGTAAAATTTGTAGGTTTTTAGCTTAGTCTCCATTTAAAATATGTTCTGTTTTCTTAACTTCAGGATACATGTGTAGTTTGTGGCAGTTTTGGCCAAGGAGCAGAAGGAAGATTACTTGCCTGTTCTCAGTGTGGTCAGTGTTACCATCCATACTGTGTCAGTATTAAGGTAAACATCCTTAAACTGAGTTAACAAATATGTATTGAATTTTTATTTGGTTTTAGTAGTAACATGAGCTCCCAGTTCTCACAATTAAGTATTATGATTATTAAACATATGTGACAGTATTTAAGTACTTTAAATACTGCTTTTAAGGGTTTCCTATCTCAAGAAATTTGCTCCTCTATAAATCTTATATTGTACTAATATCCTGCTTTTGTCTTGAAAAAGTAAAACATAAAAATATATGCATTTAATTTAAAAGACAATTTATACTATTCACAAAGATTTTAGGTTTAGCTGATTCATTTTGTCTGTTGACTTATAAAGCTGAGAACTGGAGTATTTAGTAAAAAATTATTATCCCATTCTGTTCTTTCCCACATTCTGTCTCCTCTGTGCTCACTCATATACAAAATGACATTTTCTCCTTATAGCCAAAAGAAAGAAAACAAGTGTCATATTTAATGCAATCGGTAATAATCGAGAGTCAGCACTGCTCACTTTCAAGCATTTCAGGATAGAGGCTTTCTGGGGAACCTTTTAAGTGGTATCGTGTGCTTGGTTTTAAATATGGACAGGTCTCAATACTTCACTAGTTGTATCTAAGGTTCTTGGTTTTTTCTTTTTAAGAACTCAGTCTTAATAAAACTTACATATTTGAATAAAGTGTCATGGCCACTGGAAGCAAGCATGGAGGTATAGCTGTACAGCAGAGGTCTTAAACTGTATACTCCACAAGGAAATCTTTTCTAGTATTGCCATACCATGTAATATAAATACTAACCTCAGTTTCAATAATAGGTTGTGAACCATGAGTGATTTTTATGCCATTCTCCCCTGCCCTTCAGACATCACTGTGTTATATCATTGTCAGTAAAATGTCAGTATAGTAAGCAAATCAACATTATCTCCTTCAGAATTCTTTGTTGATAACTACACTAGTATTTATTTTATAGGGTAATACAGGTTTTTGTGAATTTAGGAATCAAAATGAAAGATTGTAATTAATACTATCCAAAATAGAAGACTAGTACGGTTAATTTCTGTAGTTTTTTAAAATTAGTTGCTCATGCTATGTGACTGAAAAACACAGAGTATATAAAGCCAATTAAAAATGGAGTTATATATGCATAAAACATGTTTCTTTTCTTCTTTGTACTTTATATTCTGTATAAAAGTAGCTGCTATCATTAGATTTTGTTTTTTAGAATGCTTAATGTTTTGGACCTAAGGAAATTGAATAAGATCCCTTTCAAGATAGTAATGTATTTCTTTTAACCCATCCAACAATTACCGAATTCCCATTTTACAGATGAGTACGACTTACATAAGTTAAGATTGGACAATTAGTGCACTATCAGACACCTAGTTATTCCTGTTTTTAAAAATTATGTGTGGTTCCTTTTACATGACACTGTTTTGGACAGTATAGAATACTGCAGTCTCATTGAGAAATACAGCAGTATCTAGAAATATACTAGGGATATATGAATTGGCTCAGCTTGCATTTTTATTGCAGGAGGCAATTGTTTGTGGATAAGTTTGATACCTTTGAAGCTTCTTTTTAAGCTTGCTGGGGCAAGTCTAGAAAGCCTTCACTCTAAGGTGGATATTTTCAAACTTTATGGTTTTAGAACCTTAACACTCTTTAAAATTACTGGGGACGCCATAGTTTTTGTTCATGAGGATTTTAACTATGGACTATTCAGCATTTTAGAAATTAAAACTAGGAACATTTTGTAACACAAGACTACAGAAGCACAACCTGTACAATGTCAATGTAATATTATGATACAACATGTAGCTTCTATAAACACCACTGTATAATTGTGAATAAATTAAAGTGAAAAAAGGCAAATTAAATCTTAGTATTATTTAAACTTGTTTTAACTTTACAGACCCACTGGGGTTCCCTAGTCCACATTTTGGTAGCTGCAGTCCTAGCATTAGTTTAACCCTATACTTAAGACTTGGCCTTTCTGGGATCACTACTGAATTCTACCCCCTGTTCACCAGTGTCTTTGTACTCTGACTGGTTGTGCTTCACTTGTCTTTGAGCCTTTTGCAAGCTCTGGTAATTGTGCAGCTTACACATTCCCAGTAGATGTACTTTCCCCTGGTTGTGGGTCTTTGGGCTTCTAGAAGTACGGCTTGGTGTTCCACCAAAGACTTCAGGGGATCCTTTGTAGATTTCTGGAGCTCTTAGTCCTTATTGCTTCTTCATTTTGAGTACTGTGTCCTGCAAATTCCACTGCCTCGCCTCCCCTAACCTCAGCGAGGCCATTGATTGTACTCTGCTGAGGTTCTCCCTCCCTGGGCAGCATTCTGGAAAATGTTTCTAGGCAGAATATCATAGGACTCCCTGAGTGTTTCCTTCCTCTCAGAGACCACTGTCTCCTTTACTATGTGTTGTCCAATATCTGAAAACAGTTGTTTCATACACTTTGTCCAATTTTCTACTATCTTATGGGAAAACAGGCTGGTCCCATATACTCCATTATCGTTGAAGCATGTATCCGTATTAGATTATAAAACATATCTGTAACAACTTTGGACATGGTACCATGGATGGAATCCTGGATGACATCTTATTTGAAAAAACTTTTAAAACTAAGGCTAAACTGGTTCAATGGAAGAAAAAAATGATAGTACAACCCCAGTACCTAAGTTAAAAGGAAATTTCAAAGACAGAGAAATTGTTGAAGTGTTGAAGTACTAGAAGTCAAGAAACACAAACACTAATGTTTCCATTAGATTTGAGAATAAGAAGGTCTTGACAAGCCTGGCTTAAGCAGTTATGAGTGGATGTGGGTGTAGAGACCAGACTGTAGTGTTTTGAAGAGTGAATATAAGCGGAGAAACTTGAGAGTTTGGTTGTAAAAGGGACCACAGGTATCTGTGAAGAAAACTTAGTAGGAATGAAGATAAATATTTTAAAAATTCTGCCACTAAACACCTCAGATCTGTCTGCCACTTTGTCTTCAGGTCATTGTTTAAGCCAGGGTCAGGCAGACTGGCCCATAGACTAAATCTGGCCCATTTCCTGTGTTTGCAAATAAACTTTTATTGAAATATGGCCAAGTTCTTTTGTTTACATATATTTGTAGCGGTTTTTGCATTACACTGGCAGAGTTTTTATAAAGTTGCAACAGATCATATGGCCCTCAAAACTTTCTGTTTACTCTCTGGCCCTTTATTGGAAATGTTTGCTGGCTACTGCTCTAAGCCACCCTGATCTTACCCCAGGCCATTTCCTTCATTTGGGCAAATAATATACTAACTTGGTAATCTAAGACAAATTCTTAAAAATCAATAAGCTAATCAAAATAATAAATATACATGTTTAAAAATCAAATGACATTAAAAGCCTCGTAATGGGCCAGGTGTGGTGCCTCACACCTGTCATCCCAGCACTTTGGGAGGCCGAGGTGGGTGGATCACTTGAGGGCAGGAGTTCAAGCCAGCCTGGCCAACACAGTAAAACCCCATCTCTACTAAAAATACAAAAATTAGCCGAGTGTGGTGGCTCATTCCTCTAGTCCTAGCTACTCAGGAGGCTGAGCCAGGAGAATTATTTGAACATGGGAGCCGGAGGTTGCAGTGAGCTGAGATCACACCACTGCACTCCAGCCCAGGCAACAGAGCAAGACTCCATCTCAAAAAAAAAAAAAAAAAAAAAGGCCTTGTAATGAGCAACCAACTCTTGTCTTACTCTACGTCCACATCTGAGGGAATCACTTTTAATCTTTTCAGGTCTTTTTTCTTGTGGTTAATGCTATAGCTCTAAATAATCAACTGGTTTACTGCTTTATCAATGCTAGATTTTGTTGACTTTCTGCTGTGAATAAATAAATTCTGATTTAGGTCTTAAAATACACCTCCTTCCTTCTCCCAATATAGTTGTATTACTATGTTTAGTTCAATTAATAAGGTGTTGGTTATGACTCAGTAAATGTTCACTGCAGATCTAAACAGTATACTATGAGTTTCTTTTGTCTTTCATGGAGTTTTTAATAACAAGAAAGTAATAGTGACTCTCCATTCGTACTTTGTTTTTGCCTACTATAGAACTATCATATAAGATTATTTTTTAAAGTACTGTTTTTTTCTGGGAGAAGTCCTACCCTCTTTCTAGACATTCCCTTCTCCTGCTCTGATATGTGCCAGTGGCTTCTGGGTGTGTTGTTCTCATCCTTAAACTTCCCTGGCCTGATGTCCTTTGTCGGATCTGTTGATTTATAGATCCCAAGTCTTCCTTTTCTTTGTAATACATCCTCATTCTGTTCTGCATATCTCTAAGTAACTTTATTAGAAGGAGAATGAAGGAGCTGAATTTTGAGTCTTCCTGTGTCTACAACGTATTCTGTCTTCACACATAGTTGCTTGTGTAGCTAGGTTGAGAATTGTACTTTGAAAAGTATTTTCCTGTAGAATTGGAAGATTATACTCTTCTAGCATCTGGAGTTGGGAAGTTTTGTGCCATTCTGATGGGTGTTCCTTTGAATTTAACTCTTTTATTTTCTTCTCTGGTAGCTTTTAGGCTTTCTTGTACCTCATGATCTGAATTTTTATTCTGTACCCTCATTACTTGCTGTTTCATTATAATGTGGGCACTTGATTGGTTCTGTCTGAGGATCCTAGTCTTTTGAGATCTTTAAGAAGTTCCGCAATCTTAATATTACATGGTGTGGCTTCCTTCAGGAGTTTGTTAGGGATTTGGAAATTCCCAAATATTCTGCTAACTTATACCCTTGAGAGAGGGGAGAATAAACAGAGGAGTGAATGTGAACTTCAGAATTCCTAGCTTCATAGTCTAAATAGAAATCTTCTAAGATCATAAAATGTCCCTAAGAACTCATGCTTTACATTATTTTTTTTGGTATTTTTTCTATTGATTCTAAGCATGGAAATGTAGATGGAGATTTTGTTGATGTATTTTCAAATTATGTATCAATAATAGTGAAGCTTACTTGATTTCTTTAAAATCTGGTCACTATATCTATAAATACAGTGGACATTAAATGTACAGCATAAGGTAATTATGTGGACTTTAAAAAGGCATTAAAATATGTGCCATTTTCTATTATTCTGCTCAGTAGCCTCCTAAAAGCGTGTATGAACATGCCCAACCCAGTATTGGGCCTCCGTAGGCGCTCAATAAATGTTAGTTGATTGCCCCTTTCTGCTTCTAGGTACATAAGCACCATATTAATTTATATAGTATATTTGATTATGTTAGGTTAATGCATAAATCACATGGATTGGTTGTTTCTTTTACAGATCACTAAAGTGGTTCTTAGCAAAGGTTGGAGGTGTCTTGAGTGCACTGTGTGTGAGGCCTGTGGGAAGGCAACTGACCCAGGAAGATTCCTGCTGTGTGATGATTGTGACATAAGTTATCACACCTACTGCCTAGACCCTCCATTGCAGACAGTTCCCAAAGGAGACTGGAAGTGCAAATGGTTCTCTAGGGTTTGTTTGCCTTGTTAGTCTTTCAAGTTCAGAGCTTTCTCATACCACTTTAGTTTTTAAAAATTAGCCATACCTATTTAATTGAATAATACACATATTCTATGATAGATACCACTAATCAGAAAAATTTTCACATACACATTAAATCATTTGCCCCATTATGTTCGTATGTAGCTTCCTGAATTACAGTAACTGAATAACTAAGAAAATAAAATTGAGACTTTTCGGGGGGATTTGGATTTCAGGTGTGTTTGGTGCAGACACTGTGGAGCAACATCTGCAGGTCTAAGATGTGAATGGCAGAACAATTACACACAGTGCGCTCCTTGTGCAAGTTTATCTTCCTGTCCAGTCTGCTATTGAAACTATAGAGAAGAAGATCTTATTCTGCAATGAAGACAATGTGATAGGTATTGTGCTATTTTTTCATCTTTTTAAAGCTTTTCTCTTTGAAATGTAGCAAAAAAAAAAAAAAAGGAAAATAGCTTTTCCTTAATCACAAGTTTTAGGTACAGAGCTTTTTGCCTTGTAGATTTTTAGTCACCTAGAAACTTACAGAATTGATTTCCTGTTTTGAACTCTCAACTCCAGACTAAAGTTTTGTTTTGTTTTGTTTTGTTTTGTTTTGTTTTTAAATTTACAGACAGAGTCTTGCTCTGTCGCCAGGCTGGAGTGCATCGGCGCTATCTCGGCTCACTGCAAACTCCACCTCCGCCTCCTGGGTTCAAGCGATTCTCCTGCCTCAGCCTCCGGAGTAGCAGGGACTACAGGTGCATGCCACCACGCCCAGCTAATTTTTGTATTTTTAGTAGAGACAGGGTTTCACCATGTTGGCCAGGATGGTCTCCATCTTTTGACCTTGTGATCCACCCGCCTCAGCCTCCCAAAGTTTTATGATTATAGGTGTGAGCCACTGTGTCCACCCAAGACTGAAGATTTTTAATTTAGGCCTTTTTGAGGGTTTAGGAATCCCTTGAAATTAGATGGAGAATTATTGCCTTCATCTATGCTGTTTCTTATGAAGGGTTTCTGAATCTTTTAATAGATTATAAAAAATATCTAACACTTTCTGTTCTCCTTAAACCACTTTCTCTTAAAGCTCTAGATACTAGATATCTAGGTATTAGATAGCACCTTCTGCCCTCCCTACGTAATTATGTGGAATTTCAAAATCAAGAATGTTTCCTTGCTTTCATTGGTATATTGTTGTACTCTTTAGAAGTTAAGCAGTGAACATATATTGATAGTATTATTTTATCAGTAGTACAGTATTCTTGGGACTCTGGCTACTAATTATCTGTTCCATTGCAAGACAACTTTTTACTTTATTTCCCAATTACCATTCAACATCGCTTTCCATGATATATGTCTACTTCAAGTTAGATGCATTGCCTGGAGCCCATATATGCTAGCACTGCCATTTGCCGTTTTCTGAATACCTTTGTGTTTGCCCTAACTAGCTTCCTTGCTGTCTTTGAAATATTTAATATATGATGATAAAATAATTAGCTTCCTTATGTAATGTGCTTTGCTTCCTCTCTAATAGTTGTTCTCATTCCTTTTTATTTCCTCCTTAGCTCTATGAAAGTTTTTCTGTTAATAGGGATAGTTAGGAGAAAAGGGCAAGGTAGGAGGAGCATGTGAGGCTTAGGGCTTTTAAGTTTGATGACTCAGTGTTACAGGTTTTAAAAGGTAGCAGTTCTCAGTATATTCCATTTTTTTAAAAAAATGTACAAATATGGTCTTTTTAGATGGATGCATGCAGTTCGTCAGAACTTAAATACTGAGGAAGAAGTGGAAAATGTAGCAGACATTGGTTTTGATTGTAACATGTGCAGACCCTATATGCCTGCGTCTAATGGTAAGAGAATAATTTAAACTGTGAGTCTGCACTCTTGTACCACTCACTTGCACCTTACTGTCCATAACCAATGAATTAGCTTAGCTCTACTCTATTTTGTCTTTGTGAAACTTACTTTGACAAGTATTTTATGAAAAATATTATTGTTGGTTATACATGACTTATCACAACTTGTTATAAAACAATTTACATGAAACAATAAAAAGCATATACTTTAGATGTAAACTATAATTTTGCTTCCAAGGAACATGATCTTGTAGTTATTGACAATATGTTAAAATCCAATGTGTTGATTCTTTCTTAGCCAGGTTTTCCTCCATGACTTGAGTATTTCCTTCATCACTTCTTGTTTTGTTGTTGCTTTAAAAAGTGCTTTTAACTTTAGTGTTCAAACATTTATTTTAATAAAATGAGTATAGAAACAGAAATTTTAATCATATGTAAGTATGTAAATACACTCTACCTTTTCTGAAAAGAATTACCTGGATTTTTTTTTTTTTCATTTCAGTGCCTTCCTCAGACTGCTGTGGATCTTCACTTGTAGCACAAATTGTCACAAAAGTAAAAGAGCTAGTTAAAATTTGAAATGCTTTACTTAATTTAATTAATTTACTTTGCTTAATTTTTACATAATTGGCTTACCACTTGTAAAATCTGCTTCAATCATATGGGTGTTCTATCCAAATTCTGTAATGTTGGTAATCATTTCCACAATGATATATAAAATGTCATCCAGCTTTACTGGGGCAGTATTCCTATAAATTTCAGCAAGTTGGCAACAAAAATAACAGCTCTTAGAATAACCATTAATGCCATACTTGCTTTGGTTTCATTGATATATTACTGTGCTTAATTATCAGTTAGCAGAAAATACGGCCTAGTTAGCAAGCAGATTTCTTTTAGAATTAATTCAATCTCTTAATTTTTTAAAATAATTAATAAGCCTAGTATGGTGATTAATATGATATTCTTATTAAACAGTCATTCTTTTGAATACTTGTATTTAATAGCACCTGATACAAAAACATTTGGATAGTACAGAAATTGTTCTAAGGAACAACAGTTTTGTACATTTAAAATTAAATCTGCAGGATTTGTACTTATTTATTACTTCTCCCTATTAGTAATTATGTTGATACTCTGATTTTTCCAGATGAGCTTCTGGAGTATTCTCTCTTCTCTTGTGTAAATAGATCCCTGCCTTTTGATCTTTTCCAGGAAAAAGCTCATAGTGGATTAGCTGAGCATTGCATATATTTGCAGTGCTTCTAACTCTTTTTATTGGGACATGAACATAAAAATGCCAGGAAGACTTTTTTGAGACGGAGTCTCACCCTGTTGCCCAGGCTGGAGTGCAGTGGCACGATCTCGGCTCACTGCAACCTCCGCCTCCCGGGTTCAAGCGATTCTCCTGCCTCAGCCTCACGCACAGCTGGGATTACAGGTGCCCGCCACCACGCCGGGCTAATTTTTTGTATTTTTAGAAGAGACAGGGTTTCACTGTGTTTGCCAGGATGGTCTCGATCTCCTGACCTCGTGATCTGCCTGCCGCCTCGGCCTCCCAGAGTGCTGGGATTACAGGCATGAGCCCCCACAACGGGCCCAGGAAGACCATTTTTTAAAAACATGTAACATTTCTGCCTATAATCCAAGGAAGTTTGACCTATTGTTCCTAGTTTTTATTGGGTATCATGAAATTAATTATTCATGCATTTCATAGATACGTAATTACTTTCTAGAACTACAGTCACATTCCCTTGACATGGGTATTTTGGAACAGTAATCAGTCAAATTTAAAATGAAAGTTTAAATTTGTATTCTTGGGATTTTGTAATTTTAGACCCACCCAAGACTTATACCCAGGATGGTGTGTGTTTGACTGAATCAGGGAAGACTCAGTTACAGAGCCTCACAGTTACAGTTCCAAGAAGAAAACTGTCAAAACCAAAACTGAAATTGAAGATTATAAATCAGAATAGCGTGGCCGTCCTTCAGACCCCTCCAGACATCCAATCAGAACATTCAAGGGATGGTGATATGGATGATAGTCGAGGTAATACTAATTTATTTTCCGTGAAATATGTGTGCAAGAATTACAGCATATAAAGTAACTTTTGAAATATGTGTATGGTTTACCAAAGGGTAAATCACACTGACTTAGATAACCCCGATGTGACCCTTGCCATCTCCAAATGAGTGATCTTCTTAGACCTTGCCTTTTCGGGTTCTCTTCCTTTCACACATTTTAGAACAGACCTACCTTACAGAAATCTCAAGGAGCACCATATCTTTGAAGATCACAGGTGGGGAAATACAGAGGTCTTGACTTTAGTTTGCTAGATAACGACACAAACCTTCTCAGATACTGTGAGCTTGGATAATACCATGTTTAAGTTAAGGTAGTTGAGGCATACATTCTAGAAATGGAAAAGCTGTCATTTAATATTACTTCAGGTATAACTTCATATTCACCAGTGTGCATCATAAAGTATTGGTTTATAAACATTTTCTTAATCAAAGTAAATATAAGGTTTTTCTAGCTGAATTCTTTTTTTTTTTTTTTTTTTTTTTTTGGTTGGGAGACAGGGTCTTGCTCTGTTGCCCAGGTTAGAGTGCAGTGGCATGATCTTGGCTTACTACAACCTCTGCCTACTGGGTTCATGCGACCCTCCTACCTCAGCCTCCTGAGTAGCTGGGACCATGGATGTGGGCCCCCACGCCTGGCTAATTTTTGTATTTTTTTGTAGAGATGGGGTTTTGCCATTTTGCCAAGAGTGGTCTTGAACTCCTGGGCTCAAGCCATCTGCTCTGCTCAGCCTGCTGAATTCTTGAGATAGCAAAATATTTTAATAGTAACCTAAAATCCAATATGAATTAAAGAGGATTACTGTAGGTTTCCTCATTTTTGGGGCAGTTATTTATTTTCAACTGATTCAGAAGTGAAGTGATAATTATTTCTGTTCCATTACATTTTATTTCATAGCTTTTTTTTTTTTTTTTTTTTTTTAAGGGGCAGTGTCTTGTTACATTGCCCAGGCTGGTTTCCAACTCCTGGGCTCAAGTGATCCTCCTGCCTCAGCCTCTCAAGTAGCAGGTACTATAGGCATGCGCCACTGCAGCCGGCTTTTAGACAATAGAATTTATTGAATACCTACTGTATGTCAGATGTTGGAAATCATACCAGTGTACAAAGCAGGTAGAATTCTCTGCATAGAGTTTATATTTTAATGTTAGGTAACTCAACTCTTAAAAAAAATCAGTTAATTATAATGTGTTTGGCAAGTTCCATGGTAAAAATAAAGTTTGATAAAGAGGAATTGCCTGGCCAGGCACAGTGGCTTATGCCTGTAATCTCAGCACTTTGGGAGGCCGAGGTAGGTAGATCACTTGAGGTCAGGAGTTCGAGACCAGACTGGCCAACATGGTGAAACCCGTTCTCTGCTAAAAATACAAAAATTAGCCGGGCTCAGTGGCATGCACCTCTAATCCCAGCTACTTAGGAGGCCAAGGCAGGAGAATTGCTTGAACCTGGGAGGCGGAGGTTACAGTGAGCCGAGATTGCACCACTGCACTCCAGCGTGGGTAACAGAGCAAGACTCCGTCTCCAAAAAAAAAAAAAAAAAAAAAAAAGGAATTGGAAGTACAGACAGGTGTTTAGGGTCCATATGAACAGAAAGCAGTATTTGAGCACAGATTTTAAAGAGGTGAGTGAGTGAGCCACTTGATTACCTGAGAGAAGAGCACCCCAGACAGTGAAGAAGCCAGTGTAAAGGCTCTGGGTGAGAGTGTGCTGAGCATGTTTGAAGAGTGTTGTGGAGACCAACAGAGTGAGCAGAGGGGACAGTCAGAAGGTGAGAAGATTAGAGATGTGAGGACAAGAAGGACGGCTCAGTATATCTCACACAACCATAAGGTGATGTGTCAGTAGTTTGTGCTTAATAGCAATGGAATGGGAGGCCATTGAATGTTCCTGAAAAGAAGAACACCATGATCTTATTTATATTTTAAGAGGAACACTCTCCTATGATATAAGTAGATGATTAGGTGCAAGAGTTATGACAGGTAGATCAGTGAGAAACAATGGTCCAGGTGAGAGGTAATTGTGGCTTTGAAAAGGTATGTCTTTTGTGGCCGGGCTCGGTGGCTCATGCCTGTAATCCCAGCACTTTGGGAGGCCAAGGCGGGTGGATCACCTGAGGTCAGGAGATCAAGACCATCCTGGCCAACATGGTGAAACCTCGTCTTTACTAAAAATACAAAAATTAGCTGGGCGTGGTGGCAGGCACCTGTAATCCCAGCTATTTGGGAGGCAGAGGCAGAGGATTGCTTGAACCCAGGAGGCAGAGGTTGCAGTGAGCCAAGATCGAGCCACTGCACTCCAGCCTGGTGACAGAGTGAGACTCCATCTCAAAAAATAAATAAATACATGAAAAGATATGTCTTTTGTATGTTCTTGATAATTTTTGTTTTGTAGTGTGTTTTGGGTCTATGTTGCTGGGAGAAACACTTTCTGATGCTTGTATGTAACTGATTTTCAGATACAGTTGAACAGGTAATTTGATTTGGGGGCTTGGAGTTTGCAAAGAAGTAGTCCATATACTTGGAGGAATTGATCAGATCAGCATTAACAAGAATTTCCATTTCTGAGGATGTTAAAAAATGTCTGAAAAAGGTTTCCATAGTCTCTTAAATTTGGGAAGTGCTCCATTTCACAAAATATGAAAGGTTTCTTGATAATAGTACACATTGTTTCCCAAATTATGTGATTATAATACCTTTTAAAAACAACACAGAAGATCTTGGAAGGTTTTCCTTGTGACTTACCACTTGTAAACACTGAGAAATGGTGATATGTTTCAATTTCATATTTTCTCATTGACTCGTATCATGGTAAAAGAAAATCAGTTGAAAAATTACCCTTGCTTTTTTAAAATTTACGTGATAAAATAGCCCATCTGAATTTACTGAATTTGTCTTTATTTTTATTGAATATGAAAAAAGATTGTTTAGTGTGTTAGATGTTAAATGCTAAGACAATTTTAGAATTTAAGGAATTGAATATACAGTATTTTCATGACTAGTCCCTCACGTTCCTTTACATGCCAGGATCTCACATCCTTTGCAGAAGGAAAGGTACATTCCTAGGGATAAAATAAATGCATGTTACTTGGACAACATTTTTGCTTTCTGTTTGCTAAATAAAAATCCTTTTTAAAAATTTAGTATTGCCAAACTTTGCCATATTAAAAATGTTCTAGATTACTATATTATCCTGAAACTACATGTACACACACACCACTAAAATAAGTTTTATGGTATTTCATATGCCTGTACGGGAGAAAAAATAGGAAAAGAATACAATCATCATAAGTTCTTATTATTACATTATGCTGAGATTTCTAATAACGCTGCCCTTTTCTGGGTATTTTGTATTAAACCTAAAATTTGTGATGTTTTAGACTGTTTCACTAACATGTTTTGATAACGTCTCAGTACCCTTGGGAAAGCATTATAAAGTAGTGGGCAATGATGAAACCTACTCTGGATGTTTTTAGGCAAATTTTTTAACTTCTCTGATTCTAGTGTTCTCTTTTATAAAATAGGTGAACCAGGATGAGCCCATAGGATAGTTGTGCTGATGAGGTGCAAGGATGCATGCCAGGCACCCAGCACTGGCTCTTCCCAGACATGGAGTGCTCAGTAATCGTGAGCTATTAGAATACAGGTGCCCAACCAGTGCTTGAGCAATTGTGTTCTGTGTCCAACAGAACTCAACAGAATCCCACGTTTGTCTTTATATGTGAATTCAGTTCCTTTTGAGTTAGTAAGAAATTTTGCCTGTGTTGGGGTAATTGAACTTTCAGGAGGAGGGAATTGTCTGCCACAATTATTCTCTGAACTTAATGTTTCCATGTCTTTTTCTTCATTTTGGAAGTTGTGGAAAAATTATAATGAAAGAGTATATAAACGTTTTCCTCTGTATTATAGTGTATCTGACAGTTTCCTTTATTAAAAAGTACGATACATTAGGGAGAGACTTAATGAATTTAAAATTAAAGTTTGAAAAGTGTTATTGACTATAAGTGATCTTCAGCTGTGCAGTTTTCAACTTGAGGTTGTCAGAATGTAATATTACACATTATATTACACACATCTACAGAATCCAAATTGTGATGTTCCTGGAGTATTGGAACAATACCTATGACTTTTTGTTTCTATTGATTTTTAACTCTTCTAATAACCACTTCTTTAAGAAAAGTCATACATCATCACTTTGGTGTATCAGAAACAAATTCCTTATGCAATAAAAGCATACTTCTTTCTCATTCACCTACTGGGATCTAGAAACCCTGTTAATGCAAGAAAAAATCCCAAACCTCAATAAAATAACACTCTGTTTGTCTGAAGAGTGGAAACACAACACATTTCCTCTCAACTGGTGGTCCCAGATCGACCATCACAGTGTATGGATGTGTTTGGAGGTGTGGGAATAGGACTGCTCTGAGGCTCTAGAAGGCCAGCAGGTTGGGCAGACTGAATGGAGGGAGGGGACTGGCATTCAGTAACTACTGGAGCGTGGGAAGAGTGAGGTAGACTGTCCATCTGGTGAAGGTGGCTGCTTCCTTGAGGTTTGTTACTTTCTGTAATGTTAATTCCCTCAACTTTTAAAATTTGATTTTTAGACAAGTTATACATTCAAATGATTTAAAATTGGAAAATAATAAAAAGGTAAACAGTGAAGTCTCTCCCTTTCCCCTGCCTTCATGCCCCCAGTTTGCATCTCCAGAAACCTCAGAGGTTTCTCGTGTAACTTTCCAGATGTGTTTTATGCATGTACAAGGAAATGTGTGTTTATATATATATATAGTGTGTGTGTGTGTGTGTATATATATTTTGTTCCTTTTGTCTTACTACTTTTTACTGTCCTTCATTTTTTTATGGCTGCAAATATTCCTTTGTATGGAAATATAAGCAATTTAATTTACCTGTTCTTTCCCCTGTTGATAGACCTTTGGGTTTCTTTCAATCTTTTTTTTTTTTTTTTTTTTTTTTTTTTTGAGACAGAGTCTCACTCTGTCACCCAGGCTGGAGTGCAGTGGCATGATCTTCGCTCACTGCAAGCTCCGCCTCCTGGGTTCACGCCATTCTCCTGCCTCAGCCTCCCGAGTAGCTGGGACTACAGGCACCCGCCACCACGCCCGGCTAATTTTTTTGTATTTTTAGTAGAGACGGGGTTTCACCATGTTAGTCAGGATGGTCTCGATCTCCTGACCTCGTGATCTGCCCGCCTCGGCCTCCCAAAGTGCTGGGATTACAGGCGTGAGCCACCACTCCCGGCGTTCTTTCAATCTTTTACTGTGAATAGTACAATGAATCACCTGGTATATTTATAATGTTGTAGGTAAGTGGGCCTGCAAAGGTGAATTCCATGCTAAATCCAAAGACATAATGCATTTGAAACTGTTTTTGGCAGGTAGGATACAGTTTTTTGTTTTTTTCTTCATTTATTTTTATTATACATATCTGAGGTATACAACATGCTTTGTATACATAGTGAAATGATTACTATGGTCAAACAAATGTCTGTATCCTTCACCTTCCATAGTTACTCTCTGTGTATGTACACCTAAAATCTCTTTCAGCAAATTTTCAGTACACAATATTATTAACTATGGTTCTCATGCTGTGTATTAATTTGATCTCTAGAATTATTCATCTTACCTAACTGCAGATTTGTACCCTCCGACCTACTTCTGCCCATCCCACCCATCCCCTACCTCCAGACTCTTGATAACCACCATTCTACTCTCTATACATTCAGCTTCTCACCCCCCGGCCTCCCATTCTGCTTCTTAAGTGAGATCATACAGTATTTTTCTGTGTCTGGCTTACTTTATTTAGCATACTTTCCTCCCGGTTCATCCATGTTGTCACAAATGGCAGTATCTCCTTTCTTAAAGCTAACTATTCCATTGTATAAAGTCCTCATTGTCATCAGTAAGTTCTTAGAAACTGTGGTTAAGAGGGGAAAAAAAGTATGACAAAACTGATTTTTTTTTTCATTTTGCATTATGCCAAAATTAGATTGAAGGAAACAGTGTTACTTGAGGACCTGCTGTATGTTCATTTAGCTTAACGTCTCAGTTCCCAAGAACCTATTGATGACATTAAGGGAGGACTTAATATATGTATAAACAAATGTCACAATTTCTTTATCCATTCATCTGTCCTTGAATGGGTAAGTAAATTGTCCATTAGGACACTTAGTTTGTTTCCATGTCTTGGCTATTGGGAGTAATGCCGCCATGAACGTGGGAATCCAGATGTCTCTCTCAGATGCTGATTTTATTACCTTTGAATATATGCCCAACAGAGGCATTGTTGGATCTTATGGTAGTTGTATTTTTTTTAAGGAAACTCTATACTGTTTTCAATAATGGCTATACTAATTTACATTCCTATCAACCATGTACAAAGGTTTCATTTTCTACACATCCTCACCAACACTTATGTCTTTGCCTTTTTGTTAATAGTCATTCTAAGAGACACGAGATGATATCTATTGTGGTTTTAATTTTCATTTTCCTCATGATTATGATATTGAGCATCTTTTCATATACCATTTGACCATTTGTGTGACTTTGGAAAAATGGCTATTCAGGTCCTTGCCTATTTTAAAATCCAGTTATTTGGGGATTTTTTTTTTTGCTACTGAGTTGTGTGAGTTCCTTATATGTTTTGGATTTTAACCCCTTATCAGATGTGTGGTTTGCCAATATTTTCCCCTAATCCCTGTGCTACCTTTTTACCCCATTTTTTTTTATTGCTATGCAGAAGCTTATTTGCTTGATGTGGTCCCACTTGCTTATTTTTGCTTTTGCTGCCTGAGCTTTTGGTGTGATATCCAAAAAATCATTGTCAAGGAGGATATTAAGGAGTTTTTCTCCTATATTTCCTTCTAGGAGTTTTATGGTTTCAGGTGTTAGGTATTTAATCTATTTGAGTTGCTTTTTATGTATGATGTGTAAGATAGGCATCAGGTCCAGTTTCATTCTTTTGCATATAGATATCTAGTTTTCTTACCACTACTTATTGAAGACACCATCTTTTCCCTATTGTATCTTATTGGACTTGTCAAAAATCAGCTCATAATATATGTTTGGGTTTATTTTTGGGCTCTGTATTCAGTTCCATTGATCCATGTGTCTGCTTTTATGCCAGTACCATACGTTTTGATAACTATCACTTTGTAATATAAGTTGAAATCAGGTAGTGTGATACCTTCTACTTTGTTTTTCTTTCTCAAGATTCTTTTGGCTATTCAGGGTCTTTTATGATTTAATACAAATTTTAGAATTGTGTTTTCTATTTTTGTAAAAAATGCCTTTGGAAATTTGATAGGGATTGCATTGAATCTGTAGATCACTTTGGATAGTATGGACATTTTAACAATATTCTTCCAATCCACAAACTTGGGGATATCGTTATATTTATTTGTGTCTGTAAGTTTTTTCTGTTTTTTGAGACAGAGTCACGCTCTGTTGCCCAGGCAGAAGTGCAGTGGTGTGATCTCAGCTCACTGCAACTTCCACCGCCTCCTGGGTTCAAGCAATTCTGCTGCCTCAGCCCCCCAAGTAGCTGGGATTACAGGTGCCTGCCACCATGCCCGACTGGCCAATTTTTGTATTTTTAGTAGAGACAGGGTTTCACCATGTTGGCCAGGCTGGTCTTGAACTCCTGACTTCAGGTGATCTACCTGCCTTGGCATCCCAAAGTGCTGGGATTACAGGCGTGAGCCACCATGCCCGGCTGTGTGTCTTCAGTTTACTTTGTCAGTATTTTATAGTGTTTAGTATATAAAGCTTTCACTTCCTTCATTAAATTTGTTTCTCGGTGTTTTATTCTTTTTGATGTTATTTTAAGTGGAAATGTTTTCTTGATTTTTTTTCAGATCATTATTTGTATAAAGAAATGCATCTGATTTTTGTATGTTGATTTTGTATCCTGCTACTTGACTGAATTCATTTATTCTAGTAACTGTGGAATTTTTAGGGGTTTCTACATACAGGATCATGTCATCTGCACACAGGGATAATTTTACCCCCTTTTTTCTGCTGATGCCTTTTATTTCCTTTTCTTATGTGATTGCTCTGGCTAGGACTATGGTGAATATAAGTGTTAAGAGTAGGCATCCTTGCCTTGTAGCAGATATTGAAGAAAAGCTTTCAGTCTTTCCCTGTTTTGTAGGTTTGTTTTTGAATAGGCAATACCTGTGCATGATACAAGAAATACAAAGGTCTTAAAAAGAGTGAACAATGTTAAGTTAGCCTACCTTTTGGCCATCCCTTCCTTGGAAAGAACCAGTGTTTTCTTATAACTTTCCAGAGATTAGTCATCTAGATACAAGTATGTATATATGGGAGAATTTCTCATATTTGGGTGATATGGTCTTTTTCTCTTTTCTTTTCTTTTCTTCCGGTCTGTCTTTCTTTCTGTCCTCGTCTCGTCTCTTCTCTTCTCTTTTCTTCATTTCTTTTGATGGAGTCTTGCTTTGTCATCCAGGCTGGAGTGTAGTGGCGCAATCTCGGCTCACTGCAAGCTCTGCCTCCCAGGTTCACGCCATTCTCTTGCCTCAGCCTCTGGAGTAGCTGGGACTACAGGCACCCACCACCACGCCCAGCTAATTTTTTGTATTTTTGTGTTTTTAGTTCCTCTCCTCTCCAGGAGAGGAACAGGGGCCACAGGGAGCTGATCATGAAACACACTGAGGGTGTTTCATCAGGGAAGTGACAGGAGCATAGTCACATTCAGGAAAGATCACTGCCTCTGGGAAGACAGAGGGTCAGGGCAGAGCCTGGAGGCCAGGAGAGTGCCACCTTCAAACAGGGTGGAGGAGGCACAATTCTGGACAGGGATGTCCATGGCCAGAGGAGTGATCCAGCTCCTAGAAGATGAGGAGAGACCGAAGGTGAGGATGGCTCTTCAGTTTCAGGTTTAGGCACCTGGACAGATGGTCTTGCCTTCTCCAGCGGCAGAAAGCACTGAAGGGGAAAGAGGTTGGGGGAAGGGACTGTGTAGGCTGAGCAGCCTAAGTCTGAGAAGCTGGGCCACTTGCAGGTGTTGGTCCAGGGTGCAAGTGCATTTGGTGAAGGGGGAGACTAGGAAGGGAGGAGAAAGTCTAGTCTGTTACTAGACCTCACCATGCTGCAGGTGTCTGGGCCAGCAGGTCGCAGCCGGAGCTGTGCAGCTGGCTGCTGTCACATCCCTTTCTCTCCCAGCTGCCTTCAGCTGAGCTTAACGCCAGCAGAGGCCGAAACACTTCACAAATGCAACTTGTCAGCTGGGAGGTGCACTCAGAGCTCAGGAACACTGTTTTCCCTCTTTATTGTTTTCCATCATTTTTTTTTTTCAGTCTGGGTTTTGGGCCCCGTCAGTTCCTTTTCTGTTCAACACTGAGCTATGTATCCACCCCTCTCAAGGTTGAAAAAGAGAAAGACTGTAAAAGTGCCCTGCAAAGAAGAGGCTTCCAACTCTCTGGGGGTGGGGGGGGGTGGGGGGCTCTCTTCCTCCTCTTGTCTTCTGGGTTCATTCCAAATTATTCCCCAAAGGAAAAATCACTGAAGGACTGGGGGCGGTGGTGGGGAAAAGGACAGTCTCCCAAGAGGTCAGGTGAAGCCCCAGCCTCATGGTGTTGAGGGAGGGGCTGGGGGAAGCGGGAGCCTGTTCCTAGGAGACACTGTCTACTGGACACCTCATCCTAGAAGGCTTCCCTGAGTTCTGACACTGTTCTAGGAGTAGGAATCATTATCCCACGCTGTGGAGAAGGAAACCAAGGCCGGGTAAAGTAATGTAGGGCCCTTAAAGTTGCAGAGCCAGGAATAAAGTCCGGATTGGGACTCAGGTCTGTGGGCAATCCAAGGCCGTCCCCTTTACACTTCAAATGCTCTTTCCCCCTCCGGAAGCCCTCGCGTCCTCATCCCTACCCCACCTCTTGTTCCCCAAGCGTGGCTAGGGCTAGGGCTCCAGGGCTACACCAAGCACCCTTCGGTCTTCCCGGGAAGAATTTTCCCCGGCCCGGGGCTAGGGTCTGGCGCTGGGGCGCTCCTGGGACCTGCGGGATCACCACTACACTCTGGCGCGCCGAGCGCGGTGAGCTAGGGCGCCAAGGCACAGGTGGGGCTGGAGTCCAGCGCGGAGGCGCGGGGGGCGGGACGCGGGGCCGGGGAGCGGCCAGGGACCGCGGCAGCGCCGCAGTGCCAGCCCGGCGCTGGCGACTGCCTGCCCCAGCCCCTCAGTGGCGGCTTGCTCTCTTCTCTCGCTCCGAACCAGACACAGCCGCTGTCGCTGCCATGTGGCGCGCCGCAGACTCCCGAGAACAGCCCTGGCTGTCAGCGGGCACCAGCCGCTTCCTGTGCCCATCGCGTAGACTGGAGGGGCGCACCACGGCCACCGAGCCAGAGGCGCTTCAGGAAGCAAGAGAAGTCCCCGCGCGCTCCGGGACCCGGCGCAGCTCATGGTGAGCGCCCTCTAGGGCTCGAGGGTCCCTTGGCTGAGGGGGCGCATCCTCGGGGTGCCCGATGGGGCTGCCTGGGGGTCGCAGGGCTGTAGTTGGGATCGCGCACAAACCGACTCTGCGGCCCAGCCCGAAATGCTGCCGCCAAGGAGCAACGGCACCGCGTACCCGGGGCAGTTAGCGCTGTACCAGCAGCTGGCGCAGGGGAATGCCGTGGGGGGCTCGGCGGGGGCACCGCCACTGGGGCCCGTGCAGGTGGTCACCGCCTGCCTGCTGACCCTACTCATCATCTGGACCTTGCTGGGCAACGTGCTGGTGTCCGCAGCCATCGTGCGGAGCCGCCACCTGCGCGCCAAGATGACCAACGTCTTCATCGTGTCTCTACCTGTGTCAGACCTCTTCGTGGCGCTGCTGGTCATGTCCTGGAAGGCAGTCGCCGAGGTGGCCGGTTACTGGCCCTTTGAAGCGTTCTGCGACGTCTGGGTGGCCTTCGACATCATGTGCTCCACCGCCTCCATCCTGAACCTGTGCGTCAGCAGGTCATCAGCGTGGCCCGCTACTGGGCCATCTCCAGGCCCTTCCGCTACGAGCGCAAGATGACCCAGCGCATGGCCTTGGTCATGGTCCGCCCGGCCTGGACCTTGTCCAGCCTCATCTCCTTCATTCCGGTCCAGCTCAACTGGCACAGGGACCAGGCGGTCTCTTGAGGTGGGCTGGACCTGCCAAACAACCTGGCCAACTGGACGCCCTGGGAGGAGGCCGTTTGGGAGCCCGACGTGAGGGCAGAGAACTGTGACTCCAGCCTGAATCGAACCTACGCCATCTCTTCCTCGCTCATCAGCTTCTACATCCCCATGGCCATCATGATCGTGACCTACACGCGCATCTACCGCATCGCCCAGGTGCAGATCCGCAGGATTTCCTCCCTGGAGAGGGCCGCAGAGCACGTGCAGAGCTGCCGGAGCAGCGCAGGCTGCGCGCCCGACACCAGCCTGCGGTTTTCCATCAAGAAGGAGACCGAGGTTCTCAAGACCCTGTCGGTGATCATGGGGGTCTTCGTGTGTTGCTGGCTGCCCTTCTTCATCCTTAACTGCATGGTCCCTTTCTGCAGTGGACACCCCAAAGGCCCTCCGGCCGGCTTCCCCTGCGTCAGTGAGACCACATTCGACGTCTTCATCTGGTTCTGCTGGGCCAACTCCTCACTCAACCCAGTCACTATGCCTTCAACGCCGACTTCCGGAAGGTGTTTGCCCAGCTGCTGGGGTGCAGCCACGTCTGCTCCCGCACGCCGGTGGAGACGGTGAACATCAGCAATGAGCTCATCTCCTACAACCAAGACACGGTCTTCCACAAGGAAATCGCAGCTGCCTACATCCACATGATGCCCAACGCCGTTCCCCCCGGGGACCGGGAGGTGGACAACGATGAGGAGGAGGAGAGTCCTTTCGATCGCATGTCCCAGATCTATCAGACATCCCCAGATGGTGACCCTGTTGCAGAGTCTGTCTGAGAGCTGGACTGCGAGGGGGAGATTTCTTTAGACAAAATAACACCTTTCACCCCAAATGGATTCCATTAAACTGCATTAAGAAACCCCCTCATGGATCTGCATAACCACACAGACATTGACAAGCATGCACACACAAGCAAATACATGGCTTTCCAGTACTGCTCCCTTTATCATGTGTTTCTGTGTAGTAGCTGGTGTGCTTAGAAACCTCACCCCATTGATTGATAGTTCAAAGAATTGGCAGAAGCAGTTGCAATAAACTCAGTCAAATGTACCCAGCCTACCAGAGATGGAACAATGATCCTGTGAGAGAAGAGAGTATGGTGCTGGCTCCTTAAAAAAAAAAAAAAAAAAAAAAAAGATACTTGGTCCTTAAAAAATATGCTCTCCCCTCCCTTTTTAAACAAATGGCTTTTTCAGTCACTTGTTTGTGTTTGAATTGATTTTTAAACAGCAGGTTTTGTGTGTGTGCAGTGATGTGGTGGGAGCACAGCTTTCCTGGGTCTGGATTCCCGTGGCTTTGTGCTTGTGTCATTTCTTCTCTCTGTGCTGGTGGGGGTCTCTTTACCATAGCTTAAGAAGTCTCCCTGATTTATTCTGGTATCTAATAAACACAGATTATTTGTATTATGTGGTGACTATCTTTGCTTTGCTACACTGGGTTTCAGGATTGCTTCTGAAGAAACGATGAGTGCATCCTTAAAATGCAAAGAAGACATTTGCTGGGTCTGGAAGTACATGCTTATTCTCTTTACAGTTTGGCCTTAAAGATACACCAGGGCAAAGGACCTTGAGGAGCTTCTGTTTTCTCAGGTTTCTTTTTATTACTTATACACATGTTGGGTCTGTGCTGAAACCTGGCTTCAATGGCATGGCATTAGATCTTCTCAAGCCCAGATTTTTTTTTTCATTTGGAATCTTTTTTGAAGTAACATGAGACAACTCTCCTTATTCCTAGACAGATGCGATCAGTTCATTGAAAAGTTCATGTAGAATAATATCTTGAATCTTTCTCCATCTGAAATCTGTAGCATGTTTTAGAATCACATGGCTTTTGAGAAATCCTGTTTTCTGAAGGGCTTTGAAATGTGTGAATCAAGATGCTTTAAAAAAGAAATCTATTTTTAAATAGGCATTTTCCTTAGTGGACAATAGCAAATAGAGAAATGCTTTTTAACTAAAATGTAGAAGCCAGAGATGAAATGTGAATGAACTTGAAATTGGAAAATCTGTAGGTCGAGGTGCTCAATAGAAAAGCCCAGCTGACTCCAATCATTTTGTTTTTCCTCTCTGCAGTGTGCACAGTCAAGGGGAGTGTTTTATTCCAGACCCACACCAGTTGAGAGCATAGTATTACCATCAGATCTAAATATGAGCACTATTAATGGAAGCAAATGAAATGTGAATATGCAATTTCTTGCAAGTCCCTGCTTTGAAGCAGTTTTATCAAGGACAGTTCAATCAATTTTGATCTCTCTAAGGCTAATTTTATTGTCAGTCTTCTGTGCAGCCAACTGCAAAATGTGCAGCTCCTGGCACATCGTACTTAATAAATATTTGTTGAATGAATGACTATTCTGGAATAGTGAGATTGAAAGCAAATCCTATTCGGTACATCAATTTTTATATATAATTTAGTCAAAATGATACTGGAATCTGAGGCCCGTGTTCAGTTTCTGACCTCCTGTGAATGGATAGCTAAGTGAACCATTAGGCAACATTAGGGGCAGTGAAAAGCACACAGCTCTACGATTCAGGAGATGGTCGCATGACCTTGAGTGAGTCAATTAACCTTTCTGGGCCTCATTTTCTGTCTGTGTCTGTAAATGGAAGGACTTCAGCTGGATCACTGTTTACCCAATTGTGCTTTGTGATGCAGATGTTAATGGATGGGGTCTCTGGTGAAATAAGTTCAGCAAACCCAGGTTCAACACCTGTTTTCTCGATAGGACTTCTTAGAGTTTCTCCTGTGCATGATGCATCCTCCAGTGCGAGAAGATTCTGTATCATTTCCCAATGCCATTCACTTTGTGAACCTTGTTTGGTGGAATTCCTGTTACTGTTTCACTGGAGTCCACAGTCACTACTTGAGAAACTCAAATCTAACTGATCTGGAAGTCTTTACAATATTCTGTTCTAAAGCATGGGTTGCTATAAGCAAAATCTTTTGTGAAAAACACTGTTCTAGGCTCCAGTTTAAATAAGTTCTGTGTTATGGAAAATGGGTTATGTGAGGACTTTGGAATTTCCTTCTGTAAAATATCACTCACCATTCATTATAATTATGTACTATGCTCTAGGCATTGTTCTAGATGCTGGGAATATAGTTGTCAATCAAATTCTCTGCTCTCTTGGAACATTTATGTGAGCTGTGGGAGAGATAAGCCAATAAAGAGATCTGTACTATACTGCACTGCATTGCACTGTGCTGTACTGACCAGGATAGATAATGCCAGGCAGGGGTAATTGCTATGTTGCAAAAAGCCCAGGGTGAGTAGGGTGGTGAAGCTGCTGTTTTATTTATGGTGGTCAGGGGAGGACTTTCCAAAGAGCCACATGAAGAGAGACCTTGATGAAGTAAGGATTGGAGGGCTGCTAATGTCTGGGAAGGAGAGCAATCCAGGCAGAGGGAGTGGCAAGTGCAAAGGCTTGGAAATGGGATTGTTCTTGGCACCCTCAGAGGAGTGTGGCTGGAGGGCTATAAAAGAGGAGTGTGATAGGATTAATGTTAATTGCTGTAGCAGCAATTGCAGCAGGCATGATGGAGACCCAGCCTGTGCTGGGTACAATACATGTATTAATTCATTTCACTCTCATTGCCCTGTGAGGTAAGCACTTTTATTACCCCATTTTACAGATAAGGAAATGAAGGCATTGGCAGGCTAAATAACCAGCCTGTGGTCACATAACTCCTGAGTGGCAGAGCTCAACTTGAACCCAGGTAGCCTGGCTGTGGAGTCTTTAATCCTAACTGCTCTTTGATGGTGAGAGAGGATGCCAGGACATCTTCAGTCAGCAAATGCACTAGTGCACAGATCAGGACATTCAGTTTTTTGTTCATTTGTTACTGAAATGGTTAATTGATTCATCCCCACAGCTATACAACAGCAGATCTTCACTGTGTACCTCCTCTGTGCACAGCTTTGTGTTTGGAGGGAAGGCACCCTAGGGTTATGGGCAAAGTAGCTCTTACATGATGGGCCAATTGCTTTCCTGGATTCTTATTTATTCCTCACATTAACCTCACATGTTATTATTTTTCCATTTTACAGGTGAGGACATGGGGGCACAGAGGACCTTGAGGACAAGGTTGTTTGTCCAAGGTCATGTGAAAAGTAAGTAGTGGAACCACGGTTCACCCTAGGTCAGTGGTTCTTAAATGAGGGAACTTTGCACCCTGCACCCCCACAGATATTTGGCAATGTCTGGAGACATTTTTGGTTGTCACAACTGGGTGTCAGGTGCTCCTGCCGTCTTCTGGGTAGAGGCCAAAGATGTTGCTAAACAACTTATGGTGCACAGAGAATTATCCGGCCCCAAATACCCATCTTGCAGCACTCGAGAGGCCTTGGCCAGGCGGGCAGACTCCAGGTCCCAGCTCCCCATCCACAAGGCCACCTGCCTGGGATTGGAGGCTCCGGTGCCCTAAGTTTGAAGTTTGGCTCCACCATTTATTAGTCTTCTGAATTTGGGCACCTTTCTGAGCTCCAGCTTCTTTATCTGAGCAATGGGCACATGAACCACACAGAGCGTGAATTACACAAAACACATGCCCCAGAACTTCCTTGTTCTGATACATGCTGAATGTTCTTTTATAATTAGGCATCCATACACCATATTCATTGGTTAGAAATGAGTCATTACGTCCAAATCATATTCAAGGGGAGGTGATTAGACTTTACCTCTTCATGGGAGGAGTGCCAAAGAATTTGCAGAAGAGATGTTTTACATTTTATGCTTTATTTTTAAACACTTGTTCTCACATAGTTTCAGACTTACAGAAACCTTGCAACACGGTACAAAGAATTTCTAAATATTGTTTACCCAGATCCCCCAAACATCAGGGTTTCACTGTATCACTTATCTCTGTTCTTCCCTTTTTCTTCTGAGTCATCTAAGGTGTGATGCCCATTTACTCTTGAATATTTTGTTGCATATTTCCTAAAAACAGGGAATTCTCTCGTCTCATCTACAGACTTTATTCAGACTTCACAATAATGTCCTTTATAACAAAACAATCCAAGACCATGTGTTGCATTTAGCTGTCCCCTGTAATTTGAAAGTTTCTGCTGCTTTGTCTTTCTTGACACAGACCTTTGTGAAGATTACCTGGCCAGTTACTTGGTATAATTGTCCTTCAACTTCGGTTTTTTGGTGCTTTTCCATGATCAGATTCTGTTATGCATGTTGGGCAGGAATATCACTGATGCCATGCTGAGCTCCTGTAGCTCAAGGCATGAGGGGCAGGTGCTATTAATTAGTCCCATTACTAGCAATGTTAACTTTGTTCATGGGGTTACGGTGCTGTCCACCGTTTTACTCTTTATAATTAATATGTATTTCCTTTGGAGAAATACTTTGAGACTATGAAGATATCCTATTATTTCTCAAACTTGCATCCATTGGTTTTAGCATTTATTAGTAGCCCTTCCCTGAATCAGTTATTACTGTGGTTGTCAAATCATGTTTTTTAAAAAAATTCTGTAATCTTTCTAAATGTATTGTTGGTTTTCTACTGTAAGGAAGAACACTTGTTTATATTATTGACATCGGCATAGAATCTTGGTTTTCTAGTTTTCTGTTTGTTTTTGAGACAGGGTCTCACTCTGTTGTCTAGGCTGGAGAGCAGTGGCATGATCACAGATCACTGCAACCTTGACTCCAGGGCTGAAGTGATCCTCCCACCTCAGCCTCCCAAGTAGCTGGGACCACAGGCATATGCCACCATGCCCAGGTAATTTTTTTTTTTTTTTTTTTTTTTGTAGAGACGGGGCCTCCCTATGTTGTCCAGGCTGGTCTCAAGCTCCTGGGCTCAAACAGACTTCCCGCCTCAGCCTCCCAAAGTGCTGAGATTTACAGGCTTGAGTCACCATGCCCAGCCCGGGTTTCTAGTTTTTATAATAGGTTATAATCTTTTACTTGACGCTGTTAATGGATACTATTTTTACATTCCAGGTATGGGACCTGGGGACACATGTGTCCCATTTCTATGATATTAACACAATGCTCATTCTAGGGGCAACACTCAGAACACTGTTTTCTATTGTCTTCTAAGACTGTCCCTGACCTCAAATCTCTCAGTGAACTGAGGGTATCCATACTTATCATGATATTTAGGTTGCCCTAGATTTGGTGAGTGGGAGCCCTTTAAGTTGGTTCTTGTGTCCTTTTGACATGCTGTCATTATTCTTTGAGTAGTTTGTTACTTTTCAACATGAGATATGTCAGACTCATCTTGTGTATTCCCTGTCCAAGCCTTGGAATCATCCATTTTTCCAAGGAGACCAGGGTTCCTTCTAGCAGAAAATGATATGGAGAAATCAAGATGTGGGCACTAGGGTGTTTATTGTTACTGGGGTGATATTGTTTCTATATCCTCTTAAAAGACAGAGTTGGGAAATGGATACATGTATATACATGCACACATATTCATATGTGCATATACACATATCCTTGAGCATCTCTATCTATTTCTATGCCTACCTATGTACATATATCAAATCCCATGCACTCATTTTGATATCTAGCAGACATATTTTAAAAACCATCACCTCTGGTTCAAATCTCGATTCTCTAATGTTCTAGTTCATGAGAACTGGAAGTCAAAGAGATTAAGTTACCTTCCTAGGTTTAAAAAATATTAAAAAGGGAATAATTAGTTGCTTACCTTGTAGTTTATTGTCAGAGTTATGTGCTATGATGCATGTGGAATGTGTAAGGGTGTTACACAATGAGAATTTAAAAATGGTCTTCTTGTGACTGTGCCCTTAAGAGCTGAGAGTACAGGGCAGAACCTTCCTGTTTCTATGTAGTGGTTCCATGCTCCATTTTACAGACAGTGTGAGAAGCTACTAGGGATCAAGAATTCAAGAGTCAATATGCAGGAGAGGGATAGAGTAGCTGAAGAGCAAACTAGACTTGCCTACACCTAGAATAGGAAGAAATAGCACAAGATGTCAAGCTTGATAGGAGGAAGTTGTTGATATGAGGGGAGAGTTAATCAGAGAATGTTGAGCCCATGTGGAACCCCCTGGACCTCTAGGCCAATTTGGGGGAAGGGCTTAAAGGGAATATGAGTACCCCTACTCACAAGAGCAGGCAGAGCCATCAGACTTTTGCTTTGACACTGTTAATGAAGTACCATTTTGATATTCCAGGTATGAGACCAGGGGATGCATGTCTCCCATTTGTAGGATATTAATAATACAATGCCAGTTCCAGGGAAAACACTCAGAACTTTGATCTGATTCTCTTCTAAGATCATTGCTGTCCTAAAAACTCTTAGTGAACTATGAGTACCAGCACTCCACCAACACTGACAGAATAAAGGTGACAACCAGCATTTGTTGACTATCTATTGGGCAAGGTGCTTTGTATACATCTTCTCATGGAATCACTGCAATATTCTTGTGACATAGGCACCATTGTCCTCATTTGGAAAAGGAGGCTGAGAGAGGCTCAATAGCAAGCCAGGTTATACTTCTAGTAAGGGATAGAAGTGGGATTTGAAGAGCATCTACTCCTGGAGAGCCCCCCTTTTGGGCTTTACACAACTCTTTGGAGGGACTCAGGAAGAGGAGAGCTCCTTCATGTATATTGCCCATGGGTCCTCTCCAGGTGAAGTATTTTGAGGTTCTGAAACCATTATCAGACTTGGCTGTAAATTCCCTCTCCATCTTGGACCTTTTCCTGTGCTCTTCCAATGGCCCTTTCCAATGGGTAATTAGACCTCAGTTGTCTACATGAGTGAGATCTGCTCAGCATGGAGAGGGCTCTATTTTTCTACACCCTTGATAATTTGTAGGTTTGGGAAAGCATGCCCAGTGTGGCTTGTCAGGGCTAACACATATGCCTTCATTCATATGTCAACTTGGCTTCATGGGTAGGGGCTGCCTGGAGTCCTGGGATGAGAAAGACTACACAATTGCATTCCAACCAATGACATTGAGGGGACTGGCTAATAAATGATTTCTGTTAGGAGCTTGGGAGGTGGGGGATGTGTGAATGTTCTAAGTACTTGCCATTCTGTGTCTCTCCACAGCCCCTAAACCTGTCTTTCCTAGAACCACTTGAAAGTTAAAATATTGATGTCTGGGGCCCACTCCAAATTAGTTAAATCTGAATTTCTAAGGAATAGGACCTAAGCTTCACTTTTTAAAAAAAATTGAATGTGTTAGAATGTATATAGCCACAATTGAAAAACACCATTGGTCTACACTATCATTAGGCATGTTTGAAAATTATCTGCCTTGACCCTGCCCTGATCTTGCCTTTGCTACAATATTAAATGGGCTCTTATTAACAATGAATATATCTAATTATTCTCTAGATCTTTTATTAGCTTGAATTATTCTTAGATATTCTGCCACATAAAAGTATTTGAATGTGTAGTCTTTGTGGTTGATGGTCTAATCAGCTAAACTCAAACCTCACTGCAGCTGTGACTAGAAAGTCCTCATTGATGGAGAATCCTAGAGGTCCTTTCAGAGAAGAAAAAATAATTCAGTGGGCCAAGCTGTAATATTTTGCCTCTGATTCTCAGATTCCTTGTTGGCAAAATGGGAATGCAAAATAAATAGAGTCTATAGTCAGTACCTAATAAGTATTTGTTGAATGAATAAATTAGTGGAATACAAAATTAAAATACTTGTCTCATCAAACATCTAGAGAAAAAGGAGACAGATATAGAGCTAACCCATGCCTGTTATACCATTTAATGCTAGGAGTATGGAAGCAGATACTGTGTCTCTCTAGTTTCACAGGCTCTCAGAGAGAGAGGAACTGTACTCTAGGAGCTGCATGTGACTAGTCATTCTCAAGAAGTCCCCACCCCAATACCTGATTTGATGAGATTCTGAACTTTAGTTGATGCTGAAGGGGGAGGAGATTTTTAGGGATCTTGGCAGGACACAAGTGTATTTTGCATGGGGTGGAGGATGTGAATCACTGGGGGCTGGAGGACAGGCTTCCCAGCAGCCCCTAAGATGGCCTCCAGTGATCCATGTCTCCTGGTATTCATGCCCTTGTATAATCCTCTCCACTCCCTTATATCTTGGCTGAACCTAATGTCTTGTTCCTAACAAACACAATATGGTGAAACTGATGAACAGCACCTCTGAGAAGTTACAAAAAGAAAATGACTTCCATCCTGCTCACCCTCTCTTGCTCTCTTGCTTTCTTGTTCTGATGGAAGCCAGCAGCCATGTTGTGGGTGTTCTATGAAGAGGCCCAGTAGCAAGAAACCAGAGGCTGGGGGAGTGTCTGACCAAGAGTCAGCCAAAACCTGAACCTGCTAATAATCACATGAGTGAGCTTGGAAAGGAAGCATCCCTCATTTGAGCCTTCAGATGAGACCATAGCCTTATATTACTCCTTGATTGCGGCCTTTGGGAGACTGTGAGCCAGAAGACCCAGCGAAGCTTTGCCTGGGCTCCTGACTCATAGACACTATCAGAAAAACACTTGCTGTTTTAAGCTGCTAAGTTCTGGGTTAATTTGTTATTTAGCAATAGATAACTAATATAGAAGAAAAGGGAGAGAACATTTATTGAATCCTTTGCTATGCCCCAGGTACTTTGTAAATCTTTTTCCATTTCATCCTTAAGTCAACCTGGATGAAAATATTCAGGTTCAGAGATGCTGGGTGAGTGCCAGGGGCAGGATATGAATCACTACTGTTTGATTTGAAAGCCTGTGCTCATTTCTCTATTCCAGGATGCAAACCAGGAGACGTTTTCTATTCTATGTTTCTTTTTCCTTTTCTTTTCTTTTCTTTTTTTGTGGCAGGGGGACAGGGTCCTGCTCTGTCATCCAGGCTAGAGTGAAGTGGAGCAATCATGGTTCACTGCAGCCTGAAACTCTTGGGCTCTGGTGATCCTCCTGCTACAGCCTACCAAGTAGCTGGGATTATAGGCATGCGCCACCACACCTGGATAGTTTTTTTTTTTTTTTTTTAATTTTTATTAGAGACTAGGTCGCACTACGTCACCCAGGTTGGTCTCAAACTCCTGAGCTCAAGGGCTTCTTCTGCCTCAGCCCCTACAAAGTGCTAGGATTACAGGTAGGAGCCATTGTGTCCGGCCACATTTTCTCTGTTCGTAAAGTCAGCAGTAGAATAGCTAACATTGTTGCTAAACAGTTTGTATAAAATGAGTAATTATTAGTGCCCCTGCATGCAGCCACCTGCTGTTGCTGACCTTCTGTGCCTCTGCAGCCAAACATACATCAGGTACTTATGTATACACACTCCACAGGCACACAGATGCCTCCACAATACACATGTGCCCAAGATGCAATTGCAAGCACACAAGTGCACAAATAAGTACACACATGTGTCTTCACAAAGAACTATCTCCACCTTCATTTTCTCCCATCCAAGTACTAATCAGGTCTGACCCTTTTTAGCTTCCAAGATCAGATGAGATTGGGCATGTTCAGGGTATATGGCTGTAGCCTACATCCTCTTTTTTTTTTTTTTTTTTTTTTTTTGAGACGGAATTTCGCTCTTGTTGCCCAGGCTGGAATGCAATGGTGCTATCTCGGCTCACAGCAACCTCTGCCTCCCGGGTTCAAGCCATTCTCCTGCCTCAGCCTCCGGAGTAGCTGGGATTACAGGCATGCGCTACCACGCCTGGCTAATTTTGTATTTTTAGTAGAGATGGGGTTTCTCCATGTTGGTCATTTTTAAATGAAAGACCCTTTGAGACAGTTCATACCTAAATATGTAAATAGTGCACAAGATTTTGCAGCCTGAACAGAAATGGCCACTATAGTTTTTTCTCTTTAGCAATTTTCTGTGTGCTGTAAACAAATTTGAAATCTGGCTAGAGACTTTGGAAATCATGTTGACCACTCCCCATATTGTGCAGATGCAGAAATTGAGGCCCTGAGGGACTTGCCCAAGTACCCCAGCAAAGTGGTGTGAACTGAAGTCCAGGTCTCCCAACTCCCAGTTGACTGTCCTTGCTGTGGCACTGTGCACCGTCGGTGGGGAGAACACTCCTGGTCCTTAGGAATCCATTTCTAAAGGACATCAGGAGCACAAACAAGTTCATGCCCTATTGTTCTTTCCACGTAAAAGAAGTTGATGACATTTATGCTTTTCTCACAATACACCATTAAGATAGAACATTGTTGAATTATTTGTGGATTAAATACAGATGTGCAGGGATTTTAGGGCCCTGATTGATTTTCTGTTGAAAGAAGCGAAAGGAATGTTAATTTACAACTGGCAAATGTTAGCTCTTAGGAGGAGGCAAAACAGCATTTCGAAGGCCTGTTTTTTGTTTGGTTTTGGTATTTCATGAAAGAGATTTTTCTGTGCAAAGTGGCAGGAAGCCATTTTCAACAAGAGCTAAAGGGAATGAAGATTTAAAAAATGGACCAAAAACAAACTCAAAGGTGCCAGGCCTTTGTTACTGCAAGCCCCTCTTGCAGGATGAGAGGCTGCTAAAACAAAATCAATAATTTAAGCAACTTTCTGTCCCTCTCTCCCCTGCTATTCTGGTAAAATGATTTGACATTTCAGACAACAAGGAATGAACATCAGACCAGGAAGAAAAGGGCTTGGTTATGAGTCCCAGTTGTGTGATTTTAAGTACATGATTAAACGTTTATTAATTTGGTTCTCTCATCTCTAATAATGAAACCATCACTCTTACATCTTGAGTGTAAAAAATGCTCATTTACTAGAACTCGCCCTGTATCAGATGCCACATTAGGATTTGTGCGGAGTGATCTCATTAATTCCTTTTTTTTTTTTTTTTGAGATGGAATTTCACTCTTGTCACCCAGGCTGGAGTGCAGTGGTGCAATCTTGGCTCACTGCAACCTCTCTCTGCCACCCGGTTTTGGTTTCAAGCGATTCTCCTGCCTCAGCCTCCCAAGTAGCTGGGATTACAGGCGCCCACCACCATGCCCGGCTAATTTTTTGTATTATTAGTAGAGACGGGGCTTCACCATGTTGGTCAGGCTGGTCTCGAACTCCTGACTTCAGGTGATCCACCCACCTCGGCCTCAAGTGCTAGGATTGCAGGTGGGAGCCACCATGCCCAGCCTCGTTAATTCTTTATAGCAGCCTTGTGAGGAGGTCTGTTCATTCTCACTGTACAGCTGAAGGTGCTGAGGCTCAGAAAACTCAAGCTTGTCGCTCAGGGTCACACAGCTAAGAAATGACAAGGTGGAGATTTAAACCTATGCTTGTCTGGCTAGGCACTGTCTTATATAGTAAGAGTGTGGGGATGACAGATTGCAAAACAAAGCAAAATAAAACTCACAAGCTCTGAAGATGTAGTGACTGCCTACTCTGCCCCTGTGCTAGCGACCCAGAGTTAAAGATGGGTTCTCATCATGGTCTCTGCTTCTATGGATCCCTCAGTGGCTTGAGAGGAAAGCAAACCTGGTGGTGGCAACGAGGGCATCTAATATTTTGGATTCCATTTTGGACTCATGTTTAAAGTGCATATGGGCTATACAGGTGGGTGTATGAGCCGAGGACAAGAGCAGAGGTCTGGGTTTGGGACCAACATCACCAAAGATGATAGCCAACACTGAGTGACTGCTGAATTTGTGCTGGGCACTGTGCCAAAGAGTTCTCAGGCATTAACCCATTCTTTTTTTTTTTTTTTTTTTTTTTTTGCGGAGACAAAGTCTCACTCTGTCACCCAGGCTGGAGTGCAGTGGTGTGATCTTGGCTCACTGCAACCTCCGTCTCCCAGGTTCAAGCAATTCTCCTGCCTCAGCCTCCCAAGTAGCTGGGCCTACAGGCATGCACCACCACACTCAGCTAGTATTTTTGTATTTTAGTATAGACGGGGTTTCACCGTGTTGGCCAGGGTGTCTTGATCTCTTGACCTCATGATCCGCCTGCTTCGGCCTCCTAAAGTGCTGGGATTACAAGCATGAGCCACTGTGCCTGGCTGCATTAACCCATTCTATCCTCAGACTGATGCTGTGAGGCTGCTGTCCTTACCCTGCTGTACAGAGCAGTGAGAAAACTTGCTTGTAGGTGAAAGTTAAAACTTCAAGGAGGATTTTTCTTGAAAGCCATCCCAAGGTTTTTCTATTTGGTGATTCATGATCAATCTTATGCCCCAAGTCCCCACATTCCCTCTATTTTGAGTCACTCTGTCTCATAAGAGCCCCTGGTGCCTTTGTTTTGCTTCATTTGAATTCTGGATTCAGCATGCATCAGAAATGTTCTCGCTGAGAGCTGGAAAGCATTTTTGTGATGGCTGGGCTGCAGGGCCATTAAGAAAATACCTTTGCACACCAACAAAAAAGACTAAAGCCTTAATTGCTGATCCAAAAGGCAACAGGAAAGGATGCACCACTGCATATATGGTGAGGGATGCATTGCCTTGGTCAGGGCACAGGTCCTCTGTCCCTGAGTCCTGTTTCCTTGTGTGGGTAGAGGGCATTTTCACACTCTCTGTCCCCAAAAGACCTCAGGGGGAACAAAAGAGCAGCATGAGCAGGGGGCCATGGTCATGGGCATTGACTGGGTGCTTGCTGCATGCAAAGGCTCTGTGTTAAGCACCTTGGGAACACTAACTCATTTACTGTCCCAACAAATCCAGGATGTAGGTACAAGTAATAATCCCACTTTACAGGTGACAAAAATGAGGAATAGAGAGGTTTGGTGATTTGCTCAAGATCACACAGTATGTGTGGCACAGCTGAGATTCTGACCCACAGGTAAGACTCTTGAGCTTATTCTTCTCACTGAACCCCCTGCCTCTCATGGTTATGTGGCTCATGCTCCCATAGCCTTAAGTCCTGAGGCTAAGGAAGGGTCCTCAGATAAAAGACGTCAATTTCTGTGTCTTTTTTGAGCAGGCTTCATGAACATCAACACTCATTTGAGGTTACTGAGAGCATTTGCCTGGCCTTAACATTGTCATCCCAAAGCTGTTTGCCAATTCATTCCCATCTTCATAGCCCTGTCTTTCTCCAGCAGGCTTGGTCTGTGGTTCTAATGAACACAGGAGGCTTGGTTCATTCGGATGCAGGAAGTGAGGAGGAATAACATGAAGGGGATTGACCAGATGCCTCAATTCTAATCAGCTGAATGGAGATACTTATGATACCTCCTTATGCAGTGCTGTAACGATTAGATGGGATTCTTTATATAAAGGACTTAGAACAATACCTGGCATGTTGTTAGTACTCAATTAACTTTATACAATATATTAGTCAGGCTTTGTTGTGATGATGCCACATAAAAAGTAATCCCCAAATCTCAATGCTAACAACAACAAACATTTACTTCTCATTTCCATAGGTCAGCTGTGGTTCTACAGGGCTCTTCTGGGCTGGCTAGATTCAGATGGGCCTGGATCTGGGTGGTGAATTGGGTTCCTATTTGCTTCACTTGGCTCTCAGAAGAGGATCCAGGGGAGTAGCAGCAGCTATCTGAAGCATGTTCATCTCATGCTGGAGGACAGGATCACCAGAGGCCATGCAGGAATATTTAACACCTCTGCTTGGATGTGGCATTCACTGAGTCACCCACATTCCATTAGCTGAAGCAAGTCACATGGCTAAGCCCAATGTCAGTGGGGTGGGGAGGTACACCACTTCCATTGAAAGGAGGGAAAACAGATGTTTGCTGAACAATAATACAATACTATGATCTATCACAATACTATGATCTACCATTATACTATGATCTACCATTAACATTTCTTGAATGCCTAATAGCTCTCAGGAAGTGTTCCAAGAATCATGGATTCTAGAGATGAATCACATAGCAGCTCTGCTGTCTGCTCTCAAGGGTGCCCTCACTACAGAGTGTGGTCACTGCAATGACAAAGGTGGCCCCAGGACAACTTAACCTCTCCTGAACTATTTTAATTCTCACAATTTCCTTGTAACCCCAGTATCACTATCCTTATTTTATAGACAAATAAACTGGGACTCAGAGAGGTTCAGTAATTTTCTTTTGTCCCCATGGCTAGAAAATGGCTAAGCCTAGTACCAAATCCTTGTGTGATTGTTCCAGGGTTCTGTTCTTTGCATGACAACTCTGGACTCAGGTATGTAGGCAGAGACATTAGAATTGAGACAGAGACTGACCAAAACTCTCATATCTTGGCAGGAGCCCAAGTCTGCATATGTATGAACCTCATCCATATATATGCAAGCTGTGGCTGAGACATCTGTAACCTAGACTTTCATAGCTGGGCTACTAACTTCAATCATCTGAAGGAAGACTCAAGTTATAAACTGCCACCAATTCAGTGAATTATCCATAAACTTGTTTCTATATTGCCCTATGATGCTCAGTTCAAGCCCAAGTCAAATGCTCCCTCCTGAAAACTTCTCTGATTCCCTAGCCACCAGTTTCTGCCTGTGTTGCCTGTCCACAGCACCAAACACTTAAGACACTTTCTCCATGATCCTACAATTTTTTTTTTATTTTTCTGAGACAGGGTCTCACTCTGTCACCCCGGCTAGAGTGCAGTGGTGCACATGATCCTACAACCTTGATGTATATATTTTAGGCAATCACTGCTCACAGAAAGCCCATATTCTCCTATTCCACCTCCACAGTCCCCAGAGTTCCAGCCCAGTGCTTGGCATTCAGCAGGGGCTAGATGAAAGTGTGTGGAATGAGTGAATGAACGACGGATGGATAGAGGCTGCTGGGTCCTTAGGAAAGAGAGCAGATGAGATTTATTTTTTATTTTTGTCCGTATCTCCTCTTTGGTCCTTTGGAGGGATTTTAGTCAGGATGGGTCTGGTGCAACCAGGTGATCCAAGGGTTATAGGCACAGAGGGAAGTAACTGGAGCTCCCTTTGGGTACCACAGTAAACACTGGTGGTGGAATGCCATTGTCTTATCTTCTGAGAAGTAGCAGGAGGCTTCCATATTCTTGTGTTTCGTCAACTGGCTCTAATCATTAAGCTAAATACTCAGCTTATGCAATGCACTTAGCCCAGCTGATTTAGAAGTGGCACCTTCCCAATCAGTCTAGAGCATTTGGGTGGTCACTGTATTCCAACATTCACTACAATTAGGGACTGCCAGAAAAGCCTGATTGTCTTCACTGGTTATTTATAACCAAATCATAGTAGCAATCATTATGTAAAAAGAGCTGTTTCTCCACGCCCCCAACTTCTCTGCCTCGCCCACTCCCAATGTCAGTCCTTCCATTTTATTTAATGCTTCTGGCTGCAGTGATTAGATGTAATGAGAGTGATAGGGCTTTGAGTTGGAAAGTGCTAGAGGCAAAGGAGTTTTGTTATTCTCATCCTTAGAGACACAGAATTCAAGAGGTAAAGGGGACTTAGAGATTTCTAGTCCAGCAGTCCCATGCTATAGATGGGAAAACTTGAGGATCAAAGTTAGGTAGCTTCATGAAAAGGGTATAAATGTGGAAATCCAAGACTCCAGTTCTAACTGAGGCTTAATCACAGATAACGTGTGTGATCTTGAGCTACTTGCTTAGTGTCTCTGGGTCTGAGTTTTCCTTTCTAGAAGATGGGGAAACTAATACGTATTCTGGAGTGATTAGAGATAAGGTGTAGAAGTAGCCAGGTGTATGGCAGCTGGTACAATGGATGCCATAGTAAAGGAGTTGGTGCCAGAATCACTGCATCACTGCTCTCTTCCCATCACTCCACATTGCCTTCAACTAGCTGAGTGCTCCTGCTGAAGAACCGACTCCTATGTTCCCTGGCTCTCAACATGACTCAGTTTGACTTTTCATAAGTGCAGGTAAGCAAGGTAAAATGGGAGTTCTTTTTCCTCTCTACAGATGGAAAATACCAGCAGGAGACCAGCCAAGTAGAGTTGGGGGAAGTCTTGAGACTCACCCTATGGTCTCCATGACCTTTGTCTTAGTTCCTTTGAGCCGCTAAAACAAAATACCTTAGATTGGGTAATTTATAAACAATAGAAGTTTATTTATTTATTTATTTTTTGCAGTTTCAGAGGCTGGGAAGTCTAAGATCAAGGCATCTGCATATTCAGTGTCTTGGTGAGGGCTTGCTCTCTGCTTTAAGATGGTACCTTCTTGCTATGTCCTCATGTGGTGGAAGGGGTCATTTGTTCATCTTCATTTCTTTTATAAGGTCATTAATCCCATTCAGAAGGGCTCTGTCCAAATGCCTTAATCAGCTCCTAAATGCCCCACCTCTTAAAACTATCACCTTGATTAAGTTTCCACATATGAAATTTGGAGAGACACAGACATTCAGACCATGGTAGTCCCCATCCTCTGATGTGGACCGGCAGCACACTCACAGTCTTACATAAATGACTCTGCAAGTGCAGCTTTCTGAGCTCCATTCCAATTGTCCCTCTCCCCACCTCCATAGCAGTTTTGGTGAAGCCCTATGTAATTTCATGATCTACAGGTAGATTTGATAGATGGTGTTATGGTACCAGGAGTGGGGAGCAGCCAAAACACAAACCCTAAAATATGTGGCTCTAGGGCCAGATGGCAGTCAGCAAGAGAACCGTTACTGAGGGTTGGAAAGATGGTAATCTATGTTATGCAGTGGTGAAATATTTGGTAAAGCTGTTGTAGGAATAACTTGAAGGGCGGATGATGTGCTGAAGGAACTTGAAGCTTAAGGTGAAAAGATGGGGAAACTGAACGTTAGTAACATCCCTTGGTCACTACTGTAAGAAAGAGATGAGCTCAGAAAAGAATTGGCTAAATTGTAAGCAGGTATAAAAAGAAGTAGAGAGGGTCCAGGACTTCTGGAGTCCCATTTCTCCCAGGAAGGGGCCTGCCTCAGTATCCATGCCAAGCTCAGTTACTGGCTGGGAGCTGCTTGTGGGAATCACTTCCCTCTGAGTGTGACTCAGTCATACTCTAAAGTACGACATGACTCTTCCTTGCAGAGATCTGGACATATACAGTGTCCAGTCACACGGACAGATGCAGCTTCTGTGGTCACTCTAGATGATGCTAACTTCCTTATGCTGGCATGCTATCCTCATAATGCAGGCTGCAGTTAACTATTTTAAAAGTTAACATGGTAAGCAGAAGTGATTCCTCTTTGGCTTGAACATGGACTGTTTGGAGGGCACTGGAGAGAACCAAAAGAGTGACAAGTTTTGAGTGCTTGTCATGTAAGAAACAGGAAAGAAAATGCGGCATAATTACCTGTCTCTGGGGAGAGGAGCAGGATTGCTTTTGTTCCTCCAAGTAGGCAGAAACAGAAACACTGGGCAGCTGGTACAGAGAGACGGGTTTTGAGAGGCAGTACTCTCCCAGCAGCACTGTCTAGCCAGCTGTCTGCCCGAGTCTGGGGGTGCTAGTGCCTTCTGCAGGATTACCCTATAGGAGGCATTTCCAGGGTGCTGATGTGGACTCATGCCAGAGGTGACAGTGTCAGCCATCCATGGTGGAAACACAAAAATAAGGACACTTAGTGAGCTTGGCCCAAGCTATTACATTTTCATCTCTGAGGTTATATTTCCCACACCTTTACCGTTGAATGTCCTTTTATCAAAATAGTAGTCATTGTTTAAGTGATATCTCTATGTTAAACCTTACATTTTTTTCTTTTTAATTTTATTGATTTGTGAAATCCTAAAGTCTTGAAACTCCTAAGCTAGCTGACTTTTCAGATCTGGGATCTGTTTTATCTCTAAATGATTATGATTCCTGACTTTTTTTTGATATAAACACTCAACTGCCATTAAGAGTGCTCATGATAGGGAATAGATGCTGCATTTGTTCATGTTTAAATACTGAGGCTCAAGTACCTGTCAGAAGGAGTTTATTATATTTTCTAGGCTCTCTGAAATTACATCAGAAAAATGTGAATTAGAATATAACCCATAAATAATATCTGGCCACATGCAAAGTAATTGAAGATCAATTGAAATAGCTATTGGATTAAGAAATAGAGACTGAGGTAAATTTACAGGGTCAGGGAGGATCTAAGGAGGAAGCATTGACACTGGAGCCCAGGGACCTGGGATTACAGAACAGATTCTACCAGTGCTAACTTACTGCTCCAAAGAAAATATCAATTCTGCTCATCCGCAGGTACTATTCATCAAGAAAGGGATTACAAGTTCACAAATGTGTTCAAAATGTACCCATACTTCGACATATTAATGAAGTAATCACATTCTACACATGACTACTCCATATGGAATACTGGGGTGGGGTGTTCCAAATAAAGAGACTGAGGATTTCTCATGAGAACTCAGTGTCTGCTAGAAAATATCTAAGTAAAATATTTTACTTATGTGGAAGGTGTGGATGTTTGTGCATCACAAGTTTCAAGAATCCCTAAAATGTACAATGGAGATGAGGAGAAAATATCAGAATTTCCCAGCACCAGAAATGAGGCAAGAAAAAATTCAGAGGAGTTGTAAATGTGAAAAGCCAATGGCTGGTCACACAGCAACATTGATAACCTTGTGCCAGGACAACTAGAATAAATACATAAACATACAGATTGAAAGTATTTCCAATATTAGATCTCCCTCATGTGAGAACTAAATTATAAAGATTGAAGCATATAAGAAAATAAGCTACCAGAATTTAGGCTACCAGAATAAATTCGATTACACATAAATTTCTGATATTGAAATTCTCACAAATGTTTAAGTTGGTAGTGGAAGACAAAGGACATATAATCTTGGGAGTCCTAGGGCCCTGCCCGCTGCCAGTTCCTCCATGCTACTACAGCTGATGCTTTCTGGAAAGCAACACCTCCTGGCAGGAGGCCAACCAGCACAAATATAGAGCATTAAACCACTAAAGCTAAGGACCCTCACAGAGTCTATTGCACCCTTCACCACCTCCACTGGAACAGGCGCCGGTATCCATGGCTGAGAGACCCATAGATGGTTCACATCACAGGGCTCTATGCAGACAACCCCTAGTACCAGCCCAAAGCCAGGTAGACCTGCTGGGTGGCTAGACCCAGAGGAGAGACAACAATCAATGCACTTTGGCTCACAGGAAGCCATGCCCATAGGAAAAGTGGGAGAGTACTACATCAAGGGAACACTCTGTGTGACAAAAGAGTCTGAACAACAGTCTTCAGCCCTAGACCTTTCCTCTGACAGAGTCTACCTAAATGAGAAGGAACCAGGAAACCAACCCTGGTAATCTGACAAAACAAGACTCTTCAACAACCCCCAAATAATCACACCAGTTCATCACCAATGGATCCAAACAAAGAAGAAATCACTGATTTATCTGAAAAAGAATTCAGGTTAGTTATTAAGCTAATCAGGGAGGGGCCAGAGAAAGGTGAAGCCCAATGCAAGAAAATCCAAAAAATGATACAATAAGTAAAGGGAGAAACAGTCAAGGAAATAGCTTAAATAAAAAATAATAATAATAATAAAAAATCAGGAAACTTTGGACGCATTTTTAGAAATGTGAAATTCTCTGGAAAGTCTCAGCAATAGAATTGAACAAGTAGAAGAAAGAAATTCAGAATTCGAAGACAAGGTCTTTGATTTAACCCAATCCAATAAAGACAAAGAAGAAAGAACAAGAAAATATGAGCAAAGCCTCCAAGGAGTCTGGCATTCTGTTAAACGATGAAACCTAAGATTAATTGGTGTACCTGAGGAAGAAGTGAATTCTAAAAGCCAGGAAAATGTATTTGGGGGAATAATCAAGGAAAACTTCTGTGGCCTTGTGAGAGACCTAGACATCCAAATACAAGGAGCACTAATAACACCTGGGAAATTCATCACAAAAAGATCTTAGCCTAGGCACATTGTCATTAGGTTATCCAAAGTTAAGACAAAGGAAATAATCTTAAGGGCTGTGAGACAGAAGCACTAGGTAACCTATAAAGGAAAACCTATCAAACTAACAGCAGATTTTGCAGCAGAAACTTTACAAGCTAGATGGGATTGGGGCACTTTCTTCAGCCTCCTCAAACAAAACAATTATCAGCCAAGAATTTTGTATCCAGCAAAACTAAACATCATATATGAAGGAAAGATACAGTCATATTCAGACAAACAAATGCCGACAGAATTTGCCGTTACCAAACCAGCACTGTAAGAACTGCTAAAAGGAGCTCTAAATCATGAAACAAATTCTGGAAACACATCAAAACAGAACTTCATTAAAGCATAAATCACACAAGAGCTATAAAACAAAAATACAAGTTAAAAAGCAAAAACAACAAAAAAAAACAAGTATAGAGGCAACAAAGAGCATGATGAAAGCAATGGTACCTCACTTTTTAATACTAATGTTGGTTGTAAATGGCTTAAATGCTCCACTTACAAGATACAGAACCACAGAATGGATAAGAACTCACCAACTAACTATCTGCTGCCTTCAGGAGACTCACCTAACACATAATGACTTACATAAACTTAAGGAAAGTGGTAGAAACAGGCATTTCATGCAAATGGACACCAAAAGCGAGCAGCAGTAGCTATTCTCATATGAGACAAAACAAACTTTAAAGCAACAGTAGCTAAAAGAGACAAACACAGACAGTATATAATGGTAAAGGTCTCATCCAACAGAAAAATATGACAATCCTAAACATACATGAACCTAACACCGGAGCTCCCAAATTTATAAAACAATTACTAGTAGACATAAGAAATGAGATAGACAGCAACACAATAATAGTGGGGGACTTCAATACTCCACTGACAGCACTAGACAGGTCATCAAGACAGAAAGTCAACAAAGAAACACTGGATTTAAACTATACTTTGGAACTAATGGACTTAGATATATACAGAACATTTCATCAACAATCACAGAATACACATTCTATTCCACAGCACATGGAATTTTCTCCAAGATAGACCATATGATAGGCCATAAAACGAGTCTCAATAAATTTAAGAAAATTGAAATTGTATCACGCACTCTCTCAGATCACAGTGGAATAAAACTGAAAATCAACTCCAAAAGGAATCTTCAAAACCATGCAAATACATGGAAATTAAATAACCTGCTCCTGAATGAGCATTGGGTGAAAAATGAAATCAAGATGGAAATGTAAAAAATTTCTTCGAACTGGATGACACAACCTATCAAGACCTCTGGGATACAGCAAAGGCAGTGCGAAGAGGAAAGTTTGTAGCCCTAAACACCTACGTCAAAAAGTCTGAAAGAGCACAAACAGACAATCTAAGTTCACATCTCAGGGAACTAGAGAAGCAGGAACAAGCCAAACCCAATCCCAGCAAACAAAGGAAATAACCAAGATCAGAGCAGAACTAAATGAAATCGACACAACAACAACAACAACAACAACAAATACAAAACATAAATAAAACAAAAAGTTGGTTATTTGAAAAGATAAATAAAACTGATAGACCATTAGCAAGATTAACCAAGAAAAGAAGAGAGAAAATCCAAATAACCTCACTAAGAAATGAAACAGGGGATATTACAACTGACACTACTGAAATATTAAAGATTATTCAAGGGTACTATGAACACCTTTTGGCACATAAACTAGAAAACCTAGGAGAGTTGGATAAATTCCTGGAAAAATACAACCCTCCTAGCTTAATCAGGAAGAAGTAGATACCTCAAGCAGACCAATAAAGCAAGCAGCAAGATCGAAATTGTAATTTTAAAATTACCAACCAAAAAAACCGAGGACCAGACAGATTCACAGCAGAATTCTACCAGACATTCAAAGAATGTCTTCTTTCATTCAAAGAAGAAATGATACCAATCCTTTCACACTATTCCACAAGACAGAGAAAGAAGAAAGCCTCCCTGATTCATTCTATGAAGCCAGCATCACCCTAATACCAAAACCATGAAAGGACATAACCAAAAAAGAAAACTACAGACCAATATCCTTGATGATCACAGATGCCAAAATCCTTAACAAAATACTATCTAACTGAATCCAACAACATATCAAAAAGATAATCCACCATGATCAAGTGGGTTTCATACCAGTGATACAGGAATGGTTTAACATATGCAAGTCAATAAATGTGATATACCAAATAAACAGAATTAAAAAAAAACTCAAATGATTATATCAACAGATGCAGAAAAAGCATTCAACAAAATCTAGCATTGCTTTATGATTAAAGCTCTCAGCAAAATAGGCATACAAGGGACATACCTTAATGTAATAAAAGCCGTCTATGACAAACCCACAGCCAACATAATACTGAATGGGGAAAAGGTGAAAGCATTCTCTCTGAGAACTAGAACAAGATGAGGAGCCTACTCTCACCAGTCCTCTTCAACATAGTACTGGAAGTGCTTGCCAGAACAATCAGACAAAAGAAGGAAATAGAGGAAATCCAAATCGGTAAAAAGGAAGTCAAACTATCACTGGTTGCTGACGATATGATCTTTCGCCTTGAAAACCCTATGGACTCCTCTAGAAAGCTTCTAGAACTGATAAAAGAATTCAGCCAAGTTTCCAGATACAAGATTAATGTACACAAATCAGTAGCTCTTCTATACATCAACAGCTACCAAGCAGAGAATCACATCAAGAACTCAACCCCTTTTACAATAGCTGCAAAAACAAACAAACAAACAAACAAACAAAAAACTTAGGAATATACCTAGCAAAGGAATCAAAAGACCTCTACGATGAAAATTACAAAACACTGCTGAAAGAAATCATAGTTGGAGCCAAGCATGTTGGCACATGCGTATAATCCCAGCTACTCGGGAAGCTGAGGCAGGAGAATCGCTTGAACCTGGGAGGCAGAAGTTGTAGTGAGCCGAGATCACACCATTGCACTCCCACCTCAGCGACAAGAGCAAAACTCCCTCTGAAGAAAAAAAAAAAAAAAGAAAGAAAGAAAAGAAATCATAGATGACACAAACAGATGGAAACGCATCCCCATGCTCGTGGATGGGTAGAACCAATATTGTGAAAATTACCATTCTGTTAAAGGCAATCTACAAATTCAATGCAATCCCCATCTGAATACCACCATCATTCTTCACAGAATTACAAAAACAATTCTAAAATTAATATGGAACCAAAAGAGAGCCATGTAGCCCAACCAAGGCTAAGCAAAAAGAACAAACCTGGAGGCATCACAGTACTTGATTTCAAACTGTACAATAAGGCCATAGCTACCAAAACAGCATGGTACTGGTTTAAAAATACGCACATAGACTAATGTAACAGAAGAGAGAACCCATAAATTAACCCAAATACTTACAGCCGACTGATCTTCGACAAAGTAAGCAAAAAATAAAGTGGGGAAAGGACACCCTTTTCAACATATGATGTTGGGATAATTGGCGAGCCATATGTAGGGGAATAAAACTGGATTCTCATCTCTCACCTTATACAAAAATCTACTCAAGATGGATTAAAAACTTAAACCTAATTCCTGAACTATAAAAATTCTAGAAGATAACACTGGATAAACCCTTCTAGACATTGGCATAGGCAAGGATTTCATGACCAAGAACCCAAATGCAAATGCAATAAAAACAAAGATAAATAGCTGGGACTTAATTAAACTAAATAGCTTTTGCATGGCAAAGGGAACAGTCAGTAGAGTAAATAGACAGCCAACAGAGTGGGACCCCTGACCCTGACCCCTAACCTTAACCCTAATCCCTAACCCTAACCCCTAACCACAACTCTCCCCCTCCCCCTAACCCAACCCTAACCCCTAATCCCTAACCCCCAACCTCTCTTAACCCCTAACTCTAAATGTTGACTCCTAACCCCTAACTCTGACCCCAACCCCTATCTCCAACCCCTAACCCTAAACTTAACCCCTAACACCAACCTTAAGCCTAGGTTCGTTACTACGTTTGTATTGACTATGTCAATGTTGATTATTATGATCGCTGTCTTAGGACTGCACGGCAGCGAGGGGATTGTGGATCTTATATTAATGTTTTTGTGTCGAGGCAGTGCATTAGCACTACAGGTGCTTGTTACATGAGCAAGGGGGGTGTCATCTTTTGAGTGCCATGTCTGCATTAGGAATGCTGCATTTGTCTTCCGAGGCTGCGGTGTGGATCTCGCACTGCGGCCGCCTCACCTTGGCTGGGGAGAACCTCGGTGGGCAGGATTCAGAGGGGCTTTTGGTTTCCCGTTTTCCACACTGAACCCTTCTATCTGGTTTCTGACCCTGATTATTCAGGGCTGCAAACAGGAAGGATTTTATTCACCGTCGATGCGGCCCCGAGTTGTCCCAAAGCGAGGCAGTGCCCCCAAGGTCCGTGCTGAGGAGAACGCTGCTCTGCCTTCGCGGTGTCCCCCGGGTCTGTGCTGAGCAGAACGCAGCTCCGCCCTCCCGGTGCCCCCGGCCCGCCCGGGTCTGTGCCAAGGAGAACACTGCTCCGCCTTCGCTGTATCTCCGAAGTCTGTGCACAGGAGAACTCAGCTCCGCCCTCGCGATGCTCTCCGAGTCTGTGCTGAGCACAACGCAGCTCCGCCCTCGCAAAGGCACAGCGCGGGCGCAGGCGCCCAGAGGCGCACAGGAGACCTCAGGCCCAGACTCCACTCCCCAGCTGTGAAAGGGTAAGAATTGAGGGTGGCTGAGGCTCGGGGTTGTTCAGGGCGGGGTGGGCTCTGGACCCAGCAGGCCCGGCACCCAGGTCAGGGATCCAGGGGAGGCCAGGTGGGGCGAAGGCCAAGAAGGGGCCGGGGCTGGTCAGGAAGGGCTCCTGGTGACCAGAACACTTTGCGTGAGCCAGCGTGGGAGGAAGGTGGGCTGGATGAGCCAGGGAGGCGCCGGGAGGGGCCTTGGCAGAGGCGACCCCCTCCGTCAGCCCCCAGGCCACTGAACCCTGGGTAGCAAGAACCGGCAGGGGAGGCTGCAGACGGAGGAGTGGAGGCTCCTTGGCTTTGGGGGCTCTGAGCAGAAGCATCTAGGGGGTCCCTCAAGAGACCCCCAAATGCTGCCCCATGGTGAGAAAACAGGGAGAGGCCCTGCAGGGACCCCCCGGGGTTACAAAGGGCTGCCACTGTGAGAAGGCAACGCTGCTGGCTGGGGCTGGGCTTTCTACCTCACCAAGCCTCTTCCCACCCAAAGGGCCCAGAGAGGGGCAGCTGCCCCCCCAGCGGGCACAGCACCTCCTCCCTGTGTGATGGGGTGGGGCCCACAGTCTCCTTTCTCGCGGCCTGCCTGGGCTGACCCTGGGTCCCAGCTCGGCCATGGGGCTTCGGCATGTAAAGCCCTTGGGGGGCAGAGCCTCCCGCCCCCGCCAGCTTCTGGCTCTCTGTGTCGCCCCCAGCACTGGACTGGTGCCTTGGAGGGAGGCTCCGCCCTCCTCCACATCAACCCGCTGAGGAGTTCTGTCTTCCCAGGGTTGTGAGGGAAACCAGCTCTGCAGGCCTATGTCCAAGTCTAGGCACCGCCTCCTCCAGGGAGCCTTCCAGACCTGATCTGTGTGGCAGAGGCCCAGAAGGACCTGGGTGTGGGGATCCTAGAGGGAGGCGGGGGACCCAGCGTGAGGAGAGAGGGTCCCAGTGCTTCCTCCTGAGTGAGGGTCACCCATCTGACTCCGGCTGCACAGAGCCACTCCCTCTAAGCGCTCCTGCTCTCTGCCTTCCTGCATTAGCTCTTGCCTGTACCCGGCCCAGCAAACCCCTGCTCATCTTTCAGACCCAAGTTCAAGGCCCCCTCCCACTCCGGGTGGCTCATCACCTGGCCTCCCCAGGCAGAGAGGCTAGGCTCCTGCTCACTGGGGCGTCTCCCTTGCCCACTGGCACGGGACTACAAGGAAAGGGGTTGACCCCCACCCTCCCCCGCCATGCCCAGGAGGGTGCAGACACAACTGGGAAGGTGCTAGAGACCCCGGGGGGAGGCTGGGCCAGCACCAGGCATTGGGGGGCAGGTTCCCGTCTCTACACCCCAGCCCCAGGCGGACAGCGCGTGCCCCTCCCGCTGCCCCACCTGTCACCCACCTGCTGGCCCCGGGCTGTCTCTGCTCCTGGCTCCCCTCCCAGCTGCGTCCCCAGCTGCCTCTCCAGGGAGGAGTGACAGCTGGCCTGTGCCACACCCTCGAGCCCCCCCGGACTACCCCCTCCCTGGGGCAGGACCCCTGCCTGTGGCACAACCAAGGGGCCTGCTGATGGGGGCTCATGTGAGCAGTGCCCCAGCTGTGGGTGTGGGTGCTGCCAGCTGCCACCGCCTTTGCCCTGGTTTCCCAGATAGACCCCGACCCACACTCCGAAGCTGTATCATGAACGCTGTGGTGGGCGGCTGGTGGGGAGCGGGGTTGCCGTCCCACTACCCTCTGGAAGCCTCAGCCATGAAGGGCCCCTGTGGGCACCTTTTCCCGGCACACGGTGCTGTGTTTCTCCACTCTTGGGCTCTGCAGTGACTTGAGGGGTCAAGTCTATGATCCCACGGGAGGCTGGGCTAATGAGGGGACCAGAGACCTCAGTGCTGTGCAGGGAGTCCTGAACCACCCTGGTGGAAGGCCCAGCCCAACTCCCCAGTCCTCCCGCCAGCTCCCTGTGGTGTCCAGGAGACCTGTGGTCAGGCCTGGAGGAGAAGCTCCTCCTCCCCTCGACATCCTCCCTGCAGCCCTTGCTCTTCACCAGAGCCTCCTGACTCCCCAGGACCCCAGAGAGGACTGACCCTCTCCAGCCGACCTCTGGGCTCAGGACAGCTGGGCGGGGCAGCCACAGGAGCTGCCTGTAGGGAGCAGAGTCAGGACGGGGACCGAGCCGGACACCCATTCTGGAAGTGTCTGCACTTCCAGGCAGGGGAAGGACGGCAGTGGGTAGCTGGGAGTGCTGGGCCGAAGATGGGCATTGTCAGGCCCTCAGTGGGGACTGGGAGGTAGAGGTGGGGAGGTCTGTGGAGGAAGGAGAAGAAGGGCCAGTGTCCCGAGTTGGGGGTGGTTGGCAGTGGACGAGGCCGACAGGAACAGACCTGAGCTTGGGGAGCTCCACTCAGAACGAGGCATCCTTCAGGGTTCTGTGCATACTGGTGTCCCTGGCTGGGGGCCGGGCCCCGAAGTGGAGCCTGGGACTGTGAGGGTGGGGGGGGTGTGCTGGGGTGGGAGGTGGATGGAGCCCCCCCTCCACCGCCTGGCCGCTTGGGCTGAACCTTGGACTTCGGAGCCGGAACAGACATAGGAAATGGCCTAACTGCATTTGCGCAGGAACACCAAATCCCTCGCAGCTGCACGGGGCTGAGCCAGGGCCACGGGCGGGGTCGGCCATCCCAGAGTCCTGACAGCTCCGTGGTGTATGCCAAGGGGCCTGGGCCGCTGACCGAGGGGCGCCTTTCCCAGGCCAGAGGCCCCCACCCCACCCCAGGAGAGCTGCCCCCCTTTCAGTTCCCAGAACGGAGCCCGGCTGTGGAATAGTGATGCGGTGAGGTCATGGGGAGGGGGCCCGCATGACTCATATCCTGGGGTAGGGGAAAGGGAGGAGACGGAGAAGGGGCCCAGAGGCCTCCACGTCCTCAGCTCTGCTGGGTCAGAGGCCAGGGGCTGGCGGGGCTTCTCCCCAGCACTGGGTTTTAGGGGAGACACCAGGAGATGCTTACTCTGCATCCCCACTCTGTCCCCCAGGCCCCTAGCCAGGGAGAGCTCAGTCAGAGTGATCCTCCAGGGGCCCAGCTCTGCATGGATGATGTTCCCAGAGTACACACCTGGGCCTCGTGCCAGGGCCGGCACCGCCGTTGTCAGGGCTATGGCAAGGCAAACAGTCAATGTTTGCCTCACTAAAGTGAGGCTGCAGCACCCTGAAGGGATCCCTGGAGGGGGACGTGGTCCCCTTGTTCCCAAGCTTGTCTGCACATGCACGTGGATGTCAAGGGTTCCCGTGTGTGAGCACGTGCATATTTGTATGTGCATGGGGTGCGGGCATGTGTGCCTGTGTGGCCGGAGCGTGGGCTCGTGGAGAATGTGTGTGAGTTGGGTGTGCACCTGCATGTGCCCCAGGCCTAGGGAGTCCCGCGCCCGGCCGCACTCCATGTGTTGGGCATGAGCTGTGAGCAGAGTGAGGGCCTTTATGGGGCTGTTGGGGCCCGGACTCGTTGCCCTTAGGGGTGGACCTAAGGAAACGTGTGCACACGGGCTTCTGGGGTCTCTGTGCCAATGTGTGCTTCCAAGCCACGCCTCCCCTATGGCTTGGTGGAGGGGGTCTGTGGAGCTGGAGTGAGGGCCCTGGACCCATTGGAAGCCCAGGTCCAAGGAGGAGCTTGGGCTCCATCTCATGCCCCAGGCCCAAGGACACACACCCCAGCTGAGACCTTGCTCACATGGAGGGGCTGGGACATGGGAACATGGGGAGCAACATGGCCAGGCTTCTCCTCCATGGAAACCCTCCACCTCCTCAATACTCTGCCCCAGCTCTGCGCCGCCCTCCATTTGGAGGGGCTGGGTCGTGAGTGGGGGCGTGAGTGAGCATGAGGGCCCCTGCACCCCAGGCTCTGCCTCCCCACGTGGAACGAGGCCCAGCAGCCCCCAGCCAGGTGGCTACTACTGCATTCAATCAGTGCCCCTCCATCTAACAAATACTCCCTCATATAATCAGTACTCCTCCATCCAATCAATATTCCTTCATCAACACCTTTCTATACAACCAATAGTCCTCCATCTAATCAATGCTCCTCCATCCAACCAATACTCTGCAATTTAACCACTGTCCCTCCATCCATTCAATGTCCCTCCATCCATCCCATGGTCCCCCAGCCCTACCCCATGAGCAGCATGGAGGCAGACCCACATCTGTCTTGTGCGCCATCATCTCCCTGATGCTCTTCAGGAAAGGGAGGTGTCTCACAATTGCATTGAATGGAGGAAGGCACATCTTTCCAGTGATCCCCACTCTAGGGCTGCATTGGGAAATCGCTCCCAGGGAAAACACAAACACAAAGCAGAGGGTTGCCCAGTGTGACCCTCTGATGTGACCACGGTGGCTGTCCACTAAGGTAATCCTGATGCTTTTCCTCCTCTGCAGACTGCTGGCCAGACCCCCAAGCTAGCCCGCCAGGCCTCCATAGAGCTGCCCAGCATGGCTGCATCCAGTACCAAGAGTTGGTGGGAGACGGGTGAGGTATAGGCTCAGTCTGCGGCCAAGACTCCGTCCTGCAAGGTAAGGTCCCCTCCAGGGGCAAGGCTGGGCTGCAGAGCCAGCACTGGGGAGTTTAGTAGCAGGCCAGGTTTCCTTGTTAAGACAAGCGTGGGACTGTCCAGGATGAATGTGGGCAGACAGAACCCTGAGGTATTGCAGTAGGGTTGGGTTCACCCTTGCTGGTGTAGAAGGCTGTGTTGTCCGAGTGGAGGTGGATGGCACCTTTATTCCTTTCCCTGCTTCTTCCACTGGGATCGCACAGAAAAAGTTTTGGTAGGCAGATCCCAGGCCCCCTGGCCAGGTAAGGCAAGGCAGGAGAGAAGGGCCCAGGGCTTCTACTCCCCAAGATCCAGGGGTCTGCCCTTGTGACATACCCTTCTGCTGCCCCCAGGATATTGTGGCTGGAGACATGAGCAAGAAAAGCCTCTGGGAGCAGAAGGGAGGCTCCAAGACCTCATCAACAATTAAGGTAGAGCCTAAATGTGGTTGGTGCAGGCAGGAAATATTAACTTATTTCATTGTCACACGAAACCAGAAGACATAAAACAGTTAAAATAGGCCAGGCACAGTGGCTCACACCTGTAATCCCAGCACTTTGGGAGGCCGAGGTGGGTGGATCACGAGGTCAGGAGGAGACCATCCTGGCCAACGTGGTGAAACTTGGTCTATACTAAAAATACAAAAAAAAAAAAAAAAAAAAATTAGCCGAGCGCAGGGGCACATGCCTGTAATTCCAGCTACTTGGGAGGCTGAGGCAGGAGAATCACTTGAACCAGCAAGTTGGAGGTTGCAGTGAGCCGAGCTCGCACCCTGCACTCCAGCCTGGCGACAGAGGGAGACTCAGTCTCAAAAAACAAACACACAAGCAAATAAAAAAAACAAAACAACTTGACACACTTAGAAAATGAAGGTTTGTGCTATTGGTTTTCTTTTATTTTAGAAAAACAAAGCATTGTTTAAATATTTCTTACAAGTACAAATATAATTTAAATTTAATAAATGTTCAAAAATATCTGTAATTAAGTTTCATTCAGCAGACATATGTCTAATAGAGAACTTGCTAAGTAAGATATAAAGGATGATTACATGAAAAAATCACAAAATTGTCAGTAAGAGTCTTAAAAGTCAGTGATAGGACAGTAGTTAAAAGATATCAAATAGTTATTTATTCTTAAACATTAAACAGGATATTAATAGTTTTAATAATCTTGAAGTTTGACAACACTGTGAAAACATTACAGACCACTTTTATTTATGAAAATACGTGCAAATAGCAAACACCAGTTGGGCTTAAGGCTGCTACTTACTTACCCAGTAAGTGACAAAGCTGGAATTCAAACCAGGTTTGAGCTATACCACTACTACCCTTGAAAAGGTTTCATTACACTCAGCTTTCCTTAATTTCTTAAACTCTTTTTTTTTTTTTTGATTGAGACAGAATCTTGCTCTATTGCCCAGGCGGGAGTGCAGTGACATGATATTGGCTCACTGCAACCTCTGCCTCCCAGATTCAAGCAATTCTCATGCCTCAGCCTCCCAAGAAGCTGTGATTACCCGTGTGCATCACCACACCTGGCTAATTTTTGTGCTTTTAGCAGAGGTGGTGTTTTGCCATGTCAGCGAGGCTGATCTTGAACTCCTGACCTCAGGTGATCCGATCCGCCCGCCTCGGCCTCCCAAAATGCTGATATTACTGGTGTGAGCCACCACTCCTGGCCAATTTCTTAAACTTTTGATTATACTAAATATGGTCCTTCTGCGTGATAACACTGTTTTTCCTTTTATAAAATTAATCTCTTAAAATACTTTAAAATTCAAAGTACACTTTTTAGATTCTTTAAAATACTCTTTGCCATGTTCATGGCCTTTAGATGTGTGATCATAGCCTATTTGCTTTTCATTGACTTAGTTTCATATTTCTTTGCCTTTTTCCCCCTACTTTTCCTTATAGAACTATTTACTAGTAATGAAATCATTTTAAAGAATACACTTTTTATTCCACCTGCTAACTGTTAAGAGAATGTTTTATAATCACTCTGGTCATGGCCTGTAAGTTTCTTTTCTAAACTATCTTTTCAGGATACATATTTACTAACTTGCTTTCAAATGAATATGGTCATGTCTATGCAGCAAGTTTCTTTTCTTTCTTCTTTTCTTCTTCTCTTTTTTCTTTTTCTTTTCTTTCTTTTTTAAGGCAAGATTTCGCTCTGTAGCCCAGGTTGAAGTGCAGTTGTAGAAACATGACTCACTGTAGCCTCAACCTCTCTGGCTCAAGTGATCTGCCCACTTCAGCCTCCCAGCCAAGTAGCTGGGACTGCAGGTGTGCACCACCCTGCTCCACTAAGTTATTTAGTTTTTTGTAGACATGGATTCTCAGTGTGTTGCCCAGGCTAGTCTTGAACTCCTGGGCTCAAGCCATCTTCCTGCCTTGACCTCCCAAAGTGATAAGATTACAGGCTTGAGACATTATGCCCAACCTCTTTTTCTTTTTCTTTCTTTCTTTCTTTTTTTTTTTTTTTTTGAGACAGTCTTGCTCTTGTTGCCCAGGCTGGAGTGCAGTGGCATGATCTTGGCTCACCGCAACCTCCACTTCCCGGGTTCATGCGATTCTCCTGCCTCAGCCTCCCGAGTAGCTGGGATTACAGGCATGCACCACCACACCCAGCTGATTTTGTATTTTTTAGTAGAGACAGGGTTTCTCCATGTTGGTCAGCCTGGTCTTGAACTCCCGACCTCAGGTGATCTGCCCGCCTTGGCCTCCCAAAGTGCTGGGATTACAGGTGTGAGCCACCATTCCTGGCCCTCTTTTTCTTTTTAACTGAGCTTATTTATCTCTTCCCCAGCTTGAGTCTGGGTCCTACTGTCTTGGTCAGAGTATTTTACTATATTGACCTGGACAATTCTGCCATCATGAACCATATTCCAAACCTAAATATGTAAGAACATAGAAAGATTATTTTAGCAGGAGAATTTTAACACACACACACACTTTATTCTGAAAATTTAGCAACAAAATGAAAGGTGAGTTGTGGTAGTTGATGTATCAACAAATAGAAAGAAGAAAGCCTGTAATCTGTTTCAGAATGCTATTTCTGGGGCTGGTAACATCAAAAATAATCAAATTAAGTGTTAACTTGCTGACTCGTAAGATTTTCTCTAATTTAGAAGTTGGAGAACATATATACTCCTATTACCACTTTCCATCTTTCTCAAATATAGTTTTTATAGTTTTCTGTTGGCTTCATCATCGTATTGAAAGATTATTAATCACTTACATATATGTAGTTTTCTGTTAAGTCCTGTTCAATATATTACAAAATTTTGATCTGTGTATGTAATATCAATTAATAAGATGGTGTTAGTTAAATCAGATTACGTGTTCATTCATTAAGTCATTGTTAATACTTCACAGAATATAAATCGTGTTCCATGAGCATGAATTTCTCTCTGAATTCCACATAATTGTCTTAAAATTATGCACCATTTATTGTTAAGAGTGAAAGATTATGTGTCATTTATTGTAGTGGTAGAAGAAAATAAAACCAAAACAGAATCCAATCCAAAAGCTTAGGTTTTTGTTGCTACTACAGTAATTACATCTTCATATACGAAGGACAGCACATTATTACTGTCCAAGAATGGTGCCTCGGACAACTGGTTGCTTACACTGTTTTCAGAGATGAAATAGGAACATAAGCAGGAAGATTTTTGTCTAAATATGAAGCAAGAAAGGCTTAAATGTCTTTATTCAGGGGATTAGGCATCATAAGTTTTTTTTTTTTTGGAGAAATTGTTTTCATGATATTTCCTATCTCCTTTTGTCACTTTGCTTTTGTCGGTAAATTTTACAACTAAATAAGGATTACCAGGCATAAAAAGCAGCAGACAATCATGATGCAAACTGAAAATAATCAATCAAAACTGACCCAGAACTTAAATAGATGTTAAAATTAGCAGAGGAGGACATTAAAACTGTTTTTATACATGTATCTCATATAATCAAAACATTAAATAGAGACATGGGAGATAAACAAGAAAAGCCAAAATCAAACTTTCAAAGACAAAAACATTTGAGATGAAAATTACATTGGATGAACTAAGGCAGATTAGAAACTGCAGAAGAAAAGATTAGCAAACTTGAAGATACAAGAACAGACACTAGCTAAAGTACAAAAAGAAAAAAAAATGTTAAAAAGTGATTTTTAAAAAGCATCAGTGAGCAGTCAGGCAACTTCAAATGGCCTAATAATATGCAGGTAACTGGAGTCCCCAAAGGAGAAAAAAAAGAAAGAGAAAAAAAATACTTGAAGAAACAACTGCTGAAAATGTTCTAGCCATAACAAGACCTATTAACTCACGGATCCAAGAAACTCAGCAAACCCCAAGCACAAGAAACATGAAGAAAATTACACTAAGGGATAACATAATCAAATTGTTCAAAATCAAGGAAACATTATTAATAGCAGGTGTATAAAAAGACATGTTACCTATAGAAGAACAAAGATAAGAACAACATCAGATTTCTTTTGAGAAACAATGCAAGTGAGAAGACAGCGGTACATCTCTAAAGTTCTAGAAGAAAAAAGGCCAACTAGAATTCTATGCCTAGCAAAAATATCTTTCAAAAATGAAGGTGAAATAAAGACACACCAGAAACATAAATAATGAAATAATTCATCACCAGGAGACCTTCACTGCAAGAAATGTTAAAGGATATTCTTCAGAAACAAAATGATGTCAGATGAAAATCTGGATCAATACGAAGGAATAAAGAGCACCAAAGTGGTAACTATATGAGCAAACATCTTTTAAATTTTTTATTATTTAAATCTCTAAGAGATACATGTTTAATAAAAAAACAGCAAAATGTTACAGAGTTTATAACATATGTAAAAGTCAAATGCATGGCAGCAATAGCACAAAGTGCAGGAGGGAGGAAAAGAAAGTAAATGAAGGAATGCTTTTATTATAGATGAAGTGTACAATATTACTTGACCTCTCTAAATGTGCACTATAATCTTAAAGGAACCACAAAAATAATTTTTAAAAATAGGTAAAAGTAATAAAAAGAGGCAAACTGGAATCATAATAAATAATGTAAGCTGGGCACGGTGGCTCACGCCTGTAATCCCAGCACTTTGGGAGGCCAAGGTAAGCGGATCACAAAGTCAGGAGATCGAGACCATCTTGGCCAACATGGTGAAACCCCGTCTCTACTAAAAATACAAAAATTAGCTGGGTGTGGTGGTGCACACCTGTAATCCCAGCTACTCAGGAGACTGAGGCAGGAGAATCGCTTGAACCCAGGAGGCGGAGACTCTAGTGAACCAAGATAGCGCCACTGCACTCCAGCCTGGCAACAGAGCGAGACTCTCTCTCTCAAAAAAAATAAATAAATAAATAAAGTAAAAGCATGCAAGAAGACCAGGTGCAATGGCTCACACCTGTAATCCCAGCACTCTGGGTGGCCAAGGCAGGAGACTCACTTGAGCTCAGGAGTATGAGACCAGCCTGGACAACATAGTGAGACCCCATATATAAAAAAATAAAGTAGCCGGGTATGATGGTGCACAACTGTGGTCTCCACTATTGGGAGGCTGAGGTAGATCACTTGAGCCTAGCAGGTCAAGGCTGCAGTAAGGTATGATCACACCACTGCACTCTAGCTTGGGTGACAGAGCAAGACCCCATCTTGGCAGGTGGGGGATGCAAGAAAAATGCAAGGAACAGATAGAGATAAATAGAAAACATAAGAAGACAATCATATTAAATGTACATGGTCTAAATACCCCCAATTAAAAAGCAGAGGTTTTAGACCATATACATTTAATGTGATTGTCTTCTTATATGTTTTTATCAGAGAAATAAAACTATCACCTTCAAGAAACACAAGTTAAATACAAAGATGCAAACAGGTTAAAATAAAAGAATGGAATAATATATACCATGCTTACGCTAGTCAAGAGAAAGCTAGAATAGAAATACTAATATCAGGCAAAGCATATTTCAGAGTTAAACACAACATTTTTCCACTATTTGCAGTCAAAAGTATCGTTAACACTCTCTTTACTCTGCTCAAAGTTACAGAGTTCTTTTGTATAAACATTAGAACACTTATCACAGCCTGCCTATAATGGAGAATAATTCCATGTTGTATACTATACAACACTCTTACTAAAGTCCATTAGACAGAAATATGTAGCATTTGAGACATCTTCCAATTATAAAACTCTATGCAAACAAAAATTAACAAAGCAGATCTGAGACTATTATATTATCCTGTGAAGGAGGGTCTGTCTGTCTGCACAGTTGGTCCTAGGCTGGCTTCTGAGGACTTGAATTTCAAGAGGGTTCCATAACTGGTAATCATGGTTTACTGTATCTAGACTATGGAAATAATGTGGCTTATCCTGCTATTCTTTTTGTGAGTCTGGAAATTTCACACATGCTAGGCAGAGTACACATATGTGACCCAGCCGAGATAAAACCTGTGTTTCTTGGGAAGTCACATAGGTTGTTGTATTTTCATTAAGGGGGAAAGAAGGTAGTCTGTGTGATCCTCATGGAAGGCACAGCACATAAGGAAGCCGGTACATGGATTTTTCCAGACTCTGTCAGTGTCTTTTGCCATTGAGATCTTTCTACTATATATCCATACTATGTTACAGTAATAAATCTTAGCCATTACAACCCTAAGCTGATCCCATGAGTCCTTCTAGCAAATCTCCAAACATGGAGGCAGTCTTGTGGATCCCTGACACAAATATAGTGTTGTGATCTCTTAAGGTTTATCCTTCCTCTTAAACTATAAAGAGCTGGCTGGGCACAGTGGCTCACGCTTGTAATGCCAGCACTTTGGGAGGCCGAGGCGGGTGGATCACGAGGTCAAAAGATTGAGACCAGCCTAGCCAACATGGCGAAACCCCGTCTCTACTAAAACTACAAAAATTAGCAGGGCGTGGTGGCACACATCTGTAGTCCCAGCTACTCGGGAGGCTGAGGCAGGAGAGTCGCTTGAACCAGGGAGGCAGAGGTTGCAGTAAGCCGAGATCGCACCACTGCACTCCAGCCTGGTGACAGAGGGAAACTTCATCTCAAAAAAAAGAAAGAAACTATAAAGGGCTGGGTGCAGTGGCTCACGCCTATAATACTAGCACCTTGGCAGGCCCAGGTGGGAGAATTGCTTGGGCCCAGGAATTGAGACCAACCTGGACAACAGAGCAAGACCCTGTCTCTTAAAAAAAAAAAAAAAGAAAAGTTGGCCGGGTGTGATGGATCACACCTGTAGTCCCAACACTTTGGGAGGCCGAGGTGGGCAAATCACAAGGTCAAGAGTTCGAGACCAGCCAGGCCAACATGGTGAAACCCCATCTCTATCAAAAAAAATACAAAAAATTCACTGGGCATGGTGGTGGGCACCTGTAATCCCAGCTACTTGGAAGGTTGAGGCAGGAGAATCACTTGAACCTGGGAGGCAGAGGTTGCAGTGAGCTGAGATCACGCCACTGCATTCCAGCCCGGTGATAGTGTGAGACTCCATCTCAAAAAAATAAAAAAGAAAAGAAAAGAAAAGTTAGCCAGGTATGGTGGCATGCATTTGTGATCCCAGCTACTCTAGAGGCTGAGACAGGAGGACTGCTTGAGCCTAAGAAGTCAAGGTTGCAGTAAGCCATGATCATGCTACTGCATTCCAGCTTAAACAACTGAGATGCTATCTCTTAAAAACAGAAGTAGAAGCAAACAACTATAGGGGAAAATGAGGGATACATACTTTAAGAATTTTTAAAAATTTACATGGAAAAACACCAGGATTCTATAGAAAATAAAACAGTATTAAATAACATTATTTATAAAATAGATACTAGCAAATTACCTTACGTAAAGATTCAAGTCAGTAACTTAAAGGATCTTACATAAAAGTACTTTCCGTTGGTTGGAGGAGAGATTTTTACTATACACTGTTTTTCAATTTTTTTAGACAAATTACATTTAAAAGTTTAAATTTGCTTATCTACATTCTTAATGTGAATTGCCACCTTACTATAGGAAGGCTATTTTTGTTCCTGCAGTCTACAAAAAGAACAAAAATATTAAAAACGTACAACTCTTCTCACAGAACTAAGTTGGTTTTATACAAAGACATCTGGCACAAAATACAATGATATTTCAATATAGAATTACAGCAGGGGATGAGGGTGGAGAAGGAAGAGATTACCAGTTCTAAGAGGGGAGACAACAGAAGTATTTTTTTAATGTCTTATTTTAAGAGTAAAACACCTGCTTTTTTTTGAGATGGAGTTTTAGGCGGGAGTGCAGTGGAACGATCTCGGCTCACTGCAATCTCTGCCTCCAGGATTCAAGTGATTCTCCTGCCTCAGCCTCTTGAGTAGCTGGGATTACAGGCACACGTCACCACGCCAAGCTAATTTTTGTATTTTTAGTAGAGAGGGGGTTTCACCACATTGGCCAGGCTGGTTTCAAACTCCTGACCTCAGCCTCAGCCTCCCAAAGTGCTAGGATTACAGGCATGAGCCACCATGCCCAGCCAACACTGAACATTTTGTTCAGAACTAGTTAAGAAAACAGAAATATACATTGGGGGTTTATGGATTACTTATTTTTGGGGTGCAATACTGGGAATAGAAGAGAAAGGAGCTTCCTTTCCCTCTCCTTTCATTCATTCATTCATTTTGAGAAGAAGTCCTGCTCTGTTGCCCAGGATGGAGTGCAGTGGCGAAAACTCAGCTCACTGCAACCTCCACCTCCTGGGTTCAAGCAATTCTCCTGCCTCAGCCTCCCAAGTAGCTGAGATTACAGGCACGCACCACCACACACAGTTAATTTTTATACTTTTTTAGTAGAGACAGGGTTTTGCCATTTTGGCTAGGCTGGTCTCCAACTCCTGACCTCAGGTGATCCACCTGCCTCAGCCTCCCAAAGTGCTGGGATTACAGGCATGAGCCACCGCACCTGGCCAAGAAAGGAGCTTTAGATAAATAAAATGATTAAACATTTGTAGCATGTAGAATGAAACTATTCCCTTAGTAATACTCAAATTATCCAGATTTCCAAGATGTTGGTAGCACCCCGAGAGCTTCAAAAGGGAAATTAAAAGAAAAACGACGTTACCCTTCCTGAAACACAGATTCACTGTTTGCCATATTCTTTTCTCTAGTAAAAGATGAATAGTTTCCCCTGGAAAAACTAAAAACAATCTGAGGTATATTTCAGAGAAAACAAAATTGCTTGATAAAAATGCCATGTTAACAACTGAGGAAATTATTTTACATACATTAATTTTAACACAGGAATAATATGTCAAACCAGGATTTCTCAACCTCAGCACTATCGACATTTTAAGCTGTATAGTTTTTGGTGTGGGAAGCTGTCCTGTATATTGTAGAATGTTTAGTGGCAGCCCTGGCCTCTACCCAAGAGGCCAGTAGGACCTACCTCCTCATTCAAGCTAATGCACTAAATTTTTCCCTTCATTGACAAATCCCATTAATGCGTGTATTTATCCCATTAGTTACTCTCTTGTGTTCCAGGTACTTTGTTAGGCACCAGAGAAAATATGATAAAGCAAAACAGCTATTTTCCTCACTCTCATGGTGCTTACAGCCATGGTGGGAAAAATCCACAGGAAAAGACTCACATACACAAATGCAGGCAGAATAAAAAAACTCACACAAACAAACGTTGCAGATGTTGTTAAGTTACATAAAGGAGATATGCATGGCTGTGCATGGTGGCTCGTGCCTGTAATCTTAGCACTTGGGGAGGCCAAGGCAGGTGGATCACTTGAGGCCAGGAGCTCAAGACCAGCCTGGCCAACATGGCGAAACCCTGTCTCTACTAAAAATACAAAAATTAGCCAGGCATGGTGGTCCATGCCTATGATCTCAGCTACTTGGGAGACTGAGGTGGGAGGATCACTTGGGCCCAGGAGGCAGAGGGTACAGTGAACTGAGATTGCACCACTGCAATCTCAGCCTAGGAGACAGAGAGAGACGTCTCCTGTTCTCCTGGAGAACAACAAGTCATGATGTCAGACAAGAACTTGGATTTTGGAGACACGGGTTTGAATTTCAGTCATTCATTCTTTTATTCAGTAAATATTTAGCAAGTACTGACATGTCCCAGATGTTGTTTTACTCACTGGTTATACAATGGGAGGGAGACAGAGAAAGAGAGAGAGAGAGAGAGAGAGAGAGAGAGAGAGAGAGACGCTATTCTAAAAGCTTGAAGTCTAGGCTGTGCAGAGTGGCTCATGCCTATAATCGCAGCACTCTGGGAGGCTGAGGCGGGTGGATCATGAGGTCAGGAGATTGAGATCATCCCGGCTAACACAGTGAAACTCCCTCTCTACAAAAATACAAAAAATTAGCTGAGCATGGTGGCAGGCGCCTATAGTCCCAGCTACTTTGGAGGCTGAGGCAGGAGAATGGCGTGAACCCAGGAAGCGGAGCTTGCAGTGAGCCAAGATCACACCACCGCACTCCAGGCTGGGCGACAGAGCCAGACTCCATCTCAAAAAAAAAAAAAAAATGCGTAAAGTCTAGATAGACTTTAACCCAGGAATAATCCAAGGAAATGAACAATTACGAATGTGACAAGGGCTGTGAAGGGAAAGTTCACAGCCTTATCGAAGTGTACAGTAGTTGGGGAGGTTGGCCAAGGCAAGATGTTTAGGAAAGGCTTTCCTGGGGAAATTTCTCTTTGGGTTGAATCACAGTTAAGTAGGCAAAGGGGAAGACAGAGGGAAGGGAAGTATGGCAGGCAGGAAGAATAGGCACTTAATAGCTTTGGGATATTGGGCAGGTCGCTTGATCTTTCTGAGCTTCAGTTTTCTCATCTGGGAAATGAGTTAATAATAGTCGTTTAGAAAGTGTGATGAGACCAGCCAGGTGTGATGGCTCAGGCCTGTAATCCCAGCACTTTGGGAGGCCGAGGCAGGTAGATCATGAAGTCAGGAGATTGAGACCATCCTCGCCAACATGGTGAAACTCTGTCTCTACTAAAAATACAAAAATTACCCAGGCATGGTGGCGTGTGGGAGGCAGAGGTTGCAGTGAGCCAAGATGGCACCACTGCACTCCAGCCTGGGTGACAGAGCGAGACTCCACCTCAGAAAAAAAAAAAAAGGAAGAAACTGTGATGAGATCAAAACAGTTAATGCATGAGTGTTCTGAACCTCGTTTCTCCCTCTGCTGTATCTATGCAGTTTCTTGACCTGGGCTGTGCTCCAAAGAGGATTCTAGCTTGGCTTTTGTGATAGAGGATGGATACATTATTAGACCTGAAAAGCCAGAGCAGGGAGGAATGGTCCCAAAAGGAAGAAACTGTGCTTGTCTTCACAATAAAGAGCAGAGAAGTGGGAGAGGTATTGAAAGCTGTGGGTGGAGTTTTGCAGGTAAGATTGTGTGAAAGAGGTGAGGGAACTACAATCTAGGGGAATGTGGATAGGAGAGTAAAAGGGAATTCTAGAGAACAATCCCTACTGACTTCACACAACTTAAGAAATGCAAGTAAAGGGCCGGGCGCGGTGGCCCACACCTGTAATCCCAGTACTTTGGGAGGCAGAGGCAGGTGGATCACTTGAAGTCAGGAGTTCAAGAAGAGCCTGGCCAACATGGTGAAACCGCATCTGGGTTAGCCAGGCATGGTGGCATGTGTCTGTAATCCCAGCTACAGAAAGATAGAGAGGTGGCTGAGGCAGGAGAATTACTCAAACCCAGGAGTTGGAGGTTGCAGTGAGCCGAGATCACACCACTGCACTCCAGTCTGCTGGACAACAGAACAAGACTCAGGGGGTGGGGTGGGGGAAGGAAAGAAGGAAGGAAGGAAGGAAGAAAGGAAGGAAGGAAAATAGAAATAGAAATGCAAGTAAAGAATTTCAGTTTGAAAATTGCCTTTTGTCTACTGAACATGAGACTGCTTGGAAACTGGGCAACGTGGATTTTTATAAGTTGTACAAAGCACTTAGCAATTTTCAAACCTCTCCATCCTGCAGAGCCAGCTCAATCACTTCTCCAGAAAGACTTACTGAGTCCTCTGCACTGAACAGGTGTCCTGTGCTCCAGGAGAGCCCTGGGCTGGCTCCTAGTGTAGCCATTATGACCCTGGAATGCACCATCTTTCACATCACTGCCTGGCCTTCTAGAATCTCAGCTTCTTAAATCAAGAAATTGTGTCTTGTTCATGTCTGAATTCCCCAAGTGAACACAGTGAGTGGGTGCTTGACAAATCTTTGTTGGTAATGAGCAAAAAAGGGGATTCTGTGCCCAATACCATGAAATCAATGCACAGAAGATTCAATCAATCAAGAAAGGTGCACAGACGCTGGCCACACACACTGACATTTGTTTTCAGATGTTCCAGTCCCCCTGACTTCCACCAACCCATTCATTCATTCCACAAGCATTTTTGCTGGGGTGGAAGCAGGGCCATACAGGGTGTGTAAGTAACAGATAGGGTGGGTTTGTATAATGAGTATAAAAAACTTCTAGCAGAAGATGACAAAGTATATCAAGAAAGGGCTCTCTTCGAAATCACACCACTGCACTCCAGCCTGGGTAACAGAGGGAGATTCCATCTAAAAAAAAAAAAAAAAAAAAAAAAAAAAAAAACAGGGATGGGGGCAAGGGAGCTCTTTTTTTCCAGTTAGCACAAGATTGCCATTTCAGCTAGGGATTCTGCTGCAACTATCTCCCAGACCCTATTCTAGGGCCCGGGGATAGAAACAGAATCAAAAACATATTCCTTGTCTTTTTTGGGCTTATATTATTGAGGAGAGAGAAATAAACAATTTCAAAATAAACAATGTCATACAGTGCTAAGTGCTATAAATAAAATCAAACAGAATAACGAAAGAGAAAGTAGCTAGACTGGAGGGAAAAGCTGCTTCAGAATGAGTTGTCAAGGAAGCCTCTTTGCAATCAGAAAGGTGAGAAGGATTTAGTCAGGCAAATATCAGGAGTAAATTATTCTTGGAGGAAAGTAAGCCCATGCAAAGGCCCTGGGGCAGAGTGGGCTTATTTGATAAAGAGGTAAAAGGGTCAGGATATCTGTAGCAATAGTGGCCAAGGGAGGGAGAGGTATGAGACAGAGGAGGTGAGCCCTGTTGCCATGGTGAGGGCATGAGGATTTATTCTAAGTTCCAGATACCTGGAGTTAAAGTCCCCTGAACTGGACAACAACTACAAGCCTTCATATCTCAATGCTACCATCTTTAAGCCCCTGTTATAAGAGCTCAGAGGCTTCAGAGATGACAGGAAACACCAGAACGCTATGGTGGAGCATATCTAGGTGCCTTCTCCCAACTCAGATCCTTTGACTATAGAAAGACACAGATTTCAAGGCTGAGATCCACAAAACTCTAGCAAATACTGCACAGACACTGACCAATGACAGCAGGTGCTGCCTGTCACCCTGGAGCACCAGGCAGGGTTCCAAAGCACCCTTGCTGTGCCAGCCTCTGATTGCTGGTTATAGGGAGGTCTGGGGTAGTCCCAAAAGCTGGGATGTCTAAGGCAGCTGGGGTCAGTCAGGAGGCTCAGGGCAGTGGCAGGAAAATATTTTCCTCCCTGGTAGAGCCACAGCGGGGTATCCAGGCTGAATATTATTGGCGAGAAGGACCATGGCACCGCACCAAGACCTGCAGGACAAACTTTGTTGGAGCTGAATCCAGAAAAACAATCTTCTTCTAAACCACTCTCCTGCCCCTCATTTAATTATTGTGCTTTTGGGTGCACTTGGACTACTCTGAAACATTCAGAACTCTGTCAAAAAAAAAAAAAAGACCTCTCTCCTCAGCACCTCTCCCACTTGGGCATCAGTCTTGGCTTCCTCTCTACTTGCTTTCACTTGCTCCTTGTGGCAGAGATTGCCCTCAGCAGATCCCTTCCCTTAGGTTCCTTGCTGTCAAGTGGAGGCTAGGGAGCGAGATTATGGCCAATAGAATGTGGGCGGAACCACAGATCTGAGCCTGAGGAACATCCCACAGGACCCTGAGCTCTTCCTCCAGCTGCTGCAGTGGCCTTGGAAGCCATGTCTGTTCTAGAAGTGTAGCTACAGATGGAGAAGGCCCATGTGCTAGCTAGTCTCCAAAGATGGCGTATCAGGCCATTCTTGCGTTGCTATAAAGAAATATCTGAGATAAGTTAATTTATAAAGAAAAGAGTTTGTATTGGCTCATTGTTCTGCGGGCTTCACAAGAAGCATGGTGCTGGCATCTGCTTGGCTTCTAAGGAGGCCTAGGAAGTTTACAATCATGAGCAGGCACATCATGTGGCCAAAGCAGGAACAAGGAAGAGAGAGTCGGTGGGTGTGGGGAGGGACATGCCACACACTTTTAAATAACCAGATCTCACAAGAACTCACTATCTCAAAGACAGCAGCAAGCCATGAGGGATCTACCCCCATGGTCAAAACAACTCCCACCATGCCCCAACTCCAGCACTGGAGACTGCAATTTAACTTGAAATCTGGGTGGAGATAAATATCCAAATTATATCAGAGGGCCTTCCCTCGAACCAAACCTCCTGGTTTCCAGGTCCCCTTTCTTGCTGCTTCTGGGCTGGCCTCCTGGGAAGCCAAGACTGCAGTGGCTCTGATGCTGCATGGGGGCTGAGGCTCAGCCATGAGGAGGCTCGCAGCTGCCACTTTGGTCTTTTGGAAACTTTGCTCATGAGAGTCTCCCCGTTGGGCCGCAGCCACCATGCTGAGAAATGAGGGTCATGTGGAGAGGCCACATGGAGGTTTTCTGGTCTAGAGCACAACTGAGCTCCCAGAAAGCAGCCAGCATCAATGGCTGGGCATGTAAGCCAGCTGGCATGGACATTCCAGACCAGTCTGTCCTTTTGTCACCTTAGCTACAGGGAAGGCCCATGACCCCAGAAGTGCCCATCATTATGCTGAATTCCCGAGCCTCAGTGGTCCACTGAGGTGTGGAAGCATGTCTCACAAGGGTCAGATGGAGTTCTGGCCTGGATTGATGTGTAGAAGCTGGAGAGAGAAGCTGGGTTTCTTTCAGCTGGGGTGGCTCTGCTGGGATGTGGTGGGCCTTTTGGGTTTCCAGGTGGTCATTTTCCTTATTTGCAGTAGAAGGAACGAGACCCATATAGAGAATAGAGCAAATTAAAAGGAGAGAAAGAGAAAAAAGTAAGGAGAGAGGGAGAAAGAGAAAAAGAAGGAAAAGAAGAACGGAGGGAAGGAGGAGAGGAAAGAAAAAGAGAAGGAAAATGAGAAGGAGGAGAGGAAGAGGAGAGAGAGAGAGAAAATAACTTACTTGAACCTTCAAATTCAGGCATACCATGGTCTTTGCAGTTATAAAAATCAATAAGTCACCCTTCAGCTGAAACATGTCTAAGTGGAGTTTCAGTTGTTACAACTGACAGAGCCCTGCCTAGCACAAGGAATAAACAATGTTCAGCAGTGGCATGAGAACAAGGGACAGCCTGTTTGGTGGGCAGCATGGCAAATGACTGTCTGGAAAATATGATGCTTGGGCTGGAGGGCAAAGTGGAATTCACCAGCATGCAGGGTGGAAGTACGACCCTAGCAGACGGAACAGCACTGGCAAAGGCTCAGAGGCAAGAAGCTTTACATGTGAAAGGATACATTTTTAGAACACTAAACATTCTCCCTGTTATCCAAAACACTGAGTTTCTCTTCATTTTTTGGCCAGGTGTGGTGGCTCACGCCTTTAATCCCAGCACTTTCAGGGCTGAGGTGGGTAGATCACCTGAGGTCAGGAGCTCAAACCAGCCTGACCAACATGGCAAAACCCCATCTCTACTAAAAATACAAAAATTAGCTGGGTGAGGTGGCAGACACCTGTAATCCCAGCTACTCGGGAGGCTGAGGGAGAAGAATAACTTGAACCAGGAGTCAGAGGTTACAGTGAGCTGAGATCGTGCCACTGCACTCCAGCCTGGGAGATGAGACAGAGCAAGACTATCTAAAAAAAAAAAAAGACTGAGTTTCTCATCATTTTTTGAAATTGAGAGTTTTCTCTGTATCGATAAGACCTTATAATGCAAAATATAATATAATATGCAGCTAGGTCTCCACAGCCTTCAGTCTTTCCCAGGGAGGGTTCCATGAGCTGCTTGTCTGGTGGGGATGGTGGTTTTGAGCAAGTAGTTGGTGTCCTGTCTTACCCAGGCTCTTTCCCACAAAGAGTTGGGAAGAATTAAAAACTACTGGAAACCAAGATCTCTCCCTGATGTTGACTTTCAGAGCTCAGCCTCATCAGCACAGGCTCTAATCAGCTAAGCAGCTGCCTCGTTTCATCCAGCCAGAGCCCTGATCTCAGGGGTTGATAGTGAGGAAATGATCCTTTCACATGCCTGGCTCCTGCAAAATTGTGCTAAGAGGATTTTCCTCAAACAGTTTAGCACAGAGCGAGGTTTCCTGATCCAGTTAGCAAATATTCTTCTGTTTGAACTCACTGACCCTCCTTTTTCTGAAGATGTATTTTAAATTGGATTTGCTTCACTGACACAAATGGAAAACTTGATAAGAAAATCGGTGGGATTTTGCTGCACCCACTGCTGATATCAAGACTGAACTCTGTATTATAGCAAGAAAAGCTCTGTTCTGTGGCTACAGGATACATGCTGAGCTCCCAGCCACCAGCCCTGCCAATGTGCTCAGCTTGGCACAGGGCAGGGAGCAGGGTACAGGGGAGGGGATGGGGAGGGGCAGGTGGAAAGGCTCAGGTGATGAGCCAGCCACATCACCTCAAGCACAGGACCCCTGATGGTGGCCCTAGATCCTCCTCTTGAAATCCAAAGCTCAGTCCCTCTCCCCAGTTCAGGAGCAAGGAGGTTTCTGGCAGGTTAAAATGGCTAACTCAAGAGCTTGCCACCTTTGAAAGGCAGCACTGTGTAGACAGAGGCAGAAGGATGGGCTTACGAGACAGTCCTGGCTTCAAATCCTTCTCTGACTTACCAGCTCTGGAACCTTAAGCAAGTGACGTAACCTCTCTAAGCCTCAGTTGCCTCATCTTTAAAATGGCATCCCTAATCCTTACTATGAAGAGATATCATGGGTAAATGAGATGCTGTACTTACGAAAGGGCAAGTCCCTGTATTGGTCAAGTGTTTTTACAGCATTGCTGCATAACACACAGCCCCAGGGGCTCAGCAGCTCAAAACAAGTGTTTATTTCTTGCTAATAATTTGCAGTGAGCTGGGAAGCCTTGCCTCGGACTGGGGGCCAGGCTCTGTTTGCTTCTGTGTGTCTCATTCACAGGCCAGTGGTTCCCCGGAGCTTGCTCTTCTCATTGTGCAGGGGTAGGGTCAGTGCTGCCACCCAACACCACATTCAGTTAGAGCCTCCAGTCAGACCAGGCATGCACTAACTCTGCTCATGCATCTCTAGCCAAAGCTGGTCATGTGCACAGCAAGAAATCTGCTCTGTCCTGTCCACAGGGAAGTCGCAGGAATGTGGAAAGGCCAGGAAGGATTGTGAGCCAATAATACATCTTGACAATCCACAATAGATGGAAGCTATTATTGATTCATTATCTCAAAATGGCTCCACCAGCCAACCCCTTCTATCCATCCCCAGTGCTACCTCCTAATTGAGGTCCTCGACGCTTTTTGCTTGCATGGCTGCCAGAGCCTTTGGGCAGGTCTCTGTGTTGATGTGTTCACCCCCACTCCTATCTCCTCCATCCAACGCTCTACCACCAAGGCAATCCTCCTAAAACACAACCACAGTGTTCTTCACACTCCCTATGATTCCCTGCCACCCACATTATTAATCATTAATCCAATTAATAAAAATTAATGTACTAATCCCCAGCTCCTCAGTGTGGCCCTTCACAATCTGCTTGTCCAGCCTCGTCTCTTGCCTCCCCAGCTTTCCCCAGCAGACCCCTCTCCCACCCATTCCAATGCCATCCTCTTCTCCCAGCCTAGTTCTTTCAGGCCCTGTGCGTTTGCACTTGCCCCTGTCTGAAATGTCCTTCCCACTTCTTCTTGAAGGGGGTGAGTGCCAACTCACCTTTCCAACCCCACACCAATGCACACCAGGATCTCCCCAAGACTCCAGGGTAGTAGTCACCATCTGTATTTCTGCAGCACACTGCACCTGCCTCTAGCACAGCTCGACAGCCCACTGAAGTGAATGATCTGTTCGATCGGTGCCGACTTGCCTTTCTTTCCCAGCTGCAAACCACCCAAGGTGAAGTCATCTTAGCCTCTTGGAGTCAGCCTGACTGGGGTGAACCCATTGATATGTATTGCATAAATGAACATATCATGACAGTAGTGATGAGGGATCTCCAGCTATCCGTGTACTCTCTATGCTTCCCAGACTCTTTGGCAGTTGCACTGGGTACTGGCTGAGTTCTGGAAAACAGGAATGTGAGCAGAGTGCTGCAGATCTCCTTGTCAGGAGCACCTAAGAACTGGCATGACTCTACACCCTCTCTCCTTCTGCAATGACCTCGTGTCAAGATGGCAGACCCGCAGAGATGAATGTGCCTGGATACCTGAGTCACCAGGTGGAGGAAACTCCCATTGACATGCATCACACTCCACATATGAAACCCTTCTTTTTCTGCACTGTCACTGGGGTTAGGGATTATTACTCACTGCAACTTAGCCTAGCATTAAGTTGCTTGACTAATACAAGTTTCAATAAATGTCGCTTCATTTCCCATGGCTTCTGACTGAATGCTGTGCAATATCCACAAACCATCCAGATTGTGGTTTATAAATACCACCCTTCACTAAAAGGACTCAGAGCTCCTTGTAGAAATGGCTGATGCTAAGGCTGGGGTAGGGAAGTACAAGGTGAGCCCAGAGTGCTGTGTGGTGCCAGAAAGCAAGGAAGCATTTAAAAAATGACAGGGACATGTCAAAGGACACATCAATCAACTTCAAGGGGCTTCCACTGGCCAAATCTAGGATGATGTGAGCATCCAAATTAATAATGATAATGGTAGATTATAGTCTATTGAATAAAATGGGAACCTATAGCTATAGAAAGAAAGAAAAGGGAAGGAAGAAAAGAAAGAAGAAGAGAGGGAGGGAGGGAGAGAGGGAGGGAGGGACGGAGGGAGGGAAGAAGGAAGAAGACTTTCTTACAGTAGAATGCCAATGAATAAATACAGAGGGAATAATAGAAAACTCCATTTGCAAACATGATCATAATAGTTTATTCAAGGAAGAATCATCACTGAGTGAAAATTTAGGAAGGTAAAGTATGTTTTCATTGTCTCATAGCACTTCCACTCATATGGTTTATTAATTGCAAAGAGAAAAAGTGGTAACTTAACAGTAGAGAAACCCAGCAGGTCCTCCCTTAATGAGCTGAACAAAGTTAACAACACCAGGAATAGGACAAATGGGTGCCAAGTGTTTCTTGATGTGATACACTGAGAACACAGCATTGCTTCTGTAGCATTCCGGTCCCTGGAGGAAACATCAGACAAACACAGATGGAGGGACCTTCAAGGACTGACCTGAACTGTTCTTCGGCGTCAACCCCATGATAGACAAAAAGAGGCAGAGGAACTGTTCCAGATTAAGGGAGACTAAAAAGGTATGACAGCTGGATCAGGGGAAACGTGCCTTAAAGGGCATTATTGGGACTGTTGGCGAAATTTTAAGTGAACTGTATATTAGACAATTATCAAGGACTACACGATTGTATGGCATCAACCTCAAATTCCCCGAACTTGAGCACTAGAGTCTTCTTGTTCTGATGGAATATGTTCTGGAATGTTTAAGGGAGAGGAGAAGGATGCCTGCAACTGAATTTCAAATGGTTCAGGGAAAGATAATAGAGTAGAATAGACTATATAGATGGAGAAAGTAAATGTGGCAAATAACAATTGGTGAAGGTGGGTGAAGGTCATGAAAGTTCTTTGCCTTACAATTAATTCTTCTATAAGTCTGAAATTATTTGAAAATAAGAGAAATGCTTTCAGCTGTGAATAACAGAAAGCCTGACTACTTGTGGCTTTTGCAATAAAGACATTTAGTTATGTAACATAACAGGATTTAAGAGGAAGAAGGCAAGGACTTGAAAAGGCTCAGTGATGTAGCTGAGGCCCCAGATTCCTTTTATCATTTTGTCCAAAGGCTCCACCTTCCTGAATATTACTGCTTTATACCCTTGGAGCTTCATGATCACAGGATGGCTGTTATAGCTCCAGCCATCATGACCAAGTTCAGACTCCAGGAACAAGATGGAGGAAGCTATGTCAAGGGGGGCTTTTCTTGATGTGTCTCTCGCCTTTAACCAGTGAAGAAAATCTTCTTAGAAGGACACAGCAGACTTCTCCTTATGTCTCATTATGCAGAAGTGGACCACAGGACAGTCCCTACTGTAAACTCTTTCAAGTATCAGGCAAAAAGGAACAAAAGGCCCCAGCCTGGCTTAAACCAACCTTGAGTCATCACCTGACACTGGACACTTTGTTTATCCAAGCAAAATCAGGATTTTCTGTTAGCAAGCAAAGGAACTGCTCATGGGTAAGAAATTAACAGTGTGTGCCATAATTCATATTTGTCGCCAAGCATCTTCTCAGGCTGACACTGTGCCAAACAAGGGATTATAGAGATGAAGATGCAGCTTCCATCCCTGAAAGCTCACAGTCCATTCTCTCAGGGCAATCCCGGTAACCTCCTCATCACAATCATCCATCCAGATCATGGAAGTCCCTTTACTCCCCAAATAAGAAGGAGTAGCAGGAAAAAGTGACCTCATCAAGCTGACTCGAGTTTTTCCAAAAGCAAATAAATAAATAAATAACTTTTTAACCTGCACAGCCAAATATCAAATAAATACATGTGTGTTTTTTGGGGGGGTTGGGGGGTGTTTTTTTTTCTGAGCTTCCTGTGGTATTGAAACTATCTCCCACTTCCTCCTTTTTGTCTCAAAAGATCTTAAGCATTGGGCCAGACACAGTGGCTCCTGCCTGTAATCCCAGTACTTTGGGAGGCTGAGGTGGGCAGATTGCTTTAGCCCAGGTGTTCGAGACGAGTCTGGGCAACGTAAAAATAGCCCATCTCTAAAAAAATAAAATAAAATAAAATACAAAAATTAGCCAGGCATAGAGGTGGATGCATGTAGTTCCAGCTACCTGGGAGGCTGAGGTGGGAGGATCACTTGAGCCCCAGGGGTTGAGGCTGCAGTGAACCATGATCATCACATCTGGGCAACAGAGCAAGACCCTGTCTCAAAAAAAAAAAAAAAAAAAATCTAAGCATCCATTCATTTTAGTTCATTTGAGGATAATTATTGATCTCCTCTTCTACCACCACTAGGGATACAGAGGAGGAGCAAACAGACATTATTCCTTTCTCTTGAGGCTCACAGTTAATTGGTAAAGAGGGACCACTATTCAGAAAGTCCCACACATCATTGTATGATCAAAAGCTATGACAGATGCAAGGAAGGAAAGCTGGATGGTGTTGTGAGGCTTCATGGCAGGGACACCAGACCTGGTCTAGAGGTGAGGGAAGACTTCCCTGAGGCACTGGCTTGAATGGAGAGCTGAAGGAGGAATAGGAATTCACTAGAAGAAAGAAGAGGAAGCAGCAAGTGCAAGGCCCTCCTGCAGCAGGAGAGAGCATAGCACATTCAAGGAAAAGAAGCCAGCAGTGTGGATTACAGAGGAAGAGTGCAGCACGAGGGCAGTGGCTTGAGATGAGGCCAGAGAGGAGGGCACGCAGGACCAAGGGGACCAAGGCAAGGATTTTGGTGTCCATCAAATTGGAGAGTGCTGAGCAGGGGAGGGGTAACCGTGTAATTGCCTTTCTCAAATGCCCGTTTTACCGTAGCAAGGATAGACTGGTAGAAGCAAGGGATGAACTGGAGAGATGAGTGAGGAAGCTGCTCCAGAAGACCCATCAGGAGATGATGGTGACAGGGAATTGAGTGGTAGGAATGACAATGGGAAGAGATGAGCGGAATCCAGGTATTTGTGGGTAGAAGTGGCAGGTGTGGCTACTTATTGGAGATGGGGCTGTAGAGCTGTGAAGGTGTGAGTCCTTTACTTATCCATCTTAAGGGTCACGGCCAACACTCCTATAACAAAAGACACATTAACAAGAGAAAAACAGAGCAAATTTATTTAATCCAAGTTTTATGTGACATGGGAGGCTTCAGAAATGACAACCCAAAGGCCCAGGGAAAACTGTTAATTTTTATGCTTAGATTAGATGAAGAATGGACAGCCAGATAGAAATGTGATTGGACAAACGGGTATGACCTACTGGGAACAGACTGAAAGGGGACCCAGCAAAACTGTCTGCTCAGATTCTTCTCAGCCTCTCTGTGTAGCCTCCATTCCTCCTGGGTATGGGGCGGGACCCTTTCTGAAATGAGAGTTTTCAAAGGAGAAGGAGAAGATAGAGAGTGACCTTTCTAGGTTTTATGGTTTGCTTTAGCAGGAGGGTTTCTAGGTTCTATGACCCATCTTGAGGAAGATAAATTCTGGTTTCTGTGACTCACTTTGGAGGATGAAGGCAAGCAGAAGAGAGGGTCTGAGGAGGTTGGAAAGACCTTGCTTCTGAGTTCCTTCCAATGTCCTTCAGTTCAAAATACTCAGGCTGAGGCACCACGCTTTGGGGTGTCATGTTCTAAGCCCCGACAGCATAAGGGCAGCGTTGAGACAGCCTTTGCAGCCTGGCCTGCATAATGGACAGACGCTAGTGCAATCCATAGGGTTGGAAATGTGGAGGGATAACTGAATGGCGATGCCGGGAGCCTTGAGTTCAGTGTTGGACACATTGAGTGTAAAGTGCCTTTGAGACACCCAAGTAGGCTGTTGGAAATAACCAGCCTGGAGCTGAGAGGTCAGGTTGAAAAGCAGTGTCTGGACGGCAGGTGGGCCCTTGGCCATGAATTAGACCACCAAGGAGAGCAAAGTGAGAAGTCAAGAGGACCTAGTAGGGCCCCTGAAAACTCCAAATGGCCAAGAAGAGGCAAAGAGCTACAAACAATCCTGAGAGGGGGCCGAGGGCAGAGCCACCTGGAGGGAATGTTCATCAAAGTCACACCCTGCCCCTGCATCCGCCCCTCACTCTGCACATGGGAGCTCAAGAAGCCAAGGGGCTTGCTCTGTACCCGGGTCACCCAGCTTCATCCTGGGCAAAATGAGATCACAGTCCCCGACTCTCATTTGCCCTCTTTTCTGCTTTTGTTTTTTGTTTTTTTTTTCTTTTATGCTCTTTTTCATTTTTTTCTGGGTACACATTAGGTGCATATATATGTGAGGTACATGAGATGTTTTGATACAGACATGCACTGTGAAATAAGCACATCATGGAGAATGAGGTGTCCATCCCTGAAGCATTTATCCTTTCTTTCTTTCTTTTTTTTTTTTTTTGAGATGGAGTCCAGCTCTGTTACCCAGGCTGGAGTGCAATGGCGTGATCTCTGCTCACTGCAAGCTCCGCCCCCCAGGTTCATGCCATTCTCCTGCCTCAGCCTCTTGAGCAGCTGGGACTACAGGTGCCCGCCACCATGCCAGGCTAATTTTTTTTGTATTTTTAGTAGAGATGGGGTTTCACAGTGTTCACGGGGATGCTCTCGATCTCCTGACCTCATGATCCGCCCACTTCGGCCTCCCAAAGTGCTGGGATTACAGGCCTGAGCCACTGCACCCGGCACATTTATCCTTTCTAATACCAACAATCTAATTACAGTCTTTTAGTTATTTGTAAATGTACAATTATTAATGACTACAGTCATCCTGCTGTGTGATCAAACAGTATATCTTATTCATTCTTTCTAACATCATCCCCACCTGCCCTCAGCCCCCCACTCCTCTTCCCAGCCTCTGGTAACCACCTTTCTGCTCTCTAGCTCCATGAGTTGAACTGTTTTGATTTTTAGATCCCACAAATCAGTGAGAACACGCAATGTGTGTCTTTCTGTGCCTGGCTTGTTTCACTTAACATAATGACCTCCCATTCCATCCATACCATTTTCTGCTTTTGTACAAGGCATCAAGGCATAAAAAGCAGGGCAATGGGACTCAATGGATTTTCCACGCTGCTCTAACACACTACTGCAAACCTGGCAGCTTCAAACAACACAGATGTATTCTCTCATAGTTCTGGAGGTCACAAATCCAAAACGAGTCTTCCTGGACTAAAACTGAGGTGTTGCCAGGACCCTTGGTAAAAGCCCTAGAGGAGAATCCATTCCTTGCCTCTTTGGTGGCTGCTGGCATTGTGAATTGTGGGCACATCACTCCAATCTCTGCCTCCACGGTAGCATCACCTTCTCTTCTGTAGTCGAATCTCCTCTGCCTCCCTCTTCATCTATAAGGACACTTTGTGATTACATTGCGTATCCACACAGATAACCCACGATAGTCTCCCCGTCGCAAATCTTTGAAGTAATCTCATCCACAGAGTCTCTTCTGCCAACATCCCATTCACTAGTTCTGGAGGTTAGGACGTGGACATCTTTGGGGGTTATCATTCCCCCTTTCACAGGCTATCTGGGCTGTATACAGAACCAGAGATCTGAGAATCATCTTGGCGGCCTCACTCTGTGAGCAGAGAAACGTGTCTGTGCTCAGCAGCAATCCCTGGAGGCAGAGACTGGAAATTACACCTGCAACCGTAGTAAGAGCTTGCCAGGGGCCGGAATGGGTGCCATAACTAGAGCTGTACAGGCATCCACCTCAATTCTCTCAGCGGCCCTTTGAGGTCGCTCTCTTACTGCCACCAAGGTGCAGGGTGGTGAAGTTAACTCAGAGCAGAGACCTGGCCTCGAAGCCTCGTCTCCCTGGGGAACAACCAATCAGCAGGAATCTGAACACAAGCACGAGAGGCAATCCGAGCCCTTCCCCAAAGCCTCACTCTTCATTCACTCTGGCTGGAATCCTGCCCTCCCTTCAGGGCCAAGCTTAGGGAACAAGGAGCAACCAGATCCTACCTCCAAGGACAGAGCCCTTACATATTTCTGCAATCTGTCTGCAGCTGATGGTCTGAATGAGCATCGTGTCATCACAGCACTTGTAAATTTTGGAGGGGCTCCTCCACACTGAGGGAATATGCTTGTTCAGGGAAGGGCACACTCCCCCATTTCTCCCGGAACCACACTTCTGCCGTGGGACCCTGAGAACACAAGGGCCCTCCCCTTGCCCTGTTGCTTCATGTGGCTTAGTCTTGCTTAACAAACATGCTAGGTGTGGAGGCTGAGGCCTACATGTAGTGTTGAGGGCAAGCAGGGACTGCCTGGAAATGCTGAAAGCATTCTCTTAAAGTGAGGCCTTCCCATCATGATTGCTAGGCCCATGATGAGAAGATATTGCAGGAAAGCACGACCTGGACCATAGAAAGGGCAGATCAATGTGTGGGCCTTTATGTGCTTATCCCTCCCACCACCCTGCTGCAGACCCCACCCACACTCAAGCTTAGCCCCTGTGGCTTGGAACCCAAGGACGCTTCTGAGCTGAGGCAGACTTCAGGGAGTACTAGTTAGGATAGGTCAGCTGCAAGTAACAAACAAACAAACAAAATACGCAGCAAACTCTGGCCCTCAGGGCCAAATTCAGCCCACCATCTATTTTTATAAATAAAGTTTTATTGGAACATAGGTGTACCCATTCATTTACACATTGTCTATGGTTGTTTTTAGGGTTGTAGTGCCAACAGAGATCTCATGGCCCACACAGAGCCTAAAATGTTTTCCATGTGGCCCTTTATGGAAAAAGTTTGCCCACCCCTGGCTTGAACAATGACAACATTGAATTATCTGCCATCACAAGAACTCCAGAGGAAGGTGGCTCCAGGGTCACACGAAGGCTCAGCAAAGTCCTCGAGGCCCCAGGCTCCTGTTCCCTCCTTGGCAGGTTGGCCTTTCTTCTTGGGCTGGTTTCTTCATGGTCACAAGCCGGCTGCCACAGTTCCAGGCTTGACTGCCTCTCAGAAGCACATTCAGGCCAGGAGGAAGGGCAGGCTTCCTCCTCACCTCTTCTTATTTAGGGATCAAAAATCCCTCCAGGGCGGTGCAGCAGAGGTCCCTTACCTCTCAGTGTTTAGACCAGAGGTCAGTAAGCATTTCCTATAAAGGACCAGATAGTGAGTATTTTAGGCTTGTCAGGTCACATATGATCTCTGCAGCATATTCTGTGTGTGTGTGTGTGTGTGTGTGTGTGTGTGTGTGTGTGTGTGTGTGTGAGAGAGAGAGAGAGATGACCCTTTAAAAATGTACACTCCATTCTTCTCATGAGCCATAGTTTGTCAACGCCTGGTCTGGCACTCTTCACATGCCCTCTCCGTGCCCATCTCCAGCAAAGGATAGCGAGCTTACCCTTGCTATCAAAGGTGCTTGGCTTAGACCAATCACCCAAAACTGATGTTTCAGAGATGCCTGCTGGAGGAGTGTAGGCAGATATTACTGATGTCAGAAAAACAGTTTGAGCGCCACTTCCTTCTCTGGCAGGAAGGAGTGATTGGCTGCTGGTCCTGCCCTGTCCGAGGAGGAGGACGGAACCCACCCACCAAGCTGTGGAGAGGTGGACCCCACAAATCCCCTCGCAAGCCACGTCTGAGAGCGAGCAGAGGGAAGAAACTCAAGCGTTTGTAGTCCTCTTTCTTAACAACCAGGCTTAAAGCGCCATCTTGTGTCTTGAAGGCAGAAGGAGATCAGGATGTGTGTGCTAGAAGCAGGCAGAGGATCTTCACCAATGTCTCAAAAACTAGAGAAGGAAACATGGCGATCCTCAAGGCCCGCGGCGGCCCCAGGCCTTCCCGCACCCTGCGATAGTCTGGTGTTGGGAGGGTGGCCCACGTGTCCAAGCAACCACATCAGGGAGGTTCTGGGAGAGGAGAAGGCAAAGCTCATGCCCTCATGAGGCAGGCAGTCCCATCCAGGACTGGACTGGATGAGCACCAATAAATAAGAAAACACAGCTGGCAGCTGACTGTGAAGGGTCTGGACAGGGTGCCGAAGTGAAGCGTAATGAGCTGGATAGTGAGGACCTCACTACAGAGGGACATCTATCTACACACAGCCTGAAGGGTGAGAAAGATGGATCCTTGCCCTGAGCCAGAAGTGCACACCCCAGAGAGAGCAGCTCCTGCGGAGGTCCTGTGGGGCAGGCATGGTAGGAATATTAAAGAGAAGAAGCCAGGTGTGGCTGCAGCCATGCAGGAGGAAGGGCGATGGGGTTGGGGAGGCAGAGGATGGGACTGGCATGAGAAGATGGAGATGCAGAGCCCAGATCGTGATAGCCCCAATAGTCCACGGGTAGGAGTTTGTATTTTCTACTAAAAGCAATGGGAGGGCGGGGCGCGGTAGCTCAAGCCTATAATTCCAGCACTTTGGGAGGCCGAGGCGGGTGGATCACCTGAGGTCAGGAGTTCGAGAACAGCCTGACCAACATGGTGAAACCCCATCTTTACTAAAAATACAAAAATTAGACAAGTGTTATGGCGCGCGCCTGTAATCCCAGCTACTCAGGAGGCTGAGGCAGGAGAATCGCTTGAACCCAGGAGGCGGAGGTTGCAGTGAGCTGAGATCATGCCATTGCACTCCAGCCTGGGTGACAAGAGCGAAACTCCGCCTCAAAAAAAGGGAGGGGGGGCAATGGGAAACCATTGAATCGTTTTTAGCAGGTGGCCTGATTTGATTTACATTTTTTAGACATGTAGCTTCACTATCATGGTTATGGTGGTCCGTGCATTACTAACATTGCTAAAACCACCATCATGCCAGAATTACCCTCCCATTTGTGGGTTAAAACACTGCACCCATCTGTCCCTCCCCAGAGTCCTCTTAGTGGCTGCTCTTAGGAGGAACTAACATGGACTACATTCCCCCATCACACCCAGCACAAGTGCCCTCCCAGCCTCCCCCACCCAACTCAGTCCCATTCACACGCGGCATGCCAGGGACTCTCCCATCAGGGGAACACCCTGTAACTCCCAAGTTCCTCCAAAGCCTCTTGAGAGGGACCATGGTGCCCTGCAGGGAGTGGGTCCTGGTGGGTCCAGTGGAGGGAACGTCCTTGCTGAAACTGGCTGGGTCTTAGCCGGGAAGTGGTGACAGGTATCTCTCACATACGCTACGGGAACCCAGCGCAGCCAATGGAGTCCAATCAGCACACCTTGCGCCCACCCCTTCGTTTGGTAACTTGAGGCCACTGCCCACCCGCCAGGTACCCTCTCTCAAGCGTGCCCTGAAGTTCAGGGAAAGACGCCAGCACCCCCTGCTGGTTGCGCTCTCCCATAGCAGGGCTCACATTTTGGGAGAAAGAAATCAGCTGTTAGCAGCTTTCGTTCTTCACCATGTTAAGCAAAGCACAACATTTTATAACTGGGTGAAAAGCCAGATATTCTGTCAGCTGATTTGATTGTTCTGTACGCATATCCCTAAGCCATTGTTTGACGGATATTTTTACTGAGTTGACTTTCTTCATAAGATGGTAGGACTAATGAAGAGAAAAGGCAATGGAGTTTTTAAAACCAGCGTGATGAACCAAATGCTGCCACTGACTAGCTATGTACATGTAATCCAAAGGTTCCCTCCGTTGAAACAAAATAACAGTGCTTACCTAACCAGGTCAGCTGTGAGCTGGGACTTCACAGACAGGCATAGAGAGACATGGATGCAGGAAGGGCTTCCTTAGCTGAGAGGGTCGTGAAACTGGAAGGTAGTAGCAAGCATTTTCCAGTTGGATCTTTTGGCCGACATCTGTAGTGGGGAGACAAACATGTCTAATTTTCCCCCCACCCCGGCACATGGGCAGGTAGGAAGATGCTGGTGGGTTTGGTTCGACAGTTTGGAGAATGTCTTGTGGAAGGGGTGCTTTTTTTAATGCACACTCAGGCACCATGGGAGCCTGTTGTCACCCTGGATATCTAGCTCCATGCCCTTGCCCTTTCACTCTGCCTCGACAAGAGTCATGGCACCCAAAATACATGAGTTCAAATCTGAGTTTCACAGGCTCAGGGAGGAACCCAAGCTACCAAATGCACAGGCCCCTCCTGTATACGGTTACAGCAGGTAAGGGAGTAACTTACTCAGTGCAAGCTGCTGTAACAAAATAGCACAAGCTGGGTGGCTAATCAACAACAGGCATTTATTTCTCACAGGTCTGGAGGCTGGAAGCCCAAGATCAGGGTGCCAGTGCTGGCATGGTTGGGTTCTGGTGAGGGCCCTCTTCCAGGTCACAGACAGCTGTCTTCTCATTGCATCCTCACATGACAGAAAAGAAGTGCACAAGCTCTCTGGCCCCCTCTTACAGGCGCTAATCCCATTCACAACGGTCCTACCATCATGACCTCATTACCTCCCAAAGACCCCACCTCCAAATACCACCACATTGGCATTAAGCTTCAACATATGAATTTAAGGGGGAAACAAACATCCAGTCCATTGCAGATTGTTCTGATAATATGTGTGCCCAGGGCATTGCCCCCACAGCAAAGAGCGACATTGGAAGGCAAACCAATGTCAGGTTTCCTAATGTGCACGGAGTCATCCCTGGAAGAGTGAGTCCGGTGATCTTACCAGCTAATTGCATTGAGCTACCCCACCTTGGGGATCTACCTGCCAAGGAGAACAGAACACCACTGGCTTTGACACCCATCTCTCAACAATGATGGAAGAATGCTGGAAATTTACCTGCTCTGGTAGCTCTCTCTAAGTTCATCTTCCTTGTATGGACTTTCTTTTTTTATTGCTCTCAAATACTTGTATTATTAAATATCTCATTTAAAATTTCTTTAAAATACATTAAAAGTACATTTAAAGAGTACATTTTAAGAGTGCAGATGAAAACATAATGAATACATCTTTGCTTAGGAAAAAATATTTCGGACACAGCATGAACTCAGTTGCTGGTTCCAAGCCCCTCCCCTTCTCACTACACTGAACTTGGCATGCATTCTTTCTTCAGGTGTGTTTGTAATCTTACTACATATGGACATATCCCCCAGCAATATCAGGGATTGTTTTGCTTGTTCCTAGACATCATATAAATGGTATCATACCAATTATACCCCTACACTACTTAATGTTTCATTCAACATTGTTTTGGGGGACTATCCATGTTGATACATGAATTCTGTTGTGTTCATTTTTTCCTCTTGTGAAATAGTCCATTATGGAAATTGTCCCTAGTGTGTCTATCTGCACTCCTAATTGACAGGCATTTAGGCTGTTTTCCATTTTCCTAATTACAATTATGCTGAGTGAACATTCCTGAACACAGGTGTGAGGCTGTCTCTGGAGCACATGCCAGGGAACAGAATTCTTAGGTTGTAAGGAATGTGTACCTCCAGCCTTAGTCAATATTGCCAATTGCTGTCCTATCTGATTTTATTCATTTACGCTCCCACTAGCAGTATATATGAGTCTTTCTTTCACTTCTTGCCAACTCTTGCCAATCTAATGAATGGGAAGTGGTAACTCATTATTATTTCAATTTGTATTCCCTGAGACCTTAACACTTGTGTATTGCACATTCTGGTTCCTCTTTGGCAAATTGCCTTGGCATTAAGATAGTAAATTTTCCTTGCCACCTACGCTGGTTGAGTCAGGATGCTTAATTACTTGGAGGTAAAAAGCACCTGGCTGAAATAGCCATCCCTGAGGCTGCCTGTTGAGGATAGGAGATGCTTCATCCATCTTTAGATCCTTTCTTGGAAACGCTGAGCCTGGCCAGCCATGCAGGCTTTTCCAAGCTCTGATGCTGCCCTGTGTCCACAATAGCATCCCCACAGCCTGGATCCATCATTCCCAGCATTATGATAGCTCCTTTGTCTCCTTGGAAGAGCCCAAAACCCACAGCTGAGGCCTCAGGGCTTTTCTAATGTGCTTAGAACAGGGGTAAAGGTAATGCCAACCAAAATGGGGAAACCTGTATTCCTGCTCAGTCACTGCTTAGTCAGCATAAATCACTCCAGAGGATAGTTTCTGACCTCAAAGACTGAGTTACAAAGATGATCACCATAGCATTGTTTACAGTAGCACCAAAAAAAGGAACCACCTAAATATCTCTAAATGTCCAACATCACCGTTTGAAAAAATAAAGAATGGTACATCCTTCCATGGAATGTACCTTAAATCCACCCAAAATCATACTGCATATGGATATGCAATGTCAAGGAAACTTACTCAGGAGTCCTAGCTTGGGGTCCATGGACGTCCAAGGAGATGCTTATCAAAGGGAGTTGGCACCCCCTGAGATGCTCATGAAAGTGCAGACTTCCGGGCCCCCCTCCAGACTGAATCTGCACTTCCAGCTTGGAGGGCAGGAATCCTAACAAGTTCCCCAGATGAGTCTCAGGCACACTAAAGCCAGAGCATCGATGCCTGGGACCCAAAATAGGGAAGAAGCACTCTGGTGTATCAAGAGGAAAAAAGCAAGTTACATACAAACGCAGTATACATAAAAACACCGCCTTCATGTGGGTGTGGGTGTCGATGTATGCGTACTTTTGAAAAAAAAAATTATCGGCTGGGTGCGGTGGCCCACGTCTGTAATCCCAGCACTTTGGGAGGCCAAGGTGGGTGGATCACCTGAGGTCAGGGGTTCAAGGCCAGCCTGGCCAATATGATGAAACCCTGTCTGTACTAAAAATACAAAAATTAGCTGGGCGTGGTGGCAGGCATCTGTAATCCCAGTTACTCCAGAGGCTGAGGCAGGAGAATCGCTTGACCCCAGGAGGCGGCAGTTGCAGTGAGCCAAGATCATGCCATTGCACTCCAGCCTGGGTGACAAGAGTGAAAGTCTGTCTCAAAAAAATAAAAAAAAAAAAATATATATATATATATATATACATATATATATATATATATATATATATATATATATATAATTTTTTTAATTTTTATTTTTTAGAGACAGGGTCTTGCTGTGCCACCCAAGCTAGAATGCAGTGGCACAATCTTGTCTCACTACCCAATCTCAAACTCCTGGGCTCAAGTGATCCTCTCCACTCAGCCTCATGAGTAGCTGGGACTACAGGCATACTCCACCGCACCTGGGTTTTTTGTTTTGTGTTTTGTACAGACAGGGTCTCACTATGTTTGTGTTCCCTGGCTGGTCTTAAACTCTTGGCCTCAAGCGATCCTTCTGTGGCCTCCCAAAGTGTTGGGATTACAGGCGTGAGCCACCATGTCCAGCCTGTGTGTGTGTACTAATAGCTACCTAGATAACAATACTTAACAGCAATTACCTCTAGATTACCTCAGCACCATTGACAATCAGCCCAAAGACTTTGTGGTGGGGCTGTCCTGTGTGTTGTAGGGTGTTAGCAGTATCCCTGGGTGCAGTAGTGTAACAATCAAAAATGTGTTTGGTAGCACAAAAGTACAACTATAGTTAACAACAATTTATTGTATATTTTAGAGTAACTAACATAGTGAAATTAGAATGTTCCTAACACACAAAAAAGATACATACCTGAGGGTATGAATATCTGTCACCCTGATTTGATTATTATTTATTATATGTTTATATCAAAATATCACATGTACCCTGTAAGTATGTATAAATATTATGTATAATTTAGATTTATTTTAATTTTAATAAAAAATAAATATTAAAAAATGTCTTCAGATATTGCTAAATGTCCCCTCAAGGAACAAGGTCCCCAGTTGGAGAACCGATTCTCTAGATGGGACATGTATAGATGATGCTTTCCTTTGTTTTTTAGTATATATGCCTATTTTTTAGTTTTTTCTAAAATAAGTGTACTTTAGTCATGTTAAAAAAAAACTTTGTATTTATTACTGTCCCATTGCCTGCACTGTCTGAAAAAAAATACACTCAAATGAAAAGATACATTAATACTTACATTAAGAAAATTAATTTTATTATTATTTTAAAATAGCTGTGGAAAAACTATACAAAGGCCTCCCAAATGTCAATATTCCTTAGGCACCTTTGAAATATTTCTAAACTTAATCTTTGGACTAGGCATCCTAATTGTAATTCCATATCTTAAAGAAACAATTCTAAATATAGGAAATGCTTCACAAATATGGTTGATTTTTGCAGAGTTACCTATAAAAGCAAAAAGTTATAAACACTGTAAAACCAACCATAGGAAACTATGTTAATTAAGGTACATTCACTTGATAGACTATCATACAGCATTAAAATGATATTTATAAAGAACTTATAACAATATGGGGGCAAGGTTTATGCCATATTGTTAAGTAGGAAAATAACTGAATACAAAATCAAATATGTTACATCACCATTCAAAGGTATAATAATGACAATAAAAAGAATCTCATCAACATGGTCGGAAGAAATACACCAAGATATTAAAAGTAATTGTTAATTGAACAATGGCATCGTAGGTGACTTTTTCTCTCTACTTTTCTGAAATATCCAAATTTTTTACAATAAACATGTGTGTATTTACAGTGAAAGAGAGAACAGTGAAATTTCTTTTTAAAAATACTTGAAAATGATCACAAAAATGTGCCAACATTTCAGGTAAGAAATGTGTTTTTATATGGGTCTGTATACAAATTTCTATCCAGCTGATAAAAATAACTTCAAGAAATTAAACCTATTCAGAAACAATAGTGATTGTGTCTAAATTCATAGGCTTTGAGAAGGATAAATTTTTAAAGTATAAATTACTATGCAGGTGGTCAGGAAAAGGTTGTATGGAGTCACATGATAAATGACACAAAGAAAATGCTTTTTATGAAAAACAAACTGGATAGATTGTTTCCCAAGCCAGAATCACATTCTTCTAAATCATTTAGAAGGCAATAAAATAATTTGGGCTTGATTAGCATTTAACTAACCAAGGACAGATTCCAGCCACCTTATGGATTTTGATCTAACTTGTTTACATTCATCAGGGGTGATGGGCAGTTCCAGCCCACAGGAAGCACAATCTTTGCAGACAAAAGGTGGCCCTTCTCATGTTTGTCAGGCAATATTTGTCCAACCTGGCCATTCCCAGTTGGCTCCAATGAACTCTTGTTAGCTCACTCTTGTTAGTCACTTGTTAGTCTCTTGTGGACCCAGACTATATCTTACAATAGACCTCAAAGAGGGAGGCAGCTGCGTGCATTGCATAGAAAATAGAAAAAGCCATGGCCAGGTTGACCACAATTATCCAGGGTTCAAAGCCAAAGACAATCTCCTCCAATCCATTGTCATACTCAGGTCGACAGCCAAAAGCGGGAGGTATCCAAAGCTGCAAGAGAAGAGAAAATGGCCTGTGGTGGGGAGCAGCTTCCAAGCCACCACGGAGGCCCCACTCAAGTCCCAGGCCTCATGGGAGCTGACCCTGATGCACGGGGACTGAGTCACCCCTGACAGAACAATAAGGAGACCTCGTGGCATTTCCCATCTCCACAGAAACCACCAAATCCATGTCTGCCATGATCCTGCTCACTTCCTCACCCACCCTTCCCTGCAATCCATCCCTAATGAGTGCTCTTTGAACCCATCCAACTCTCTCCATCTCTACAGCCCTCGCCCAGCCTCAGTTTCCTCATTTGAAAGATGGGAATTCTAACACGTGTCTGAGAGGGCTTAGATGAGAATTAAGTTTGCAAAACTGAAAGCAGTGACTTTTGTTTGTGTTGCTCACAGAACCTACACACTGTTCCCTGCTTCTCAGGCTCTTCTCTGTCCCAGTTCTCTCCCTTTCTGCCACCCCTTGAGTTGTCAGGCTCCTCACTCCCGCTTCAGGCTGCACCCTTCTTCAGCTTCCTCCACTCCCTGGCTGTGGCAGGCAGCCTCTAGGATGACCCTCAATGATCCCCAGCTCCTGCAGTCACCCTCTTGTGGAGTCCCCACCCCTTTAGTGTGGGATGCACCTAATGACTCACTTCCAACTCACAAAATATGGCAAAAGACACAGGAAGTCACCTCTGAAATTAGGTTGCAAAAGGACCTGCTATCCCTCTTGCTCATCTTCTCCTGAAAGACAGGTGGCAGAGCTGCCATGCTGCGAAGCACCCTATGCGGCAAGGGGCCCAGGGAGTACCCCTGTCAACAGCCAGCAAGGAACTCAGACCCTCAGCCCAACAAGCCACAGCTGAATCCTGCCAACAGTCACATGAGTAGATTTGGAAACAAATCCTCTGCCACCTCTCGGAAAGTCAAGCCTTGAAATGAATGCAGCCCCAGCCAACAGTTTCAGCCTGGGAATGGCCCTGTGCAGAGATACTCAGCTAAAACTGTAGTTGGAGTCATAAGTCAGAGAAACTATGAAATCATAAATGTACATTGTTTTAAGTTGCTGAGTATTGGGGTGGTCTCTTCCATAGCAATAGGTAACTGAGACACATAGCCTTCATTTGTATCTCCATACAGAACACTCCCTGGTATATACAGCCGACCTCTGTATCCAGGGACCTGTGTCTGTGGATTGAACCAACCACAGATCAAAAATATTCAAAAAGTAGGCTGGGCACAGTGGTTCACACCTATAATCCCAGAACTTTGGGAGGCCGAGGCAGGTGGATCACCTGAGGTCAGGAGTTCAAGGCCAGCCTGGCCAACATGGTGAAACCCCATCTCTACTAAAAATACAAAAAATTAGCAAAGTGTAGTGGCATGTGCCTGTAATCCCAGCTACTCAGGGGGCTGAGGCAGGAGAATCCCTTGAACCCAGGAGGCGAAGCTTGCAGTAAGCCAAGATCATGCCACTGCACTCCAGCCTGGGCAACAGTGAAGCTCGGTCTCAAAAAATAAAAATAAATTAATTAAAAAAATAAAATGGTTTGTTGTGTCTGTACTGAATAGGTACAAACTTTCTTCTTGTCATTATTCTCTAAACAATACAATGTAACAACTATTTACATAGCATTTAAATTGTATTAGGTATTCTAAGTAATTTAGAGATGTCTTAAAGTGTACGGGAGGATGGGTAGGTTACATGCAAGTATAGGACTTGAGCATCTGTGCATTTGGTATACACCACGGGGGCCCTGGAACCAAGACCCCTCTCTTCTGCTTTGCTTACTGGCTGCTGTGACTCTTAGGAGCTCTCCTACTTGTTCGGCGGGTCCCTCCCAGTCTCCTTTGCTGTTTCATCCTTTGCTCTGCCTCTTAATGTTAGCCAGCGTCCAGGGCTCATTCCTGGGTCCCTTTCTATTCTCTCTACACATGAACCCTGGGGCTCTCTCCCAGTCCCTGGTTGTAAATACCAGCTATAGGCCTATGACTTCCCAGTCTCAATCTCCAGCCTGGACCACTTCCAAGAACCCCAGACTCATAGTTTCCGGTGGCAACTTGGGTGTCTAAAACACATCTCAAACTCAACCCACCTTCCCCATTTCTCCATCTGCTCAGCTACATCGTCCTCCCAGGTGGTCCATCGAGGCTCCAGGTGTCAACCTTATCTCCCTCCTACTCTCATAACCATGCCCCCTCCCATCCAGTCCCTCAGCGCATCTCCACTGTGCACCTCCAAAGCAGTATCTTCAGCCCACCTGTGGCTCTCTCTCTCCACCTGTCCAACTGGCCTCTCTCACCTGGACCATGGCGGTGGCCCCGTGCCTGGTCTCCCAGCTCGAACTAGGGTTCCACTCGGCCACCAGATTTACATTATATGGAAATCAGATCCTGTCCCTACCTTGATTAAACCCCTAAAGTCTTCCCAAAATATTTAAAATAAATTCTACACTCCCGCACGGAGTGATAAAGTGCTCTGTTAGCTGATTTCTAACCACCCACGCTTCTCTCCACTCACCCCACCCACATTGCAGGCAACCCTTCTTCCTGTTTCTCAAACCAGACCCGCTCACTCCCACTGGGGGTTTTATACCAGCCATTGTTCCCTCTGCCCTGAACATGCGTGGCCAACCCCTTCCTGTCTCGTGTCACCCTTCAGCGAGGCCTTCCCGCTAAGCTGGTCCATCTGATCTACAATGGCAGCCCAAGAGCTATTTCCCACACCCTCCTTTTCCACTTCTCTGCTTAACACGGGTACACTATAAGGTGTCTTTCTTGCTCAGTTGATGGTTTCACCTGCTGTTGCCTGGTTTGTAAGCCCCATAAGAGGAAGACCAGAGATCTTGGTCATTGCTGTACCCTCACCATTCATAGCAGTCCCTGTACCTCTGTAGGTACTTAAGGGACACCTTTTAAAGGAAGGGTGAGAGGAAGGGCAAGGGAGACAGGGAGGAAAAGGGAGAAGAAAGGAAGGCAGGAAAATGGGACCTCTTTTCTGAAATCCACATCTTTATATGTGCTGTTTAGTTGGCTGGAAATTCTTGTTACTTATCCTATTGAGAAGTGGCCTATGACCTCTTTCTTTGAATCTAGATGGACTCTGTGACTACATGACTAATAAAATATGGCAGAAATGACACCATGCAGTTTCCAAGCCCAGGCCTTAGGAGACAGGCAGCTTCCAGTTCAGTCTTTTGGAGGGTCAGCTCTGGGGCCCTCAGCCATCACGCATGGAGTCCAACCACCCTGAGACGTCATGCTGGAGACCCACCTGTGGATGCCCCAGTCAAGAGTCCTGGCTGAGCCCAGCCTCCCAGCCACCCCCACCCAGGGCACCAGACCACGGAGCTTCTGGCCAAGGCTTCACCAACTTCACTTGATGCTGTGAGGAACAGAACTGCCCATCCAAGCCCTGCCAGAATTTCTAACCCACAAAGCCACGAGTCACAATAAATGCTATGGGACAAAAACAGTCATGCATGTTGCTTTTGTCATACATTAGTGGTAGTTCATTGCACGGCAATAGAAAACCAAAATATCTGTCTACTGGGTTCGTCCATTTGGATGCCACAGAGGCACCTGAAACAGAACACGTTCATTACTTAACTCTGGTTCTTCCTTCCACACTGACCTCCACCCACTGCTCCCAAGGTTGCCCCTCCTCCAGAGTCCTCCTCCATCTCCAACATAGTATCACCATCTCCCCAGGAACTCAAGTGTGAAGGCAGGGGTCATGTTTGGCGTCTGTCACCCTTTGCGAGTTGCAACCTGGAGACCCTGGAGGATGTTATGATGAGTGAAATAACCTAATCACAAAAGGACTAATACTCCACAAATTCACTTATATGAGGAGTCTAGGAGTCAAATTCCTAGAGACTGAAAGAACGGTGGTTGTCAGGGGCTGGGGAGAATGGGGAGTTCATATTTAATGGGGGCAGAGTTTCAGTTTTGCCAGACGAGAGTAACCTGGAAATGGATGGTGTGATGTTTGCACAATGTGAACGTACTTTACTCCACTATACACTTGAAAGTGGGTGCAATGGGAAAGTTTATTTGATGAGTTTTTTACCACAATTAAAAATATAACAAAATAAGCATGAGTCAGATCCCGTCACTCTCAGTGTAGACCTTTCCATGGTTTTCTGTTGCATTTAGGATTGAGTCTTGGCTCGCAGGCCCTGTGTGGTCTCCCCTCTGCCCTCTGCTCTGTGCTCCCAGGTCATGTCCAGTGAGCCCTGCCTTGCCTTGCATCCGTCCCTTCCCCACACCTGCAGCTCTGCCCTGATAGTCTCTCATCCCAGCCCCATCCACACCCTTCCTTAGAAGAGGCCTTCCCTGACCCATCTCCCACAGCACCCTGCCCTTCCCGGTCACCACAACCACCCTCTGTTGTCTCCAGTGCCACGGCTCCTGGAAATTCAACTAACATTTCCATGTCCGTCTCTGGAGTGGAGCCCACTCCACCTGGACATGCACATCAGCACCTGCAGCTGGGGCCTCTGGACTGGCTCCCGATGCTGGAGAAGACAGCTCTTGCTCTCTGCCAGATGCCTTTGGCACCACCTGGGGTCAACCACAAGGTTTCAAAGTGCCACCCATGAGCCAGCACGGGTATCCTAAGACTCCACCCTGCGATGATTTCCATCCTCTGGTTCAACCCCCCAGAACCCAACCAGTGCCTGGGGGCATCATGGGCCAAGCACAGGGAGGAAGAGACGGAGCCCACCCTTCTCCTTGGACTGGGCCCTGGGTCTGGCTTTCGGGTCCTGACAGACCATGAATTGCCACTTGATTCTGGTATTTCGGACAGTGCTATCTTTCTTCAAGTGGGTCCAAAAATGCAAGCCAAGTATTTCACCCAGTGGTCAACCAAAAAGGCAACCAGGGAAAGACAACTTTTCAGAACTTAGTTTTAAAAAGAAATATTAGGTCAGAAGCAGTGGCTCGCGCCTGTAATCCCAGCATTTTAGGAGGCCTAGGCAGGCAGATCACCTGAGGTCAGGAGTTCGAGACCACCCTGACCAACCTAGTGAAACCCTGTCTCTACTAAAAGTAGAAAAATTAGCTGGGCATGGTTGTTGCATGCCTGTAGTCCCACCTCCTCGGGAGGCTGAGGCAGGAGAATCACTTAAACCCAAGAGGCGGAGGTTGCAGTGAGCCGAGATCGCACCATTGCACTACAGCCTGGGCAACACAGCAGGACTCCATCTCAAAATATATGTATATTAATATTAATCACAGGATATGTACAAAAAGCATATACTTGAGGAAGATTCTAGAACTAGCTCTGACTTTATAAGAATTTGCATTTTGGAATAAGCACCTCAAAAAAATGCAGCTTACAGTATCTATCTCTCTTGTTAACTCTTTCAATTTTTGACTCACTGCTGTGCCCCTGACATAGTCCCTGGCATACAGCAGGTGCCTGGCAAATGTCTGTTAGATGGAGAAGATGGTCTCCCTGCAGCCAAACTCTTCTGGGCCTTCCACCTTCAGAGCCCCTCCTCACTGCCTAGCAAACTGAAGGAACCTGGGTGATCCAAGGCTAGGGTGGATCAGGTTTGCTTGGCAGACACACAGCCATTCTGACTTTAGAAGGGACTTACTTTCCCAACTTTGTGTTCTTAGGGTGATATCAAAAGCTGCAGACCCCGTATGCACCATCTGAAATTCAGGGGAGGAAGCTCAAAAGCCTCTGAGCTGCTGGGGCAACAGGGAGCAGGCTTGATAACAGAGGCTAGTAGCACAGAGCTGACTTCACCCAGAGTGATGGGCAGGCACCTCTGTGGACTGGGGCACTCCCCTCCAGCCACCAGTCACCATCACTGCAGAGACTCATGCGGTGGCAAAGGCTGCTTCCCCCTCCTTCTTACTGACCCCCACCATCCTTCCTTTATGTGTCTTTAAAAAAATCCCAACAGCACACAATGCTTCTTATTCCTTTTTCTTCTCTCCATCCCTCCATCACTGCCCTAGTTCAAGCTCCTCCCCTTCCTGCCTGGGCTGTTGCAGGGCTTTCTCTCCCAGTCTTTCTGCTTCTGGCCCTATCTGTCTCCATCCTTGCTACACACAGCTACTGGGAGGATCATTCCAAAACACAAATCTGAGAGAGTCTTCCCTTGCCCTCAGCATAAAGACTAGACTCCAGCCAGGCCTAGGAAGCCCTGCTCAAGCCAGAGTCCACCTACCTGGGCCCTCTCTCCTAATTCCCATTCTGCTACTCTGCTTAACACACATGGAATTTATGCCAAACTACTTGGTGCTCTCAAAACATGCCATGGTGTCTTTTGCCTCTGTGTCTTCACATATTGTGTGTCTCTGCCTGAAATGCTTTTCCCCGCCTTGATAACCTGGTGAACTTCCAGTCATTCCTTGCTGATGCAGACAGATGGGTGAGTGACTGTACACCTTCCTCTCCCTTGCTACCTTCCATCAGAGAGGCTGGGAAGCAAACCCTCTACTTCCCCAGCCTCCCTTGCAGTGAGGGGTGCCCACATGAGAGACATTGTCTGGCACCAGCCCTTCCCCACTGCTTTCTGTCTTGAACCCAGATGTGATGCCTGGTGCAGCTGCAGCCATCTCATGACCATGTCACAACAAACACCACACCACCCAAGTGACAAGATGAACAGTGCCTGGATGCCTGATGACATGGTTCAGCTGCCAGGCCAACCCCAAGCAGCCAACCTCCGGAATTCTCATGAGATAATTAAACATTGTTAAGACTGAAGACACTGTGAATCAAATTGCCTGTCACTTGCAACTAAAAGCACTCCTGATTGACACTGGGCCTCACCTCAAGCACCCACTACTCACTGAAGTCCTTCTGGATCCCTGCTCCTAGTACACCTTGCACAAGCCCATCTCAGCACTTGTCCTGTTCACTATATTAGATTTGCTCATTGTCTCCCTCCCCCATTATACTGAGACCTTTTAGAGGAAAGAGACTGAGTCTTTCCACTTTAATCTTTAGTACCTAGCCCAGCCCCTAGCACACAGCAAGTCTTTAGTAGGTAGATTTGTAGAATATAGGTCTATTTTCCAGCCTTATATTGTAATTTTATACTTACAGTATTTTTATTACAAGCTGCCTCCATTCCTTATTTTAAAAAGGCAAGAGAAACCTAGATGTCCATCAATAATGGACTGGATAAAGAAAATGTATTATGGCCGGGTACAGTGGTTCACATCTGTAATACTAGCACTTTAGGAAGCTGAGGCAGGAGGATTGTTTGAGCGCAGGAGTTCAAGACAAGCCTGGGCAGCACAGTGAGAACCTATCTCTACAAAAAAAAAAAAAAAAAAAAAAGTTTTGGCCAGGCATGGTGGCTCACACCTGTAATCCTAGCATTTTGGGAGGTCAAGGTAGGTGGATCACTTGAGGTCAGGAGTCCGAAACCAGCCTGGCCAACATGGTGAAACCCCCATCTCTACTAAAAATATTTTCAAAAATTAGCCAACTGTGGTGGCAGGTGCCTGTAATCCCAGCTATTCTGGAGGCTGAGGCAAGAGAATCACTTCAACTCGGGAGGCAGAGGTTGCAGTGAGCACCATCGCACTGTAGCCTAGGCAACAAGAGTGAAACTCTCTCTCAAAAACAAAAAAAGTTTTTAAAATTAACCAGGTGTGGTGGCACATGCCTGTGGTCCCAGGTACTCAGGAGGCTGAGATGGGAGGATTGCTTGAGCACAGGAGGTCGAAGCTGCAGTGAGCTGTGATCATGCCACTGCACTCCAGCCTGGGCAATGGGGCGTGACCCTCTCTCAAAAAAAAAATAAATAGAAAATGTGGTAGCTCTACACCATGGAATATTATGCAGCCTTAAAAAAAGAATGAAATCACATTATTTGCAGCAACCTGGATAGAAATGGAGTCCTTATCCTAAGTGAATTAACACAGGAACAGAAAACCAAATACCTCATGTCCTCTCTTATAAGTGGGAGCTAAACATTGGGTAGTCATGAACACAAATATATGAACAATAGACACTACTAGGGACTACTGGGGGAGAGGTCGGAAGTGGGGTGCAGGGTGAAAAACTACCTATCGGGTACTATGCTCATTACCTGGGTGACGGGATCATTTGTGCACCAAACCTCAGCGACACGCAATTTACCCATGTAACAAATCTGCATGCGTACCCCTTGAACCTAAAATGAAAGTTTACAGCAAAATTAAAAGAATAAGAATAACTTGGTGCAGATTACCAAAGTATTGCAGAGGAACAAGAAGGCTGCAATATTCCTCAGGACTTTTCTCTTGGCGTTGCCCTGTAAGAAACGAGGAAGGTGGACTGGGCTTGGGTTCCCTCCCCAGCTGCTCTCCTCGTGCTTCTCCTCCTTGTCACAGCTTTCTCTCAGGCACACATTTCCATTGGCTGCTGGTGGCATGTCCCTGCCCCAGGGAGCCACGTCTCCGGCCACACCTCCACTCTTGAGGCAGGAGGAAGCAAGGGGCATGGTGTTGCCATTGCAGACTGTGACCATCCGAAGGGTTTGGATGTCCTCAGAGAGTTTTTTAGGCTCTCGGTGAATGGATTCAAAGATGAAGAGGTTCTGGATGTACTTCTCCACGATCACCACGATGGAGTAGGGCAGGTTGTACCAGGTGTAGTGGGGGTGGTCCTCGGCACAAAGGATGGCCAAGATTGAGCCCCAGGAGATAAGCCAGGAGCCTGAGGCAGTGCCCACCAAGAGGTCCGAGTCCAGTTTGCGGGGCGGATTTTTGGACTCATCCAGTGACTTCTCATCTGTCCTGTAAATCCGGATTCCAGCCAGCCCCGCAGCCCCCATAAGCTTCATCAGGGTGATGACATACAGGTAGAACGTGATGAGTGCTGACTTGCTCTTGGTCTTGGAGCACCCAATATGAATCAGGTACACCACCCACCACCACGGCAATGGTGGCGGCCAGCGCGGTCAGGCCCAGGACTGTGCCCACTGTGACCCCATCAGGCTTGAACTGCATCTTCTGGTGCTGATGGCTGTCAACTTTGCGCCCGATGTTCTTCCATAGGACGTAGAGCACTGTGGAGGCCAGGATCTGATACTCTATGTTGAAGGGGTAGAGGTAGTAGATATAGTAGATCCCGTGGGAGATGGTGGTGCAGAGAGTTGGGGGCGTGCAGTTACATTGCGGTGTGTGGTCATCTAAAACTAGGGGAGACAGGTTGATCACACAGGGGGGCTATTAGCAGGTGCAAGGGGAAGCAGAAAAGCACAGAAAACTGTTTCCACTGTGGATTCAGGCTTGGGTCTTCCCACTGGATTACAAGCTTTTTCATGTCATGGCTTATTATCACGTTTAATATCATGGCTAATTTGATAGCCCTGAGTATCCCCAAAGCATATTCATTACCTAAATCACATTTATTTGGTGAGTTGCCAAAGAGGATAGAGAAGATGACTCTATTGTTGTAAAAAATAGATATGTAGATGATAGATAGATAGATGGATACACACACACACAGACAGATGGAAAAAACCTGGAAGGACACAAACTAAAATGTCAACAATTGTTATCTCTGGGTGGAAAAATGACAGATGATTTTTAATCTCTTCTAGATTTTGCTTCCCTGTATTTTCTAAATTTTCTCTGTGAAGATGATTTACATGTGTGATTTTTTAAGATTATTTTTAAAAAATACTTTCTGGAGAAAATACCCCTTTTAATTAGCAAAAGATATGCCTCTTAAGACTCCAGTGCTAGCAAGCATGCAGGAGACAGGTGCTCTCCGATATCAGTGCGGGGAAAGTAAACGGGCACCACCTTCTGGAAGAGAAGCTGGCTGTCATATGGAGGGCCCTCTCATCACAGGAAGGCAGATGCTGCAAGTAAATGACGAAACAGGTCACCAAAGCCCTGAAGGCGATGCAGTCTCTGACCCATAATTCCATTCTTTCCATTCTACCCTTCTACTCAAAGGGACAAATAAAAAAATGTAATCAAAGAGTCAGGTAAGGCCAGGAGTGGTGACTCAGCCCTGTAATCCCAGCACTTTGGGAGGCCAAGGCAGGTGGATCACTTGAGGTCGGGAGTTCGAGACCAGCCTGGCCAACATGGCGAAACCTCATCTCTATTAAAACTACAAAAATTAGCCAGGTGTGGTGGCAAGCCTGTAATACCAGCTACTGGGGAGGCTGAGGCAGAAGAATCGCTTGAACCTGGGAGGCAGAAGTTGCAGTCAGCTGAGATCGCACCACTGCACTCCGGCCTAGGTGACAGAGCGAGACTCAGTCTCAAAAAATAATTTAAAAAAAAGTCAGGTAAAATTGTGTGTGTGTGTGTGTGTGTGTGTGTGTGTGTGTGTGTGTGAGAGAGAGAGAGAGAGAGAGAGGAACAGCTCAAGGTCCAACAACTTAGAAATTGTTAAGTAAATTTTAGTATATCCCAACAATGAGATAGTAGACAGCCACTGCACGTTATAATTAAGATGTGCTTTATGGTTTTGGGTATGGGGGGGGTTGTTTTGTTTTTTGTTTGTTTTGAGACAGAGCCTCCTTCTGTTGCCCAGGCTGGAGTGCTGTGGCACAATCTTGGCTCACTGCAACATCAGCCTTCTGTGCTCAAGCATCCTCCTACTTCAGCCTGCTGAGTAGCTGGGACCACAGGCCCATGCCACCACTCCCGGCTAATTTTTATATTTTTTGTAGAGACAACGTTCCGCCATGTTGGCTAGGCTGGTCTTGAACTCCTGAGCTCATGCGATCTGCCCGCCTCAGCCTCCCGAAGTTCTGGGATTAAAGGCATGAGCCACTGCACCCAGCCAGGATGTGTTTTAATATTAAGAAAGTAATCTCGTTTCAAGGAAAATGGAAAAAAGTAAGAACAAACTGTATATTTCTTTAATGCAAGTCACAACCCAGTACAAGGCTGTAAAATCAGGTAGCAACCAACTTTTTTGTAGCAGAAATAATTTTCAGTGGACTAGAATAGGATAGAATGGAGTGGAATCAACTCCGATAAAATTTGGAAGCATCTCTGATACAGTAAAATTAAGTATTATTTCATCAAGCATACACACATAAGTATGTGCGTGTTTGGATTACAGTGTAAAATCTGTCTCTTATTGAAGTTTGCAATAAAAAAAGATCAAATATATAGTATAAAATCAACTATAAATAAATGGCACACTACAAAAAAATAACCAAACATTCACAGCATTTACTGCATTTCTGGGTAAGTGTTGTGGATTTTTTTGCTTCACACTTTGTCATTGTTTTAGTTTATGATATGTATATATTACTTATAAAATCTGAGAAAAGCAGCTGGGCGTGGTGGCTCATGCCTGTAATCCCAGCACTTTGGAGGGCCGAGGCAGGTAGATCACAAGGTCAGGAGATTGAGACCATCCTGGCTAACACGGTGAAACCCTGTCTCTACTAAAAATACAAAAAATTAGCCAGGCGTGGTGGTGGGCGCCTGTAGTCCCAGCTACTCAGGAGGCTGAGGCAGGAGAATAGTGTGACCCCCGGGAGGCAGAGCTTGCAATGATCCGAGACCATGCCACTGCACTCCAGCCTGGGCGACAAGCAAGACTCCGTCTAAAAAAAAAAAATCTGAGAAAAACTATATCGTAGCATTAATTTTACTTTCACAGAACACTATGAAATTTTCTTTTTCTTTTTTTATTCTTTTTTATATAGGGTCTCCCTCTGTTGCCCAGGCTGGAGTGCAGTGGCACAAACACAGCTCACTGCAGCCTTGACTTCCTGGGCTCAAGTGATCCTCCTGCGTCAGTCTCCCATGTAGCTATAGCTGGGACCACGAGCCCATGCCACCATGCCTGGCTTTTTTTTTTTTTTTTTTCCAGAGCTGGGGTCTCCCTTTGTTGCCCAGGCTGGTCTCAAATTCCTAGGCTAAAGCAATGCTCCTGCCTTAGGATTACAAAGTGCTCAGATTACAGGTGTGAGTCACTGCCCCAGTAATAATCTTCAATTCACACAGGGCTTCCCTAGCACTTACAATTCAATACGGTGTTATGCAGAAGACAAGGGAAGAAATCAGGAGGAAAAGTTCAGAGTAACAGAATGTTACAGCTGACAGAGTCCTTTTTTAGAAAATTAATCCAACCTCATCTTTCACAGAGGGCCTTGAAGCCAGATTGTTAGGATTCAAATCATGGCTGTATCACATGTTCACTGTGTTACCCTGGGCTAACTTCTCCGTGGCTTGATGCCTTCATCCATATAATGAGGTTAATATTGTCTACCTGAGGCCAGGCGCAGTGGCTCACGCCTGTAATCCCAACAGTTTGGGAGGCCAAGGCTGGCGGATCACAAGGCCAGGAGTTCGAGACCAGCCTGGCCAACATAGTGAAACCCCGTCTCTATTAAAAATACAAAAATTAGCCAGGTATGGTGGCATGCACCTGTAGTCCCAGCTACTCAGGAAGCTGAGGCAGGAGAATCACTTGAACATGGGAGGCAGAGGTTGCAGTGAGCCGAGATCACGCTACTGTACTCCAGCTTAGGCGACAGAGTGAGACTCTGTCTCAAAACAAACAACTATATATATATATATATATATATATATATATATATATATATATATATATACATACACACACACATACACACATATATAGCCTACCAGAGAGTGTGGGGGTACAAATTAAATGACATGTGTAAATTTCCAACAACAGTGGCTGGCACTCAGCAAATGCTTAATAAAAATTTACTTTTGTTATTGTGGTCATTGCTGCTACTAATATTGATACCAAGGAGGACATGAGGCCCAAACACCGAGTGCCTGCTGGTTGGGGGTGGTGACTTCGTTGTCTCCACCCCACTGATGACAAAACAGGTTCAAAGTGGCTCTCCAGGACAGCTTGGGTTCACACAGCTGTCACAGACTTGCTGCATGTTAAAGCTGGAAGGGATCTTTGCAAGTGCGTGATTTGGATACCCTCACTTTACAAATGAGAAAAGGGAGGCTCAGAGAGATTAAATGTCTTCTAAAGATCACACAGCTTGTACATGATGGGAACAAACCTGAGACACCCAGTTCCCTGCCCCACATTCCCCTCAGCCTGAATGTTCTCATATAGAAGTGACATATTGTAAATGCTAAAGGATTTTAGATGAAAATATAAAGATTAACCCAACAGGCTCTCAAATAGGAACAAGGTAGAACAGACATGAGCTAGAATTATAAGCCAACTACAGTTAAATTAAAACTTTAAATGAACCACAGCCTATTAACCACAACCTACCATTAGACTTTTATGAATTTTTAAAAGCCATACTTTTACTAGAAAGAACTGGTAGTAGAGGTTTAATTAAAAACACAAGCAGAGGCAACCATCAATCTTCTGTAGTTGAAAACAAAGACATTTATTTCTGCGGCAAACTGGACCATGAGAAATGGCCATCAGAATGATCACCGTGGGTCTTACAAGTCCCTGAGTCATGGAAGAAACCTTTAATTATGCTCAGTACACATCACTTATGAGAGATTCAGGTTTTGGAAGATTTTCAACAACAGGGGGCTGTCTGGCTGATGCTGACTTTGGTGGGCCTGAAGTTCTTTGGAACCTGCACTCCATCTCTGAACACTGTGGACTCTGCAGGTTTCCAAGACATTCCAACATGGCAGAGGGGCCACTCACCTCTCTCAGCACTCACCTGTTGTTATGTTCCCAAAGCCCAGAGTGATGAGCCATTCCTTGTGCTCATTGGTGCTTTGACTCATTGAGGACGCCGTTGGCCCACAGAAGCAGGTTGGTGAACACCAAGTGGATCACCCCAAACCTGAAAAACACAAGGACTCAGTTCTCAAGCAGCCCTGGGAGAGCCTCAGGCACCATAGGGTGAGACAGACATGTGCACACAAATACACGGCTCCTTCTCAGCCATGATTCTGGCTACATCATGGATGACCCTTGAGAACGTTATGCTGTGAGAAATAAGCCAGACACAAGAAGACCAATACTGTATGGTTCAATTCATACGAGGCATCTAGAATATTCAAACTCATAAAGACAGAAAGTAGAACAGAGTTTGCCAAAAGCCAGAGGAGGAGGAAATAGAGAGTTGTGTAGTGGGCTCAGAGTTTCAGTTTTGCAAGATGAAAAACGTTTGCAGATTGGTTGTACAACAAGTGAATGTACTTAACATTAATGAACCATACGCTTAAAATGACTAAGATGGTAAATGTTATGTGATTGTCAACCTGAAAAAAAAAGACACTAGAGAAAATTATCACTAAATATGTTGGATTTACTTGGAAATAGGAATTACAGTCCAGAATGCATGGAATGGCAAGCCACCAGCGCATTCGGTGAGGGAAGGGTAAGGAGGAGCTGTTATTAGCAAAGAGAGATTTACATAATCCACAGAGAAAAAGAGTTCATCGGTTCTAGAGGCTCAAAGCCAGAGTTGTCATCAGTTCATTGGTGGAGATGCCAGTGCTGGACAAGTGTTCTTCCAAGAGCATCTTATCTGCTTTACTGCAGTCCTAAAGAATGTCTAGTAATGTCCAACCTCTTCAAAGCAGGAGATGCATGAAGGGTTTTTAGAAAGTCTTTGGAAACACTTTGTATCTCAGACACGTAGACAGAAGTGCCCTCTCCTTAGCGCCTTCCCAGGCCTATTTTGCCTGGGTCTGACAAAAGCGATTTCATCCTGATATCTACAGGTTTTTCAGTATTTGCCACAATTTTAAAATAAATGCTCTGTTTTTTAGAACAGCGCCTAATTGTTATATATACTTTTTTCCATTCGCCAGTCATCTAATGTAGCAAAAGCACATGGTAAGTGTCCAACAGGTATAGAATGATTAATTCATTGACTTGCCTGGCCAATAAAATGCCTTAAATTAGAAAGCTAGGATCTCCAACCCACCAACTAAGAGGGATATTTTGAAAATTCATATCTGTCCCAGTCATTCTTCTGCCTAAAGCCTTCAGTGGCTCCCCACTGCCCTCGAGGTGAAGCCCAAGCCCCTAGGTGGCGGTCAGCCTTGACCAAGAATTTGCTGCACACCTAGCCCTGTGCCAAGTGCTTTTCATACACATGTGCCTTTAATCTCTACAACGAGCCCATGAAGTAGGTACTGTGATTGTCCTCAGCTTGCAAGTAAGACCCATGAGGCCCAGAGAAGTTAAGTAATTTGCCTGAAGTCACACAGCTGTGGTCAGAGCCAGAGTCATGCAATCTGACCAGAGTGCAAGCTTACAAGCCCTACACCAAACAGGGATCCAGCCTGTGCCCACACATCCTCCCGCTACCCCACTGTGAGGAAAGACTGCATGTCCCAAAGACACCCTCTTCCAGTGGCCTCTGACCCACTAACCCTGTGCTCCTCCCTCTCTCACAAACGGTTCTGGGACCTTCCCTGGCAGAAATTGACTGTCACTCCAAGCTGCCAAAATGCCCTCCTTTGTGCTCCCTCATTGCTCTGGGACACTCTGGTCAAAGCACTGAGCCCAGCGTTGTCACTGTTTTGGGGACTGCCTCTCACCTAACTGACACCCCCATGGTGTGTGACACAGACTTTACAGCCTTGTATTCCCCATGCTGAGAACAATGTTCGTCCAGTATTTAAAGATGAACTACAAGAAAAATGAATGAACGAATGCAGTTCGTTCTGGCCTCACGAAAGCTTTCCACATTGTCACTGTATCACTATAAGGCTCTGTCTTCACGGGATTTGGCTCCCCTGGAATGAGCAGCCAGTTATCTTTGATCAGCTTGGGCTGCCATAACAAAGGACCACAGATCATCAACTTCAATAACAGGAATTTCTCTTCTCAGGGTCCTGGGGTTAGAAATCCAAGATCAAGGTATGGGCAGGGTTGGTTCCTTTTGAGGCCTCTCTCTTTGGCTTGTAGATGGTCAATTTCCTCCAGTGTCTTTACATGGCTGTCTCTCTGTGTGTGTCTGTGTCCTTCTCTCCTCTTGTTATAAAGACACCAGGGCCAGGCGCGGTGCCTCACGCCTGTAATCCCAATACTTTGGGAGGCCGAGGCAGGTGGATTGCCTGAGGTCAGGAGTTCGAGACCAGCCTGGCCAACATGGTGAAACCTCATCTCTACTAAAAATACAAAAGTTAGCTGGGCATGGTGGCAGGTGCCTGTAACCCGAGCTACTTGGGAGACTGAGGCAGGAGAATTGCTTGAACCCAGGAGACGGAAGTTGCAGTGAGCCGAGATTATGCCATTGCACTGCAGCCTGGGCAACAAGCAAAATTCCGTCTCAAAAACATAAAAAATAAAGACACTAGGCATATTGAATTTGGGCCAGCCTAATGATCTTATTTAACCTCAATCTCCTCTAAACGACCCTATCTCCAAATACAGTCACATGCTCAGGTACTGAGAATGAGGGTTTCGGCATATGAATTTCACAGGGGATATGACTCAGTTCATAACAGCTTTCAAGTGCAAGGCAGCCCCTCCAAATGAGCCCCTCAGCAAGCTCCCCAGTGATCCCACCATGCCACCATGGAGCTAAACTGTTTCCAGGCTCACTGGGCACGTTCTGTCTGTTAGCTTCACTGTTTGAGAATGTGTTTGATCTAGAGAAACACTCTAAGGTCATCCAGTGCTGTCTGGTAAGTCAGCTGGGGGTACAAGCTGACGGTCACTTTGGATAAAAGATGAAGTTTTAAACATGTCATCCCTGGTTTTCTAGAGGTAGAAAACTTTCCAAAGAACCTTCTCAAACTGGAAATCCAAAAATATTTCCAGCAATGGCAGTATCACCAGAACAAGTTCATGGTCTTCCAGGGTGACTTGTCAGGAAGAAAATAATCATTGTGTCTCCACAGTGACTTTGAGCAAGTCACTTGTCTTCTCTGAGCTCCAACTTCTTCGTTAGAAAAAAATGAGAGCAGAGCCTGCCATTTGCAACAACATGGGCAAATCTGGAGGACATTGTGCTCAGTGAAATGAGGCAGACACAGAAAGAAAAATACTGCATAATCTCACTTATATGTAGTATCTAGAAAAACGTTTTTAATCCAATGCATAAAAACAGATGGTAGAAGCTGGGCATGGTGATGTGGGCCTGTAGTCCTAGCTACTAGGGAGACTGAGGCGGGAGGATCACTTGAGCTGAATTCAAGGCTGCAGTAATCCGTGATGGCACCACTGCACTCTACCCTGGGCAACAGAGCAAGACCCTGTCTCTAAAATTGAATTAAATTAATAAATAAAAACAAAATAACATAAAGAGTAGAATGGTAGTTGGAGGGGAAAAATTAGAAGATTTTGGTCAAAGGGTACAAAGTTGCAAATACGTAAGATGAATAATTCTAGAGATGTAATGGACAACGTGAAGACTGTAGTTAATACTATTGTATTGTATACTGGAAATTTGCTAAGAGAATAGATTTTAGGTGCTCTTACCACATCCAAAAAAAGAAAGGCAACTATGTGAGATGACAGACATAAATATGCTTGACTGTAGTAATCACTTCACTATGGATAGGAATATCAAATAATCATGTTGTATACCTTAAACATATACAACAAAAAACAAAAAAAAATGAGACTGACAATTCAACAATTCAGATCCTGACTCTGATAACATTACCACGGATTTCTGCCAAGGGCGAACACTACCCTGAAAGCCCATCTAACATTCTTTTCAACCATGAGATTTTTCTGACCCTAAGCTATGTATTTAAATTATATTTATCAAATCCTTCCTTCTGAGCCATACCAAGTTTACCAATGCTGTGGGAAAAAATCCTTATACATTTCTAAGACTTTAATCCCCAAACGAGAAAACAAAAGCGCTTCCATGACCCAGAGGAGGCATTGCAATGGCACAAGGTTTCTATGTAAGAAGAATATTAAATTTTTTTAAAAAATAAAATTGATTTTGGCAATGGTTGCATAACTCTATGAACAGACTAAACCGTTGAATTCCACATGTTAAATGGGTGAATTATATGCCATGTGAATTCTCTCAATAAACCTGTTACATACCCAGAAAATAAAACTCCCTCAAGCTTTTACTGTAGACCCTGGCTTGGCAGAATTTCCTGACTCTTCATCATTAGAAGTTCTGCCTCATAGGATCCCTGCAAAAATGGCCATGGGGACACAGAGTTTTATTTTGCAATGGAGGCAGCTGAAGAATTAAGCCTCAAAGATAGACTTCAGTTCACCTCAGTTCATTGCAGTTCACAGCTGTGCACACTGTCTCCACTTGCCACATGTCTTGATGTTACAAGTTTCTACACAACCTGGGATACACTTCACAGGAATGAGACAACATGAATAAACATCAGTGGTTTACCTGCAACAAAGTATGCACTGAATGGGTGACAGGGAAAACTCCTTCAGTGGCTGATAAACATTCTGAAAATCCAATGAAGTATCTAATTTTAAGGCATCCCAGGATGATGGTAATGACTGCAAACAATGTGATACTACCTAAATGTGGGATAAAGGGGGAAGTGGAAACACACACATTCCATTAATATACATTGATGTCATTTCAAAATAAATTATATTACATATTAAACCCTTATGTATATGGTCAAATGATTTTTTCACAAGGGTGCTGAGACCATTCAATGGGAAAAGGGCAGTCTTTTCAACAAATGTGGGAAAACTGGATGTCCACATGCAAACGAATGAATTTGAACCCTCACCTTACAGCATATACAAAAATTAACTCAAAACAGATAAAAGATCTAAACATAAAAGTATAAACCTTGTAAAAGAAGACATGGGAGAAAGCTTCATGACATTGGCTTTGGCAATAATTTCTTGGCTAGGACACCAAAAATGCAAGCAACAAAAATTAAAATAAATAAGATGAACTACATGAAAATGAAAAATTTTTGCACATCACAGGATGCTACCAACGAAGTGGAAAGACAGCCCACAGAACCGGAGAAAACATTAGCAAATTATATACCTAATAAGTCATTAATATCCACAATATACAGATTTGTTTACATTAAATACCTCATATAATGAAATCGTACAGTACTGTCCTTTGGTGGTTGAGTTTATTTTACTTAGCATAATGTCCTTATGGCTCATCCATACTGTATCGTGTGTCAGAATTTCCTTCCTTTTTAAGCCGAATAATATTTTGTTGTATGTCTATACCTCACTGTGTTTATCCATCTATCTGTTGATGGATGCTGGGTCGCTTCCACCTTTTGGATACTGAAAATAATGCTGCTATGAGAGAATTTATAGAGAATTCTTATACATTGACAGCAATGGGCTGGGCACAGTGGCTCGCACCTGTAATCCCAGCACTTTGGGAGGCCGAGGAGGGTGAATAACTTGAGGTCAGAAGTTGGAGACCAGTCCGGCCAACGTGGTGAAACCTGTCTCTACTAATAATACAAAAATTAGCCTGGTATGGTGGTGCATGCCTATATTCCCAGCTACTTGGGATGCTGAGGCAGGAGAATCCCTTGAACCAGGGAGGCAGAGGTTGCAGTGAGCCGAGATCATGCCATGGCACTCCTGGGCAACAAGAGCGAAACTCTGTCTCCAAAAATCGATCAATCAACAATGACAAAAGCCAATTTAAAAATTGGCAAAGGACTTGAATAAACATATCTCCAAAGAAGACATAAAGATGGCCAGCAAGTACATGAAAAGATGTTCACCATCACTAATTATTAGAGAGATGCAAATCAAAACTACAAAATACTTTCACACTATCAGGATGGCTACTATCAAAAAAAAAAAAAAAGAAAATAATAGAAAATAACCAGCATTGGTGAGGATATAGAGAAATAGTGCTCTGTTGGTAGGAATGTAAATTGGTACAGCTACTACTGAAAACAGTAGGGAGGGCCTTCAAAAAATTGAAAATACCATTATGGCATGATCTGGCATTTTCACTTCTGAGTATATACCCAAAAGAATTGAAAGCAGGGACCCGAGGGGATATCTGTATTCTCCTGTTCATAGCAGCATTATTTTCAGTATCCAAAAGGTGGAAGCAACCCAGCATCCATCAACAGATGGATGGATAAACACAATGAGGTATAGACATACAACAGAATATTATTCAGCTTAAAAAGGAAGGAAATTCTGACACACGATACAGTATGGATGAGCCATGAGGACATTATGCTAAGTAAAATAAACTCAACCACCAAAGGACAATACTGTAGGATTTCATTATATGAGGTATCAAACGTAAGCAAATTCATAGACAGAAATAGAATGGTGGTTGCCAGGTGCTAGAGGGAGGGAAGAATGAAGAGTTAGTGTTTAATGAGGACAGAGTTTCAGTTTTGCGAGATGAAAAAGTTCTGGAGGTTGGTTGCACAACAGTGCATATGTGCTTAACACCACTGAGCTGTGCACTTGAAAACTGCTAAGTTGGTAAATTTTATGTATATAAATGCATGTTTTACCATAATTAAAAATATATTAATAAAATAAATTCTAGCCCAGGCATGGTGGCTCATGCCTGTAATTCCAGCACTTTGGGAGGCCAAGGCGGGAGGATCACTTGAGGCCAAGAGCCTAAGCAACCCCATCTCTACCCAAAGATAACATAATAATTATTTCTAAATAAATAAACAAATTCTACTGTTGAGCTGCGAAGGTAAAACTAGAAGGCAGGTGTTGTGTCCCGTTCATCATTGTACCCACCCCATAGCCCAGAGTCTGACAAATGATACACAATCAACGAAGCCTGGTCCAGTCAACAGAATGCTCCCAGAAGCTTTTTCAAAAAGGAGAAATCTAAGAATGTCACTGCTCTACTCAAAAATCTCAGTTCTCTAATCCTAAAATCCTGTTCTCTAAAGAATAAGAGTGCAGCTGGCTGGGTGCAGTGGCTCACATCTGTAATCCCAGCACTTTGGAAGGCCGAGGTGGGTGGATCACCTGAGGTTGGGAGTTCGAGACCAGCCTGACCAACATGGAGAAACCCCATCTCTACTAAAAAATACAAAAGTAGCGGGTGTGGTGGTGCATGCCTGTAATCCTGCTACACCGGAGGCTGAGGCAGGAGAATCACTTGAACCCGGGAGGTGGAGGTTGCAGTGAGCCGAGATTGCATGATTGCATTCCAGCCAGGGCAACAAGAGTGAAACTCTGTCTCAAAATATATATATATTAATAAGAAATAATAAGAAATAAGAGTGCAGAGTGTGCAGGTCATACAGGTATACAGGAATTCTCTGAACTGTCTTTGCAACTTTTCCATAAATCTAAAGCTTTTCTAAAATGGAAAGTTTATTTATTTATTTATTTGAGACAGGGTCTTGTTCTGTCACCCAGGCTGGAGTGCAGTGGCACGATCTTGGCTCACTGCAACCTCCACCTCCCAGGTTCAAGTGATCTTGTGCCTCAACCTCAATCCCAAGTACCTGGGATTACAGGTGTGCTGGCCAGGCTGGTCTTAAACTCCTGGCCTCAAGTGCTCCGCCTGTCTCAGCCTCCCAAAGTGCTGGGATTACAGGCATGAGTCACTGAGCCCGGCTGAAAGTATATTAGAAAAAAAAAATAGATGGGTAAGGGCTCTATAGTAGTAGCTGAGGAAGGGCCTGTGCTAGGTGTACTGAGGAAAGGAAGCAATCTTTGATAGTATAATGAGCATGGCTTTGCCCAAAACATAAAGACAAACTAATAAAAAATTTGCATATAAAAAAGACTGGAAAGGAATGTACAAAATACATTAAAAAGACACTTGGTGACAAATGAAGAAATTAGTGAGAAAAAGGCAATGATCATGAGTGCTTGATCAAGTCAGAGTTCCTCATCTCCCTCCTGGGCTAGCAATGACTGCCATTTACACATTTGCTCCTGCCAACAGGAGGAAACTGGATCATGTATGACATGCATTAAGGCACTGAGCAGAGAGGAGGGCATGAGCCATAACATTGGGCTATAACGTTACAGCCCCAGCCTGAGAAGCCTCCTCTGAAAAGTAATGCAATCGCCTGGCACTTTTCCACTGCTCAAAGCCTTATAGAAACAACTCTAACTCACATTTTTAATCCTGGAAACACCCCAATGAAATCGGAAACGTTGTAAGAGTGGAGATTCAATCCCAGTGCTTTGAAATGTTTTGACAAATACGTGGTTGGTTTTAATTACAAAAAACATAGCAAGATCAGGTGAGGCAGCGTGGTTGAGTGGCAAGAGTACAGGCCTGAAAGTACGGAGACCTGGACACTCACAGAATACATGAGTCACTTCCTGCTCCCAACCTCAGGATTCCCATACAGAAAATGCGGATGGTCTACAGCAGTGGTTCTCAAACTGGAAACTGCATCAGAATCACCTGCAGGGCTTGTTAAAACACAAATTCCTGGGCTCCACCTCCAGAGTTTCTGATTTAGTAGGTCTGGGTGGTGCCCCAAAATTTTCATCTCTAACAAGTTTTCAAGTGGGGCTGCCACTGTTGATCTAGGCCCCGCTTTGAAAACTACTGGTCTAGACCATCTCTGTGGTTGACATGCCAAGTGTTCAATAATATACTCTTTCAGTCCTCCCTTTCTTCCTGTGTTCATCCATTCATCCATGGATTCATTCAGCCAGTTGTTTATACAACAAACACCTTGGGGACTCCTACTATGCATGAGACATTGTGCCAAGGGCTCAAAGACAGACATAGGAGATTGCTGTAGAAACAAAAATATACGAGTATAATATTGCATAAATTAGGGTGTGCACAAAATATCAGAGAGATGAGCTGGCAACAGACTTCCTCTGTGCAGCCTGGGAAACCAGAAGACAGTGGACATATGTGCCACAAGGAAAGGACTGCACCTCAAAAACCTTATTCTCAGCTAAGATGTCGCCCATGTGTCAGGGCAAAAGGCAGAATGATGTTTGAAGTATACAAAATGTAATTTTTTCAACAGCTATTTATTGAGCAGCAACCATGGGCCAGGCATTGTCCCAGGCACTGAAGATATAAAGGTCAATAAAATAGAGTATCTGCCCTTGAGGAGTTTCACATCTAGTGGGGAAGGCAAAAAATAAACCGGTAAATAGTAAACACATAAAGAATGTCAGGAAGTGCTAAGTGCATGAAGAAAAGTAAAGCAGAAAAGGGGACTGAGGTTGAAGGTACATGGGCAGGAAAGGAGGTGATTGTTGAACAGAGAACAGAGAAAACTGTCATCCACATAACTTGTCTGACAAAGGACTTTAACCAAGGAGCTTGTGAACTGGAAGAGAGTCCCCAAAAGAGGGGAAGATGAGGAGGAGAGCAAATTATAGTGACCAATCAACTCTGTGGAAGGCTAGAGGAGGGTGGAGGTATAATGGATGGAGAGACAGATGGAGATAGATAATTAGATTAATAGGAGAGAAAAGAAGAACTTAAATTCAAATGGATAAACTGCCTGAGATGTGTAATTTACATACCCTATAAAGACTTGTCATACAGAATAGACATTTTGAGGCGAAATTCTATTAACTATCTCTACAAAACCCATAAGTTCGGCCAAGCACAGTGGCTCACACCTGTAATCCCAGCGCTTTGGGAGGCCGAGGCAGATGGATCACCTTTGGTCAGGAGTTCGAGATGAGCCTGGCCAACATGCTGAAACCCCGTCTTTACTAAAAATACAAAAATTAGTCTGGCGTGGTGGCAAGCATCTGTAGTCCCAGCTACTTGGGAGGCTGGGGCAGGAGAATGGTGTGAACCCAAGAGGCAGAGGTTGCAGTCAACTGAGATTGCACCATTGCACTCCAGCATGGGTGACAGAGCGAGACTCCATCTGAAACAAAACAACACAAAACAAAACAAAACAACAACAACAACAACAAAAAACCTAAGTTGGAAAAGGACTGGATAGGGAACAAAGAAAAACCTTTGAAAGCCCTCAAGGTAAATAAATGGAAAAGAAGGAGAGGGAAGAAGGGAAAGGAATAGGGAGGCAAACGTATCCTAAAGATCTCATCCCATTAGGTAGAGAGGAAGTGGGAGCAGTGAACATCTTGGAGTGGGACACAGTGTGGCTTGCTGAGGGAAATGTTCAATATTTTGTTTTCAAATAAGAATGAAGTAATAGGCAGCTGGGCGCGGTGTCTCACACCTATAATCCCAGCACTTTGGGAGGCCAAGATGGGCGGAACACTTAAGGTCAGGAGTTCAAGACCAGCCAGGCCATGATGGTGAAACCCTGTCTCTACCAAAAACACAAGAAATTAGCCCAGTGTGGTGATGGGCACCTGTAGTCCCAGCTACTTAGGAGGCTGAGGCAGGAGAATCGCTTGAACCTGGGAGGCGGAGGTTGCAGTGAGCCGAGATCATGCCACTGCGCTCCAGCCTGGGCAACAAAGTGAGACTCTGGCTCAAAAAAAAAGAATGAAGTAATATGCATCAGATTATGAGAGTGAGGGAAGAAAAAAATGGCCATGAATGGAATAAAAAATCAGAATAAATTTTCAAATGCTCAAAAAAGACAAATGTGGAAGAGGAAAAGGAAGAAATAGGAATGTAAAATATATCATCATAAACATCGAAAAGAAAAATGGAAACAAAAAAGTCAACTACATAAATTATTTCTATAAATTAGAATGATCTAAATCCTCCCACTAAGTAGTCAGCAAGAATAGGAAAATTGAATTAAAAACAAAACCTAGTTACATGATCTTTACACAAATTGCACCTTTAACAAAGTAATAAAGGTTTAAAATAAAGTAGTGGACAAAGAGGAATCAGGCAATGCAAACAAAAAGAAAGTTGGAATGGCAATATTAATATCAGACCATACGGGATTTAATGTATTAAGTAGGATAAAGAATCCTTCCTCTTTTATCACTACATATAATAAAAGACAGACTGTCCAGTGTGGTGGCTCACGCCTGTAATCCCAGCACTTTGGGAGGCCGAGGTGGGCGAATCACAAGGTCAGGAGATCGAGACCATCCTGGCTAACATGATGAAACCCCGTCTCTACCAAAAATACAAAAAATTAGCCGGGCGTGGTGGGGGGTGCCTGTAGTCCCAGCTACTTGGTAGGCTGAAGCAGGAGAATGGCATGAATCCAGGAGGCAGAGCTCGCAGTGAGCCAAGATCGCGCCACTGCACTCCAGCCTGGGCGACAGAGCGAGACTCTGTCCCAAAAAAAAACAAAAAACAAAAAACACAACGACTGTATGAGGAAGCTATAACAGCCACACATGTGCCCAAATGAAACAGATTTTGATTTATATAAACACATATATATGTATAAATATATATATACAAGTATATATATACACATATACATAGATAAGTATATATACACATATACATATATATTTATGCATGTATAAATATATATACATATATAATTTTGCAATTACTTAACTTACCTTTGCCTCAGTTTCCCCATCTCTAAGATGTAATGACAGTAATAACACTTATCTCATAGGGGTGCTGAGGAGATTAAGTGAGTCTTTACATGGAAGTCACCTAGAACAGTGTTCCTTACCTAGAAAGTTCTATAAGCGGGATGTTATTATCATCACTCAATCGCCAAGAAAATGTTGATGCATTAGAACCAATTAGAAAGTTTACCAGCTACAATACTTGAGAATAATCCAAAGACTACATAGGGTACCCATCTAGTGATGGCAGAGGGAACCCCCTCCTCTTTGTTAGGCACCCAAATCCCTCCTAGGAGTCTAGAATCTTGAACCCCCCTCTTAGAGGCGGAAAGTCCCACAGAGTTAGTCTGCATTCTATCCCATGCAAGAATGCTTTCCAATGCATCATGACCGGAAGCCATCTGATCTCTACTTGGACAAGCCCAGGGCTGGGAGGCTCAACATCTCTCAAAGCGCACCCTTCCATCACCAGCTGGTACTTACTTTGTGTTTTATTTTTATTTTATTTTAATTTATTTTATTTTATTTTATTGAGATGGAGTCTCACTCTGTTGTTCAGGCTGGAGTGCAGTGGCATGATCTTGGCTCACTGCAAACTCTGCCTCCTGGTTTCAAGCAATTCTCCTGCCTCAGCCTCCCGAGTAGCTGGGATTACAGGCACTCCACATAGCGAGACCCCTGTCTCTACAAAAATCAATTTTTAAAAAATGAGCCAGGCGTGGTAGCACACACCTGTAGTCCCAGCTATTTGGGAGGCTGAGGCGGGAGGAGCACTTGAGCCCCAGAGTTCGAGGCTGTAGTGAGCTATTATCACACCACTTCATTCCAGCCTGGGAGACATAGGGAGACCCTGTCCTTATTAAAAGATAAAAATAAAATAAAGAAAGAAAGAAGATTGTGCAGGTGTTGCCTCCTCCCTGAACCTCGCAGCCTTCCTGCAGACTTGGGCTCCTCCCAGGCCCCTGGTGGTAGCCCTGCTCAAGGGTGCTGTGCTGCTTACTCTGTCCCCACCCCCAAGCTCCTAGAAGTTGAGGGCTAAGTCTCACAGGTCACGCTCCCCAACTTCCCAGTGAGGGCTCATTAGCTGTTTGTTTATTGCTGTTTCTCTACCTGAACATCAGCTCCACCTGAGCAGAGCCTTTCATAGCTGAAACCCCAGCACCTAGAACAGAGATCAGCAAATGATTCATAATTTGCTGTGTCCCACCATGCCCAGCTTTTTGTATTTTTAGTGGAGACGGGGTTTCACCATGTTGGCCAGGCTGGTCTCAAACTCCTGACCTCAGGTGATCTGCCCACCTCAGCCTCCCAAAGTGCTGGGATTACAGGCGTGAGCCACCACGCATGGCCTGGTGCTTACTTCAGAATGTTTTTCTTTATATTGAAGTGCAGTTGACTTCCCAGAACTATCATCTTCTTCCCTGGAGCTTCTATCATCATTCACTTATTCATCCACCCATCTAGTCATCCATCCATCCACCCAATCATTCAATCATCCAATTATTCAGTAGCTAGGAATTGGCATTTACTACATGTTAGGCACTGTGCCAGGAGCTCGGGATACAATGGTAAGCACATTCAGACAGGGTCTCTGCCTTTAGGGGCTCAGTCTGGCTACCCCAACAGTCACTGAATAATACAATATCCTGCTTGATTAGTGCTAGAAAGAAAATGAAGAGTGCTATGAGACCATACAACATGGGGGCTTCCCCTGGTCTGAAACTATCGGGAGAGGCTTCCCAGAGGAAATGACTCTTACTTGCTGAAAGACAGAGGATGGCCTGGAGCTGACAGGTGCAAGGCAGCAGCACTTTCTACCCTGTGACCTCCGCATCCTTCTCTCTTCTGGACTGAACCTCCTTTTGCTCCTCCTGCCGCCACTCTTTCCAAGGGCCTGTGAAATGCTCAAGGAGGATGAGACCCTCCACACACAGTCTGATTTCCTTTCCAATGAAAGCCAAGCCTGCATCTGATTTTTTGGCAGCCACATTCGCTCGTTTGTGTTGAAATCGTGACACTATGTCTATATTTTCCATTGGACCAGAAATATCATCTAAGAAAAGAAATAAGTAAGAAAATGCATGCAGTTAAGCAAGACCCTCATAGTGGCCCCAGAATGGATCTTGAGGATCACTGGTCTTTTTCCTGAGGGACTTGCCCTCTGCCTATTGATCTAAGATTGTCACCAACACCAGGGCAGAGCTGAGTTCCCGGGTCAAACCTGTCTTTCCAGCTAGAATTCCAGAGGAAACCCCAGTCCCTGTTGGGGCTGAAGGTGCTTCCTTTTGGCGTCGGGGCCTCTCGACACTAATAATTAGCGTCTTGCTTCTTTGAGGAACCCACAGGAATGGCCAGGGCTTTGCAAACTGCTTCTCTCAACATCCCCCAGCTCCTCCCAGAGAGTCGACTGGGATTCTTATCTTACTGATGAGGAAAGCAGAACTCAGAAAGGTGAAGGTGACAGAGCTGAGACCTCAAGCCAAGCCCTCCAGAGCCAACACCATTTCCATGATACACACACCTCACTTGAATTACATTATTATGGGGCAACTCACTGAATGTCTAAAGAGCTACCACCTACTGAACACCTATCACGTGCTCTCTCTACCTTGCCCATTTATTCCCTCTCTACTTAGTGTCCCAAAGACACCTCAAATGTAGCATGTCCATAAGAGAACTGTAACATGTCATTGGTTTTGTGTCCCCACCCTGCTCTTCCCTTTGGCTTCCCAATCTTGGGAAATGGTGCAACCATTCACCCATAGACTCAGGCGCCAATGCTCGGAGTCAACCTGAAAGGAGGCAGAGAGAGAGGAAGAACAAAAAAACACAGATGGATGGATGGACAGATGGATGGATGGATGGAAGGATAGATGGATGGATGGATGATGAATAAGTGTGGATGGGTGGATGGATGCATGGTGGATAAATAAGTGAATGATGATAGAAGCTCCAGGGAAGAGGATGATGGTTCTGGGAAGTTAACTGCACTTCAATATAAAGAAGAGCATTCCTTGGATAAGGATAGACTGAGTAGAAAAAAGAAGAAAGAGGAAGAAGAAGAAGAAGAAGAAGAAGAAGAAGAAGAAGAAGAAGAAGAAGGAGGAGGAGGAGGGGGAAGGGGAGGGTGGGAAGGGGGAAGGGAGGGGGAGGGAGAGGGGGAGAAGGAGAGGAGAAGGAGAAGGAGGCACATTCTAAATGCACCAGGCTGGGCGTGGTGTCTCATGCCTGTAATCCCAGCACTTTGGGAGGCAAAGGCAGGCAGATAACCTGAGCTCAGGAGTTTGAGACCAACTGGGCCAACATGGTGAAACACTGTCTCTACTAAAAAATACAAAAATTAGCCAGGTGTGGTGGCATGTGCACCTGTAGTCCCAGCTAATCAGGAGGCTGAGGCAGGAGAATCACTTGAACCCAGGAAATGGAGGTTGCAGTGACCCATGATCTAGCCACTGCACTCCAGCCTTGGCAACAGAGTGAGATTCCATCTCAAAAACAAAAACAAAAACAGCAGAGGAGAGAGGAAGAGAGGAAGGAAGAGAAAGAGAGGAGAGAGGGAAGAGGGATAGTGGAGGGAAGGCTAGAGGAAGGAAGAGAGGAAGGAAGAATGAAGGAGGAGAAGAGAGAAAGAAAATGAGGAAAAAAATAAGGAAAGGGAGGCTGGGCATGGTGACTCACACTGGTAATCCCATCACTTTGGGAGGCTGAGGCAGGCAGATCACGAGGTCAGGAGTTCGAGACCAGCCTGGCCAACATGATGAAACCCCGTCTCTACTAAAAATACAAAAAATAGCTGGGCATGGTTGCAAGCGCCTATAATCCCAGCTACTTGGGAGGCTGAGTCAGGAGAATCGTTTGAACCCGGGAGGCGGAGGTTGCAGTGAGCCGAGATCGCACCATTGCACTCCAGCCTGGGTGACAGGGCAAGACTCCATCTCAAAAAAAAGATAAAAAGGAAGAAAAGGGAGAGAAAAGGGAAGGGGAGGGAATAGGGAGGGAGGGAAGAGGAAGAAAGGAAAGGAGAAAGAGGGAAGGAAGAAGGGAGAAAAAAGGATGGAGGAGAAAAAGAAGTGAGGAACAAACAAGGGGGCTTTGACTGTAGGAAAACACAGGTAAAGGCTCATGTGTATAATACTTTTTAGCCTGTGTAAGTCAATATCCTAAAATAACACTTTGTGCCTTGTTTTAAATAGCACCAGATTCACTGTCATTCACAGAGTCACAAAACCATTAACTTCCCTAAAACAACCAATTTCAGAACAGGAATTTGGGCCACCCTGCAATGGTGTCAAATTTCCCCAAAAGCAAGATGAACTAGATCCAGTCCCTGAGCCTAAGAAGTCTAAAATCTCTTCTGGATGATAAGGCTAATATTCAACAGTCATAATACAAGGCAGAAACAGACAAGGACCAAAAGAGCTTTACAGAAGGAGGGCCATGGTGGCCCATGGAAGTGAGGAGTAATTCCTGCCAGGCATTTGTGAAGAAGGTGGCATCTGGCCAGGACCTTTGAAAGAAGTGCAGAAAGGAGGCCTAGTGTGTGCTGGGCAGCCACCTCATCAATCACTGGATCCTATCCAGTGTGAGATCCCCATTCTACAGATGCCGACACCAGGGTTCAGGGTAAGGAAGGCAATCAAGCAACTTGCCCGAGGTCATGCATGCAAGGAACACGGAAGCCCCACTCTAATGGAGATTTAAATTCAGGTCTAATATGAGAATCCAAGTGGCAATGTGTGATGTGTCTGGACCACGTGGTGTGAAATGCAGTCGGCTTCTCCTGGGAAGGTTACTCAGACAGAAGCTTTCTTCACAAGCATGCTCCCCACGGCCTCCTCCCTTTCACCTGCACCATGTCTGTCTCCCATTCAAGACTGGCAACCCCAGCCAGGCACAGTGGCTCATGCCTGTGATCCTATCATTTTGGGAGGCCAAGGCAGGAGGATCCCTTGAGGCCAGGAGTTTGAGAACAGGAGACAACACAACGAGGCTCTATCTGTACAAAATATAACAAAACTTAGCCAGGCAAGGCCATGTGTACCTATAGTTCCAGCTATTCAGGAGGCTGAAGTGGGAGGATTGCTTGAGACCAGGAGGAAGAGGCTGTAGTGAGCTGTGACTGTGCCACTGCACTCCAGCCTGGGAGATAGAGCAACATTGTCTCAAAAAAAAAAAAAAAAAAAAAAAAAAAAAAAAAAAAAAAAGATGTGGCAGCCCCTTGAGAAAGGAAGAGCTCCTATCTTGACGATTTCAGCCAATGCCCGTGAGTACCAGCAGGAGCCTCTATCCCTCTCTGCCCCACCCTGCATCCACGCATTCATTACATCATTCATCCCCCCTCATTTTCTCAACACCCACTTGTGCCAGGCCCTGAGGTGGCTCTAGGACCGAGAGACAGGGATCACAGAGCTCCCCAGTGGAGTGGAGGGTACAGACATGTCGACAAGAACACTGGAACCCAGTGCGGGCTGGGAGCGTGCGGTCAGACCTGCAAAGCGGGGAAGAGAAGGGGGTCGGAGAAGCTTCGCGGGGAGAATGGGGTGAGGCCTGAGGCCTGTCTCGGAAAGCAGAGGGGCAGGTGGGAGAGTGGAAAAGACATTCCTGGAGGAGGGAACCAAAGGTGCTGAATGTGCAGAGGCAGAGATCCTGCGACAGGAGAGAAAGTCCTCGAGAATGACCCCAGCATAGGATGAGAACAAAGAAGGGGATCAAAGGAAACGGGCCCTCGGTGGCCGGGTGCTAGAAGGCTCTGAGTGTCAGGAGAGGGAGCGTGACCTCCCTCATGGGGTCAGTAGGGCCACTGTATGGCTTTAAGCCAGGGAAGGACAGGAGAGGTTTCTGTAACTGTGGCTGTAATGATGGAAGCGTCTGGAGGCGGAGAGGAGGCTCCTGCGACGACCCAGGCTTCAGAGAGAGAGAGAGAGAGGAAAGAAGGAAGGGCAGATAGGAAAGCTAGGAAAGATGCACAGAGAGACCAAGGCAGAAAAGGCTGAAGGGAAGACGGCAGTGGTAGGAAGGGGGCAGAGCCGTCTCAGGATGCAGCCAGCGGGCGAGGAGGCAGAGACCCGCTTGCCCGGTGCCTGGACTCACCAGCCGGTGCAGCCAGCCGGCGCCGGCGTGCGTGTCCTTGAGGCGGAAGAGGCGGCGGTTCGCGGAGCTGCGGCCCACGTACCACAGCATCTGCAGCAGCATGAGCGCCGTCAGGAAGCACAGCAGGTCGCTCTTGCTCACGCCCGCGGCGTGCACGGCCCAGGCCAGCAGCAGCAGCAGCCCCGCCACGAACACGATCAGCCCATACTGGCTGCTCAGCATCTCGGCCAGCCTCTGTGGGACGCTGGCGCGCACACCGCCCCTCCGGGGGGCCGGGGACTCCGGGCACCTCGGGGCCGACGGCGAGGGAGGCGGGCAGGCCGCGGGCCCCGATGACCTCGCGACTGAGGCGCTCGCAGCTGCCCGGGGCCAGGCGGGCGACCCCAGGCCCTCAAGCATCTTCAAGACACCCGCGCCAAGTCTGGCCCCGGGGGTGGCTGCCGTCGGGCCCCGCCTGCGCTCCTGGCTCCTGTCCTTGCCCCGACGCCTCTGCCAACCAGCACCCCCCTTTTCAACTCCCCTCCGATTCCTACCCCACGCCCCCAACAACCTGCCCCGTCTCCTGTCACTTCCCGACGCCCGCCCTCCCCTCTTCTGCCCCTTCGTCCTCAGTCAAGGTACCACCCTGTCCACTTACCCAGCGCCCCACCCCGCTGACCCGGGATTCTACGAGCTCCCTTGCCCACTGCCCCTCACTGGGCAACGCCCGGGGCAGCCATCTGTCCCCTCCGGGACCCACGCGGACCGCTCCCGGCTCCTGATCCCTGGGACACTGGCCAGCCCTGCCCCGACACTAGCGCGTCCTCCCGCACCTCCGCCCGCGCGCCCGGCCCCCGCCCACCGTCTGCAGCCCTCACTCCTGCGCCGACGCCCACCCACCCAGCCCCTGTCCCGGCGCCTCAGAAACGCTGGGTGACGAGAGATGCCTCCCAGAGTCCCGGGGTTGCGGGGCTGGGGAGAGGGGGTCTTCCAGAGCCAGCCCGAAGTGGGGTGTGCGCGGGGGGCGTGGCTGCTGCCAAGTGGGGCGCACGGGGCTCCACAGGGGCGTGCTATGCTCCGGGCCTTCCCCGAGGGTCTCCGTTGGGGAACCCAGAGGTCCAGGTGATCCTGCCTGGGTCCGTGTCCGAGCGTCCGATGGTCTGTCCTTGTCCCTGCGTATTTCTGTATTGTCTTCTCTGTGCCGGTCACTCTGTGTCTGGCCGTCTGTTTTCGGGTGTGTCTGGTTAGGGGTGGAGGAGCGCCAGTCACTGGCTCTCTGAATTGGGGGAGGGGCCGCCTTCTGTGGGTTTTTCTGTTTGTCCATCTGGTGTGCCTGTGTGTCGGCTGCGAGACGCCCAGGCGCAGAATAAGACCTGAGCCACTTTCTAAGAAAAGAGACCATCCCGCACCCTCCCCCAAAGGAGCGGCAGCCATTCTGGACGCAGAGGAGCTGGAATGAGGGAGGCCCCAGGGTCTGCCCTGGGGCAACCGGCGCCCAAGCATCTCCACCAGCCCCTTCCAAAGCCCCGGTGCCTGCCTTGCACCTGCCTGCTCCCGGAAGGAGACTGCGTCTGCCAGGGCGCCCTGCTCGGGTGCCATTAAGTGGAGGTCTGGGAAGTTTCTGCAGAAGAGCGTTCTACCGGTCGGGCGTGGCTGACAGGAGGCGGTGGACCCCAGCCCCCCAGCTGCAGGTTGGAGAGGGGAGTTGGGAGCGAGCCTGGGGCGAGCCCCCATCCCACCATGCAGCAGCCCGGGGCTGGGCCCCGGAAGACACCCTCTCCCTCTTGGTTTAAGGCTCTTGCAGTCTTGAAATTCTTAATTTTTGAACAAGAGGGCCCAGGTTTTTGTTTTGCGCTAAGCGCAGCAAATTGCAATAGCAGGTCCTGACTAGTAAAGGAGGGGTGGGGAGTCCTGGGCCGGCAAGAAGTCAACCTGGGGGACCTTGCCTTGCCGCCATCATTCTTCCAATTCATGCATTCATTCATTTGATCAACACACATGTATGTGTTGACCTATGAATCATTTGCTGGTCTCTGTTGTAGGCGCTGGGGTTTCAGCTATGAAAGGCTCTGTTCAGGTGGAGCTGATGTTCAGGTAGAGAAACAGCAATAAACAAACAGCTAATGAGCCTTGACTGGGAAGCTGGGGAGCGTGACCTGTGAGACTTAGCCCTCAACTTCTAAGAGCTTGGGGGTGGGGACAGAGTAAGCAGCACAGCACCCTTGAGCAGGGCTACCACCAGGGGCCTGGGAGGAGCCCAGGTCTGCAGGAAGGCTGCGAGGTTCAGGGAGGAGGCAACACCTGCACAGTCTTCTTTCTTTCTTTATTTTATTTTTATCTTTTAATAAGGACAGGGCCTCCCTATGTCTCCCAGGCTGGAATGAAGTGGTGTGATAATAGCTCACTACAGCCTCGAACTCTGGGGCTCAAGTGCTCCTCCCACCTCAGCCTCCCAAATAGCTGGGACTACAGGTGTGTGCTACCACGCCTGGCTCAGTTTTTTAAAATTGTTTTTTGTAGAGACAGGGGTCTCGCTGTGTTTCTCAGGTTGATCTCAAACTCCTGGGCTCAAGCCATCCTCCTACCTCAGCCTCCCAAAGCACTGGGATTACAGGCTCCAGCTACCACGTCCAGCCTCCTGCACATTCTTTAGGCTTAGGAGTGGATGGCCAGGTGGAAGGGAGCAGGGGTCTGGAAAGGCAGTCCAGAGAGAGGATCCAGCAAACCTACTGGGAATCCTCCACCTTCTCCCCTCCTCTTCCTACCAACAGCCAGAGCAACCTGGGAGGCTGAGCTGAAGATGGAAGAGCCTGTCTGCGTGTCTCCCCAGTGACTAGTGAGGTGGCTTTTCCTCCCGAAGCTGGACCTTACATCAGTGAGAAATAAACTTCCATTGTGCTAAGCCACCAAAGTCTGAAATGTTACAGCAGCTAGCAGTACCTTAACCCATTGAGTACAAAGATAAATAACACTCAGTCACTATCTGAAAATCAAGTGGAATGCCTGTCTCTGGGCTACCTGCACTTTTGTTTGTTTGTTTGTTTGTTTGTTTGTTTGTTTGTTTGTTTGTTTTTGAGATGCAGTCTCACTCTGTTACCCAGGCTGGAGTGCAGTGGCACAATCATCTCAGCTCACTGTAACCTCTGCCTCCTGAGTTCAAGCGATTCTCCTGCCTCAGCCTCCCGAGTAGCTGGGATTACAGGCGCCTGCCACCATGCCCGGCTAATTTCTGTATTTTTAGTAGAGATGTGGTTTCACCATGTTGGTTAGGCTGGTCTCAACTCCTGACCTGGTGATCCACCCCTTGGCCTCCCAAAGTGCTGGGATTACAGGCATGAGCCACCACACCTGGCCTGCATTTTTTTAAGAAGCAATGAAATGAAAGTTTCTGGAGGCTAAAGTCAGCCCCCTTTATTGTAATCTCAAGACAATGTTAAAACTCACTGAGAGCCTGTAATCCCAGCACTTTGGGAGGTCGAGGCAGATCACTTGAGGTCAGGAGTTCGAGACTAGCCTGGCCAACATGGTGAAACCCCGTCTCTACTAAAAATACAAAAAATAGCTGGTGTGGTGGTGCACACCTGTAATCCCAGCTACTTGGGAGGCTGAGGCAGGAGAATCTCTTGAACCCAGGAGGCAGAGGTTGCAGTGAGCCAAGATTGTGCCACCGGACTCCAACCTGGATGACAGAGACTCCATCTCAATAAATACATAAATAAAACTGAGAGATTTACCCACACTGTGTTCTGCCTTCCACCAGTGAGATTTTTTTCAAAAGTCTGAGCCACACGGGGCCCCCAATTTCTTACGACTGACCCCTGCTCCATGATGGGAAGATACAAGGGGTCAGAAATGGTGCTCTGGTGGTGCCCAGGCCTGCTGTTTTCACCACATTTGGTGCATGTTACCCCTGCCCACACTGTGTCCTGAGAACTGTGTGGCATGGCTCAATCAGTGTAAAAGCTGGAAACGTCCTGACCAGGCAGCTGCTTCCCAGTGATGATTCAGTACCACGCAGATGGACAGGGAGGCATGGTGCCCTCGGGCATGGGCTCCCTTCCTTTTTTTCTTTTTTTTTTTTTAATATTTTAAGTTCTAGGGTACATGTGCACAACATGCAGGTTTGTTACATATGTATATATGTGCCATGGTGGTGTGCTGCACCCATTAATTCGTCATCTACATTAGGTATTTCTTTTAATGCTATCCCTCCCCCTTCCCCCCACCCCATGACAGGCCCCGGTGTGTGATGTTCCCCATCCTGTGTCCAAGTGTTCTCATTGTTCAATTCCCACCTATGAGTGAGAACATGCAGTGTTTGGTTTTCTGTCCTTGCGACAGTTTGCTCAGAATTATGGTTTCCAGTTTCATCCATGTCCCTACAAACGACATGAACTCATCCTTTTTATGGCTGCATAGTATTCCATGGTGTACATGTGCCATATTTTCTTAATCCAGTCTATCATTGATGGACATTTGGGTTGGTTCCAAGTCTTTGCTATTGTGAATAGTGCCGCCATAATCATACATGTGTATGTGTCTTTATAGTAGAATTATTTATAGTCCTTTGGGCATATACCCAGTAATGGGATCGCTGGGTCAAATGGTATTTCTAGTTCTAGATCCTTGAGGAATCACCACACGGTTTTCGACAATGGTTGAACTAGTTTACACTCCCACCAACAGTGTAAAAGCATTCCTATTTCTCCACATCTTCTCCAGCACCTGTTGTTTCCTTTTTAATGATCACATGAGCTCCCTTCTTCCAGTGAAGTTGACAGGATTTCACAAGGCCAGAGGCCCACTGGCACTCTCAACTACCAGAGATAATAGAAGGTCCCAAGGGGCAATTAGCACATTTTGCCCCCAGTCACCTTTGGTGGTAGCTATGTAATCCCAGTATTTTTAAGAACAAAAGAGTTAGACAGTGTATTCACTTCTTTTTTTTTTTTTTTTTTTTTTTTTTTTTTGAGACAGAATCTTACTCTTATCACCCAGGCGGGAGTGCAGTGGTGTGATCTTGGCTCACTGCAACCTCTGTCTCCTGGGTTCCAGTGATTCTCCTGATTCAGTCTCCCGAGTAGCTGGGATTACAGGCACACACCACCATGCCTGGATAATTTTTTGTATTGTTAGTAGAGATGGGATTTCACCATGTTGGCCAGGTTGGTCTTGAGCTCCTGACCTCATGATCCACCCACCTCGGCCTCCCAAAGTGCTGGGATTACAGGCATGAGTCACTGTGCACAGCCAAGTGGGTGGGTCTAACAAAGTGCCACTGACGGGGTGGCTTCAAAACAATGAAAATTTATTCTCTCACAGTTTGGGAGGCCAGAAGTCCAAAATCTAGACGTCAGAAGAGCCAAGTTCCCTCTGAAGGCTCCAATGGGGGGTCATCGCCAGCCTCTTCCAGTTTCTGCTGGTTGCTGGCAACCCCTAGCATTCCTTGGCTTGTGGCTGTATCACTCCAATCTTTGCCTCTGTTGTGACTTGACCATCTTTCCTTTGTATCTGTGTCTCTTTTCCTCTTCTTATAAAGACACCAGTCATAATGGGTTAAGGGCCCAACCTACTCCAGTATGACTTCATTGTAATTTACATCTTAATTAAATCTACAAAGACTCCATTTCCAAATAGGGCCACAATCAGAGGAACCAGGGGTTAAGATTTCAACAGATCTTCTGGTGAGCAAAAATTTAATCTATAACACACAAATGATAGTCAAGATATGGAATTAACCTGTGCATCCATCAATGGATGAATGAATGGACAAAGAAAATGTGTGTATGTATACACATTGTATACATACACAACAGAATATTATTCAACCTTAAAAAGAAGGAAATGGCCGGGCACAATGGCTCACGCTTGTAAACCCAACACTTTGGGAGGCCATGGTGGGTGGACTGCTTGTGCCCAGGAGTTCAAGACCAACTGGGCAACATGGCAAAACCTCAACTCTACAAAAAAATAAAAATAAAAAGGCTGAGTGTGGTGGCTCATGCCTGTAATCCCAGCACTTTGGGAGGCTGAGGCAGTTGGATCACCTGAGGTCAGGAATTTGAGACCAGCCTGACCAACATGGAGAAACCCCTTCTCTACTAAAAATGCCTGTAATCTCAACTACTCAGGAGGCTGAGGCAGGATAATCACTTGAACCCAGGAGGCAGAGGTTGTGGGTGAGACAAGATCACACCATTGCACTCCAGCCTGGGCAACAAGAGTGAAACTCTCTCTCAAAAAAAAAAAAAAATCAGCTAAACCCAGTGGTGTGCACCTGTAGTCCCAGCTACTTGGGAGGCTGAGGTAGGAGGATCATTTGAGCCTGGGAGGTCCAGGTTTCAGTGAGCTGAGATTGTGCCACTGCACTCCAGCCTTGGTGACAGAGCCAGACCCTGTCTCAAAAAAGAAAAAAAAGGAAATCCTGACATTTGTAACAGTATGGATATGAACCTGGAAGATACTATGTTAAGTGACATAAGCCAAGCACAGAAAGACAAATGTCACATGATCTCATTTATATGTAGATCTAAAAAAGCTGAGGTCATATAGGTAGAGAGTAGAAGAGTGGCTACCAGGGGCTGGGCAGCAGGTGGAATTTGTGGGTTGGGAGATGTTGGTCAAAGGGTACAAAATTTCATTTAAGTAAGAAGAGTAAGTTCAAGAGATCTATTGTACAGCTTAGTAATTATAGTTAATAACAATTTATAGCATTTTAAAAATTGTGAAGAGTAGATTTTAAGAAATCTCACCACAAAAAATAAGTATGCAAAGTAATGCATATATTAATGAACTCCATCTAGCCATTCCACATGTACCCTTGGACTTCAAAACTTGGAAAAAATGAATTGAAAATATAAACTTTATGTCTCAACATAAGCTCCATCAAGTTCAAGACACTTGTATAAGTCATGCTACAGCCATTTAGCCCATCCTTAAGGAACTGAAGGTCCTGAGAATTTAACCATATCAATGCAGTCTTTTACACATTAACTGAAAAGGGTATCCTTTACAGATTAAGATTACGAAACAAAAAGAAGTTAGGAGGAGCCAAATCAGGACTGTAATGATTTCCCATCAAAATTCTCCCAAAATTGCCCTTGATGACAGGAATAACCAGAAGCATTGTCATGGTGGAGGAGGACTCTGCTGAAATTTTCCCAAGAATTTTCTGCTAAAGCTTTGGGTAACTTTCTCAAAACCCTCTCATAATAAGCAGATGTTACCATTCTTTGGTCCTCCTGAAAGTCAACAAGGGAAGTGCCTTGAGCCCCAAAATACTGTTGCTATGAGTTGTGCTCTTGACTGGTCTGCTTTTGCTTTGACTGACCCACTTCCACTTCTTGGTAGCCATTGCTTTGATTGTGCTTTGTCTTCAGGATAGTACTACGAAATCCATGTTTCATAACTTGTTGCAACTTTTCGAACAAATGCTTCAGGATCTTGATCCCACTGTTTAAATTTCCATTGAAAGCTCTGCTGTTGTTTGCAACTGATCTGGGCACAACAGTTTTGGCACCCATCAAGTGCAAAGTTGGCTTTCAGTCAGAATTGTGTAACCTGAACCAATTTGACGTCTATGACACTGTCTATTGTTTCTGCTATTGTTAACTGCTATTAATCATCAGTCCTCTTTGATTAGGGCATAAACAAGATGAATTTTTTCCTCAAAGATTCGTGTGTAGGGTCTCTTACTGAGGGCTTCCTCTTCAACATCATCTCATACCTTCTTAAAACAAGTTATTCATTTGTAAGCTGTTGATTTCTTTGGGGCATTGTTCCCATAAACTTTTCATGAAGCATTAGTGATTTTACCATTTTTCACCCAAGCTTCATAATAAATTGATGTTTGTTCTTGCTTCGATTTTAGCAGAATTAATGTTGCACTGATGTGGTCTCTTTTCAAACTGATGTCTTATCCTTCTTAGTGTCTCAAACTAGATCCTGTTCAGACATGTTATGACAAGTTAAAGACTCTGTCTCAAAAAGTCTTTTTTTAAGTAATAGGACAATCTTCATACCATCCTAATTGGCCAGTTATTAGCTCTTGGGAAACTGGGTTTTAACTAATTGTTTTAAACACATGCCAGCCTTAGATTTCTATCCATGTTGTAAACATACTCTTCAAGAAAAAAAAAAAAGATATAAAATGTGTGAAGGCTGACACTGGGGCACTCTCCACCCAAGCTCCCTCCAGGGAGTGTGATCCAAATGCCCTCCCTTCCCGGGCTGCTGCCTCGGTTGTGCCGGACCCTCACATCACTGCCTGATTCATCACTGCCTGATTCGGCTGCCTGATTGTGGCCTTTGCCTGGCCTTGCTCCCTATTTTAAATGACACTCTCGCCACACCTTCACATACCCATGACAACAAACTGGGTTTACTTCTGTCTACTCATCATGCCTGACTTTCCCCTTTGCAAACATCATGACGGGATGTGATATTCCTGATCCTAGATTCTGCTTTCCCTTTCTTTCCCTCTCCATTACCATTTATTGAGTGGACACCTACTGTGTCAGGCACTGTAATTGGTGTTTTACAAACATTATTACTATTACCCACAACCCTACAAGACAGATATTGTTCCCACTTCACAGCTGAAAAAAGATTACAGGCTGACTACCCCTTCTCTGAAATGCTTGGGACCAGAAGTGTTTTGGATTTTGGAATACTTGCATTGTATTCCAAAACCCGAAATGCTCCAATGAGCATTTCCTTTGAGTGCCATATCAGCAATCAAAAAGTTTCAGATTTTGAAATTAGGGATACTAAACCTGTACTACTGAAGGTCTTGCAGCTAGTAAATGGCAGGGTATGATCTGAACCAGACACAAGTGGTGATTAAGTCAAATCATTACTAGAAGTCACCTTACAGAGAAAACAATCAACATGAGGTACATTCTGTCACAATGCTTATGCTGTTTAGATTTAATGTAGATATATTTGCATTTGAAAGTGCAAATACTGTCTTTATAAAGTCTTTGAAGAACAGAGTTAGCCCTTGTTATTTCTATGGTTAATTCAAAGTGCTAATAGCTAAAAACCAGAAGTCATTCCAAAGTTTGCATGAACAAAACTCACAAGAAAGTTATAAAAATATTTTATTTAAATGGTACAGAAAAAAATATGTATACTTAAAAATGATTAAAACTTCACATTAGGAAATGCTAAAAACCCAGTAATTTACACAATGATAAAATCTAAAGTGACGGGAAAACATAAAATATTTTCATTTGGTCCTGTCACCTAACAAAACGATCATAAATATGAGATTATAGTAATTACTAAAGCTGGTTAAAGGCACATGACAACGTAATTCCTTTATACATATCCAGTCATTTTATACAAGGAACTGCTATCCCTTAAATGGAAGAGTGAACTATTTGTTTAAAATATTAAGAGTGCATCATGTACCTATAATGAAACCACTTTCTCCAAAGACTCAAACAGATTAACATTGCAAAATAGTATTTCTGTATCACTGACTTCTGAAAATTTTAATAATTTAAGAATATGCAAGTGAAATATAATTTATTCTGGTTTCAAAAATAGTTATACAAAGTCACAATTTTCCCCAGGAAACCATTCACTTCATAGCTGCAAAAACACACTGTAGCTTTTCTGTTAGGGTCTGTCATGCTTTCAGCTAGCTGGATGTTTAACCATTCACTTCAAATTTACGTGTCCAGCCATGCACGGTGGCGTGGGCCTGTAGTCCCAACTACTTTGAAGGCTGAGGCAGGAGGATCACTTGATCCCAGGAGTTCAAAGCCAGCCTGGGCAACATAGAAGACCCTATCTCTTAAAAAAAAAAAAAGTATATATCCTTAAATCTGAAAGAAAACCAGCATTTATGTAACAAGTAAAACATTCTATCTTAAGCTATTGCATTTAACACTAAAAAGCATAGTTCACTCTGTGATCTACAACGTTGTCTGAGTCTCCATTACAATTGTAAATTCATGTCAGGGTAAGAGCTCCCAAACATCTGTAAAAACTCAAAATTCAAGAGTCAAAGAAGGGGCTGAGCACATGAGAAGGGGAGAGATGGGTGACAGGGTCAGGTGAGGAAGTGTTCTGAGATGTGTAGGATTCCTCCGGGCCCAAAGCAGCTTGTGGCACCACATGCATACAGGAACGAAGGGCCTCCTGTGAGGGCTCCCAGTGGTTCCAAGACACAGCAAGGTGCCTGAAAGAGGCTGGAGACATTGGCGTGGGCATGGAGGTGCTAGCAACTATTTTCAGACTGCTAACAATGAGACTGTGTCCATTTCTTCTTTGTACAGTTACCATTGACCTTCCTTTAAAATCCCACAGGGAGAACATGCTGTTTTTAGCAGAAATGTCAGTTTTCATTAACTCCTTGAAAATTTAGCGTATTAACTTTCATTTCCATGAGCTTCAATTTCCACACCTGTCAACTGCTGTATAAAGCAGGTTTCCTGCAAGTTCTGATGTAAGTGACCTGACAGGAGGCACTATCTTTGTCCTTCTCAACTTGCCTCTAAGCATCTGGAGTGAGTATTCTCAATATGCACTTATTTAATAACAGAGTTATCCGACACTCAGAAAACAGCCTCCACTGTGTAAGGCAGCAGATCTCAGGATGGGGTGATCTGTAGGGAGGCAGAAATTCTATAAATAACACCAAACAAAAGCTGATTGTGTCATCCAACACATTTTTATGAGGAAGTCAGAATAATTAGAAGATGGTAGAATTTTTTTTCCCAGTTGGGTAAAATTGTCCATTCTTCCTGTATTCCCATTTCTTAAGAATGATCTAGCCAACAGTCATTGAATATAAGCTGACACAAATTAATATAATTTCAACATAAAATGGTCTAATGTGTGAATTTAACTATATTGGAAGGTACAAATCCTGTCTTTATGAGGTCTTTGAAAGGCAGGGTACCTTCTCTAAAAAGTAGTCACTTAGAACCAACTTTTACAAAAGAAAGAGTCTCAGCCCCCAACCCCTGCCAGCCTGGGCAAAATAAGGAGACTCTGTTTCTACAAAAAAAATTTTAAAAATTAGCCAAGCGTGGTAGCACATGTTTGTAATACCAGCTCCTTGGGAAGCTAAGGTGGGAGGATCGCTTGAGCCCCCAGGTGGTCAAGGCTGCAGTGAGCGGTGATCATGCCACTGTACTCCAGCCTGGACAACAGAGTGAGACACTGTCTCAAAAAAAAGGAGTCTATCTCAGAGTTCAACGAATGGATAATTCTAGTGTGGACAACTCTGGTGTAAACATGACTGAAAATAATTCACAAATAGTCTGTTACAGCTCCATCCACTGAAAATTGTCATAAAAGACATTTTTCAAATGAGTTCATTTTTAGAAAAACCATTCCAGATATCTTACCTTCGGAAATCATCCAAGGAGTGTGATAAACATTACAACCCCCATAAACTGGGTAAACAACAACAATGGAGTGAAAAACGACCACACATGCCATAAAGCAATGTTGAAGCTGAAAAGAACAAGACATAAACAGTTGACAACTCAAATATGCATCAATATATTTTATTCTAGAATCCAGATTTAAAGTATTCAATGTAGAAAAGTTCATCCAGTCAGCAACCTTCTCCATGTATCATATTTCTCAGCTATGTGACTTAGCCAATGCTGGAAAGAAAACTCTAGATATACTTACACAAGTATCACAATTTCTTCAAGAAGGCCCTGGAACTGGAACCACTAAAGGTCTCCTAATAGGAGTTGACATGGCTTAATAGAAACTGCAGTCTCTTAGTTTCTGCACTTGAACAAGAATTTAAATGGCTACAGCCCATTTTTATGACATCACACACTAAACTATCATGGTAAAAAAGACCAAAGTATTTTCTCTTAAAAACAGAATGAAAACAGTTATCACTTATAAGCTGCTATTCTATATTTCATTGAGAAGAACACTATTCCTGTCATCAAAGTAAAATTAAAACACTTTCTAAGTGTAAAGATTGTTAGTGACTGAAATTTCTAAGAACAGAATAGGAAAAACTATATTCAAATAAGTTCAGATGGTTATTGGTTTTAACATATAATATTTTGATAAGTATGAGTATTAAATAACTATAATCACACTGTCTAAAAAATTAATATTTCTGGAGATGATCTTAGCCTTATGGGAAAAAGTAAAAAAACATATCTGTATGCCCCCACATACAGGTTAACAATAACCACATCACACTGTCAAACACCCTTGAACTTCAACTACAGAAAATAAGTCATAGAAAGAATATGTATAAAGGTATATGGTTCTTCCAAAATAAAAATTCAATTAGGCCGGGGGTGGTGGTGCATGCCTGTAATCCAGCACTTTGGGAGGCCAACACAAGCAGATGGCTTGAGGCCAGGAGTTTGAGACCTGCCTGAGCAGCATGGCGAAACCCCATCTATACAAAAAATATTAAAAATAGCCAGATGTGGTGGCACATGCCTGTGGTCCCAACTACTCGGGAGGCTGAGTGAGGTAGGAGGATCACTTAAGCCTGGGAAGTCGAGGCTTCAGTGAGCTGTGATCATGCCACTGCACTCCGGCCTGGGTGACACAGTGAGACCCTGTCTCCAAAAAAAAAAAAAAAAAAAAAAAAAATCCAATTGATATAAAGAAAGAAAAAACTAGAGAGCTACGCACAACATAGGAAAAGTAGTTTTCTTTCTGGTTGGATCAGAGGATATATTTCCTTTGTGTTTTTCTGTAATTTACAGATTTTTTTTTCCTCAGTGAGCAAGTATTACTTTTATAAACTGAAAAAAAACCTGTATTTTTCATCGAGTATTTAATTAACTTATGAAGAAGGTTATTCATTGTGGCATTGTTTGAGTATAAATATAACGAAGTCCAACAACAGAAGACAGGTTAAATAAATCATGTTATGTCCATGCTGTGAAAACTATGCAACTGTTTAAAAAAATGAGACACATCTATATGTACCATTATGGAAGAATCCCAAACTATAAGGATCCACTGAAAAACAAAAGGAAAAAAAGATGAACAACCACTTTGGAAAGCAGTTTGGCATGATTTACTGAAGTCAAAGGTATGTACATCCAACAATTTTACCCCTTGGGGTGTATATATATATATACACACACACACACACACACACACACATATACGTACATCTCTACACCCAACAGAAATGTGTTCACTGTGCTACAAGAGCCATGTACAAGAATGCTCTTTATAGCATCCTTCATAGTAACCCCAAACTGAAAAAAATCTAAACACAACCAACAGTGGAAAAGAAAACTGGGATTCAATTAAACAATGGAATGCTAAAGAGCAATGAAGATGAGTCACTGTTCCCGGCTACAATATGAAACAACTGCACACAATGCTGCACACAGCCAGCTCAATGTGAAGGAATACACCCTGTATGAATCCATTTCTATAAAGTTCAAAAGCACAGCTGAAACAAAAATAGAATATCTAATGGAAGCAAAGCAAGTAGTTACCATGAAGGTCAGGGCAGTATTTACCGGTGGCAGGAGGGATGGTGCAGTAACTGGGAGGGAGAATGAAGGGGGTTCCCAATGTACTGGCTCAGTTTACACCAATGCTCACTTCATGAAAATTCATTCATTTCAGTTTTTTCCACTTTTCTATATGTATTGTACGTCATAATAAAATAGACTTAAAAAGCAAAATGCAGAATATGTACAGAATGTCACCATCTGTGCTTTAAATAACTAGATCCATAAATAGAAGGAGAAAGAGATACTAATGAAAAGGGAACCAGAGAGCATGAATGACCAGGAGACTATTTTTCTGTTTTAACTTTTTTACTTTCGAAGTTTGGACCAAGTATATCACTATCTGATCAGGAGGTGGGGGGCGTTGTCAGCCCAAGCAGCTGCCACCGTGAGCAGTGGACACAGGACCAGCTTCTGGGGATGATCCTGTCCTCTCCTAGCACAGCCCCGTGCATGGACAGGGCATCCATGCCATCCGTGTCACCCAGGGCAGGTCACTAAGCCTCCCGCAGCCCATTTCCCCGAGTCGCCCAGGCGCGGTGGAGCACATGCAGCACAGTTGTTTTAGGAATTGGATGACTCACTGAGCTCCTGACAAGTAGTAGGCTCGGCACGTGGCTGTGGCACTTTTTTCTAACTGCCTGGGTTCCATCTCAACTCCCAGAGAGTGAACATCCCGCCTCTCATCTCAGGACTGGTGCTCTCTGAAGCATTAAGTAGGAAATTGAGAGTAGTAGCAAGTGAGACTTAGGGGGCAGGTAGGCAGAAATCAGTGATGGCATAGCCGCGCCACCATGACCATCCTGGCCATTGTCTCCTGTGTCTCCTGCTCCTCGAGGTCTTCAAAGTCTCATGCTGCCTTCTCCAGCAGCTGCTCTCTGTGATGGGAGGGTGGGCACAGGGTGGGTTTGTGGGTGATTCTGCTGAAGCCAGGGAGATGACGTCTGTCCAAGGACCCTCAGCCTGGAGCCCAGGCTCCAGGAAGCTCTGTGGGGGACAGCTGACGTCACTGGGCATCTCCTTTCTGTCTGCTCTGCTCACAGAAACCTGCAGGACACTGCCCATAAGGTGAAGTGAGCAAAGAGGCCAGGCCAGTCCTTCCCAGCCCCATGGAAGCCAGTTCAGCAGGACCCTACATGGATGGGCTTCTGCAACTGTGAGCAAAGGGGGCCCATCAGGCTGTGCCCAGCCCCTAGGACACACAAGGGAAGGGCTTCTTCCCAATACCTGCCACCTGCTGCCTCTGCACAGCCGTGGTGTGCACACTGCTGCAGGGAGCAGGCACCCTCATCCCTGTGGCCCATCTCCCCCTTCTTGTCCTCATTCTGAGGCCATACAAAACTGGCCTGCAGCATCCTCACCCTCAACCTTGCCCTGCTGGGAAAACTTAGGCCCTCAACTAAACTCGGGCCCCTGGACGCACTCGCTCGGCCGCAGTTCTCAATCTTCCCTCTGCCTGGAAGGCCCTGTCGTGTGTTTCACACTTGCTAAGCAGAGTCCCCTCTGAACTCAGCCCCCTGGATCCAGCCCAGCCCTCCTGGATCCACTTGCCAGAGCAGCCCCGGACCCCGCCAGCCCCTCCCACTGACTCCAGTGCAGGTCAGTGAAGGTGACTATGACAGCTCTGGTAATCCTGGAAGAACCCCCAGGATTGAACACAGCTCTTGGGCTCTGATTACAGCCAATTACCATAATGGAGAGAATATCTGGATTCTCCCCTAATTTCCTCTCCTCTTAAAATTTTCAATTAAGAGCCTAATCTTGATGGAAAATGGCTGCTTTCTGGAGTACTCTCCGCAGTGCTGATTCCTCATTGCTAAGTGCTTTTTCTAGACAGATAGAGGCTCTCGATGATTCCAGATAAAATCAGAGCAAAGGAGCTTACCCAAAGAAAGGAGGAGAGCAGAGCAGCAATAGGCTATGCCCCGGAGCCCTCCCCACTGCTGGAGACACCAGGTGGGTGAGGGGTCTCTTGGGCCCTTCCAGCCTGCAGAGCTGCTGAGAGTCAGGCCTGGCTGCCAACAAAGCAGCTGAAGTCTTGAGAAAACTTCCTGATTGCATTAGCGAGGTTGCAACACCAGGACATAATCAAATCTCCCTGGAGGACGTGGCTTCAGGAAGGGCTGCTACAAGCCAGTGGCAGAACAAGGGCAACCAGGGTCAGACACGGTGGAAGGAGGGAAGTCCCAGAGCCGAGCATGGGTGGACATCAGAGGGGTGTGGGCTGCACCATCTGGGTGCAGGGGCCAGCAGGCAGTGCGGGTCCACCCAGCCCAGGGCCAGCCTTTCCCAGCAGTCGCGTGCAGAAACCTGGCACACGTCATGGGGCAGCGGTCCCATATCATAGGCCCTCCTGGTGTTAGCAGTCAGGAGGGTGCCTAGAAAAGCCTCCCACAGCCACAGGGACAGCAGGATCTGAGCCCACCCTCCACACCAGAAGCCTGCCCAGCACCGTAGGCAGGGCCCGGGTGCCCTGCTCAGGAATGAGCTCTGCTTCCAGCTTGGCCATCCTAGTTCCACCCTGTCTGTAACTTAGCCGACCAGGAAGATGGCTGTGATGACCACAGAAAATCCTGACACAGAGCTGGCATGAAGGAGCTGTGCCTGTGGGAGCTTCAGAGTCCTCAGGCCAGGCTGGCCCTGGCTCTGCCACCTCTTGGCTGGAATGCCTTCAGGCACCTACTGAGCCTCTCAGGGGCTCAGCATCCTCATCTGTGGGACACGGATAATAATAGGGTTGTTTTGAGAGTAAAAGCACAAAACACAGAGCCTGGCTGGAGAAAGCACAGGTAGCTGAAGTCAGCCAAGGCTGAGTTAAGTGTTCTTCTTAGAAAAGCGGACAGGCCATTCCCTGAAGGCATCAGTGCGGGCAGGAGGGAACCTGCACTTTGCAGTTCCAACACCTCAGGACACAATTCCTGCTAACCTGACCCACAAAAGACCAAAGGACACACCCAAGATCCTGGACCAACGTCCCACAAGGATGCCTCCTGGTTTCTTCTCTAAGAATACGTCTTAAAATGTTCCCCAGGAAGCTAACTCAATATTCCTAATGTATGGACCATGGAAAGAAAACAAGTGTCTCAGTAGGTTTGTTCAACAAATGTGCAAATGCAGAGACGAACAAAGATGCCCAAAGTCAAGGAGCAGCTCAGTCGCCTCCGACATGCTCGGGGGCCACAACCACTTCCAACCTCTGCCCTGTTCACACTTTCCTCCACCCAGATTCCCCTCTTGCCCTGGCACTCCAGGAATTGTTTGATGTCCTGGAAGCTCCCTTTCTCTGTTCCACAGCCCCTGAGGCTGGTACCTCCCTGCATGCGTGTCCACCTCACCCACTGAGTTCCAGGAGCAGGCGTCTATCCTGCTCGCCCTGACTCAGCAGGGAGGGCTGAGCTCTGGAGCCTGAGTGCACCCAGACCTGCCCCATGGCCTCCTGTGCCTCTGTGTCCTCCTCACCCTCGACTCACCAAGGAGCCCTGAGGACGTGAGAACTGGAACATGCCCAAGACCCACATCGGGGCCTGGCACACACCAAGCGCCTAGTGAACGCTTGATGACTGAGGACAGCATCGCTTCTTCTAAGAGGGAAAAAAAGGAAAGTCAACCAGAGACAATTTGTAAAAGATGGCTTTTGACTGAGGCCTTGAAGGATGGGCAAGGATGGGCAAGGGGAGGGGGGACTCAAAGTGCAGGATGAGAAGGCTCTAGGTGCCTGAGTGCCTCTGCATGTGAACATGCATGTGCATGTGTGTGCATGTGTGTGTGCATGAGACTTGCAGCCTTGCATGTGTGCGTGCATATGCATATGTGTGTTCATATGCGCATGCATGTGTGTGTGCCCTAGTCCAGACAGGGTTCTGAGTGCACTGTGGGGGACAGATGATTTCACACTCCGCCCTGAGTCTGAAATCAGTGGGACAGATGACCTTGAAGAAGGCCTTATGGCTCACTTAGTGTGAGCCAGACTCCATAGAGACAGTGACGGCAGGACACATGCATGGGGGTCCACCTTCCCAGAGCTGGAGCCCACATAGCTCCAGGACCTCAAGGGAAGCCCAGGGTCTGAGGGGCCCAGGAGGCCCATCCATGTGATGGACCCAAGGAGACTTTGGTGGCTTCTCTGTTAAGATTTGAAGGGGGCCAGGTGTGGTGGCTCACGCCTGTAATCCTAGCACTTTGGGAGGCTGCAGCAGGGGGATCACGAGGTCAGGAGTTCAAGACCAGCCTGGCCAACATAGTGAAACCTCATCTCTACTAAAAATACAAAAATAAAAATAAAAAATTAGCCGGGTGTGGTGGTGGGTGCCTGTAGTCCCAGCAGTTTGGGAGGCTGAGGCAGGAGAATCGCTTGAACCCAGGAGGCAGAGATTGCAGTGAGCTGAGATTGTACCACTGCACTGCAGCCTGGGAGACAGAGCAGGACTCTGTCTCAAAAAAAAAAAAAAAAAAAGATTTGAAGGGAGCCCAGGGGGCAGGACTGGGTGGGCACAGGATGGAGACAGTGACACCCTTGGTCTTGGGTGGCCCCTGCCAGCCCCAGCATATCCTCAGCAGATAGGGTGACAACAGCGCCTCTACCTCTAGTGGGAGGCGCAAGAGAAATTCACGCGATGCACTTGCCTGGGCTTGGTGAGTGGAAAGCTCCCCACTGACTCGAGGGCTGGTGGTGAGGATGGAGAGGGAGGTGGAGATGGAGGCGACAGCATGGGCAGAGCAAGAGCACAGCCGTGGAAGGGAGGTCCTCCCAGCTAGCCTTTGGGAGGCCCATGGCCAGTCTCGGGGCAGGAGGAAAGAATGTGAACCAAAAGCGGAACGTCCAGCCAGGGGAGGCCCCAGCAATGACTGTATCAGGGCTGAGTGTGATCACAGGAAAAGTCACCTAAGGACTGAAATCCAGTGGAGTCAAGACTACGTGGAAGCCTATCTCTCCATGATGGCAACTTTGGAAGAACGTGTGACCTTGTGGAAGTGCACAGAAGGCACTGCTGGCCTGAATGGGTCCTCGGGCTGCGGTCTCGGGGCCGGCTTCTCTCCCTTCCCCAGACCTGCTGTGGCTCCATCCCCTCTCTCCTGCATCCTGGGATTGCCTCCAATTAACTACCTGCTTACAAGCCTTTTCTTTATTTTCTTTTTGCCTTCTTTTCTTTACATGTAAAACATGAGTCCATCTGGAGCTTATTTTAAAGCACAGTATGAGGACTGACATTGACCTGTTTTTTTAAATGAAATAACTAGTTGTCCCAACCCTGCTTGTTGGATAACACTGCTCTGTTTCAGGAGTACCCCCACTGTCATACACCCGTGGGTCCATACCCCTGGGCTCTCCATCTGGGCACTCCCCTGCCTGTGGCACCTCCTTCCTGAGGGCCGGCCTCACCCAGGGCCCAGCTGCCCTCTCCATGGCCTGTGTCTTCCTTTCCTGATGCCTCAGATTTCCCCCATTCTCTGGCACTCTTTCCATCCTCCTGGCCTCACTCTGCACCTCCCCTGAGGTGCAGGACTGCCCTGCCCCAGCCCCCAGCTTCCTCACTCCCAAAGCATTGTGCCACTGAAGCACGAGCTCCAGAGTGCACCTGGATGGCAGCTTCTCTCCTGGCCAACAAACGCCTGGTGCTGGCTGCCCTCCCAGCATCTCCCCTCAACTCCTCAGCTCCACCCCAGGGCCTTAACACACACATGCATAGCACACACACATACAAACATATGCACACACAGACATGCACACAAATGTACATACGGACTTACACAGACACACACAAATGTGCACACATTCGTGCATACACAGATGTGTTCATGCAAACACACACGTGCACGCTCACGGGCACGTACACATGTGTAGGTTATGCTAAGAAATCCATTTTGTGTAGAAGACACTCAGGCTCAAATATGTGTCCAAAGTCACACAGCTATGGAGCGGCAGAACTCAGGTCTCTAGCGCACACAGCCCCGACTTACCGCAGTTCCACTTAACAGTTTTCAACTTTATAGTGATGCAAAAGCCATCCACAGTCAGCAGAAACCCTCGTGTGAGTCCCACACGGCCAGTTTTTCACTTTCAGTACAGCAGTCAATGATTACATGAGGTATCCGACACTTGACTACAAAACAGGCTTCGTGTTGATGCTTCTGCCCACCGCAGGCTCAGGGCAGTGTTCTCAGCAGGCCAAGGTGGGCCCCCCCACGCTGTGCTATTCGGTAGTCAGGTGGACTCAGTCATTTTCCACTCGCAGCGGCCTTATTGGGCCGCAGCCAGGGGTAAGTTGAGCAGTGTCTGTACTTTTAGCTCCACCCTGGGTATTTTTAAGTGGCAGATTTACAACAAAAAATAAAAATAAAAATGAAAAAATACAGCGTTCCAAATAGTAGGGGCATAAAAGGAGAGAATGCACGTTGTGGACAGCCCATGCCTGGGAGCATAAGCACTTCAGGGCATCACCAGGCGTGACTGGCTATTGTTCCTGCTCTTCCTGGCAGCAGCGGCCTGGGCCTGAGAGGGATCGCCCTGGCCACAGCTGTAGGCAAGGCTGCTGGGAGCCGCCACGCTCCGCGATAGCGAGTCTGCGGCGCCACCTCGTGGGTGCTGCGTGGAACTCCCCGTGGTGAGGGCGGGGAAGGCCGGGTCCCCACAAAGCCGGAGCCCGAGCACAGCGGTGGGAGCTCGCCCCAGGGCATCCCATAGCACCCGGAGACGGGGGCTGGTCCCCCAAAACCCTCAGGGGTGAGAGGAAGGAGGTCCCCAGCCTGCTGAGAGCTGTCCTCTGAGCACGCACTCGCGCACACTCACACGTGCATGTGTGCATCCTCGGGCACCCTGATGCGTTCACATGCACGTACACGCGTGTGCACACGCACAGTCTTTCACAAGCGTATGACGCGTTCACACAAGAGTGTGACGCGTTCACACGCACGCACACTCCCTCTCCCTCGAGCCTGGAAGGCGCACTGGGCTCATAGGGGTGGAAACCTCTACCGCGGCAGAGGCATGGCGCCAGGGCCAGGATGCTCGCTTTTATTTCAGACGTGAAAACTGAGGCCCGAAAGAGACAGCCAGTGTCCAACCCTGTCCAACGTCTCTGCTGATTGTGCCTCCTGTGTGCGGCCGGGGCCGGTGTGAGGGCTGCGGGCCCACCGCACGCCTGGCCCGCCCCAGGGCCTCGAGCCACTTCCTCAGGAGCTGCTGGCAGCTGCAGCGACAGCGCGCCCAGAGCCCGAGGGTCCCATGGAGCCAGGCTTCCCAGCACACAGGCGCGGTGGAGCCTCGGGGTGGGCATACACCCCGCGAGCTCGCGGGGGCTGGGCACTGCGGGTCCTCGGGTGGGGACTCTGGAGTTCAGTCTTGAAGGACACAGTCACTGAGGGTCAGGGAACCAGGAGGGTAGGGAGAGTAGGGAGGGGTGCCTAGGCCTAGTGGGAGAAGCATGTGAAAGTTCCCTAAGAGGGCTGGGGGTGAACAAGCGCTCGGCCCGGCCTCTCCCGGTAGACTGCTCTGGTGCCCTGAAGCCTCCCTTCTCCAAGGCCCCATGGACGCCCCCAGAGGGGTGACGCCCTCGCCCACGCTGAGCTCTGAGTGCTGCACGAGAACTCCCAGAGCCGTGTGCACACGCGCTCCCCGTGTTATAACTGGCATTAAGTGCACTCACATTGTCGCATATCCCCTACCACCGTCCATCTCCAGAACGTCTTCATCTTCCCAAAAGGAAACCAGACCCATTGAACACCAACTCCCTCCTTTTGTTAACCATTGCTCTTTCTGTATTTGAATTTGCCCATTCTGGGCCCCTCATGTAAGTGAAATCGCAATGTATTTGTCCTTTTGTGGCTGGCTTATTCCATCTAGCACAATGTCCTCAAGGTTCATGTGTGTTGGCACACCTCTCAGAATTTCCCTCCTGGCTGGGTGATATTATAGGCTCACGCCTATTATCCTAGCTGTTAGGGAGGCAGAGGTAGGAAGATAGCTTGAACCCAGGAGTTCGAGACCTGCCTGGGCAATATAGCGAGACTGCATTTTCCACAAAAAGAAAGAAAAAAAAGAATCTCCTTCCTGGTAAAGGTTCAGTAACAGTCTACTGTATGCATAACCACATTTCGCTTGCCCATCCACTCACCCATAGACCCTCAGAATGCTTCTACCTTTTGACTCTTGTGAATCACGCTGCTTTGAACATGGGTGTGCAAATATCTGTGAGAGTGCCTGCTCTCAAAAAAATCCACATTCTTGGCACCATGAAGAATCACCTCTCACAGACACCAGCGAAAACCAAGTCTGTCTGAGAGCAGAGGGTGAGGAGGGGAAAGCCGGGCTGCGGATCACAGTGGGCGGAGGAAAGCCCACCCTTGTGTTCCCATGTGTGGGAGGAGAGAGGAGAGATGCCCTCTAGTGAAGGAACTCTTGTAGCAGCCAGCTCCATTCCTGCTTGGCCTGCGGAGGGCCAGCTCAGGAGCCCAGACCAGGAAGAAGTCAAATGACCGACAAGATCCATCAGGAAGCAGAAGTGTGCTGTGTCTCATCGGCAACAACAAACAGAGCTAGGACCAGCCACCCACCCCCCAACCCAGGGGAAATGCATCCACCACACAACTACCACCGCTGCGCTCATGACACTCTCAGAGACAGGCACGGGAGCTCCTGGCAAGGCACAACCAGGGCAAGTGACAGTTTGCCAGTCCTGGGCAAGCAGACACTTATCCTCTCTCCAGTCCCCAATCCCACCAGCCTGCACAAGCAGAGAAACATCCTGCATAAATTAAAAGATCATCTGGATCATCAAAAGATCTGAGCAAACAAAACGACTGAGACAAAAAACAAACAAAACAAAACAAACAAAAAACAGAACAACAACAACAGAAGAACACTCATTTTTACAGAGAGATTTGAGCCCATCCCAACAGAGTACAATGCTCTTTCCAAGCTCATGGATGGCGTTTGGGAAAATTTAGCTGTGCTAAAGGAGCAGGAAGCCTCAGCCCCTTTCCCAAGAATTGCTGTTACACAAATCACATTCTCTCACCAGGGTGCAACAAAATTAGAAACATGCAATAACAAAGACCATGTTAAAAGTGCATTTTGGGGCCGGGCATGGTGGCTCATGCCTGTAATCGCAGCACTTTGAGAGGCTGAAGCGGGTGGATCACCCCAGGTCAGGAGATCGAGACCAGCCTGGGCAACATGACGAAACCCTGTCTCTACTAAAAATACAAAAAATTAGCCAGGCATAGTGGCAAAAGCCTGTAAACCCGGCTACTAGGGAGGCTGAGGCAACAAAATCACCTAAACTTAGGAGGCAGAGGTTGCAGTGAGATGAGATTGTGCTACTGCACTCCAGCCTGAGCGACAGAGTGAAACTCTGTCTCAAAAAAGAAGAAAAAGTGTGTTTTGGAAACAAAGTTAGTTTTCACAATGAAAATTATAAAATGCCTGGAACTCAATAGCAATAGGGTATTACATATTAAAATTATGAAACTCAACAAAATTGACATTTAGGGAGAAATTTATATCCTCAGATTAATTTGTCAGAAACAGGATAAAAGGAGAAAGCTGATGATAATTTGAGTAAAAGAGAAAATAAAAACTAAAATGAAAAACTTTTCAGAAACAAACTACAATAAGTGTGTGACCTATCAAAATCTCTGGATGTGTCCAAAGCAGTTCTCAGGGGAAACGTTATAGCTGGAAGTGTTTGTTAATATGCTTCAACAGAAGACATATAAAATTATATAAACTAAGTAAACATACAAGAAGCTTTTTTAAGGGAAACAAGAAATAAATGTATTTAATTTTAAAACAGCCATAATAAAAGTAGACTTGATAAATAAAACCCAAAACCACTTCTTTGAAAAGACCATTAAAAAAACCTCTGAGAAGTCAAGCAAAAGAGAAAGAAAAGGCACAAATTTTAAAATGTTAGATTTAGAAAAATGACATAATAACCAACGTGGAGAAGCTGCTTCAAATCAAGGAGACGGGAGGCCAGCTTCATTCCATGGGAGGCCAGCTTCATTCCAGTAGGTTCTGTTTCACCTGGATGAAATGGAAGATTTTCTTGGAATGTATAAATTGGCTTAGCAGGAGGCAGAAAACCTGAATAAACAGAACAAACAGAAATGGTAAGCAGGTGCTCGAGGGGCTCCATCAGCCTCCAGGGATGGGCTGCTGTGTTAGGGAGGGCCAGAGCACAGGGGAAGTGGAGTGTAATTCTTTCTACAAGATTAGCAAGCTGAACTTGAATCTCACACACGCACACACACCACAGTGACATGGAAAGAATCCACAGGACACTTATGAGAGGTAAAAATAGAAAGTTTCTGCACAAAACAATCGTGTGTGTTTAAAAGATACCATGTGGCAGAAAATAGTGATCTATGTTTGCCAGTGTCTAGGAAGAAACCTTGAAGGCGCACGCCAGACTGGCGGCTGGGTTGGCTAGGGAGGAGACGATGGGGTGGGAGCAGCTAAGGACGACACACACTCTTTTAACTCTGTTCCTGTGTTGTCGGGACGTTTACAAACTGAAGATATATATTTTTAATTAATTATTTTTTTTTTAATTTTACTTTAAGTTCTGGGATACATGTTCAGAACATGTAGGTTTATTACATAGGTATACATGTGCCATGGTGGTTTGCTGCACCTATCAATTTGTCATCTAGGTTTTAAGCCCTGCATGCATTAGGTATTTGTCATAATGCTCTCCTTTCCCTTGCCTCCAACCCCTGGATAGAACCTGGTGTGTGATGTTCCCCTCCCTGTGTCTACGTGTTCTCATTGTTCAGCTCCCACTTATGAGTGAGAACATGAGGTACAAACTGCAGATAGTTATACATTACTTTAAAGTAATTAAGTTAAACTAAACTAAATGTAAGCCAACTACATGTAAATAAATAAAACCAATAATTAATAGCAAGATAAAAGTAATTAATACTTAAATAATTACTAATTTATTTCTCAGCTAAAAATTAAAAATTTAGAAAATGTGGAAATGTGTTTCATAATAGGAGGATATTTAAAATGAAAGGGCATTTCTGTAGTCAAATGGGTAGGAGACTCACCCAAACAAGACACAACCTCAAAACCAAAAGGAAAACTATCAGGTTTGATTATACGAATACTGAAAACCTCTGAATACATGAAAGGCAAATTCTATATCCCATGAAACTACCCTTCAGAAATGAAGAGAGAAATAAAGACATTCTCAGAGGAAGAGAATATAGGAATTTGTCACTGGTCAATTTAGAAATGCTAAAAAGTGGCTACAGAAATATGTTCTGTCATTTCCACAATATAAAAAATTAAAACAAAAAAATCAAAATAAAAAAATGGCTATAGAAAGTTCTTATGCAGAAGGGATGAATATGGGACTATGGGAGGAGGGACAAAGGAAAGACGAGAAATGTGGATACATATGCGAGACAATCCACAGTTCTTAAAATCACATTTGACGACTGAAACAAAAACTATACCACCACCTAATACTCAAGCCAGTGATTTATACAAGTGGAAAAGGTAAAGAGACATAAATGCAAGGCAGGTTTCCACACTTTGAAGTGGTAAATACTGGTACCAGTAGACTACTATATTACAATACACATATTGTAACATCCAGAGCAAACACTTTAAGACTATACAAAGAGATACACGCAACAACATTATACAGAAATAGATCAAGATGGAGGGAAAGAAAAAGGAAACAAAAAAGCAAATAATAAAAACATCAGACATAAGCAATTATGTAACAATAAGCACCTTAAATGTAAATGGTCTAAATAAACCAAAAGACAGATTGATGGAGAGCCTATAATAAACACATGGCCCAACTAAATGCTGTTCATAAGAAACTTCAAACTCACTTAAGGACCTAAGTAGGTTGAAAGTAAAAGAATGGAGAAAGATATCCTGTGAAATCATTAATTTTTTAAGGAAGCAGGAGTGAATATATTAATATCTCATGAAGTAGACTTCAAGCAAAATAATTTACCAGAGCTGGAGAGGGTCTTCGCTGAATTTTAAGATCTAAAATTTCCTATGCTGCCTTGACATGTTTGAGCCTCACAGGGCCCCAAAGACCTAGCCGTGGGTTTTCCTGTTTCTACCAGACACCCCCTACCCCGCCACCCAACAGGAAAGGCTCCCCACCTGGCTAGTTCTTTTATCAGCCAGAACAGTTGCACCTCAGCCTAAGAAGTTTCACTTCACCTGTCTGCCAGCCCATGAATTTATTCAAACAAGCCAATTGCATTCCCCCTCGGGAACCATTGGTCATCGTGTGCTCTTGTTACTACCAAGCCCGCCTGCTTCCTCAGCCCGCAGCCCTCACTCCACTACAGAGTGCGGTGCCCATCTGACCCTGTGTGGCATGCAGTGTCCTCCTCTGAGCTGTGGGTATATGTGACTAAAACACTGCTGTCAATCGCATCCATCCACGCCAGGTGTCGTGTTCAGCCATCTCCTACACTTTAGGGCAGGGACCCCTCCTTCACCAATGGGGTGAAAAGAGGAAGTGACCATAACAACTGCTTAATGACAAAAGGATTAACCCACCAAGAAGACATCTACTTCAACATCCTCCTCTTAGCAACTGTTAAAACTAGGCAGAGGCCGGGCACAGTGGCTCATGCCTGTAATCCCAGAACTCTGGGAGGCAAAAACAAAGGATAGCTTGAGGCCAGGAGTTCGAGCCTGGGCAACATAGCAAGGCCTCATCTCTCCAAAAAATTTTAAATTTAGCCAGGTGTGGCGGCACACACCTATAGTACCAGCTACTCAGGAGGTTAAGCCAGGGGAAGTACTTGACCCTAGGAAGTCAAGGCTGCAGTGAGTCATGTTCGTGCCACCGCACTCTAGTGTAAGTGACAGAGTGAAACTAGGCACAAAAGGAGCAAGGATTTACAAAAGATCTGAACAGTCAACCAGCAAAATCTGACATCCGTATAATACCCCACTCCCCAACAGCAAAACACACACATTTTTAAAGCCAATAGAAATCTACCAAGATGAGGTACACTTGGGGCAATAAAAGAACTCACAGCAAATCTCGCTGTGTGCCCCTCTGCACCAGCGCCGTGCCCCTCTCTGCACCTTCTTTTCTCACCATGGGGAAGCGTTTGGGGGCCTCTTGAGGGACACCCTAGATGCTTCTACTCAGAGCCCCCAAAGCCGGGGAGCCTCCACTCCTCTGTCTGCAGCCTCCCCTGTCGGTTCTCCGCTACCCAGGGTTCAGTGGCCTGGGGGTGACGGAGGGGGTCGCCTCTGCCAAGGCCCCTCCCGGCGCCTCCCTGGCTCATCCAGCCCACCTTCCTCCCACGCTGGCTCACGCAAAGTGCTCCGGTCACCAGGAGCCCTTCCTGACCAGCCCCAGCCCCTTCTTGGCCTTCGCCCACCCGGCCTCCCCTGGAGCCCTGACCTGGGTGCCGGGCCTGCTGGGTCCAGAGCCCACCCCGCCCTGAACAACCCCGAGTCTCAGCCACCCTCGGTTCTTACCCTTTCACAGCTGGGGAGTGGAGCCTGGGCCTGCGCCTCTCCGCGCCAGAGCCGGCGCCAGCGCCTCTCCGCGCCTGCGCCGCCGCTGCGCGCCTCGCCGCCGCTGTCCGCCTCTCCGCCGCTGTCCGTCTCTCCGCCGCGCCGCCGCTGTCCGCCTCTCCGCCGCTGTCCGCCTCTCCGCCGCTGTCCGTCTCTCCGCCGCGCCGCCGCTGTCCGCCTCTCCGCCGCTGTCCGCCTCTCCGCCGCGCCGCCGCTGTCCGCCTCTCCGCCTCTGTCCGCCTCTCCGCCGCTGTCCGTCTCTCCGCCGCGCCGCCGCTGTCCGCCTCTCCGCCGCTGTCCGCCTCTCCGCCGCGCCGCCGCTATCCGCCTCTCCGCCGCTGTCCGCCTCTCCGCCGCTGTCCGTCTCTCCGCCGCGCCGCCGCTGTCCGCCTCTCCGCCGCTGTCCGCCTCTCCGCCGCGCCGCCGCTGTCCGCCTCTCCGCCTCTGTCCGCCTCTCCGCCGCCGTCCGTCTCTCCGCCGCGCCGCCGCTGTCCGCCTCTCCGCCGCCGTCCGCCTCTCCGCCGCGCCGCCGCTGGCCGCCTCTCCGCCGCCGTCCGCCTCTCCGCCGCGCCGCCGCTGGCCGCCTCTCCGCCGCCGTCCGCCTCTCCGCCGCGCCGCCGCTGGCCGCCTCTCCGCCGCCGGCCGCCTCTCCGCCGCCGTCCGCCTCTCCGCCGCGCCGCCGCCGTCCGCCTCTCCGCCGCCGTCCGCCTCTCCGCCGCGCCGCCGCCGTCCGCCTCTCCGCCGCCGTCCGCCTCTCCGCCGCGCCGCCGCCGTCCGCCTCTCCGCCGCCGTCCGCCTCTCCGCCGCGCCGCCGCTGGCCGCCTCTCCGCCGCCGTCCGCCTCTCCGCCGCGCCGCCGCTGGCCGCCTCTCCGCCGCTGTCCGCCTCTCCGCCGCGCCGCCGCTGTCCGTCTCTCCGCCGCGCCGCCGCTGGCCGCCTCTCCGCCGCTGTCCGTCTCTCCGCCGCGCCGCCGCTGGCCGCCTCTCCGCCACTGGCCCCCTCTCCGCCACGCCGGCGCCAGCGCTGTGTGCCTTTGCGAGGGCGGAGCTGCGGTCTCCTCAGCACAGACCCGGAGAGCATTGCGAGGGCGGAGCTGAGTTCTCCTCTGCAGACTTCGGAGATACAGCGAAGGCAGAGCAATGTTCTCCTCAGCAGAGACCCGGGCGGGCGGGCCGGTGGCACCGCGAGGGCGGAGCTGCGTTCTGCTCTGCACAGACCTTGGGGGCACTGCCTCGCTTTGGGACAACTCAGGGCCGCATGGACAGTGAATAAAATCCTTCCTGTTTGCAGCCCTGTTTGTGGTTGGTGGCAGCGATGGACACTGCAGCCAGCCAGAGCGTAGAAAGGCGTCGGGGTAAGTGCACTATCCAGGCTGCACTGTGGGTGGCCTGGGACGGGTTGGGAGCCCTATCTCAGGCGTCACTGCCCGTCTTGGGTGGCCGGTTGGGTGTGCTATCTGGGGCTGTGCTGCCTGCACCGGGCGGGGGGGGGGTGGTTTGGGGGCCAAACCGGGGCTGCACTGCCTTTGGTGGGGAGCCGGTTGGGGGCACTATCCCAGACTGTATTGCTGGCAACAGTGAGGTGGGCTAAGTGTGCTATCCGGGGCTGCACTGTGCGGCTGTCGGGGGGGTGGCGGTTTCGGGTTGAGGGCGCTATGGGGTGCTGTAATGCCCATGGTGTGGGGAGGCGGGGCAGTTTGGGTATGTTGGGTGTGCTATTGGGGGGGTGACACTGCTGGTGGTAGGGGGCAGGGTGGGTTGGGGGCCATATCAGGGGCTGCACTGATGGCTTTAGCTAGGATTTCTGGTACTATGTTAAACAACAGTGGTGACAGGGGGCATCCTTATGTTCCAGATCTTAGAGGAAAAGCTTTCCATTTTTCCCCATTCCATATGATTCTAGCTGTGGGTGTCTTTCCTGTAGTTTTTATTACGTTGCGGTATGTTTCTTCTGTGCCCGTTTCTTTGAGGATTTATAGCATGAAGGGATGTTGAATTTCATCAAATGCTTTTTCAGTTTCAGTTGACGTGATGATACTGTTTTTGTCGTTTATTTGGTTGATATGATGTATCACATTGTATGTTGAGTGACCCTTGGGTCCCAGGGATACATCCCACTTGATCATGATGAATTATCTTTTTAATGTATTACTGAATTTGATTCACTGGTATTTTGTTGAGGATTTTTGCATCAATATTAGAGATCCTGGCCTGTAGTTTCCTTCTTTGATGCTTTTGTCTGATTTTGGTATCACAGTAATAATGGTCTCATAGAATAAGTTTGGAAGTATTCCCTCCTGTTTTTCAAAATAGTTTGAGCAGGATTCGTACTAGGTCTTTAAATTGTTTGGTGTGAAGCCATCAGCAGTGAAGACATCAGTTCCTGGGCTTTTCTTTACTGGGAGACTTTTTCTGATGGCTTCAATCTCATTACTTGTTACCAATCTGTTCTGGTCTTGGATGTTTTCATTGTTTAACCTAAGTAGGTTGTATGCATCTAGGAATTTGCCAATTTCTACTAGGCTTTCCAATTTATTGGCATATAGTAGCCAGTTATGATCCTTTGAATTTCTGAAGTATTAGTTGTAATGTCTCCTTTTTTTAATCTGTTGATTTTATTTATTTGAATCTTGTCTCTTTTCTTAGCCTGGTTAAAAGTTTGTCAATTTTGTTTAGCTTTCCAGAAAACCAACTTTTCGTTTAATCTTGTCTGTTTTTTATTTCAATTTTGTTTGTGCTATGATCTTATTTATTTTCTTATTTTCAGTTTAGTTTGTTCTTTACTAGTTCTTTAAGATGTATTGTTTATTTGAAGGTTTTCTTTTGTTTGGATGGTAGGCACTTATAGCTGTAAATCTCTGCCTTTGTACTGCTTTCTGCATAACAAGTTTTGGTATACTGTGTTTTCATTACCCTTTGTTTCATGAAATTTTTGAATTTCTGTCTTAGTATCTTCATTGACCCACTAGTCATTTATTCAGGAGGGTAGTGTTTAACTTCCATGTGATTGTATTGTTTCCAAAATTGCTTTTCTTATTGATACCTAGTTTTATTCCTTTGTAGTGAAAGAAGATGGCCACGGAGACAGACAGCAGCGTGGTCAGAGTGGTAGGAGCCGGCCATCAGCGAGAGCTGCTCCATGCCTGGCTGCTGGGTCCTAGAGCCTGTGGCCCACTGGCTTGCCTCACTGTGGTTGGTGGTGGTGGTGACAGAGACTGCAGGACGACCAGAGTGGTAGGACAGGGGCTATCCAGGGCTGCACCTTTCGCAGTGTGGGGTGGGTTGAGGGCGCTATCCAGGGTGTCATTGCCTGCATTAGGGGTACTGGTTGGTAGCACTGTACAGGGCTGCACTGCCCACGGCAGGGAGGGTGGGTTATGGGTGCTCTCTGGGGCTGCAATGCCCATGGAGGAGGACAGGTTAGGGCACTATCAGTTATACGCTACTGGCGGCATTGGGGGACGGAGGTGGGGGGCGCTATTGAGGGCAGGGCTAGCCATGGAGCGGGGGCGAGTTCGGTGCTATCAGGGGCTGCACTGCTGGTGTCGGTCAACAGAGTTGGCATCCAAGGAAGGAGTGGTTCTCCTCTCCCTGACTCCACACTCCAGAGGGCGACCCACTCTTGGTCATACTGGAGTGCAGCAGGGCACACAGCGTTTGCGTGGGAATCCTGAGCATGGCAGAGCCCCCACACCCACCGTGGTTCCTGGGCCTGTGTACTGTGGGTCTGTGCCTCAGAGGCTGCCAGGCACCCCTGGGGACACCACGGGGGACAGGGCCCTGTGCGTGGAGGTGTCCGGAACAGGAATTGGCACCTGGGTGTGGAGGGCTGGCTGGGTCTGAATTTTTCTGCTTCTCCTGCTCCCCGAGGAGTGCAGCCCCAGTGGGCCCAATGGTTCCTGTGGAGTGGGGAGCTGGATGCTGTGGTGTCTCCAGCACCCACCCCAGACCCCAGTTCCTGCCCAGCTTGGGCCAAAAGGAGAGGCTGGACTTTGTAGGGTGGGTGTGAGTGCCTTTGCTGAAACTGGCCCCTGCCACCCAGTGGCCGGCATGACAAGTTGAGGCTCTAACCCTTCCACCCCTCACATCTTTCCCTAGGCTTTTCTGGCTTTGCCCGCCCAGCTGCTCTGTGCCAGGAGGAGGAGGAGACACCTAGAGCCTGCGACACCATGGCTCGCCTCGCTGCGGGTGGGCGGCAGTGACAGAGACTGCGGTGCGCCAGAGTGGTAGGAGAGCGGCTGCGCTAGGAGGGCAGGCGGCTGCAGCCAGGGTTGGGGGTCAGGCTTAGAGCGATGGACGGGCTGCAGCAGTGGCCAGGTGGTAGGAGCCTTGTAGGGAGGGCTGGTGCCTTGGCAATGGGCCTGGCTTTGCCCTGCGCCTGCCGTGGATCTGGCCCTGTACTGCCCTGCCTTGCCCTGTACCTGCCCTACTGTTACTTGGACTCTCGGCCCTGTCCTGCTCTGGTCCCATCCTGACCCTGTCTTGGCCCTGTGCTACCCTGTCCCTGCCCTGGTCTTGCCCTGGCACTGGCCCTGCCCTGAACCTGCACTGGCCTGACCTTGGCTCTGGCCCTGGCTCTGGCCCTGCCTCTTGTCCTGACCCTGGTCGTGTCATGGCACTGGCCCTGCCAATGGTCATGGTCCTGCTCCTGTTCTGGCCCTGACCTGGCCTTGGACATGTCCTGGCCCTGCTTTGGCCCATCCCTGCCCTGGCTCCACCATGGGCCTGCCTGTTCTGCCCTCTCCTGGCACTGACCTTGCCCTGTCATGGCCCAGTGGTGCCATTGCCCTGCCTTACCCTGCGCTGGTTGTGACTTGGCCCCGCTTGGTGCTGGCCACTCCCTGGACCTGCCCTGGACCTGCCCTGACCCTGCCCTTGGCTTTTGCCCTGCCCTCACTATGGCCTGGCCCTGGCCCTAGCCCTGGTCCTGCCATATCCCTGGCCCTGCCCTTATCCAGGCCCTGCCCCTGCTGCTGCCCTGGCCCTGGCCTGGAACCTGGTCCTGTCAAGAACCTGCCCTGACTCTGCCATGGCCCTGGCCCTGCTCTGCCTTGTTCCTGGCCCTGACCCAGACCCAGACCCTTTCCTGGCTCTGCACTGGACTTTCCCTGGCCCTGAGCTGGCAATGGTCTGCCCCTGGTCTTGCCATCACCCTGCCCTGCTGCGCTCTGGATGTGTCATCACCCTGCCCTGGCCCTACTCTGCCTTTGACCCTGCCCTGGCCTTACCTTGGCCCTCACCCTAGCCTGCGCTAGACCCTGCTCTGGAGCTGACCCTAGCACAGACCTGGCCCTGATCCTGGCCGTGGTCTTTGTCCTGCCATAGCCCTGGCCCTGAAGTGGACTTGGAGGTGTCCTGGCCCCGGCATAACATGGCTCTGCATTGGCCTGTCCCTGCCCTGCCGCTACCATCTCCTTGCCCTGCTCTGTCCTGTCCCAGTACTGACCCGGCCATGCTATTTCCCTTCCCTACCCTGCCTTGGCTGTGCCCTGGCTCGGTTCTGGCCCTGGCCCTGGCCCTGCCCTGGACATGCTCTGACACTGCCTCAGCCTCGGCACTAGCCTGGCTCTTTCTTGGCATCAGCTCTGCTCTCTCTGTGGACCGGCTCTTGTCCTGTCCTGCACTGGCCATACCATGCCCTGCCCTGCCCTGCCCTGACTCAGTCCCGGGTCAGCCCTGGCCCAACCTTGGCCTTGGCATTGCCCCTGGTCATGCCATATTTCTTGCCCTGTCCCTACCCTGGCCTTGGCCCTGACCCTTACCTTGCTGTGGCCCTGCCCTTGCCCTAACGCAGCCCCTGGCCCTGTCATGGCCCTGCCCTGGACCTGTCCTGGCCCTGGCCCTTCCCTGCTTGAGACCTTGCCCTGGTTCTCCCCTGGCCCTGACCCTGAAATGCCTGGCCCTACCCTGGCCTTGCACTGCTCTGGCCCTTGCCCTGACTCTGGTCCTGTCACTGGCCTAGCCCCAGCCCTGTTGCTGGTCTTACCATGGCCCAGACCCTGCCTTGGCCCTGCCCTGACACTGTCCTGGACCCTGGCTGTGCCAAGAACCTGCACTGTCCTTGCCATTGTTTTGCTCCTGCCCTGAACCTGGTCTTCCCCAGGCCGTGGCCATGGCCCTGGCCCTGGCCCTGCCCAGGTCTTGGCACTGTCCTGGCCCCGCCCTGCCCTGGCCCTGCCCTGCCCTGGCCCTATGCTTTCCTGGCCCTGCCTTGCCGGCCCTGGCCCTGCCTTGGCCCTAGCCTGGCTTTGACCCTGCCCTGGCCCTACCTTGGCCTTCACCCTAGCCTTACCTGGGCACTGTGTTGGACCTGGCCATAGCACAGACCTGGTTGTGGCCCTGGTCCTGCTGTGGCCCTGTCTCAGACCCTAGCCCTGCCAGGTACCTGTCCTGGCCCAGCTCTGGGCCTGGCTTTGTCCCTGGTTCTTAGATGAACCTGGCCCTGCTCCTGCCCTTGCTGTTGCCCTGGCACTGGCCTTGGACATGTCCATGGTCCTAACCCTGGCCCTGCCCAGGAGCTGCCACTGTCTTGGCTGTGCCCTGGCTCTGGCCCTGCCCCGGCCCCAACCATAGACCTGCCCTGGTTGGTCGTGCCCTACCTTAACCCTGTGCTACCCTGGGCCTGCTCCACCCTGCCCTGGCCCTGCCCTCCCTTTGGCCCTGCCCTGACCCTGCCTTGGCCCTCACACTGGCCCTAGCACAGACCTGGTCCTATGTGTGGCCTAGGCCTGGCATTGACCCCTGCTCCTGACCCCGGTCCTGCCATGGCCCTGGCCCTGCCAATGACCCTGGCAGCCCTGACCCTGGCCCTGTCTTGGCCCTGGCCCTGAACTGGCCCTGCCCTGACCCTGGCCCTGAAGTGGATTTGCAGGTGTCTTGTCCCTGATGTAACCTGGTCTTACCATGGCCCTGTCCCTCCCCTGGCTCTGTCCTGGCCTTCTGCTGACCCTGACCCAGACCTTGGTCCTGCCCCAGCCTTGTCCTAGATCTGGCCATGGCCCTGCATCTTCCCTGGACCAGCACTGGCACTGGCATGGACCCTGGCCCTGACCCTTCGCTACTTAAGGCCATACCCTGGCCCAGCCCTGGTCCTGACCCTGTCCTGGCCCTAATTTGGCCTGGCTCTACCCTGGCATGCTATTCTGGCCCTAGCCCTGACCCTGTCCCTGTCCCTGTCCTGGCCCCAGCCCCATTGCTGGTCCTGCCACGGCCCTTGTCCTGACATTGCCCTTTCCTGGTTCTGGCCCTGGCCCTGTCCCAGCCCTGCTCTGGCCCTGGTCTGAACCCTGGCCCTGCAATAGACCTGCCTTGGTCCTGCCCAGACCCTGGCTCTGGCCCTACCTCTGCCCTGGCCATACCCTTGCCCTGGCCTGGACCCCAGTCCTGGTCCTTGTCCTGCCCCAGCCGTGGCCCTGGCCCTGCCCTGCCTGTGCCCTGTTCTATCCTGGGCTGGCCCTGCCATGGCCTGGTCTTGCCATTGCCCTGCCCTAGCCTGCCCTGCTTGTGCCCTAGATCTGCCCCGGCCTTTGCCCCTGTCTTGGTTCTAGCCTTGACTGAGCCCTGGACCTTCCCTGATCTTGCCTCAGCCCTGGCACTACCCTGGCCTTGCCTTGGCATTTGCCCTACTCTCTCTATGGCCTGGCTCTGGTCCTGCCCTGCTCTGCTCTTGTTCTGTCCTGGCACAGCCCTGGCCCTGGCCCTGGCCCTGCCGTATCACTGGCTCTGGTCCTGCCCTTATGCAGACCTGACCCTGCCACTGCCTTGGCTTTGGCCTGGACCTTGGCCATACAGTGACCCTGCCATGACCCTTTCCTGGCCCTGGCCTGGAACCTGGCCCTGCCAAGGACTCGCCCTGGCTCTGTCATGGCCCTGGCCCTTTCCTGGATTTGGATGTGTCCTGTCCCTTATTTGCCCTGGCCCTTCCCTGGCTCTGCCATACCCCTTCTCTGGGGTAGGGCCAGGGTCAGGACCAGACCAGGGCAGGGTCAGGACCAGGGTAGGGCCATGGTAAGGCCTGAAGATGGGAAGGGCCAGGGCAGCGGCTGGACCAGGGAAGGGTCAGGGCCAGGGATGTAGTAGGACTAGGGGCAGAGCCGGCACTAGGGCTGAGCCAGGACAGAGCAGGAGAGATTACATTGGGCTATTACATAAAATTTTTATTTTAGATTTTTAAGATAACTATAGTAGTAGTAATGTCTATACTATATTGTTTGTAATAGTAATAATATTTGCAGTAATCACTAAATTTTAACTAATACTATCTTTGCTTCCAGTAGTGTTCTATGAGTATAATTTTATCAATATGTTAATATGTGAGGCATTGATTCTCACAATAATTCTATGTGCTAGGTACTTAAAGCATCCCCATTTTCCAAATATAGGAAACAGGTATAAAGAAGTTAAATACTTGGCCAGATTACTCCTGTAATCCCAGCACTTTGGGAGGCCAAGGCAGGCAGATGGCTTGAGCTCAGGAGTTTGGAACCAGCCTGGGCAACATTGTGAAACCCCATCTCTACTAAAAATGCACAAAAAGAACTAATTTAAGTTTCTTGTAGGATTCTGGTTATAAAACACTGGTCAAACACACAGGGCATGGATAGGGCAGGGCCAGGGACAAGGTCAGGCCAGGAAGGGGCCAGGGCCAAGGCAGGGCCAGAGATGGACTTGGAGATGTCCTGGTCTGATTTGCCCTGCCCCAACGTTGGTCCAGCCCTGCTCTGGCACTTCCTGTCATGCCCTGTCCCTGGCCTGAGCATTGGCCCTGGCCCTGTCCTGCTTCTGGCCCTGCCCGGGAGTTGACCAGGCACTGCCATGGCCCAGTCCTGCATTGCCCTGCCCTCCTCTGCCCTGGTGCTACCATGGCCCTGCTTGGGCCCTAGCTCTGCCTCGACTCTGGACCTGCCCTGACTCTGCTCAGCCCTGGATCTACCCTGACTCTGCCTTGGTGTTGCCCTCCCATCTCTATGGCCTGGCTCTGGCCGTGCCTTGCACAGATCATGCTCTGCCCTGCGTGTCCCAGCCTGGGCCCAGCCCTCGTCCTACCATATTCCTGACCCCAGCCATACCCTTGTTCTGGCCGTGACCCTGCCGTGGCCCTCTCCTGGCCCTTCCTTGGTCCTGCCCTGCCTTTCCATGCCCTGGCCTTGCTCTCACCCTGCATTGGCCCTGCACTGGTCCTGCCCTGCCCTGGCACTGCCTTGGCCCCGGCCCTGCCTTCTCCCTGGTCTTGCCTTTGCCCTGCCCTGGCCTGACCCCAGGCCTACCGAGTCCATGAAATGGCCCTGGACCTGCCTTGCCATCGTCTGTCCTGGCCCTGTATTGTCCCCACCATGCTCTGGTCCAGCGCTTGCCCTGGCCCTGTTGCTAGTCCTGCCACTGTTATGGCCCTGCCCTGTTTTTGGCCATGCCCTGTGCTACCCTAGCCCTGCCCTGCCTTGGCCTTGGCCCTACCATGGCCTTCTCCTACCCTGGCCTGGCCCTACACTGGCCTTTTCTACTCTGGCCTTGCCCTTCCCTGGTCTTGCCTTGCCCTGGCCTTGCCCTGCCCTGGCCTTGGCTTTGCCTTATCCTGGTCCTGGTTCTGCCCTGACCCTGGCCTTGCTCTGGATCCTCTCTGGTTCTGCTTTCTCCCTGGCCCTGCCCTTGCTCTGGCCCTGTCCCTGGCCCAGCCTTGACCCTGACCCTGGCCCTGACAATCCCCAGGTCTGACACTGGCCATGCTTGGCCCTGGCCCCTCCTTTTGGCCCTGCCCTGGCCCTGCCTTGGCCCTGTGCTATCTTAGTCCTGCCCTGGCCCTGAACTCACCCTGGCCCTACCCTCACCCTACACTGGCCCCGCCCTACCCTGGCCTTGCCCTGCCCTGGCCCTGCCTTTGGCCTGCTCTGGCTCTGGTTCTGCCCTGGCCTTGCCCTTGCCCTGGACCCTCCCTGGCCGTGTTTTTTCCATGGTCCTTCTCTGGCCTTGCCCTTGCCCTGTCCCCTTTCTGGTCCTGCCATATTTCTGGCCCTGTCCTGTCCATGTCCTGGACCTGACTCTGGCCCTGGACCTCCCTGTCCCTGCCCTGCCATACCCTGGCCCGTTCCTTGCTCTACACTGACCCTGCCCTGCCTTGGCCCTGCACTACCCTAGCCCTGCCCTGGCCTTCTGCTGACCCTGATCCTGCCATGGCCCTGGCCCTGCCATGTCCCTGCCCTGGCCCTGGTTCTGCCCTGCTTCTGGCCCTGGCCTTGGTCCTCTCATGTCCCTGGCCGTGACCCTGCCCCTGGTTTTTCTCTGGCCATGACCCTGCCCCTGTTCTGTCCTATCCCTGGCCCTGTCTCAGTTCTGTCCTAGCCCTGGCCTTTCACAGTACTTTATGCTTAGTAAGGGCTCCATGGTGTCTGTGAGTTGAATGTAGTGTTCATAGTATCTGCCAAAACAGAAAGAAAAAAAACAAAATATTTTGATAAGAAGTTAAAGCTTTGTATATAATATGCCTTGAATTGTAAATGCCTGTTATTAGTTGTATTACATATAGGTCATGGTTTTGTACACATAACTCCAAACCATTGATACTGTTAAAAGAATATATGAATATATGAAAGAATGTATAAACGTAAGAATGTATCAGTATCTAATGACCTTTCCAAATTAATATTTATTTTTAGCTCTATTAGATTTTTCTCAGTGTAACAAACGTTTATTCCTATGTAATTAAGGGCGTATTTCCTGTACAGAATATTCATATTACCTAATTGAAAATTATATGATACAAAAATATAATACTATTTTTAGGCCAGGCATGGTGGCTCATACCTGTAATCCCAACATTTTGAGAGGCCAAGTTTGGAGAATCATTTGAGTCCAGGAGTTGACCAGCCTGGGCAACATAGTGAGACCTTGTCCTTATTAAATAAATAAATAAATAGGTTGGGCACTGTGGCTCATATCTGTCATCCCAGCATTTTGGGTTGCCAGTGCAGGAGGATTGCTTGAGCCCAGGAGTTTGAGACCAGCCTGGGCAGAATAGCAAGACTCCATCTCTACAAATAATAAAATATTAACCAGGTGTGGTGGTGCACACCTGGGGTCCCAGCTACCTGGGAGGCTAATGTGGGAGGTTTTCTCGAGGCTGCAGCGAACTGTGAATGCACCACTGCATTCCAGCCTAGGCCACAGAACAGGACCTTGTCTATGAATAAAGAAATAAGTAAAAATATAAATAAAAATAAGTAAAAAGAAATATTAGTAAATATAAATATAAATACATATAAATATAAAAATGCATGCATGAAAAGAAACAATTTTTAAATTTAACATCACTGAGGGCATCCTATCCATTTCATTTCATGATTCCATTATGTCATTTCACTTAGATGAAATGATAAGATGACTTGAGATGAGATGAAATGATGAGATGAAATAACAAAATGATGAGATGAGATGAGATGATGAGATGAAATTTTGAGATGAAATGGAGAGTGGAAATGATGAGATTAAATGATGAGATGAAATGACAAAGTTGAAAAGAAATTGAAAGGAGATGAGATGAGATGAAATGAGATGAAATGATGAGATGATGAAATGATGAGATGAAACGAGATGAAATGATGAGATGAAATGAAATGAAATAATGAAATGATATGAAATAATGAAATTGAAATGAGATGAGATGAGATGAAATAATGAGATAAAATGAGATGAAATGAGATGAACGATGAGATGACATGATGAGATGAAATGAGATGAAAAATGATGAGATGAAAAATGAGATGAAATGAAATAATGAAATGAAATAATGAAATGAGATGAAATGAAATGAAATAATGAAAGGAAATTATGAAATGTAATGAAATTGAAATGAAATTGAAATGAGATGAGTTGAAATGATGAGATGTAATGATGAAATGAAATGATGAAATGAGATGAGATGAAATGAGATGAAATAATGAGATGAAATGAGATGATGAGATGAGATGAAATCATGAGATGAAATGATGAAATGAAATGAAATGATGGATGAAATGATGAGATGAAATGAGATGAAATGTAATGAGATGAAATGAAATGACATAATGAAATGAAATAATGAAATGAGATGAAATAATGAAATGATGAAATAATGAAATGAAAATGAAATGGAAATGATGAGATGAGAAGAAATGATGAGATGAGATGAGATAAAATGAGATGAAATGATGAGATGAAATGAAATGATGAGATGAGATGAAATGAGATGAAATATGATGAGGTGAAATGACATAATGAAATGAAATGATGAAATGGAATAATGAAATGGAAAAGAGATGAGATGCAATGAGTTGAAATGAGATGAAATGATGAAATGATGAGATGAAATGATGAGATGAGATGTGATGAAATGATGACATGAAATGATGACATAAAATGAGATGAAATGTAATGATGAAATGAGATGAAATGAGATGAGATAAAATGATATGAAATGAGATGAATGATGAGATGAAATGATGAGATGAGATGAGATGATGAGATGAAATGATGAGATGAACTGATGAGATGAAATGAAATTGAAATAAATAAATAAAATTGAAATGACATGAGATGAAATGAGATGATGAAATAAAATGATAAAATGATGAGATGTGATGAGATGAAATGATGAGATGACATGAAATAATGAAATGAAATAATGAAATGAAATTGAAATGAGATGAGAAGATACGAGATGAAATGAAGTGATAAGATGAAATGATGAAATGATAAGATGAAAAGAGTTGATGAGATGATAAGATGAAATGATGAGATGAAAAGATGAGATGAAATGAAATGATGAAATGAAATGAGATGAAATGAAATGAAGTGAAATGAAATGAAATAATGAAATTGAAATGAGATGAGATGAAATGAGATAAAATGATGAGATGAAATGATGAGAAGAAATGAGATGAAATGATGAGATGAGATGATGAGATGAAAAATGATGAGATGAAAAATGATGAGATGAAAAATGATGAGATGAAATGATGAGATGAAATGAAATGAAATAATGAAATAATGAAATGAGATGAAATGAAATGATGAAATGATATTGAAATGAAAGTGAAAGATGAGATGAAATGATGCGATGAAATGATGAAATGTTGAAATGAAATGATGAAATGAATAGATGTGACTTGAAATGAGCTGAAATGATGAGATCAAATGAAATGAAATGAGATTAAATGATGAGATGAAAAATGATGAGATGAAAAATGATGATGAAATGCTGAGATGAAATGAGATCAGATGAACTGAGATGAGATGAGATGAAATAATGAAATTAGGTGAAATAATGAAATGAGATGAAATAATGAAATTGAAATGAGATGAGAAGAAATGAGATGAAATGTTGTAATGAAAGGAGGAAATGATGAGATGAGGAGATGAAATGATGAGATGAATTGAGATGAAATGAGATGAAAAATGATATCAAAAATATGAGATGAAATGAAATGAGATTATATGAAATGACATAATGAATTAAATGAAATTAGATGAAATGAAATGAAATAGTGAAATGAAATGATGAAATGAAATAATGAAAATGAAATGGAAATGAGATGAGATTTGATGAAATGATGAGATGAAATGATGAGATGATATGAAATGATGAGATGAGATGGGATGAGATGAAATGAGATAAAATGATGAGATGTAATGATGAAATGAAATGATGAAATGAGATGAGATGAAATGAGATGAAATAATGAGATGAAATGAGATGATGAGATGAGATGAAATCATGAGATGAAATGATGAAATGAAATGAAATGATGGATGAAATGATGAGATGAAATGAGATGAAATGTAATGAGATGAAATGAAATGACATAATGAAATGAAATAATGAAATGAGATGAAATAATGAAATGATGAAATAATGAAATGAAAATGAAATGGAAATGATGAGATGAGATGAGATAAAATGAGATGAAATGATGAGATGAAATGAAATGATGAGATGAGATGAAATGAGATGAAATATGATGAGGTGAAATGACATAATGAAATGAAATGATGAAATGGAATAATGAAATGGAAATGAGATGAGATGCAATGAGTTGAAATGAGATGAAATGATGAAATGATGAGATGAAATGATGAGATGAGATGTGATGAAATGATGACATGAAATGATGACATAAAATGAAATGTAATGATGAGATGAGATGAGATAAAATGATATGAAATGAGATGAATGATGAGATGAAATGATGAGATGAGATGAGATGATGAGATGAAATGATGAGATGAACTGATGAGATGAAATGAAATTGAAATAAATAAATAAAATTGAAATGAGATGAGATGAAATGATGAGATGATGAAATAAAATGATAAAATGATGAGATGTGATGAGATGAAATGATGAGATGAGATGACATGAAATAATGAAATGAAATAATGAAATGAAATTGAAATGAGATGAGAAGATACAAGATGAAATGAAGTGATGAAATGATGAAATGATAAGATGAAAAGAGTTGATGAGATGATAAGATGAAATGATGAGATGAAAAGATGAGATGAAATGAAATGAGATGAAATGAGATGAAATGAAATGACATAATGAAATGAAAAAATGAAATAATGAAATGAGGTGAAATTAAATGAGATGATGAAATTAAATGATGAAATGAAATAATGAAATGGAAATGATGAGAAGAAATGAGATGAAATGATGAGATGAGATGATGAGATGAAAAATGATGAGATGAAAAATGATGAGATGAAAAATGATGAGATGAAATGATGAGATGAAATGAAATGAAATAATGAAATAATGAAATGAGATGAAATGAAATGATGAAATGATATTGAAATGAAAGTGAAAGATGAGATGAAATGATGCGATGAAATGATGAAATGTTGAAATGAAATGATGAAATGAATAGATGTGACTTGAAATGAGCTGAAATGATGAGATCAAATGAAATGAAATGAGATTAAATGATGAGATGAAAAATGATGAGATGAAAAATGATGAGATGAAATGCTGAGATGAAATGAGATCAGATGAACTGAGATGAGATGAGATGAAATAATGAAATTAGGTGAAATAATGAAATGAGATGAAATAATGAAATTGAAATGAGATGAGAAGAAATGAGATGAAATGTTGTAATGAAAGGAGGAAATGATGAGATGAGGAGATGAAATGATGAGATGAATTGAGATGAAATGAGATGAAAAATGATATCAAAAATATGAGATGAAATGAAATGAGATTATATGAAATGACATAATGAATTAAATGAAATTAGATGAAATGAAATGAAATAGTGAAATGAAATGATGAAATGAAATAATGAAAATGAAATGGAAATGAGATGAGATTTGATGAAATGATGAGATGATATGAAATGATGAGATGAGATGGGATGAGATGAAATGAGATAAAATGATGAGATGAAATGATGAAATGATGAGATGAAATGATGGGGTGAAGTGATGCACTGTCACGTGTGTGTCTATTCTTTTTCCCAAGCAACAAAAATTATAATTCATTAATTTTAATTTTATTATTTAAGAATATTCTTAAGAGTTGAAGGAAAAATAATATCTGTACATTATGGGTTACAATCTAAGTATAAATAATACATAAATATATTAAAACTTACAAAGAATATGTTTTGGAATCGAATATACCATGCTTCTGTGATGACAGTTATTTCATGCTGGTTGTCACAATTTTACATGAAAAACTAATGAAAAAATGTTTTTAACTGTTTCTAAAAATAACAGTTTCCAAAACAGTTTTACATTCGAAATATGAAAAAGATGTCTTTGTGTTCCTTAATCTGATGAGATTTTCACACTCTGCACATGATAATTGTTAGATTTTTATTGTGTTGATAAATTGTATATCAAATAAAAAATGTTATTACCTCTTAAATTAGGATTTTTAGGTGATATAGGCAGAAAGGACAGCAAGTTTTTATAACTTTGTCTAAATGAACTTTCTAAATGCCTGAGTATTAAAAGATAGCATGTCTATAAATCACAATGTATATATTACTGTATGACCTAGGACCAATCAAAACCGTTACCTCTGATAACATTATATTGTGCCCAGTATAAAATAGATATAATAATACCTCAAACTTAAATCCAGGCATTGTCATTGAATATCTTAAGAATATGCAACAAAGGTGCTTTTAAAAATACAAGCTAGTGATTGTACCAAATTTGTAAATCACATAGGATAGTGGGTCATTTTAAGAATATTAGTTATTTCAATCTATAAACGTGGATGTCTTTCCTTTTTTGTGTTTTCTTTAATTTCTTTCATTAATATTTGTCATTTTTGTTGTCGAAATCTTTTACTTCCTTGGTTAAATTTATTTCTAAGTACATTTTTGTAGCTATTGTAAAAGGAATTGCTTTCTTAATTTCTTGTTTCAGCTAGTTTACTATCAATATATAGAAATGCTACTGATTTTTGTATGTTGATTTATATCCTGCAACTTTATTAATTTCATGTATCACCCTAAGAAGCTTTTGGTAGAGTCTTATTTTTTTCCGTGTATAAGATCACATTGTCTTTAAACAGGGACAATTTGACTGTCTCCTTTCCAATTCAGATGTCCTTTATTTCTTTTTCTCACCTAATTGTCCTGGCTAAGACTTTCACTATGTGAAATATGATTGGTGAGAATAGGCATCCTTTTCTTGTTCCAGTAAAATCTTTTTCTTGTTCACAGTAAAATCTTTCACCTTTTCCACACTCAGTATGATCTTAGTTGTAGGTTTGTCCTTTATGTCCTTCTGTTTTAAGGCATATATTTTCTATACTAAATTGTTGAGAGGTTTTTTGTCATGTAAGAATATTTAATTTTGCCAAACGCTTTTATTGTGTTTATTAATTTAATCATATGGTTTTCAGTATATATCCAAAGGAAAGAAAATCAGTATATCAAAGACTTACCTGCACCCCCATGTTTATTACAGCACTATTCACAATAGCCAAGATGTGGAATCAACAAAAGTGTCCATCAACAGATGAATGGATAAAGAAATGTGACATACATATATAATGGAATACTATTTAGTCATAATAAAGAACAAAATCCTGTTATTTGTGGCAACAAGAATGCAAGTGGAGGGCATTATGTTAGGTGAAATAAGCCTGGCATAGAAACATAAACACCACATAACTACGTGTTCTCACTTATGTATGGAAGCTAAAATGTTTAATCTCGTAGAAGTAGATAGTAGAGTTTTGGTTACCATATCCTGGAAAGAGTAGGAGAAAGAAGAGTATAAGAAAAATGTGGTTAATACATACAAAATTACAGCTGGAGAGAAGGAAGAAGTTCTAGTTCTCTACAGCACTGTTGGGTGACTGTAGTTAACGGGAATTTATTGTGTGTTTTCAAATAACTAAAATAAAAGATTTTGAATATTCTCACTGCAAAGAAATAATACATGATTTAAGGTAATGGATATGATAATGACTCTGACTTGATCTTTACGCATTGCATAAATATATCAAAATATCACTCTGTACCCCATAACATGTACATTTATTATATGTCAATTAAAGTAAATTTAAAAGAGAAAAAATGAGACAAAGGTAAATATACATAATTTAATTACTTTTTCTTCTATAAAACCCGAGTCAGTACCAAGAAGAGTCAATTTATTAGTTTTCTAAAATAAAAAAAATCAAAATCACCAAAAAAGAGCAATATCCAAGAAAACATTGAAAATGAAACACAACATTTAGTAAGAATAGAAAACTTGGGCACCGTATCACCCTGTTCCTAGATACCGATTTACTGATGGCCATTTAAATAGAATTTTATTCTATCTAATTCATTTATACTCCCAGAGTTCAAAATTACATTTTACCTACAATAAATGAGATAACACTTGTAAATTATATGGTACTCTGCCTAACACACGTTAATAACTCAATACATGTTAGCAATAAACTTTTAGTATAGTAGTCAAAGTATTAATTTCTCACATTGCAATTTCCTTCAAAGACATGAATACAACCTTTCTAATGACTCCTTGTTCATCAAGATACCTCTTCAAATTATTCTATTTGTTTCATTCAGTATATTATCTGTGTATACCGATATTAGACTCTTTTCTTTTTTTGAGATGGCATCTCATTCTGTTACTGATGCTGGAGTGAGGTGGCATGATCTCGGTTCACTGCAACCTCCACCTCCCAGGTTCAAGTGATTCTCCTGTCTCAGCCTCCCAAGTAGCTAGGACTACAGGTGCATACCACGATGCCTGGCTAATTTTTGTATTTTTAGTACAGTCAAGAGTTTCACCTTGTTGTCCAGGCTGGTCTCGAACTCCTGACCTCAGGTGATCCACCCACCATGGCCTCCCAAAGTGCTGGGATTACGGGCATAAGCCACCGCACCCAGCCTGATATTGCACTCTTGGATTTTGAACACTGAATATCTTTTTGAAAGATTACACCTCTTTACTTCTTTGTGCTTCAGAAATTATTTTCCTTCAGGTGTTCTAAGAGTCTAATGAAGAATGAAGTCATGTTTTATCACTTTTGTCCTTAAAGATTTCAGACATGCTGAAACTGATTGAAGTATCATTTGCTACTAGATAGATTAATTATCTCTAGTTGTAGGAGTGGATACATCTTTAATGGTATATTTTGGGTTATTATCTTATTTTTGATGCAGTATTCTATAAATAATTTATTAAACCTGGCATCCTTGGGTGAGCATAGATTTTTCAACTTTAGTGTTATACTGTGTTTGCTTTTAAAAACTGCTTCTGAGGCCAGGTATGGTGGCTCTTGCCCATACCCAGCACTTTGGGAGGCCAAGATGGGTGGATTACCTCAGGTCAGGAGTTCAAGACCAGCCTGGTCAACATGGCAAAACCATGTCTCTACTAAAAACACAAAATTAGCCAGGCATGGTGGTGCATGCTTGTAGTCCTAACCACTCGAGAGGCTGAGGCAAGAGAATCACCTGAACCTGGGAGGCAAAAGTTGCTAGGTTGCTGTGAGCCAAATTCGCAGCATTGCCCTCCAGCCTGGGTGAAAAGAGCAAAACTCTGTCTCAAAAAAAAAAAAACCCACCAAAAACTGCTTTTGAATGGAGTTGTACATATAATTTTTATGAAAAAAATTAACAAGTGCATAAGTTCATAATAGAAAAACCAATAATACTCCAGGCACAAGTTAGTACTAAAAAAATTATGTTGAATATTCTCTAATACAACATGCTTTTTCCCTTCATGAACAATTTGTGTTTTACTGAGAAGAGTCATTGTTTATGGTAGACATTAGACTACAGATGAATATGTACTTTAAACACTCTTAGTTGCTTTCTTAATTTTATATCTGCTGCTTTATGCTTCTGTTTATTTTCATTCTTTCCAATGTCCACATTCTAGTAAATTTGAATATTTTAATCCAAGTTTATATACTATTTAATATTGCTTGTATAGTTTAGTATTTTTAAGACTCAAAAAGGTTTACAGAAAGAAGAAAAAGATCAACATGTTATTAATCATTTAAAGATCATTTTGAAATCTTTGACCTTTATATTTTAATGAATAAAATATTAGTAGTTATTAGTATAAAATAATTTATGTCTTTTGGACTTAGCATCCAGTATTTCTTTTTTAATAAAGAAAATAATTATTCTCTTGCAATGTACTATGTTTATCTGAGTTTTGAAAAGTGATGTTTCCTAATATGAGAAAGCCATTTACATTTTTAAATCTACAAGGGCAAATGGAATGGTACTAAATTATTTACATAATAATGTTTAGATGGTGGCCCTTATAACATTCTTTCTATACTTCCTACAGAGTTGGGGATATGCAATCCTAGAATATTTCTGGGAGCTAATCCTTTAGCTTGATGAATGAAACAAGACTTTTAAATAAAATTAAACTTTCAAATTATCCAGGTAATGGGCCTGTCTTTTAATTCAATGGATATGGAGCATAATGAATTAACCCCTGTTCATTGGGTAATAAGTTCTCATTCTTATAATACTCAGAATGTCCTTTAATTTTTAATTTTTGATAGTCATATCATTATCCCTAGGTATTTTAGCTTCTATCTTAAATTCTAAAATAATTTTGAAATAGGAGAAAGTATTCTTTATTACTATATGTATTAAACATCATGGTTTTCAAATTGAACTGCAAATGTATCTTTTCATTGCTTCTTGATGACACCCTTCACCCTATCCATATTGTCACTACCAAGTGGTGATTACTTCTCAGGTTCACATACTTATTCTTCAGAAAAATCTTCTCTGTGCCTTGTAAAGAATATGATTGTTGGCATTCAAAAGCCAGCTAAGTATACATTATTAGCCTGTTGCCTAACTCATTTCTTTAAGAAACTACACTAATTACCCACATACTTATGTTTTTATTTCCTCATTATTTCTGGAGAAAACAAGTACTGCTAACATGATATTTGTAAGAGAGAAAAAAGTCTTTTCTTGAAAAGTGCTGTCATTGTAGTACTAACTTATAGTATCAACTTCCTTATAAACTCCTTTTACACTTTTTATTCTGAGAGAAATAAAAAAGCTAAAAGTCAAATGACTTTTTTTACTCTCCTTATTATAAGCACCCATCTTGGTAATTTAGGGTCTTTATAGTTAGGGTAAGTTGTGTCATACCGAGGTTACAAAATAAAAATTATTTTGTCTCTTTGGGCCTTTCCTTATTCAGTAATACTGTCAGTTTGGCTTTTTTTGTAGGTCAACTTATTGAACTCAGTATTCTGAAGTAATATGTTTACTATCTTTTGAGAAGCACTTAAAATATTAGATTTATTGTTACTCTTCTGCCTTTATTGGGCTGGAAGAATAATTGTTTCACTCCACAAAAGGCAAGTTGCGGAGAAAACCACATAGACATTCAACTGCAAAGCAGAGAAACTTGACTATTTTCTGCAATTTTAAAGTGTATATTGAATAAAACCATCTTTTTATTTTCTTTTTTGCTCACTGGCAAATATTAACAACATCAAGTGTATTATTATAATGTTATCTAGTTAAAAATCTCAAAAAGTTTTCATAATTACCATTTTAAAATATATAAATAGGTGACCTAATGTTAATTTTTATTGTCTGAGACCATGTCTGTTATTTCACTCTTTAAATTCAGTTAGTAATGCAGAACCTAGCACTTAGTAGATACTCAAAAATTATTTGCTGAATAAAAAAGGTTAAACATGTAATATATACAAAATGTACTGGAAAAAAATGCACCAAACAATTTTGTTATACCAGTTTAATGTAAATATTGCCTTTAAAAGATAATATAGTTTTCAGGTGTCTACAGTGATTTTGTAATATTTGTGCACATATAAAATAATATTTCCAAAAATGTAATCCAGTGGGGAAATATACTTTCTAAATTCTAGATTTATAATTTAGGGTTTAAATTATAAAATCATTAAATAAGACACAAGTGAAATGTAGTCAAATATCCCCTTGGAAAAAAATTAAGTGGCCTCTAAAGTGAGGTATTCATATATGTAATTTTACAATCCTCTAGTGATAGAATTAATTAAATACACCACAAAATTGATTAATTCCTACTGTGTTAAAAGAGAAGCACTAACAATGCCAGTTACCATGTAACATGGATTTAAGCTACAAGTCATAGAAATGTGATGAGAAGCCTCAGCGCTGTAAAACAGAGGGTGGAGGAAAGCTCTTCCTCTCTCAAATGAGCTTTGCGAGGTATACTTCTTGAAGGATAGGAAGTTGAAGTGTTGAGGACTTTTTATGTCTATTCTACTTTGGCTTAGTTTACATGATTCGTAGTTTATTAGCCTAGAAATGGCCAAGAAAACTTAAGGTTCAATAATTAGTTATAAATATGAAATATCCCCAATTTTTAAGATAAAAACAACTTATAAATGTATTTGTAAAAATTGTGTATATTTTTACAGAACATCTATTTCTTTTTTTATTTTTTTATATTTATTTATTATACTTTAAATTCTAGGGTACACATGCACAGTGTGCAGGTTTGTTGCATATGTATACATGTGCCATGTTGGTGTGCTGCACCCATTAACTCATCATTTATATTAGGCATATCTCCTAATGCTATCCCTCCCCCCTCCCCCCACCCCACAACAGGCCCTGGTGTGTGATGTTCCCCTTCCTGTGTCCAAGTGTTCTCATTGTTCAATTCCCACCTATGAGTGAGAACATGTGGTGTTTGGCTTTTTGTCCTTGCGATAGTTTGCTGAGAATGATGGTTTCCAGCTTCATCCGTGTCCCTACAAAGGACATGAACTCATCATTTTTTATGGATGCCTAGTATTCCATGGTGTATATGTGCCACATGTTCTTCATCCAGTCTATCATTGTTGGACATTTGGGTTGGTTCCAAGTCTTTGCTATTGTGAATAGTGCTGCAATAAACATACGTGTGCATGTGTCTTTATAGCAGCACGATTTATAATCCTTTGGGTATATACTCAGTAGTGGGATGGCTGGGTCAAATGGTATCTCTAGTTCTAGATCCCTGAGGAATGGCCACACTGTCTTCCACAATGGTTGAACTAGTTTACAGTCCCACCAACAGTGCGAAAGTGTTCCTATTTCTCCACATCCTCTCCAGCACCTGTTGTTTCCTGACTTTTTAATGATCGCCATTCTAACTGGTGTGAGATGGTATCTCATTGTGGTTTTGATTTGCATTTCTCTGATGGGTCTATTTCTTTAAAACAAAGGGAGGGGAGTCTCTCATTTGCATTAGTTTTTTTCATAGCCTTTTGAACTTCGCAATTTCTATGTTTCAGAACCTATTTCTTACAGTTTTTCTATGCTAAACTCTGTCCTAGTCAGTTCTAGAGTGTATGAAGAACCAAATGATGTAATTGTATGCCACCTGGCTGTAGTGGAACAAATTTGACTCTTAAGTATGCAGGCTCTAATTCTCCTGTCTGGTTTTGGCAAGTATTCCTTACATAGGTCTTTTCTTTGAAAATCTGGGATTGAGAGGTTGATGAATGAAAATTAATCCTTTCACTTTGTTGTATATAGGTTTGCAATAATTAGGTCAGAGTGGAGTTTTAAGGTCACGGAGGGGTCTGATGACTTACAAATAGTGGGCTCTGATTGGGCAACTACTCATCTGAGTTCCTTCCATTTGACCTAATTAAGCTTGTGAAATTTACACTAAGCCATGAGCTCATCTTTAAAAAGTTTTATTAAAAGATTTTCAGCTGTTCCAAATGGGACTTATTAGTGGAATGTGTTTTAAAGGATCATATCAGATGAATGAAAGGTATTTGATCCTTCGTTTCCTTAATAATAAAATGATGGTTTGGAAAAATAGGCTGCAGTCTAACCACAGTGCTATTATTAGGCTTTCTTGTTAAACATAGTTCTAAGCCTAAGTATGTCAATACAACAAATACTTACTGTTTCATTTCTAGTAATGAAAAAAAAAAAAACCAAGTCTTTCTGGCATAAGGATGATTTTCATCTGGTTATTTTGAAACATTTTTGTAAAATAAATTTCCATCTATAAAGAACATTTTTATTTGTAAGGAGGGGTATGTCTCTGTGCACTGGAAGAGAGGGAGGACTAAATCACTGGGAAGTCTTATGATAAAGAAGCCATTGGCTTAAATCAGCAAAGCAAGCCGTCCCTTGGTTTAAGGTGTTTTTCCTGGCCATCCTGTCTTGACTAGAACTTTACCTACACCTTCCTTTTTGGTTTAGGCAAATTATAGTATCTAAAACTAAAGTCTCAGCTCTGTGTCTTTGACATATAAATGTTCTACCATGTCTTCTCTGGAATCTGATAACTATCTATCTCTTTAAAATGCAAGTCTAGGGAGATGACTCATCAGAAAAAGAAGAAAAAAGAGGTATTTGGAAATTGTGCAAATTAAAGCAGCCCCTGATGTCAAAGTCTACACATTCCTGAGTGAGTCAGTTCTGGCCAGTTCTAGCTGGATCAAGAGAGCTCTTCTGGGCAGGCCTGAAGAGCACCTGGATGGCAGACACCTGAGGAGCCAGGTGCCTGAAACTTCCTCCACCTTCTTGAGGAGGGCCAAAGCCCAGGTGCTGGCTGGACAACCCCTTCTGGCTGCCTAAGCAGATGGCAGAAGAAGGAAACAAGGTCAGAGGCAGAGTATTGAACCCTGCCTCCCAGGTGGGTGGAAGATGCCTGTCACCAAACTAGGGCCCAGCTTGCCGGGTGAGATGGGTGAACTGGTGATCCCCCGAGAGAGTGGACATCAGAACTACATGTTCCTGGACTTCACCTCGGCCAGCAAAGGAGAGAGAGGGTTAATGTTAACTGCACGAGGCCCACTCTAGCCTTAAATTCTGTAATTCAAACCCTTCCCTTGGAGACAAAACATGACAAGGAATTCTGAGGTCAGGGGACAAGAATCACAAAGTGGGAGACTGAGGAGGCAGTGTCCTTCCTGCCCTTGGTCTACTGGCTAAGAACCTTCCTCAGCCTGACCTTTGCACATTGCACTTTCAGCTCTGTTTGCAATTTTCCTCCTTTAGTGCTGAGGGAATCCCAGTGTTCGATCCTGAAATCTGTACGTTCCTAATGGGTGGTTAAAAAAAACCTCAGCGAGAGAAGCAGAAAATGTTTCCTCTTCCTGAAAAACTGTAGAAAGGCAGGCACCATTCTGGGTGAGGACATGGTCCTTGCAAATGTCTTTGTGTTCTTTTTTTTTTTTTTTTTTGAGATGAAGTTTTGCTCTTGTTGCCCAGACTGGAGTGCAGTGGTGTGATCTCTGCTCATTGCAACCTCCGCCTCCTGGGTTCAAGCAGTTCTCCTACCTCAGCCTCCCGAGTAGCTGGAATTACAGGCACCTGCCACCACACCTGGCTAATTTTTTGTATTTTTAGTAGAGATGGGGTTTTGCCATGTTGGCCATGTTGGTCTCGAACTCCTGACCTCAAGTGAGCCACCCGCTTCTGCCTCCCAAAGTGCTGGGATTACAGGAGTGAGCCACCGCGTCCAGCCTGCAAACGTCTTTAAAGACAGCGTGTTTCAGAGGCTGTGACAGTGCCCTGTGAACATGCCAATTCTCACAGTCCCGGGAGCTCTGAGGAGCAGGCCCGGCTCCTTGCCAGGCTGATGGTACTGAAACTCTGCTCTCCAAGACATAACCTGATGGCCGTGCAAGATTTCTTAATCGACTGTGGACCGTGAGAGTCTGCATCTCATTTTAATTAAGATGGGAAAAGAAAGAACAAAAGAGCAACTCCCAGGTTATAGAGAAAGTGGATTTTAGTATAATATTCAAGTGTAGCATTGCTAATAATAACAAACCTTTCCCCTCCCAAACGGTAAACACTTGCACTGCCTATTATACAAAAATTCAACCACCCTCTCTGTTACCCCGATATCTCCTCCCCAGTGACCCCCCCTCTCATGCGGCCTCATGAGCCTGACCAGTGGTGAATGGCACTTTCATGGGCATGAGACTCCACGTGAGTGGGACTCAGCTGGGACCCCTCTCCACGTGGGAGCTGGGGAAGCCACCCTAGTAGCAGCTCAAAGTGTCCGTGATGTCCCTGCTGCTGAGGTAGGGGCTGCCTCTGAGCTGGTGTCGGGGTGTGAGCTGCTGCTGGTAGTAGGCTCTGCCCTGAGGGCCTGGTGGCTGGTCAGAAGGGCAGGCACACATGGGTGACTCCCCAGGAACTCAGGCCACCTCCCCACCACAGCCCTGCACTGTGTGCTCCAGGCATGTGCTGAGTGCCTGGTCAATCACCAGTGCCCTATTGATCCCAGTCTCCAGAGAGAGCATTTAGTGTCACTCCACAGAGGGGGAAACTCGGCCCAGAGAAGTAAGGTGACTCTCCCCAGTCACAGAGCTGGTCAGCAGTAGGATGGGAAGCTAGTCCCTTGCTGTCTGACTCCCTGAGCCCACCCATATCCCAAGGCAGCCAACCTCTGCCCGCCCTGGTTCAGGCCCCGACTGGCCCCAGTGGTGGGTGATGTCTATCTTCCTGGCCTTTGTGCTCCCAGCCAACTGGGATGGAGCCTCCAGCTGGCATGACATGTTGTAGCTATGGACAGAAGAGTGGCTGTGAGGCTGCCAGGAATCTCACCAGGGCCCCCTCCCAGGGCCTGTCCAGAGTGAGGTCTGGGTACCCCAGGCATTGCCAGACCACAGGATCTGATGTTGGCCAAGAGGCCATGGCCACAGGCTTTCTGAGGCTGGCCCCCAGGGAGAGTTCAATCCTACTATCCCAATTCCTGTCCTGGCCTTACCTCTCAGTCTCACCGAGCCGCTTCATGGTCCCAAACCAGGACCCAAAGTGCTGCTTGGGCTCAAGGTTGTAATTATTTGCAGTCAACTGGAGCAGTGGACCTCCTTGCTTACTTTGAATTCCTGGGTCCAGAGGGAAAAACTGGGTGGTGACAGGGACTGGACAGGGATGCCACAGGGGCCCTGTGGGGGTGTTAGATGGGGTGGTGGCCAGTCTTTGCTCATAGGGGACCCCCTCCTCCTCTCCAGTCCTGTCCCCACCTGTTCTCAGAGCTGGCTCAAACAGCAGCTCCTCCAGGAATGTGTCCTTGGTTTCAACCTGGTACTCCCACCTGCAGGTCTTCCTGGAGTGTCTCCTCTTTCTCTCTGTCTCCCCATAAATCTAAGACGAGGGGGATGGATCTGCCCACTGCTACTCACCGTATGACTCTTGTGAGGTTGATCAGTCTCCCCTGGAAGGCCAACAGCTGAAGTCCATCAGAAAGGGTCCTCTGGCCCAGAGCCAGCCCCTGCCCACCCCTGTCTTGCTGCACCCAGGGTGCAAGACCCAGATCAGGTCTGGGTGACAGGAGGGGTATAGAGGGGCTGAGGCTCAGGGGCCTTCCAGCCTAACTTGTCTGGAGACAGTTGGGGAAACTGAGACCCCAAGCAGGGAGGTATGGCTCCGAGAGATTATTCTCATTAACCTGGAAAATTTTTGCAAGCTGTTAGGTATAGGAAGTCTGTCACAGGTAAGAGAAATGCTTTTTAAGAGCATGAGAGACAGCAGGATTGTGACAATATTGAAACACCACCGTGCAGATTCACCAATTGCCACCACCGGGAGCCCCCTGAGAGTCATTGCAGATGCACAGCCCTCCCCTGCAACCCCTGGACCTCCCCGTGGTCTGGCACCTAAAGGGTTATGCCTCATGGCGGGAATCAGGGCCCTCAGGGTGCCCTGCCCACTCCAAGGTCTGCCTCTGCTCTGATTGGTCACTGACATTCAGATTGTCACCCAAATATAAGGACGTTAGCAGAAAGACTCATTCAATACAAGTGGACTCAGACATAGATAGGAATTGGGTTGCAAAAAGCCCCTTTTGTTTATTTTATTTTGGAAAAAACTTTTATTGTGAAAATTCACATATATATATATATATATATGTATGTATGTATGTATGTATGTATGTATATATAGAAAAAAAATCAATGCAAAAGGATAGACAATGAACAAATGAATTCCCCTTCCACTCCAGATCCCCAACTCAGATCCAGACCTCCTGAGCCCACTTCCCCCATCTCATCACAGATCCAGACCTCCTGAGCCCACTTTCCCCATCTCATCACAGATCCAGACCTCCTGAGCCCACTTCCCCATCTCATCACCAGTGATTTCTTGGGCTCTGCATTAGTTTTCTATTGCTGCTGCAACAAACAGCTACAGACTCAGTGGCTTCCATTTCTGTCTTATAGTTCTGGTTGCCAAAAGTCCTAAGAGGATCTCACTGGGCTAAAGTCAAGGTGCTGGCGGGGCTATGTCCCTTCTGGAGGCTCAAGGGATGAATCGGGTCCCTGCCTTTTCTAGCTTCTAGGGGCTCCAGCTTCTAGGTTTGTGGCCTCCTTCCTCCATCCTCAAAGCCAGCAACAGCAGGTGAAGTCCTCGCCCATCATGCATCACTCTCCCTTCTTCCTCCTTCAACTTTTTTTTTTATATTTAGGGGGAACGAGTACCGGATTCTTACATAGTCAAAAAGCTCCTTATAGAGAAGCTCGGAACTTTCAATACAACTTTGCCTTTTCTGCCATTTTAATTTTCCATTTAATTTAAATGTATTCTCTCATTTGACCTTCATACTCTGTGGAGAAATATTCCTATTTCGGCTTGTATTGACAAGCTGTTTTCACAGAGCCCCCACATCACCCAACCAACCAGCAAGAAACAGATAAAGAAACTGAGGCCCAGGGAGGCTAAGAGTCCTGCCAGGATCATTCACCTTTCAAGGTAAGGAGCCAGTTCCAGACCTGGGTTTGTGCAGCTCCAAGCTCCCCCGTCTTTCTACAATGCTAGATTTAGACTATAGCAATCTAGCAAGTGTGGCCACACAATGGTCAAGTTGGATTTAGATGATGTTCCCTATAAATCCATTCTCCTCTCCCGTGTAAGCAAGGCAAAGTACTCCAGGCCATGGGGAGTCCCTGAAGACTCGATGAACTGCAGTGGCCACATCAGGAGGTTGCAGGTTGACCAGAACTCGCCGACACAGCAGGAGAGCAGCTTGGAACCTGCAACCTAGCCAAAACCTAGTGCCTTGGACTGGGGGAGAAAACAGGCAGCCATTCCTCTCTCTCTGCTGGCTAGAGGGGATTCTGGCTTTTCCTGCCAGAGCCACCCCTTTCCCTCCTCCTAAAGTTGATGGTGGTTCTTTAAGGAAAGGGAGAAGTGCACGGTGTGATAGGGCAGGAAGAGAAGAAAATGGAGGAGAGGAGGGGACTTTCCCATAAGCAGGCAGAAGAAAAGGCAGCTGTGGTGTGTGATGGACATGGATGTAGTGGTGTCCAATGTGGGGTCAGCCCTAGAGGAGAGACAGAGAGAGAGACAGAAAAGTGAGAGTCCTGACCCTTACGATTAACATGGGATCTGCCTGCAAATGCTGTTTAGGGCCATCGCCTCTTCCTGTACTGCTATTTTTGAGAGTGATGCTCCTGAGCCCCATGACCCAGTCAAATTTGATGTCCCCTCGAGCCAGATTCAGTGCTGGGAGTCCAGTGTGATCTGCCTGGATCTTGCTGCATTGAGAACAGGCCAGATCTTGACCCCAATACAGGGGCTGGATATGAACAGGCAACAGCTGGGTTTCTGAGTCAGAAAGACTTGGTTAATTGCTAATTGCTTAGGCGAGTAATTTAATTTTGTTGAGTCAGATTCTTCAGCTACAAAATGCAGATGACAGTACTTATTCCTCCAGGTTGTGGGGAAAATGGAGATTCTAAGCACGATGTCCATTTCACAGAAAGCTACCAAATTGGTGGCTTATTTTCCTTTCTACCTTCAGAAGTGGCTATCCCTGCCACCCAAACAGACCCTTGACTCTCAAGTGGACGGGGTCCCATTTGCACAGGGGGAGACCTTACAGCCTACGTTGAGTCTATACTTACCACTTAGTGAGCATTGTGTCTGCTCAGGGGCCTCTGTGGGCATCCGTCTCCTCTGCAGCATCTTTCCTCCCCACTGCTGGGTCTGCACATGACCCCCTCCTTGGGTTAGGCCTCTGATCAGTGATGACCTTGGTATGGTGGTGATGGTCAGTCTTGGCATCAAATGAGCCAGTTTATATCATCAGCTATTCAATAAAATACTAATCTAGGTGTCACCGTGAAAGTATTTTGTGACATTGTTATGTACGTGTTGTTACAAATGTGCATGATGCATTTACTACAGCATAGAATTTTGCCTGGGTGCCAGCGTGAAGTCTGTCCGACAGATCATAGCCATGTTAATCCCACAGTCACGGGGGCCAATTGATTAAATTATTTTATCTCCCTTGAAAACTAAAAATAAAATCCTAAGCCCCCCACCCGACTTAACAGACCCCCTGTTGGCCAACGGAACCTCAAATAAATCTTAAAATTCAGTTCTTGGCCATGACAGGACAGGAGGTCAGACATACCTCCCTGTACCTCCCTCCCTCTTATGGCTTAGACCCAACAACTGAACAGCATTAATGTTAAAATAGAGATCATGAGACTGACAGAACAGACTCTTTGTGGCAATAAGACCTCAAATTATAAACAGGACCTAGGGCCATGCCAGGCGAGCGTTAAGTCTTGTACCCTACTCTTAAAGAATTAACTAGATTCTAACTACCACATGGGTTTTATTTTTCTCTAGCAACCAAGCAAGCACTGGCTGTGAGAGAAGCAAGATTAAAACAATTACAACTCACCCAGTTCACAGACGCTGAGTAACTGATCTCCTGCCCCACTAACCTTAATGACAGCTTTCTCTGGACAAGGGACTGATTTCAGTAACTTTCTCCTGATAAGAGACCATCCTCCATGGACTCGTTCTGGCCAGTTTTGGAGGCAGTGCCTTTACAGAGGCTGAGTACCTTCATGTCCCTGCTTCACTTTTTGATGTGTAGGGCCTAATTATAATACATTTAAATGTCAAGTCTCCACCCCAGAATGAACATGCATGTTTATTGAATGTGCATGCATTAGGACCTCTTTTATGAGTATTCTCATAAAATGATATAGCTCCTCTGATATCCTATTGAGTATGTATATGTAGCCAACTCATTTGGCTCAAATTCCTGTCCTCTCCTTCCCTCCCTGGAAATGCCTGCCTCTGGCCTTGGCTGTAGGCCACACTTCCCAGCCTGTCATAATGGCCACCTTGCAGACTGCAAACCTATATAAGAAATAAAGCTCTCCTTTCTAAATTTATAAAATTGTGTGATTTTTCAGTTGATGCTCTCTTTCTACACACACACACACACGCAATTTATACAGAAGGAAATCTGGAGAATATATGTGGGAATGGATATTAAGTGTGTGGCACCATGGTGGAAGTAACATAAAGTTGGATTAGGCTAAATTTATTAATGTTGGCCCACTAAACAGAGATTCTGGACTCAGGGTTGTAGGTCAAAGCTTTAGAAAGGGCTCCAAGGGTTGGTTTGATCGGTTACTTGGTTGGTTGCTTGCTTGGTTGGTTGGTGCTTGCTTCCTTGCTTGGTTGTTTGGTTGGTTTGTTGCTTGCTTGCTTGTTGGTTGATTGGTTGGCTGTTTGCTTATTTGTTTGGTGACTTGGTTGGTTGGCTGAAACAGAATCAGAGTTTACCTAAGGTACATAAAGTTGAGATGCCACAACTTCCTTGGTTTATGTGTACAGAAAGGTATGCAAAAACTCAGGGAGACTGGATTTATTATGTCAGACCTGCTCACTCACACTGGAGGGTCTACGGAACATACTCCTCACAACGATCATGAGAAAGAATATTGTGAGAGGAGCCCAGTATCCTGGAAGAGCTTTGAGCTTGTGCTCTCAGTAGGCAAAATGTTACAGCAGGAACTGCAGCCACTGGACTGGGATCTTTAAGTAAAATGAGGATAATTGAATCCTGGGGTGGCAGGGAACATGGGCTGTCCTTAATCACCAAAGATGAGGTGGGTGTGGTCACCACAGTGGAAAGCAGTGTCAAAGCAGCAGTCAGAATGGCTTGACTCACAGACACCCACGGCATTGTGTAGTCCACGGTATCCACAGGGAGAGCTAATGGGCTGTACCAAAGTCTTAGTTGTTCTTTAAAAAATGAAGAATTCTAGGTCAACTGAATAAAAGACTAACTCAAATTAATGAAACACAGATCTAAAACCCTCAATCAATTCCCAGACTTGAGCCAGTTCACAGGCCCACAACCCCTTAAGTGAAGGGGAGGCTGGGTGATCTTGGGGAAGTACGCTGCTACATTGCCAAAAATTTACATTGTTAATCTTTTTCCCAGTCTTCCCCAAAGGGACCTACAGCCTTCTGCCAGGATGACTGTGACTTAAAGAAAAGAAAATTCTCAGATATTTGGGGAATTACTGGACACTGGCTCTCATTTGACACTATTATCACTATGTTGCCTAGGATGGATTCATGCTCCTGGGTTCAAGCAGTCCTCCTACCTCAGCCTCCCAAAGTGCTGGGATTACAGACATGAGCCACTGTGGCCAGCAGAGCTTTGAAACTAGAACATGGAGGTCCAGTGGTAAAGATTTGACAAGTCTGGGAAGAGATTGGGCCAAGGCAATGTTGATGATTCTTTTTTTTTTTTTTTTTTTTTTACAACAGAGTCTTGTTCTGTTGTCTAGGCTGGAGTGCAATGGTGCGATCTCGGCTCACTGCAACCTCTGCCTCCGGGGTCCAAGCAATTCTCCTGCCTCAGCCTCCTGAGTAGCTGGGATTACAGGTGCCCACCACCACACCAGGCTAATTTTTTATTTTTTTGTTTTTTTTGAGACAGAGTCTCACTCTATATCGCCCAGGCTGGAGTGCAGTGGTGCAATCTGGGCTCACTGCAAACCCCGCCTCTCAGGTTCATGCCATTCTTCCGCCTCAGCCTCACGAGTAGCTGGGACTACAGGTGCCTGCCACCGTGCCTGGCTAATTTTTTGTATTTTTAGTAGAGACGGGGTTTCATTTCACCATGTTAGCCAGGATGGTCTTGATCTCCTGACCTCATGATCTGCCCACCTCGGCCTCCCAAAGTGCTGGGATTACAGGGATGAGCCACCATGCCCAGCCACACCAAGCTAATTTTTGTATTTCTTTTTTTAGTTGAGACAGGGTTTCACCATGTTGGCCAGGCTGGTCCCTGACCTTGTGATCCACCCGCCTCGGCTTCCCAAAGTGCTGAGATGACAGGCGTGAGCCACCGCGCCTGGCCAATGTTGATGATTCTAAACAGCAGCCGCTAATGTGAAAACCATCCAACTGGAAGCCCTGGCCTTGCCCAGAGGACACAGTCTGGGTGGTGGGCAGAGACTTCAGCTGCCTTCCAAGGCAAGCAGCTCCTTGCTGCCCGCTTGCTGGGGATTTTACTTACAGGGCAGAAGCTGGCAGGTGATTTGGGGGCAGGAATTGCTTCCTGGATGGTATAGGATGAACCACACTCCCCAGGAAGGCACTCATCCTGGTGGCCTAACAGAAGCAGCCCTCACCCCAAAAGGCAATGCTGCTCCACTAGTTTTATGGGGTGACTCCTTCCTGTAGGTTCCTTCCAGCTTTACCAGAAACACAGAACATCTTTCCTGACAGGGCATTGGTTTTGTTTTTGAACAGAGAGATCCTTCTTTTAAAAAGTTAGGGTTTTGGCCGGGCGCGGTGGCTCACGCCTGTAATCCCAGCACTTTGGGAGGCCGAGGCGGGCGGATCACGAGGTCAGGAGATCGAGACCATCCTGGCTAACACGGTGAAACCCCGTCTCTACTAAAAATACAAAAAATTAGCCGGGCGTGGTGGCGGGCGCCTGTAGTCCCAGCTACTCGGGAGGCTGAGGCAGGAGAATGGCGTGAACCCGGGAGGCGGAGCTTGCAGTGAGCCGAGATCGCGCCACTGCACTCCAGCCTGGGCGACAGAGTGAGACTCCGTCTCAAAAAAAAAAAAAAAAAAAAAAAAAAAAAAAAGTTAGGGTTTTTTTTTGTTTTTTTTTTTTTTTTTTTTTTTGTAATGGAATCAACCTAGGTCCTAAGCCTAGCAGGTTGTTATTATTATTTTTATGATTATTTTTTGAGATGGAGTCCCACTCTGTGGCCCAGGCTGGAGGGCAGTGGCACGATCTCAGCTCACTGCAATGTCTGCCTCCTGGGTTCAAGAGATTCTCCTGCCTCAACCTACAGAGGAGCCGGGATTACAGGCATGCACCACCATGCCCGGCTAATTTTTGTACTTTTAGTAGAGATAGGGTTTTGCCATGTTGGCCAGGCTGATCTCAAACTCCTGACCTCAGGTGATCCACCCACCTCAGCCTCCCAAACTGCTGAGAATACAGGTGTGAGCTGCCATACCCAGCCACAGGTTATTTTTGCTGATCTTCTCCCTCCTCCCACCCTCCACCCTCAAAGAAAATGCGGTACATCTACACCATGGACTACTACGCAACCCTGAAAAGGAACAAAATCATGGTTTTTTTTTTTTGTTTTTTGTTTTTTTTTTTTGCAGCAACATGGATGTAGCTGGAGGCCATTATTTTTTTTAATTATTTTTATTATTTTTTCTATTCTACTTTAAGTTCTGGGGTATATGTGCAGAATGTGCAGGATTGTTACATAGATATACATGTGCCATAGCGGTTTGCTGCACCCATCAACCCATCATCTACATTAGATATTTCTCATAATGCTGTCCCTCCCCCAGTCCCCCACCCCTGCAATAGGCCCCAGTGTGTGATGTTCCCCTCTCTGGGTCGATGTGTTCTCATTGTTCACTTCCCACTTATGAGTGAGAACATGCACTGTTTGGTTTTCTGCTCCTGTGTCACTTTGCTGAACATGAGGGTTTCCAGCTTCATCCATGTCCCTGCAAAGGACATGAACTCATCTTTTTCATGGCTGCATAGTATTCCACAGTGTCTATGTGCTACATTTTCTTTATCCAGTCTATCACTGATGAGCATTTGGGTTGGTTCCACATCTTTGCTATTGTGAACAGTGTGGAGGCCATTATCTTAAGTAAATTAACAGAATGCTGCGTGTTCTCACTTATAAGTGGGAGCTAAATGTTGCGTATATGTAGACACAGAGAAGGGAACAGATATTGGGGTCTAGTTAGGGGGAGAGAGGAAGGTAGAAGGACAAGAGTTGAAAAAACCAACTGTGGGGTATTATGCTCACTACCTGGGTGATGGGATCACTCATACCCCAGACCTCAGCATCACACATTGTACCCATGTAAGAAACCTGTACATGTACCTCCCGAATCCAAACTGCTCCACCATTTGCACCAGCAATTCCAAGACTGGGCATCTACCCAAAGGAAAAGAAGTCATTCTACCAAAAAGACACACGCATGGTAAAGTTCCTTTTTTGTTTGTTTTTTGAGATGGAGTCTCGCTCTATTTCCCATGCTGGAGTGCAGTAGCAATCTCGGCTCACTGCAACCTCTGTCTCCAGGGTTCAAGTGATTCTCCTGCCTCAGCCTCCTGAGCAGCTGGGATTACAGGCATGCACCACCATGCCTGGCTAATTTTTGTATTTTTAGTAGAGACAGGGTTTCACCATATTGACCAGGCTGGTCTCGAACTCCTGACCTCAGGTGATCTGCCCACCTTGGCCCTCCAGAGTGCTGGGATTACAGTGCCTGGCCCTGTAAGGTTCATCACAGCACGACTTACAATAGGAAAGTCATGGAATCAACCTAGTTGCCCATCAGTGGGGTACCGGATAAAGCAAAAGTGGTTCTTCTACAGCATCGAATACTACACAGCCATGAAAAAGAATAAAATCATGTCCTTTGCAGCCACATGGATGTAGCTGGAGGGCATTATGCTTAATGAATTAACACAAGAACAGAAAATCAAATACCACATGTTCTTGACTGGATAAAGCAATTGTGGCCCTTCTACACCATGGAATACTGCACTGCCATGAAAAAGAATAAAATCATGTTTTTGCAGCCACATGGACACAGCTGAAGGGAATTATGCTTAGTGAATTAACGCCAGGAAAAGAAAATGGAATACCACATGTTCTCCACTAGATAAAGCAAATGTGGTCTTTCTACGTCATGGAATACTACACAGCCATGAAAAAGAATAATGTCATGTCCTTTGCAGCCACATGGACACAGCTGAAGGACATTATGCTTAGTGAATTAATGCCAGGAACAGAAAATGAAATACTACATGTTCTCAACTGGATAAAGCAAATGTGGCCCTTCTACACCACGGAATACTACACAGTGATGAAAAAAATAAAATCATGTCTTTGCAGCCACATGGATGCAGCCAGAGGGCATTATGCTTAGTGAATCAATATGAGGAACAGAAAATCAAATACCACATGTTCTGCACTAGATAAAGCAAATGTGGTCCTTCTGCATCATGGAATACTACACAGCCATGAACAAGAATAAAATCATGCCCTTTGCAGCAACGTGGATGAAGCTGAAGGGAATTATGCTTAGTGAATTAATGCCAGAAACAGAAAATCAAATACCACATGTGCTCAATTAGATAAAGTAAATGTGATCCTTCCGCATCATGGAATACTACACAGCCATGAACAAGAATAAAATCATGCCCTTTGCAGTCACATGGATGAAGCTGAAGGGCACTATGCTTAGTGAATTAACGCCAGGAACAGAAAATAAAATACCACATGTTTTTGCTTATAGGTGGGAGCTAAACATTGCCTGCACCTGGACACAATGAAGGAGCACCACAGACCCTCAGGACTAATAGAGTAGGAAGCAGGGGCGGGGGTACAAGAGTTGAAAAACTACCCTGAGATTCTTTGAATTTCAGGCAGAAGGCAGCAACTGGAGAGATCTTTGGGTCACGGATTTTTCTGTTGCATTTTCTTGCTTGTTTGTTTTCTCTCTCTCTCTCTCTCTTTTTTTTTTTTTTTGAGATGGAGTCTCACTCTGTGACCCAGGCTGGAGTGCAGTGGTGCAATCTTGGCTCCCTGCAACTTCTGCCTCCTGGATTCAAGCAATTCTTCTACTTCAGCCTCCCAAGTAGCTGGGACTACAGGCACCTGCCACCACACCTGGCTAATTTTTGTATTTTTAGCAGAGACGGGGTTTCACCATGTTGGCCAGGCTGGTCTCGAACTCCTGACCTCAGGTAATCTGCCTGCCTTGGCCTCCCAAAGTGCTGGGATTACAGGCATGAGCCACTGCGCCTGGCCCTCTTCTTATATATTTCTAGAACTCCTCTCGAATTTGGGGTTTGTTTTTCTTAATTACAAGGAATCAAGTTGAATCATTAGTGCATATATAAATATACATTTTATTTTTAGTACACATTATATACCTCAGGAATGTACAATGCTCAGTGCCTGGGTGACGGGATTATTCATACCCCAAACCTCAGCATTGTACAATATCCCCAGGACACAAAGCTGCCCATGGATCCCCTGAATCTATAATTATAATAATAATAATAATAATAATAATAATAATAATAATAATAATAAAAAGTGACTTTGTCATTCGCAGGGAAATGTGAATGACATTCACTCTGCCTCTCAGGCCCTTGGATTCCCAAAGTTTGTTTTCATCACGCCCAGGGGACACTCAGAATCTCGTTTGCAGAACACGGGTTGTTTTTCTTAGAAACGCCTTGCAAAACAAAATAGGAAGCAAAATCTTTCTCACTCCTTCCACTCCATAATAGACAAAATAAAATGAGGGGGCAGGAATCCAGAGACTTTGACCACAGTTGGCAGATTTATTGTGGTACAGACATGAAGGCAAGCAGTGTTCTCTCTGATTCTACGAACCGTACAGCCCGGGCCAGCTGCCTTCTGCTTTCTGGATGGTGCAGGCGTGAGCTCCAAGCCCAAATTTCACTGGAGCTCCAAGAATCGAGCCTGGCCCAGGCACTCACTGCACGGGGGCCAAGCGTGAAGCCAGTGATCACTCCAGCAAGGTAACAGGACAGCTTGGTGATCCTTCTTGCCGGCCACAAAAGGTTATAGCCAGAATTCCACCGAATGTGGTCTTTCTGTGTCCCTCCCCAGACAGTGAAGCTGCACAAACCTGGGGGTGGGGGGTGGGGGGTGCTGACCTCAGTGGGGTGTCCTGAAGAGGCAGGAACCAGGGTTTACAGGGTGCAGATCCTACTGAAGCAAATGGACGTGGCATCCGCGGGCAGAGCTGGCTGTGGTGTCCCCCCTCTGCCTACGGTGTCACCAAATGTACCCAGAGACCGCTTGTAAACCTGGAGGGTGTGCTAACATCAGTGGGGTGTCCTGGAGAGGCAGGAACCTGGGTATCCACGGTGCAGATCCGACTGAAGCAAATGGACGTGGCATCCGCGGGCAGAGCTGGCTGTGGCATCCCCCCTTCTGCCTGGGGTGTCACCACATTTCACTGAGAGACCCCTTCTAAACCTGGGGAGAGTGCTGACCTCAGTGGGGTGTCCTGGAGAAGCAGGAACCAGGGTTTACAGGATGCAGATCCTACTGAAGCAAATGGACGTGGCATCCGCGGGCAGAGCTGGCTGTGGCTGGCCTTCCAGCCTGGATGTCTCCCCCCCACCTGGGGTGTCACCAGATGCACCCAGAGACCCCTTCTAAACCTGGGGGGATGTGCTGACCTCAGTGGGGTTTCCTGGAGAGGCAGGAAGCTGGGTTTCCAGGGTACATATCCTACTGAAGCAAATGGACGTGGCATCCTTGGGCAGAGCTGGCTGTGTCTGGCCTTCCAGCCTGGACGTCTCCCCCACTGCCTGGGGTGTCACCAAATGCACCCAGAGACCTCTCTTCTGAAAGCCCATTCATGGGAAGCCTCCAGGTCTCCTCAGCAGGCAGCATCACGTCTGATTTAACTGCGTTATCAGGTAATGCAGGCCTGTTCTACCTGTGTGCGTGAGCGCATGTGTGCCGTGTGGGAGTGTGTGTGTTGATGTGGGTGTGGGTGTGTGCTTGTGTGGCTGTGTGTGTGTGTGCCTGTTTATGTGATGATGAGTGTGTCTGTGAGTCTGTAAGACAATGTGTGTTTCCATGCGTGTTTCTGTGTGAGCGTGCATTCCTGTGTTTTATGGAAGTGTGTTTTTGTGATGGTGTTTTTGTGTGCCCCTGCGTTTATCGTATTTGTCTGTTTGTGAATATGAGTGTATGTGTGTGAATCTGTATGGCAATGTATAAATTCTTTTTTTTTTTTTTGAGATGGAGTCTCGCTCTGTCACCCATACTGGAGTGCAAAGGTACAATCTCAGCTCACAGCAACCTCCGCCTCCCGGGTTCAAGCAATTCTTCTGCCTCAGCCTCCTGAGTACCTGGGATTACAGGCACCCACCGCCACATCTGGCTAATTTTTCTTTTTTGATACGGAGTCTCGTTCTGTCGCCCAGGCTGGAGTGCAGTGGCATGATCTTGGCTCACTGCAACCTCTGCCTCCCGGGTTCAAATGATTCTCCTGCCTCAGCCTCCTGAGTAGCTGGGATTACAGGCATAAGCCACTACATCTGGCTAATTTTTGTATTTTTGAGTAGAGACGGGGTTTCACCATGTTGGCCAGGCTGGTCTGGAACTCCCGACCTCAAGTTATCTGCCCGCCTCGGCCTCCCAAAGTTCTGGGAGTACAGGCGTGAGCCACCTTGCCCGGCCCCAGTGTGTGAATTTTTATGTTTGTGTGTCCACATGATTATGTGAGTCTTTTTGTGACTGTGTTTCCATGAGTGTGTGACTGTATTTATGTGTTTGTGTGTGCTTGTGTGATTCTGAGTGTGTGTATGAGTGTGTATGACATATATGAGTGTCTATGTGGGTGAGTAGCCATCCACGTGTTTATATGAGAGTGTTTGCATGTTTCTGTTTATGAGTGACTTTGTATGTATACGTGTTTGTGTGCTTTGTGAGAATGTCAATGTGCATGTGCACCCACGTGTGCAAAAAACCCACACATTTTTGTAATTGTGTTTGTGTGTCCCTGCATTTGTGTGAGTGTGCATGTCTTCGTGTGTCCATGTGTTTCTATGAGTGTGTTTTGTGATTCTTTGTGTTGATGTGTGTTTGTGTAAGTGTGTGGTTGCATTTGTGTCAGTGATTCTGGAGCAGGTGAGCTGATCACAAGTCTGAGCCGAGAATCCATGGAGCTCATTTACAACAGAAGCCGGGACCCTGTGCAAATCCTTCTGAAATATCCCCGGTTTACAGAGCTCCTAGGGGTGGGGAAGAAAAATTCCCTGACTTTTCGGCCTCAGGGAAAGAGAGAGATACCCCGCTGGCCATACGCCTCTGCTGTTTCTCAGAAAACAGGTGGGGTATCACTCTTTCCCAAATGACGGTGATTTTAAGAACGGTTCACCTTTTGAAGAGACGTTTCTGCCCTGGCGATCCATACATATTGAACCCAAATGAATATTTTTTAATTAAAAATTTTTATATAAATATACATTGTGCATACTTTATATTAATATATTGATATAAATAAATATATTTTATTAATATAAACATGATTTTTATAGTTCATATAAATAAAGTTATATATAGTGTATATGTAAAATATACTTTTATTTGTGATACATAATTTTATAGATTAAATTTTATATACTAAGCAAAGTTATATGTGATATATACATGCCATATAACATCATTTATATAATATATCTTTATGTAAATAAGTATATAATAAAATTGATCTTATTATATTTGTTAATACGTAATTATGTATATATACTATGTAAAAATAAAATTATATATTGTATGTGCATAATTATATTTCTATAAATACACGCTTATGTGTGTATTTATACATGAATGCCTGTGTTTGTGTGAGTACATCAGTGAGTGCATGAATGTGTGTGTGTGCATGTGTGCCTGTGTTTGTGTGAGTGTAAGAGTGTTGTACATTTATACACACACATTTTGTTTTCTGGTTAATAACAAGATCTATCTTTGATTTAGGATATGAAGAATTCTTATAAGCAACCCCCCCACACAAAATTTGTATTTATTTTAAAATATTCTTAAAATATGGGTTATTTTATTTTTGCACAAACAGACAAGAGTGTTTTTTCTTTCCAAAACTTTTATTTCAAATTCTGACCCTGAGGAGCAGAAAAAGAAGAAAACATTGTGTAACCTTATATACATTAGAAACATAAGTAGTTACTAAATGCAATACAAATTTTGACAACATGCATTTAGGAAAAATGAGGAATTCATACTCGTAGCTGCCTCAATATTGAACTTTCTAAAGTTTAATTTTTTTTATTAAAAAATATTCATTTGGGTTCAATATGTATGGATCTCCAGGGCAGAAATGTCTCTCCAAAAAGTGAACCACTCTGAAAATCACCGTCATTTGGGAAAGGGTGATGCCCCAGCTGTCTTCTGAAAAATAGCAGAGGCTTCCGGCCAGTGGGGTGTCTCTCTCTTTCCCTGAGGCCGAAATGTCAGGGAATTTTTCTTCCCCACCCCTAGGAGCCCAGTAAATGGAGAATATTTCAGAAGGATTTGCACAGGGTCCTGGCTTCTGCTATTTATGAGCTCCATGGATTCTTGGCTCAGGCTTGTGATCAGCTCACCTGCTCCAGAATCACTTCCCATCTTAGCTTCTGGGCTAAGACACCTCAAAACCAGCAAAGGAAAGTCCTCACTGGTCAACGCGTCCATCCCAACTCCCCCATCTCCCTTTAGGGTGGGTTTGGGGTTCGGGACTGCTTTACTGTTCCTTTCAAAGCAGACTGGGAGGTAAGATTTTATTCTGCTTCCAGAGGTTCAGGATTTCTGCAGACGGTCAGCAACTCTTTGCATCCTACTGGTAAAAGTTTTATATACTTTGTATTTATATAAATATGCATTGTGTATATTTTATATGAATAGATTGATACAAATTATTTTATTAACTTAACCATATGACTTTTATATTTTTATATAAATAAAGTTATATGTAGTGTATATGTAAAATACTTCTATTTCTAATACATAATTTTATAGATTAAATTTAATATATTAAGCAAAAATATATGTAACATATATAACATATAACATCATTTATATAATATATAACTTAATGTAAATAAGTATATAAAATTGATATTATTATATTTGTTAATACATAATTATGCATATATACTGTGTAAAAATAAAATTACATATTGCATATGCATCATTATATTTCTATAAATACAATTATATACTATATATAATTATGTATAATTGTATAATAAAATTATATAATAAATTTTGAAACGTTATAAATTATTATACATAGTATTTTATTGTATTAAATTTAGAAATGTGTTATATGTAATAAAATTTTATTATAATAAATGTAGATTATATAAAATTTTATTTATAATAAATTACCTTATGTATAATTATAATATGAGAAAATAATTATATATCATTGTATTATAATAAATTTAGAAATGTTATACATTATTATATATAAAATTTCATTATATTAAATTTAGAAATATATGTAATAAAATGGTATTATATTAAAATTTTTATGTAACATTTTATTATACATGTATAATTTTATATAATATTTTATAATATATAGAATATAAGTACAAAAATATTTATATACAGCTACACGTAATATAAATACATCAGTGTAAGCTGTTTTGTGTGTGTGAGATGAAGTCTCGCTCTGTTGCCCAGGCTGGAGTGCAGCAACACGATCTCGGCTCACTGCAACCTCTGCCTCCTGGGTTCAAGCGATTCTCCTGCCTCAGCCTCCCGAGTAGCTGGGATTACAGGCATGCACCACCACACCCAATCAATTTTTGTATTTTTAGTAGAGATGGGGTTTCACTGTGTTAGCCAGGATGGTCTCAAATTCCTGACCTCAGGTGATCCACCCGCCTCGGCCTCCCAAAATGCTGGGATTACAGGCATGAGCCACAGTGTAAAATACTAGCTATTAAAAAATAAATATATATATATACTGCAACAGCTGATTTGTCTGGAAGAGTTTGGTCAGAAGACAGTGTATTAAGAAGACTGTGAGTCTCCAGAGGAATATAAGAATATACATCATGTTGATATATTATATATAACATAAATAGCTAACTACATCTGTGTATATAGTATAAACAAAAGTACAAAAATATTTGTATATAACTATATGTAATATAAATATATCAGTGTAAGATATTAGCTATTAAAAAATATATATATAGAGAGAGAGAGAGAGAGAGAGCAACCGGTGATTTGTCTGGAATATTCTAGTCAGAAGACAGTGTATTAAGAAGACAGTGAGTCCCCAGGAGAATACAAGAATGTGCATCATGTTAATATATTATATATAATATAAATACCTCACGACATCTGTATGTATAGTATAAACATAAAGTACAAAAATATTAGTATATTACTATATGTAATATAAATATATCAGTGTAAGATATTAGCTATTAAAATATACATATGTGTGTATGTATGTGTATATGTGTATATAAATATTATATATATATATAGTAACTGCTGATTTGTGTGGAAGACTTTGGTCAGAAGACAGTGTATTAAGAAGACAGTGGGTCCTCACAGGAAAATAAGAATATACATCATGTTTATATTATATATAACATAAACAACTAATTACATCTGTATATAGAGCACAAACATAAAGTACAAAAATATTTGTATATAATCATATGTAATATAAATATACCAGTGTAAGATATTAGCTATTAAAGTATACATGTGTGTATGTATGTGTATATGTGTACATATAATATATATACATATATAACATATATAATATATAAGATATAGCATAATATATTATATATAATATGTAATGTGTAACATATATTATATAATTAATATATAATATATAATATATTCTATAATTAATATATAATATATAATATATTCTATGCAATAAAATATATAGCATATATATATATATAGCAACAGCTGATTTGTCTGGAAGAATTTGGTCAGAAGACAGTGTATTAAGAAGACAGTGAGTCCCCAGAGAAATATAAGAATATACATCATGTTTATATTATATATAACATAAATAACTAACTACATCTGTATATATAGCATAAACATAAAGCACAAAATTATTTATATATAATATAAATATATCAGTGTAAGATATTAGCTATTAAAAAATATATATATATAGCAACCAGTGATTTGTCTGGAAGACTGGTCAGAAGACAGTGTATTAGGAAGACAGGCAGTCTCCGCAGGAAGCATGGTGCAGGTGGGATCTGGAGGTGACTCTGGGCTGCCAGAAGACGCCCCACTGCTTTGCGGCAGACACAGGTGGAGAGGTCCTCTCTGTAGCTTCAGCGTGGACACTGTGTGTGTCTTGCTGTGGGAACACTTCTTTCTGCTTCCCTCTCCACTGTGACCCCATCACACTCACTGACCTGCCCTCCTCCTTCCTCTCGCTCTCCGGGGCCCCTGTGGAAAGAGGGTCTTCCCTCCGTGCAGCAGGAACCCCCAGGACCATCCCCATGCTCCTGGGTTCTGAACTTCAGGGACATATGATCCTACCTGACCGGGCACAGGCTCTGTTCACCCTCAGGAACCCCTGTCCTCCCAGGCCACCGTGGACTGGAGAACTGGCCTCCTGAAAATCCAGAGAGAACTTAGCACTCACAACTTCTTTCTTTTTTTCTTTTTTCTTTGAGACGGGATCTTGCTCTTTTCCCCAGGCTGGAGTGCAATGGCATGATCTCAGCTCACTGCAACCTCCTCCTCCCAGGTTCAAGCAGTTCATCCTGCCTCTGTCTCCCGAGTATCTGGGATCACAGTCATCCACCCCCGCGGCCAACTAATTTCTGTATTTTTAGTAGAGACGGGGTTTCACCATGTTGGCCAGGCTGGTCTCGAACTCTTGACCTCAAGTGATCCACCTGCCTCGGCCTCCCAAAGTACTGGGATGACATATATTAGCATGATGTATATTCTTCTATTCCTCCGGGGACTCACTGTCTTCTTGGGCAGTAAACCACTGTGCCCGGACTTCTCTGTCCACATCTGCACACCTCTAAAACTCTGTAGATTCTGAATTGTTTTTCCTTTTGCACAGAATGAGAGGAACTGAAGTCGGGAGGCCCAGCCCCAACACGGTCCCTGTGGCTCTGTGCTCAGGCGGTTTACGGCTGAGAAGGACTTGGGGGGTTGAGGGCTTCCTATCAGCCCAGGAGACATTACCCGGGTCTGGGAAGCCTGCTCTGCATTTGTGGGTCTCGAATTGTCTGTTGCATTTACCTGCCTCATTATTTTTTCTTCCTGTCTCTCTTCTTACATATTTCTTTCGAATTTGGAGCTTGTTTTTCTTAACTACAATCAACTTGAATCATTACTGCATATATAAATATAAATTTTATATTGAGTAGACATTATATACTCAATCTACTACACATTCCAACACGGGCCATATCTAAGACGAATATTTATATTTAATGTTTAAAATATGTTTACATTTCATACAGAAAAATATATTTATATTTAATATATATGTGTATATTTAATACAGGAAATATATATTTATATTTAACATATAAAAATATATGTTTATATTTAATATGGGAAATATATGTTTATGTTTAATATACATAATACATGTTGATGTTTAATATAGAAAATGTATAGTTATATTTACTATGCAAAATACATGTTTATATTTAATATAGAAAATATGTTTATATTTAATGTACAGGATACATATTTATATTTAATATAGAAAATACATATTTATATTTAACATATACAGTATTTATATTTAATGTATAAAATATGTTTACATTTAATGTGCTGAATATATGCTTATATTTAATGTCTAAAATGTCTATATTTAATGTATTGTATACATTAAATGTACCAAATGTATTCTTATATTTAATGTATAAAAGATGTTTATATTTAACATATAAGATATGTTTACATTTAATGTATAAAATGTTTATGTTTGATGTATAAAAGATGTTTATATTTAACGTATACAATTTATATTTAATGTACCAAATATATTATTATATTTAATGTCCAAGCCAGCCAAGCCAGTCAGCCAAGCCGGCTAAGCCACCCACCCAGCCAAGCCAGCCAAGTGAGCCAGCTAGCCAGCCAGCCAAGCCAGCCAAACCAGCCAAGCCAGTCAGCCAGCCAAGCCAGCCAAGCCAGACAGCCAGGAAAGCCAGCCAAGCCAGCCAAGCCAGCCAAGCCAGCCAAGCCTCCAGCCAGCCAAGCCAGCCAAGCCAGCCAGCCAGGCAAGCCAGCCAAGCCTGCCAGCCAGCCAAGCCAGCCAAGCAAGGCAGCCAGCCAAGCCAGCCAGCCAGCCCAGCCGCCCCAGCCAGCCAAGCCAACCCAAACAGCCAAGCCAGCCAAGCCAGCCAGCCAAGAAAGGAAAGCCGGCCGGCCAAGCCAGCCAAGCCAATCAGCCAGCCAAGCCAGCCAAGCCAGCCAGCCAGCCAAGCCAGCCAAGGCAGCCAAGCCAGCCAAGCCAGCCAGGCAGCCAAGCAAGCCAATCCAGCCAGCTAGACAAGGCAGCCAAGCCAGCAGGCCAAGCGAGCCAAGCCAAGCCAGCCAAGCCAGCCAGCTAGCCAGCCAAGCCAGCCAAGCCAGCCAAGCCAGCCCAGCCAGCCAGCCAGCCAGCCGAGCCGGCCAAACCAGACAGCGAGCCCAGCCAGCCCAGCCAGTCAGCCAGCCAAACCAGCCACCCAGCCAAGCCAGCCAGCCACCCAGCCAAGCCAGCCAAGAGACCCAAGCCAGCCATGTCCCACGGCCAGCCAAGTCAGCCAAGCTACCTGGACAGCCAAACTAGGCAAGCCAGCCAAGCCTGCCAGCCAGCCAAGCCAGCCAAGCCAGCCAAGCAGCCAAGCCAGCCAGCCAGCGAAGCCAGCCAAGACAGCCAGCACACTCACACACACACACTCACACGTACACACACTCACCACCCCATGCCAAGAAGATACACAGAAAACTCACTCACCTTTCACTTGAGTTTGCAAATTTGGAGCTGACTTAATGAAGGAAAAAAAAATTGCAGCTACAAAGTAACACAGAGCCAATGAAAAGACAAAAACCACCATTAGATTTTCTTCTTTTCTAAAGTTTTATTTTATTTTTAAGAGTCATCGTTCGGATCAGGCGCAGTGGCTCACGCTTGTAATCCCAGCGCTTTGGGAGGCTGAGGTGGGAGAATCACAAGGCCAGAAGTTCAAGACCAGTCTGGGCAACATAGCAAGATCTCATCTCTTAAAAAAAAGTACAAAAGTTAACTGGACCTACTGGTGCAGACCTGTATTTCCAGCTACTGGGGAGGCTGAGGTGGAAGGATGGTTTGAGTCCAGGAGGTTGAGGCTGTACTGAGCCATGATTGCATCACTGCACACTCCAGCTTAGGCAACAGAGCAAGACCTTGTCTCAAGAAAAAAACTCCATAACGATTGTACACATTTATGACATATAATATACTGTTTCCAAGCACGTGTATATCATGTAATGACACCTCATGGTAATTATCAGATCCAGCTGCTCAGAAATCTCATTTTCCAGTGGCTGGGGAATACGCATTTTTTTTTTTTTTTTGAGACAGAGTTTCGCTCTTGTCACCCAGGCTGGAGTGCAATGGAATGATCTTGGCTCACTGCAAACTCCGCCTCCAGGGTTCAAGCGATTCTCCTGCCTCAGCCTCCCCAGTAGCTGGGATTACAGGCATGTGCCACCACGCCTGGTTCATTTTGTATTTTCAGTAGAGACTGGGTTTCATCGTGCTGGCCAGGCTGGTCTCGAACTCCTGACCTCAAGTGTTCCACCCACCTCAGCCTCCCAAAGTGCTGGGATTACAGGCGTGAGCCACCAAGCCTGGCCAACCCTCTCATCTTTCAGGGGCTTAAATAAAATTTGCTTTTCTCCCCAAAGGCGGGTCCCCACCCCATTCAGCCCAGTTTCAAAGGGTGGAGTGTAAACGGTGGGTTGCCCAATTCCTGCTGCCATGAAGTACTTCAGCTTACAGCAGAAAGCCAGGCGCAGACACCATGCTTTATTTCTATTTCTACGAACAAGAAGCGTCTCTTGCAGTCTGCAATATTTGTCGTCAAAAATTTCACTGGGTGTTGTATCAAATCAGCCACCTCTATAGAGTGTGATCGTTGACAATTTTTTGTTACATCCCGATGGCCGTTTTACCTGGACCATTTTCTTCCTTTCATGGGTGAAGCAAAACTCCTTGGTAGACTTTTTTTTTGAGACAGAGTCTCGCTCTGTCGCTCTGTTGCCCAGGCTGGAGTGCAGTGGTGCGATGTCGACTCACTGCAACCTCCGCCTCCCCCGGGTTCACACCATTCTCCTGCCTCAGCCTCCCCAGTAGCTCGGACTACAGGCACCCACCCACCATGTCCACCTAATTTTTTTGTATTTTTAGTAGAGACAGGGTTTCACCGTTTTAGCCAGGATGGTCTCGTATCCTGACCTCGTGATCCGCCCGCCTCGGCCTCCCAAAGTTCTGGGATTACACGTGTGAGCCACCGCACCAGGCCAATGTGATGATTATCTATGGATATACCCTGATCATCAGCAGGAGGAAATGAAGAGGTATTGGTTAAAAATACAAAGTTGCAGTTACGCAGGATGAATAAGTACTAATTTGTAACAATTCAGTATGAAACAGTGTGACCGTGGTTAACAAGGCTCTGCTCTATGCCTGACATCTGAGAACAGAGGAATTGAAGTCTGAACTTTGTCCAGAAGAGGATGGCTTTGTAGGCTTTGCTGAGCATGCTGAATTCACGGTTTCCGGGTCAGCCCCTGGGCTGCCCAGGGACAGGGTGGAAACCCTGCCCCAGAAAGTCCAGGAGCCAGGAACCTGCTTAGAGACACATTTCAACAAGGAAAACCACACTCAGGCCGGCCTCCTTAAAAACACATAGGCCCGGCGCGGTGGCTCAAGCCTGTAATTCCAGCACTTTGGGAGGCTGAGGCAGGTGGATTGCCTGAGTTCAGGAGTTCGAGGCTGCGGTGAGCTATGATTGCACTCCAGCCTGGGCAACAGAGTGAGACCCTGTCTCAAAGAAATAAACAAATAAATGAATAAGCAAGCAAGCAATTTTTAAGTTGAACATCAGTTCTCTACTTGACTCTAGAGTTAAATAGGCATCCAGTTGCTTTTTGTGTTTATTTTTATATTCACTGCTTTTGCCTGCAACTGTGTTTCTGGTTCTAAGTAAATATAACGTATGCTACTGGTACACATACGTCTTAGGCAACATATATTTCATTCACTGGATTGTTAGCTCTGTTTTGTTTTGTCACTACTTTAGTCCCAGTACCAATAACTGTGCCAGGCACAAAGTAGGTGTTTAGCTAATATTGTTAAATGAAGAAATACAAATATTTGATTTTATCACTTGAATCCTCATTTATTAGTACTGCACTATCTTTTCTTAGCTGTTTTTGTGAACATATGTGTGCTGCTTTTTTACCCTAACTAGATTGGAAGTACATTGTGGGTAGAAACTTGGTTTTATTTGTTTTTCCTATATTCTCCTTTACAGCAGTTTAGACCTGATGGGAAGTAGGTATTTCCCAAACACGTGATTGAACTGAAATACATTGGTAGATTTCATTTTATCAGGAGACTGCCAAAAGTATAGTCATAAATAAGGAATTTGGAAGAGAATCAAAAAGCTAGTATGTACTCATCTGTCAGCTTGAAGGCCTGTATAAGACTCCATACTTCTGTGGAGTAAAAAGGGTAGGGTTCTGGGGCTGGACGCGGTAGCTCACACCTGTAATCCCAACACTTTGGGGAAAAAAAGAGGGTTCTGGGACTATTCTTTGCTTCTTCTTCTTTTTTTTTTTTTTTTTGAGACAGTTTTGCTCTGTCATTCAGGCTGGAGTGCAGTGGCATGAATTCGACTCACCACAACCTCTACCTCAGGTTCAAGCAGTTCTCCTGCCTGAGCCTCCTGAGTAGCTGGGATTACAGGTGCTTGCGACCACACCTGGCTAATTTTTTTATATTTTTAGTAGAGATGGGGGTTTTACCATGATGGCCAGGCTGGTTAAGAACTCCTGACCTCAAGTGATCCGCCCGTCTCGGCCTCCCAAAGTGCTAGGATTACAGGCGTGAGCCACTGCACCCGGCCTCTGGGACTGTTCTTTTCCTTGCTCCTTAACAGACTATTTCCTGCTTTTTGTTTTGTTTTGTTTTGCTTTGCTTTGTTTTTTGTTTTTGGCCTTCTAACTGTGTTACAAATGGTTTAAGTCAGTGGTTCTCCAAGGGTGGTCCCAGATCAGCAGCATTATCACCTGGGTACTTACTAGAAATGCAAATTCTTGGGCCCCACTCCAGACCTACTGAATGAGCAACTCTGAGGGTAGAACCTAAAAAATTGTGTTTTAACAAGTCATCTGGGTGATTCTGTTGGTAAAGTTTGATGTCACCAAATGATAATGATGCTTTTTTTTTAAATTGAGATGGAGTCTTGCTCTGTCGCCCAGTCTGGAGTGCAGTGGCGTGATCTTGGTTTACTGCAACTTCCACCTCCCAGGTTCAAGCAATTCTCCTGTCTCAGCCTCCTGAGTAGCTGGGACTACAGGCACACGCCACCATGTCTGGCTAATTTTTGTATTTTTAGTAGAGATGGGGTTTCATCATACTGGTCAGGCTGGTCTCAAACTCCTGACCTCAGGTGATCCACCTGTCTCGGTCTCCCAAAGTGCTGGGATTACAGGCATGAACCACTGTGCCTAGCCTGATAAAGACACTGTCTTTAAGAGAGAGGGCTAGAGGCAGTGATTATGTGCCAGAGAAAACTAGCAGCCTAGATTTAAGAGGATAATATAATCCAAAGCTTTTCAGAGGGAATAGATATAGTTTATAGAAGGCATTAAGACATAAAGCAGATTATTGAAACTTCACTGTACACTGTAACCATATAATTGACTTTTACTTATATATTTCCTCTTTTACTTTGAAGTTTGTGTTCAAATCAAAAGATGAGAACCTTAAATTAATCAAGTTTTATAATATTTTATTTTAGATTTTTGTAAAAGTGAATGCTTTTTATATTCCATAGCAAGTAACTGAAAAGCTACTGAAAAGTGTCCAACCCAAGAATTTTGTGTATTTTTCATTTTGAATATACTTCTCAGTTATTTCAATTTTGAATCCTAGCCCTTTTAAATTTCAGAATACACAGTAGTTTAAAATGGCTTCAATAAGGCTGGGCGCGGTGGCTCGCACCTGTAATCCCAGGGCTTAGGGAGACCGAGGTGGGTGGATCACGAGGTCAGGAGTTTGAGAACAGCCTGACCAACGTGGTAAAACCCTGTCTCTACTAAAAATACAAAAATTAGCTGGGCGTAGTGGTGCGCACCTGTAATCCCAGCTACTCAGGAGGCTGAGGTAGGAGAATTACTTCGACCCCGGGAGGCTGAAGTTGCAGTGAGCCGAAATCTCACCACTGTACTACAGCCTGGGCGACAGAGTGAGACTCTGTCTCAAAAGAAAAAAAAAGGGTGGGGGGGCTTTAATAAATTAAGTGGTACATTTTAAATATTTTAATTGTTTATTAGATATTACGTATGCAGATAAACCTGTTTAAATATAGAAGATTTGTATTCCTATTTACATATATCCTTTTGACAAATTAGAATTGAAAATAATATAAAAATAAATTTTCAGCTGGGCACGGTGGCTCACGTCTGTAATCCCAGCATTTTGGGAGGCCGGGGCGGGCGGATCACGAGATCAGGAGATTGAGACCATGGTAAAACCCCGTCTCTACTAAAAATACAAAAAATTAGCCGGGTGCAGTGGCGGGCGCCTGTAGTCCCAGCTACTCAGGAGGCTGAGGCAAGAGAATGGCGTGAACCCGGGAAGCGGAGCTTGCAGTGAGCTGAGATGGTGCCACTGCACTCCAGCCTGGGCAACAGAGTGAGACTCCATCTCAAAAAAAATAAATATATAAAATAAAAAATTAAATAAAAAAATAAATTTTCTTTCTGTCATGCAGACTTAAATAGTAAAATATCTTCCTTCTATTATTTTTATCTTTTTTGTTTATGATGGTTAGGAAGTGAATATCTAATTTTCTATACTGTGAAAAATACACAAAGTATCATGGAAGTTCAACATTCATTTTCCTTGAAAATAATTCCAAAGTTTTCTTCTCCAGAAATATATCCTGTTATCATTAAGTTTAGTTGTACTGATAAATGGCAGTTGATGATTTGTAAGTTTTTAAACATATTTATTCATAACACTTATTTTTTTTCTTTTTGAGACGGAGTCTCACTCTGTTGCCCAGGCTGGAGTGCAGTGGTGTGGTCTCGGCTCACTGCAACCTCCACCTCCTGGGTTCAAGCAGTTCTCTGCCTCAGCCTCTCAAGTAGCTGGGATTACAGGCACCTGCCACCACGCCCGGCTAATTTTCTTTTTTGTATTTTTAGTAGAGATGGGGTTTGGCCAGGCTGGTCTTGAACTCCTGACCTCGTGATCCACCCGCCTCGGCCTCCCAAAGTGCTAGGATTACAGGGGCGAGCCACCACGCCCTGCCTTTTTTTTTTTTTTTAAAGATGGAATCTCACCGTGTCGCCCAGGCTGGAGTGCAGTGGTGCGATCTCTGCACACTGCAACCTCCGTCTCCCGGGTTTGAGTAATTCTTCTGTCTCAGCCTTCCGAGTAGCTGCGAATACAGTGCCTGGCTGATTTTTGTATGTTTAGTGGAGACAGGGTTTCACTGTGTTGGCCAGGCTGGTCTCGAACTCCTGACCTCAGGTGATCCCCCCGCCTCAGCCTCCCAAAGTTCTGGGATTACAGGTGTGAGCCCCTGTGTCCGACCTATTTTCCTCTTTTTCTTTTTACTTTTTCCCTTCCCTTTATTTCTTCCTTTCACTGTTTTCATCTTTTATGTCTCTCACCCTCGCCCTTCCTCAGTTCAATTCAAAGAGCAATATACTGCCATATCTGGAGAATTTTTAGCTGGAATTTAATCTTTATTTTAAAAGAGTAAGAATTTATACCAATTATTATGTTTTCGACTGAGGTCGTTTTACAGAAGGAATTCTTTTTTTTATGTAGGAATGTGTTTTAAGACTTTTTGTTTCTAATGTCTTAGTTTTCTAGAGAAAAAAAGGTAAAAGATTGACATTATTCTCATAGTCTTTTACTCTTTTCTCAAAGGTCTTAGTTCAGGTCCTAATTTTCTTTCAATTATACTCATTTATTTAACCAGTCTCCTTTAGGTGGTCATTTGGGTTGTATACATATTCTTGTCTGTGTTTTATCAGTAATGTATTATATAATTTCATGTATGTACAAATAAATATTTGAAGGATAACATTCTAAAATTGCTGAGTTAAAGGGTATATGCATTTATAAACTTGACAGATATTACCAGTTGTCCTCTATAAAGTGAAACTGGTTTATATCACCACAGCTAACATATAAATGTCTGTTTTCTACCATATTATTAAATTACTGAACTTTATCCATCTGATGGAAAAGGAGAAATCTGATTGTACTTTATTTTTTATATTTTTAATATTTTTATGAGACTTCTTGGCATGTTGGCCAGGATGGTCTCAAACTCCAGCCTCAAGCAATCCTCTCACCTCAGTCTCCCAAAGTTCTGGGACTACAGGCATTAGCTACCATGCCTGGCCCTGATTACCACCCCACCACCCCCCCCCCCGCCCCCTTTTTTTTTTTGAGACAAGGTCTCACTCTGTCACCCATGTTAGAGTGTGGTGGCGTGATCACTGCTCACTGCAGCCTTGGCCTCCTGGGCTGAGGTGATTCTCCTGCCTCAGCCTCCCAAGTAGCTGGGACCACAGACACATGCCACCATGCCTGGCTGATTTTTTTAATTATTTGTAGGGAAGTGGTCTCGCTATGTTGCACAGGCTAGGCTCAAACTCCTGAGCTCAAGTTATCCTCCCACCTCGGCCTCCCAAAGTGCTGTAATTACAGGACTGAGCCACTGTGCCCAGCCTCTGATTATACTTTTAATTGTAATTTCTCTTATGCTTGAAGTTGAACATATACAGTAAAGACTTTACGGTATTGTAGGCTGAAGTTTCAGAATCATCCAGGACCAATGATGTTAGCAGAAATGCAAAACTAGCCAAGGAGTATCGAGAGGACAAAATTGATAATTGATATTGTTATTACCTTCAAAGTTTGATTGCATTGATTAGCTTATTATTTTTATTAAAATCATTTTAAAGAGCATATAAAGTTCTATGCCAAAGCATGTTTGGCCTGACAAGTTGGGCTGTCACTTCCTTTTGACAAGACTTTCATTTTTATCAGCTTTAAATGCATGTGTCATTACTATTCTGGTTAGGTAACATAATTATCCCACTGCAGAATATATAATTTCAAAAGAGTCTTGTGGATATTTGATGCCTTTTCCTCTGAAAACAATTGAATTGTTTTCAGACCACTTTTATTTCAGTAAGATAAATGTAATCCTTCCTTTAATTGTAATGTAGAATTTAAGAGCATATTGAAATGAAAAGAAAAGCTCAACACTACCTATATTTTGAAAGTTATAAGAGACTAGATAAGTTGGATTTTATGTTTCTTGTGGTACCGAATAGAAACAAAGGTCATTCAAACTAAGTTTGAATGAGAATTAAGTTTAATGGCTCACTTGCTAAACCTGGGTTGCACAATCCTCACAATTCCTTAGGGATGTGGCAAGGTCATCCTTAAATGTAAAGTTCTTGCTCACTTAATGGAAAGCACTGTAGATACATAAATAACATTGTTACCTGTCTTAGTGGGTCAGTATAAAAGACGGGGGTGGTGGTATATGTGAGAATAGTGAAATTTATAGCTAGTTTTGAGGCCCTTGTGACTTTTAAGAGGTATTATGAGTCACTTTAACAAGTTAGTGTTTGTGACATAGTTTCAATTTCTTATGTGAAAGATAGTATTTCAGTTGTAAATGTTCTTTTAATATTCTGGAGAGCTACTCTTTCCTAGCCCCTCTGTTTTACTGACTTTAAAAGTTGTTTACAGTTTGTTTCATGTTCAAATGTAGGGTTTTAGTAATTCCTTGGGGTGGGGGGCAGGAATGGGCAGAAGGCCATTGTCTCTAATTTTCCTTTTCCCAACTTTCACTTTCTTTTTTCTATGGATTACATGTCAAGGTGGGTGAGAAAAATGGTGGGGATTGAGAAAAGGGAGCAATTTATTTTTTGTAGGGGAGGTCCAAAATAAAGTCACTTAAGGAATCTGTCATAAAATTTAAATATATGATGAAGCTTGTGCAAGGGGATTATAAGAACTGATTTTACTTTAACCCTTCCTGCTTTATAAAAAGATCTTGTTGATGGCAAAAAGACAAACGCTTTAGCAAACTGTACTGTACACCTTGCATTTGTTTGTATTAATATTAGTTGTTTTATTTTTTAATATGGAGTCTCACTCTGTTACCCAGGATGGAGTGCAGTGGCGCAATCTCGGCTCACTGCAACCCCTGCCTCCTGGGTTCAAGCAATTCTTCTGCCTCAGCCTCCCGAGTAGCTGGGGTTATAGGTGCCATCAGGCCCGGCTAATTTTTGTATTTTTAGTAGAGACAGGGTTTCACCATGTTGGTCAGGCTGGTCTTGAACTCTTGACCTCAAGTGATCCACCCGCCTCAGCCTCCCAAAGTGCTGGGATTACAGGTGTGAGCCACCGCACCCGGCAGTATTAGTTGTTTTATATTGTAGACTCTTAATTGATGTGGACTATGTGTTGTAAAATCCCTACCCTGAAGTACAATGCATTTAGATGTCCCCCCGCCCTTTTTAACTTAAATCCTTTTTCCCCCTTGCAGTCAGTGCATTTTTATATTTCTACATGCTTTGTGAGAAATGTGTAAAGGAAATATTTTTGCATCTAATTGTTCTAACTTCCAAAGGTTCTTTACTGAGTTAAAAAAAACTGTTTTTTTTTTGGTCTAAACTGAATTTTGTCTGTCTTTCCCCTACTCAGGCCCAGATTACCTTCCTACAGGGAGAAAGGAAGGGCCAAGAAAATTTGAAGAAGGATCTTGTGAGGAGGATCAAAATGTTGGAGTATGCTCTTAAACAGGAAAGGTAATTCAGTAAAATGAAAAGTGGTGTTCTTTTTTGTTTGTTTTGAGATGGAGTTTCATTCTTGTTGCCCAGGCTGGGGTGCAATGGTGCGATCTTGGCTCACCGCAACCTCCACCACCCGGTTCAAGCAATTCTCCCACCTCAGCCTCCCCAGTAGCTGGGATTACAGGCATGCACCACCACACCCAGCTAATTTTGTATTTTTAGTAGAGACGGGGTTTCTCCATGTTGGTCAGGCTGGTCTCGAACTCCTGACCTCAGGTGATCTGCCCACCTCGGCTTCCCAAAGTGCTGGGATTACAGGTGTGAGCCACTGGGCCTGGCCAAAATGGTGGTCTCTTAAATGTTAGAATAATTTTTTCATCATTCCTAAAATAAATTGAAATGTTAATACTGCTTGAGTTCAGGTGTGTCTGTAGTAAACATTTGTATGAATGGTTGTAATATGTTAATTTTATTATGAATAGTTTGATAATGATCAAAAAATTGATTTATATGATTTCTTAAAAATTAGCAACATTTTTTTCCTACTCTGCCTGTTTTGAAGAAGCAGATGTGCTCCCTGAGCTGTTAATACCCATTCATTTTAAAGTTGAAATAGTTTTTAATTTTTAAAGGAGGTTTCTATAATGTTTACTCCTTTTCCTGTCATTTAATATTATTCAATTTGATGTATTTTCTTTAGAAAAAAATTGTTCTAGCAGACTATGTTAAGATTCTATATAGACTTTTTTTTTTGAAACGGAGTCTCGCTCTGTTGCCCATGCTGGAGTGAGGTGGTGCAATCTCGGTTCACTGCAAGCTCCACCTCCCAGGTTCACGCCATTCTCCTGCCTCAGCCTCCCAAGTAGCTGGGACTACAGGTGCCCGCCACCACACCTGGCTAATTTTTTGTATTTTTAGTAGAGATGGGGTTTCACCATGTTAGCCAGGATGGTCTCGATCTCCTGACCTCATGATCCCCCAATCTTGGCCTCCCAAAGTGCTGGGATTACAGGCGTGAGCCACCGCGCCCAGCCTATAGACTTTTTTTGTGTATTTTGTTTCTTTGCTGTCTGCCGTTACAATCTGTCCAAAAGCTTGTCTTACCTTTCTATTTTGCTAGTGTCTAAGATACTCCAGTAACTAAATTTGGGTCACAAGTAAAGGAAAATAGGTCATGAGTGAGATTTTTAGATGTTATATGAGTTATTTATTTGCTTTAATGAATAGGCCTTGGATTTTTTTGTCGACAATCTGAGTTCATTTGTTTAAGATAACTGAGTACTTATAGGTGATATTGGAATTATCTATTTTGCTACTTTCTTGCTTTGTTTTTAATGATGCTTGTTTTGTTTTTCTCTTTTTGAAGTTGGTGAATGGGATATTTGCAATAAAATAGCATTTAGATGCAATTAGATAAATAGATGATATTTATGAGTAATGAGAAACAGATAAAATTTTATTAGAACTTACGTTCATCAACATATAGAATGGTGTAAGAGATTGAAAATAGGTTGACCTCTTAGTGAAAAATACGTGTTTCTTTTCATACTTTGGGAAAGTTGATGAAAAGCTGTATCAGGGACATGGAAAGAAAAAAACATTTTTAGGCTGGGCGTTGTGGCTCACGCCTGTAAACCCAGCACTTTGGGAGGCTGAGGCGGGCAGATCACAAGGTCAGATCAAGACCATACTGGCTAACACGGTGAAACCCCGTCTCTACTAAAAATATAAAAAAATTAGCCAGGCATGGTGGCGGGCACCTGTAGTCCCAGCTACTTGGGAGGCTAAGCAGGAGAATGGTGTGAACCCAGGAGGCGGAGCTTGCAGTGAGCCGAGATTGCACCACTGCACTCCAGCCTGGGCGACAGAGCAAGACTCCATCTCAAAAAAAATAAAAAAATAAAAAATAAAAAACATTTTTAAAAATACATAATTTGGGAGTAGTGAGATTTTTTTTTTTTTTTTTTTTGAGGTGGAGTCCTGCTTTGTTGCCTAGGCTGGAGTGCAGTGGTGTGATCTCGGCTCAGTGCAACCTCCGCCTCCCGGGCTCAAGCAATTCTCCTGTCTCAGCCTCCGGAGTTGCTGGGACTACAGGCGCATGCCACCATGCCCGGCTAATTTTTTTGCATTTTTAGTAGAGACAGGGTTTCACCATATTGGTCAGACTGGTCTTGAACTACTGACCTCAGGTAATCCACCACCTCAGCCTCCCAAAGTGCTGGGATTACAGGGGTGAGCCAATGTACCTGGCCGAGTATTTGAGATTTTTTTTTTGAAACGGAGTTTTGCTCTGTTGCCAGGCTGGAGTGCAGTGGCACGATCTTGGCTCACTGCAACCTCTGCCTCCTGGGTTCAAGCAGTTCTCCTGCCTCAGCCTCCCGAGTAGCTGGGATTACAGGCACTCGCCACCATGTCCAGCTAATTTTTGTATTTTTAGTAGAGACGGGGTTTCACCATGTTGGCTGGGATGGTCTCAATCTCTTGACTTTGTGATCCGTCTGCCTCAGCCTCCCAAAGTGCTGGGTGGCGTGAACCACTATGCGTGGCCTGGAGTGGTTATTTTCATCTGGAAGAGGAAAGTAGAAAGGAGTGCAGAGTAAGAGGAGGTGAGGCTTGAATAGCATCAAATAAGAAGGTGCTTGTCAGACAGACAAGGTGCAGGAAGTAGAGAGAACATGTTTGACATGGAACAAAGCAGTTTGGTGTGTTCAGAAATTTGTAATCTTTGTGTGTGGAGAGTAGGATGTTGGTTGTGGTCCTCCTCTCAGTTGATGACCGATAATGGTAGAGGGGGCAAGAGTCAGATCACAGAGAGCCTAACCAAGGAGTTCAAACTTTTATCTTACATGTAACAGGGAATGTGGGAGGTTTAAATTTTTTTTTTTGAGACAGGGTCTTGCTCTGTTGCCCAGGCTGTAGTGCAGTGGCACAGTCATTGTTCATTGTGGTGCCAACCTTCTGGGCACAAGTGATCCTCCCACTTCAGCCTCCCAAGTGGCTGGGAATACAGATATACTCCAGTCCACACAGACAAATTTTTAATTTTTTAGAGAGACAGGGTCTCACCCTGTTGCCAGGGCTGGTCTGGAACTCCTGGGCTCAAGCAGACCTCCTGCTATAGCCTCTCAAAGTGCCGTGATTATAGGCGTGAGTCACCATGCCCAGCCAAAAATATTTTATCTAAAATGATCTCAAACTAATAGAGGAGTTGCAAGAATCTTGTATACCCTTTACCCAGATTCACCAATTGAAAATGTTTTGCTATATTTGCTTTATTGTGTTTGCTCTCTCTGTAGGTATCATTTTTTCCCCTAAATCATTTGCTAGTTTGTCCCTAACTACCTCTGTGTATATTTCCTAAGAGCAAGGACATTTCCTTATGTGATTATAGTACATTACCAAGTTAAAGAAATGTAACATTGATATTCTATTATCTGATATAGTCTATATTCAGATGTTCTAAAAAGGATCTTTATAGCTTTTTTTTTCCCCTGGTCCAGGATCCAATCTGGAAATATATACTGCATTTAGTTGTTAAGCACTTGAAAGTTTTAAGCAAGATAGAGTATGAAATACATTTTAGAAAGATCTCCTGACCTCAGTGTGGGGGTGGACTGGAAAGATCTGTAAACACAGCCAGAAAGATTGTAATAGTCTAAGATGAGAAATGATAACACAGTAGCTGCTGAAATAGAGACACATCAACTATAAAAAATTTTTAAGTACAGTCCATGAAATCTGAAGCTTATATAAAAATTTGGAGATGGGACAGGGGGTGAGTGAGAAAGATAATTTGAGAATGACTCCCATGTTCCTGGCTTGAAGGACTATCTGAATTGTGAGAGACTTTTAGAAGGTATCAAATGAATTAAAAAGAAGAATTAAAGAGCAGATATGTGAGGGGGACGCATGATGAGAGATATATGCTTGGGAATCATCAGTATTATTGTGAATGAAGTGAAAGGAGTAGTTGATAGAACAAGTATTGTGGAAACAGAAAAGAGAACTAGAAGGAGTGAGAGGAAGTAGAAATATTTGAAGAGAAGGCAGAGGAAGAAGAGCCAACAAAGAAATAGAGAAGGAAGGAGGAGAGAGTAGTATTTTGGAAGTGAGTTAAAGGAGGAAGTTCAATAACTGAAGATGCTAAGTAGACTCCAAGTAAGTTGTATACTGAAAATAGTCATTTGGAGTTGCCAGTTGGAAGCTTACTAGTACCCTTACTAAAGCAGCCTCAGTAAGGCAGCAGGAACATGAGCCAGATCACAGAGGACCGAGGGCTGAGAAGGATGAAGTGGGGAGAGATGGAGTTGCTTATTATTATTATTTTTTTCTTTGAGACAGAGTCTTGCTCTGTCACCAGGCTGGAGTGCAGTGGCGTGATCTCGGCTCACTGCAACCTCCGCCTCCTGGGTTCAAGCCATTCTCCTGCCTCAGTCTCCTGAGTAGCTGGGACTACAGGCGTGTGCCACCACGCTGGGCTAATTTTTGTATTTTTAGTAGAGATGGGGTGTCACCATCTTGGCCAGGATGGTCTCGATCCCTTGACCTTGTGATCCGCCCTCCTTGGCCTCCCAAAGTGTTGGGATTACAGACGTGAGACACCACGCCTGGCAGAGTTGCTTATTTTTTTAAGAAATTTGACTCTGAAGGACAGTAGAGATAAGGAACTGGCTGAATCTAGGGAATATTTTTTTCTTCTTTTTCTTAACTAAATGGGATTGCTCCTGGAAAAGAGTTCCTGCTTTTGTGTCTTTTTTTTTTTTTTTTTTTTTTTTTTTGAGATGGAGTTTTGCTCTTGTCGCCCAGGCTGGAGTGCAATGGCGCAATCTCGGCTCACTGCAACCTCCACTTCCCGAGTTCAAGTGATTCTCCTGCCTCAGCCTCCCCAGTAGCTGGGATTACAGGCATGCACCACCACACCCAGCTAATTTTGTATTTTTGGTAGAGACGGGGTTTCTCCATGTTGGTCAGACTGGTTTCAAACTCACAACCTCAGGTGATCCGCCCACCTCGGCCTCCCAAAGTGTTGGGATTACAGACGTGAGCCACCGCACCCAGCCTGGTTTTGTATCTTTTGAAGTATATGGAATGATTTGGGATTATTCTTGATGTTATGGCACTATTTGTATAATCTAAGAAATTTTTAAAAAGCATTTATTTGTGGCTTGAATTTTAAATTGAATTTTTAAAAAATTTATTGAGGAAAATTTGAAATATACTCATAGAGAAACTAATGTCTTTGATATATAGCCCCAAGTTTTAACAGTTAATGTTTTTGTCAGTCTTTTTCACCTTGATCTATTTTAATGCAATTCCAGATACCTCGTCATTTCACCTGTAAGTGCCTAAGTAAAGATCATGATTTTACATGATTTTCTTTGCATGATTTTTGCAGATTTTCTAAGTAGTTCCACTTTAGGATCCAAAAGTAAAACCGAATTATTAATGTTACAGAAGAATTACCTACCTAGCAGTGGATTTATCAAAGCATTCCTGTCTGGGAAGACCTGGGCTTCCCAGACAGGACTGAGGATCATCACACGGTGTTCAGCACATACCACCAGGGGCAGGTGCACCCTGGCTTCTGAAGTAGCACCTGAGAATCCCCTGTGTCTAGTACCTGCTTCATGAATAACATTCCATAGGCTTCGGAAAGACTGTGGTTTAGGCTCTAATTTATTCAACTTGAATAATTTCTCCTTGAAATACTGAGAATAGCTTCTCTTTTGCTGTACAAATTCCGATTATCCCATAACACAGACTCCTCAGTTGGACTTATCTCTCTTCTTTATTCAGTCAGGACAGGCATTGTCACATCTTTTCTGCTGGGGATGAGGGTGAAAGAGGCTTAGGGTTCAGAGGAACCTCCCTGGCCTCCTCTAGGAAAATCTCCCAATGACTTTCCAAACCTGACTGAGTTTGAGAACTTCCCTCAGCAGATAGAGGCACCGGAAGGAGCATTGGGGCAGCCCAGCCTCACACATCTGCTTCCTTGGGGATTATGTTATGACTTGTAACGCTGTGGGAGGGGTACTGTCACTCTGTTGACAGTAATAAGTTGCAAAATCTTCAGGCTGCAGGCTGCGGATGGTGAGAGTGTAGTCTGCCCCAGATCCACTGTCACTGAACCGAGAGGGAATCCCACTTTGCAGACTGGATGCAGCATAGATCAGGAGCTTAGGAGTTTTCCCTGGTTTCTGCTGATACCAATTTAAATTATTGCTAATGCCCTGACTCGCCCGGCAAGTGATGGTGACTCTGTCTCCTACAGATGCAGACAGGGAGGATGGAGACTGGGTCATCTGGATGTCACATCTGGCACCTGAAGTTGGAAACATAAAAACAAATATTGTCGCAATTAATCATGTTATCAGAGGACTTCCCTGAAGTTCCAGACAGTACTGAGCACACTGACCGAGTATAATCCTAGTGTTCTCCTTCCTTACCTGGCAGCCAGAGCACCAGGAGCCCCAGGAGCTGAGTGGGGGCCCTCATGTCTGTGCTGTGTCCTGACTGGGGCTGACTCCTGCACCGGGTGTGACCAGCCTATAAAAAGTCTTCAGGGCAGGGGGCTGTGCTCTAGGAACAGGCAAATCAGCAGGGGATGGGGCAGGCTGAGCACAGCTGCAGGGCTGGCTCATCTCAGTAACTCAGCACAGGGGCGCAGTATCCCCAGAGTCCCAGGTCAAACCAGGGCAGCACAGATTTACCTTGAAAGAATGCATTTCTCATTGGTGGCCATATGGTTACAGAACATATGTTTGGAGTGAATTTTCAAAATTTTAAATCAACCTAAGACTAGATTAAATAATATATTTATACTTGTATTAGGAGTGTATAGGAAAGCATCATTTTTGGCAGAAAATTTACAATAAAGTTGTAGAATGTGGGGCTGTCAGAAATTTCAGTTAGTCTCAAAGGAATTTGATGAGTGTAAAAGTATTTAGTGCTATAATAACAATGTCAGTGTGAAATTGCTTCTTGTTTGAAATGAATATAAAAAGAATTTATCAGAAGCATCTTTAATAAATTCAATAGAATTTACTAACAAACTTAAGACATTGTCCCTAGGAGTAAAAGGAAAAACAATTCTCTGAAGATGCACAAAGATGATAACTGTGTCACGCATAGATCTGCCATTATCCAGAGCTATGGGTCTCTTTAAGACCCAGGGGCTAAATGGGCTGCACCTTATTCTTGGTGTGATGATCCCCATATTCTATCCCCTTTCCTGCCTTTGGTATAATTTCTTATGGTTCTCCAGCATGGAGAGCTGACTAGTAATACCAGGTCTCATTATTTCAACTAAAATCTCTGTTTCACGCGCTGACTATAGGAGCCTGGATTAAAATCAACTTGAAGCCCTGTATCAATCTAGGCCCAAATAGTCAATTGTTTCAAAGTAGGATGACAAAGGCCACATCCCCTGAGTAATGCTCTGAGCTGCGCTCCCCACCAGCCTGTTCCTGGGGTCTCAGGAGCATCTGCCCTAGAGTCTGGCTTTCTGGAGAGCAGGTGAGGGGGAAAAGCCAGGTCAGTGAGCCTCTCTCCTTAGCGAGGGCAGCTGCTGCACAAGGCATGTTCTTGCCATGCACCAGGGCATCATCCTGACCCAGATGCCAGCCACCCTGTCTCACATGCATTTAGAGAGAATCTCCATCCTCTGCCAAGACACTGCCCATGTAGATGAAAAAGTGTTTTGCATCCAAACATATCTTAAGCACTGATTTGAACCTCAATACTTCACACAGATGCCTTTGCCCAGGGCGTGTCGGCCTGGCTCAACAGCAGGGGAAGTGGAGCCAATTACATCAGTGTCAGTGGACTGAGAAATACTCCAGGGAGTAGTTCTCATGCACGACTACGCATGGCCAGACCAAGGTAGTGCAGCCTATGCACAAACCTCCTCCTGCTTTTCCAGAGGACTGGATTTCTGGGAAATGGCTACCAAACAGGCTGCCAGGATCCATATATCCAGATTCAGAGAGATACATCTCTGGATTCAAATGCACTTTTTCTTTGTGCATAATTTTAGCAGTCATTGTTACTATGCCTTGGGGATTCTAGACATTATACTTCAGCTGACTCTCTATGGCCCTTTCTCCCCTTCACTGCTCTATCTGAACCTGGGGAAGCAGCTCAGGCTGCAAATGAGGCAGACCTCATGGCCTGGAATTAGCATCCCCTAGGACGGTTGTCAATCAGTGATGACAAGGGAGGTGTACACATCCCCCAGCTCCCTCACCTCTCAGGTGGAATAACAGAGGCATTTTTCCTGTGTTTCTATGTGGGCTTGAGCGCTCGTCATCCTCAGAGGTGGCTCCTTCTGAGGCACTTTTCACTTTCCCTTTCCCTCCTCCCCTCCCTTGCTCACTTGCTTGTTTCCCGCACTTTGTAAATATACTGCCTGCATGCGAATCTTTGGCATCCTTCTCACTGAGGGGACCCAACCTAATGCATTGGAAAAATCCTCATTCTTGGAGGGCATCGTTGGTTTGAATTATTGCCACTTCTCATGTTTTAATGCCTAGGGAAATTCCAAAAATTTAGGAAATCTTTAAATTCCCTTTGCCAATCTTTCTTAGATTTGATTTTAGCAGAGATTCGTTTTCTCTAGGTCACAAAATCACAGAAGCCTTCCACAAATGGCTACACAATATAGAGTCCACATAGAGCAGAGGCTCAGAATCTCCCAGGATTTGACATCCACACATCAGACAGTCCTAGAGTCTCATGTTTTTTCTAGGTCGATCGCCTCATAAATCTGCCTTGTGATATTTTTATTCTACCTTAGGGGAAGGCCATTGTGTGGATGATGAGAGTTGTTTGTGGAATGAATAATACACCCACTAAAGACATCTTTGTCCTAATATCTGGAATCTATGATCATTACTTATGAACAAGTCAAAAATAACTTGGCAGACATGGTTGAGAATTTTGAGGTCAGGAGAATATCCTGAATTATCTGGGTGAGACCATCATAATCACAAGGGTCCTTACAATAGGGAGGGAGGAAGGTAACAGCCAGAGAGGACCTGGGACAATGGACAGGGAAACTGGAGTGATGGAGGAAGGGGCCATGCTGCTAGGAATGTGGGAACATCAGAAAGATGGAATGCTCGACATTGGATTCTCTCTCTTGAAGCCTAGAATGAATAGAGCCCTATTACTCCTTGATTTTACTTCATTGAGACTTCTGACCTCCAGAAATGTAAGATAATACACTTGTGTGATGTGGAGCAGTAAAGTTGTGGTAATTTGTTACAGCAGCAACAGGAAACCAATGCAAGGGGAAGGGGTGTGTTTTACTTCCCTAGTGTATCACTGTCCTCTGTTCTCCCAAGTAGTTCTGTGTTTTTGTGTTTGCTGTCAATTTCAACAAGAGACAGAAAACATTTTTCTATGAGGAGAGCTAGTACCACAATTCTTCTTACGTAGAAAGTGTCTTGAGTAATTCTCTGGGTTAGGTCTTGTACAATCTTGGTATCTGAGAGCCTGGAGGTCATCTCTCACAGCACATGAGAAGAGGAAGGGGATGCGGGTTTGCTGTTTTAACATTCATAGGGCAAATTGGATGTACAAGACCCATTCTTTTTATTATTATTATTATTGTTAAGTTCTAGGTTACATGTGCACAACATGCAGGTTTGTTACATATGTATACATGTGCCATGTTGGTGCGCTGCACCCATTAACTCGTCATTTACATTAGGTATATCTCCTAATGCTATCCCTCCCCCCTCCCCACACCCCACAACAGTCCCCGGTGTGTGATATTCCCCTTCCTGTGTCCAAGTGTTCTCATTGTTCAATTCCCACCTATGAGTGAGAACATGCAGTGATTGGTTTTTTGTCCTTGCGATAGTTTGCTGAGAATGATGGTTTCCAGCTTCATCCATGTCCCTACAAAGGACATGAACTCATCCTTTTTCATGGCTGCAAGCGAGGACTGAGTCAGAGAGATGGGGATGGCAGAGGAGACAAAATGTGGTCAGGGCCGTGTAAGATGTGACCCTGCTGCCATATCTGAAAGAAAGGCTGTTGGTGTTTGTAAAGGCTTTGGGCAAATTGTGCTTTGTAGACAAAACTGTAGAAGGGTCTGGGTTTAAGCTTAGTGTCAGCGTGATGAGGACTAGAGGTCGTAGTGAGCTTGTGTTAAGAAATCCACCCTGCACTTCTGGCTTTGTCTCTTTTCTGGTTTTATAGGTGGTGGGTCCCTCTATGGAATGAACGTGGCTCTGTGGAAGGAACATAAGTTAAGGTCAGACAGACCTAGATTCCAATTTCAGCTTCGACAACTGCTGACCAAGTGACTTTTATGCAAATCAGCCATGTGCTGTCATGAACAGTTTCCTCATGTGTGAAATGGGGCACTGAGGATGTGAAGGGGTGTCCTGAGGGTTCCGCCAGCTGATGCACCATGAAGTGTACATCCATGTATAGACAGACACACACACATACATGAGAAGAGTATCTAGTGCCTCTTTTATGCATTCTTGAGTAACTCAGAATGTTATGTGAGATATTAACAGTCATATGTCATTTTCAACTAAAATTATCAGTATTTATCTTATAACTAACAGATGCTTCTCTGTACACTGTAGGTTTCATGTACATTTCTTCAATCACAAAATTTTTCACCAATCTATTTACGTCTAGTATCAGAAAGTTAAGCAAGGAGATTGCAAACCAACACAACACCTTTAGTCTGGATTTTCCTGGAGCCCATTTGTGTTAGTGTCCTCGGGCTACTGTAACAAGTTCTCAAAAATGTGGTAGCTTCAAACAACAGGAATGGAATCTCTCATAGTTCAGAAGTCCAGATCAGTTTCACTGGGCTAAGATCTTGGAGTCATCAGTTCTGGCTCCTTCTGAAGCTCTAGGGAGCAGTCTGATTTAGCTCTTCCAGCTTCTGGTGGCTTCTCTCTCCCGGGATGTGGACACATCACTGCAATCTCTGTCTCTGTGTTCACACTGCCTTCTCCACTTCAGTCTATGCTAAATGTCTCTCTACCTCTTGTTTTTTTTAGGACACTTGAGTTTGCATTTAAGTCCCAGTTGATTAATCTAAGACCATCTCCCTGTTTCAAGCTCCTTAATTTACACCTGCAAAAGCTGTTTTCCCAAATGAGATACATGCATAGTCTTCATGGAATGAAACCTCACTATTTGGGGATGATACTCAGTACTACACCATTACATAACCAGGTCTCAGTGTTAGTCCTGTACATACATCACAATCTCTCTCTCTCTCTCTCTCTCTCTCTCTCTCTCTCTCTCTCTATGTCCACACACCCTGGCTTCCTCCTTTTCTCAATGTCATAAATCTCTTCAATTCCTTAAGTGTATCCAGTGATACCTATAAACAAATAAGTATCTGAGAAAAGTCTCAATCAGTTTAGAAATTTACTTGGTCAAAGTTAAAGAAATATCAGTGAAACAGCCTCAGGAGGTCTTGAGAACGTGTGTCAAAGGTCGTCGGGCTACAGGTTGGTTTTACACGTTTTAGGGAGACATAAGATATCAATCAATACGTGTAAGCTGTACATTGCTTTGACATGAAAAGGCAGGACAGCCCGAAGGAGGGGGGATGTTGGGGACTTCCAGGTTATAGGTGGATTCAAAGATTTCATAGGTGGTTGAAAGAGTTTATCTAATGACCTGTAATCAACACAAGGGAGTTTCTGGGTTTAGAAAAAGGGTTTTGGAGCCAAGGTTGCATCATGCAGATGGAGCCTCCAGGTAGCAGGCTTCAGAGAGAATAGATTGTAATTGTTTCTTAGTAGACTTAAAAGGTGCCAAACTCTTAGTTAAATCTCTCTGGGTCAGGAAAGAGACTTAAAAAGGAGTCTCTACAGAATGTAGATTTTTCCCACAAGAACCAGCTTTGCAGAGGCATTTTTCAATACATTAAATAACAATATCTTGGGGAAAATACTTTGATTTCTCTTAGGACGTGGTATCTGTCACATTGGTATCTTATTGCTATAAAGAGTTTTCTTTGTCAGTCTCAAGGTCTCTGTCTTCATATTAAAAGCTGGTCAGTTGTGCCTGAATTTTAAAGGGAAGAGGGTAAGTTAAGGCATATCCAATCATCCGTTCCGATCATGGGCTGCATTGTATTTCAGGTTGATTTTGGTGTGTGCTTGGCTGAGAGGAGGAGTTCATTCAGTTGGTTAGGGAGCTTAGAGTTTCATTTTTGGTTTACACACCTATGTCCAGGTAAGAGGGCCCCACACAGGAGGGCTTGCTCAGAACCTGGCTTGCAGGGCTGCTTACAGACCTTCTATGTCTCCTGTTGTCATGCACAAGGAAGGACACAGCCAATGACAACCCTCAGCCATCCGGGGAGAAGCTGTGTCTGCAGAGGACGGTCATGAGCTGTGAGTCTAGAGACCTGTGATTGTCTTCAGGGGCCTGTGGTCCTCGGCTTTCGTAGGAGTTGTGGGGGCACTGGCTCAAATAGCATCCACCAGGATTCTAATCAGAATATCTCATTCACAGAAGGCAGTGGGTGATATGACAGCACAGAGGGACTCTGTGGGTCCAGCTGCATGGAGCACTCTGGGAGAGTCACTGGCACCCGTGCTAGACAGAGCTTCATTCAAGTTCTGGAGCACACGGATTTAGATCTCTTTACATCATTTTGAAAGACCATTTATCATTCTGAAGGAAACCCCTGTAATTAACTAAGGTAACATCTTTAATAGGTAGAAAGAAAAAACTGATTATTTTATTGCCAAGATGATTACAAGAAAAGAAAGAAACAAAAATAGCACGAAGGAAAGAGCAACACTAGACTGAGGGCTTTGGGTAAGAGGTTGAGACTTAGTAGTGAATGCCCTGGGCCATCTTCTGTCAAAAGGGAGGGACAATCAGCAAAGGGAAATATGCAGTAGAGGCAAAATCTTGGTTAGTAAAAGAATCCTAAGAGAAAACAAGAAGTCTCCTTCCTGAGCATCATGTTGGTGTCGGGAAGATGCACATAATCCCCCCATTGCATGTCTTACAGTTTTCAGCAATTAGGGCTCAGCACGAATTTAGAAGACACCATTCACTTCACAGCAGATGGGGACACAGTCAAGGCAGCGGTGAGAGGCAAGGCTGGGCTTTCAGTCTCAGAGCACAGAGCAGGTTCCCCACTACTCCGCACCCTTGTGTCTCCTCCCAGATGTTCCACCTCATTCTTGGCTTAAGGGCTCCAAGTTGTTAATGGGACAGTAGCCCTCTTCCTTTCCCAGGGTTTCTAAGAATTTGGCTCTCTTTTGTGTATTGCGGGGTTTGTTTGCCATCTAGAGGCAGGTTTTTGGCATAGCAACTTATAGGCTTTTTCTACTTGTGATAGCGAAAATAAATACATAAATAAATTCATCATAAGTAATAAATTGACTTAATGCATTGAATCTGTAAAAAAAAAAAAAAGGTCAGTTTGAGAGCTTAAAAGGAGCCTGATGAGGTTAAAAAGACAAATTACCTTTAGTAAAGGGCAGTTGGAGCAATAGATGATTCTTTCTTTAATCAATGACATTTTAGGAGTAATTATCAAATGGTAAATAAAACTTGAAATAAGCTGATACACTATAATTTTATATGAAAAAAATATTTCCAAGAACCATACAAATACATTTTCAGATTAAAACAAACAAAAATGTGGGTTTATCATCAGATCCGCTAAATGGAAGATTTCTCAAATGTGTGCTTGGAGCAAAAATAACACTTATCCCTATTTGAAAGTTCAAGATTTTTGAGCTTTCGAAGAAAACAGCTTTCCCTTCACTCTGTTCCACTCACACTTCTGAGGATGGCCATGGGGCAAAAAGCCGCGGCGGGCATAAACCCGAGGCGGCGGGGGGGGCAAAAAGCCGCGGCGGGGAAAAAGCCGTGGTGGCAGGGGGCAAACAGCCGCGGCGCTGGTGGGGCAAAAAGCCGAGACGCGCAAAAAGCTGCGGTGGCGGAGGCAAAAAGCGGTGGGAGCAAAAAACCATATAACGTCGCGGCGGCGGGGGGCAAATAGCCGCGGCGGCGGGGGCAAAAAGGTGCAAAAAGCAGTGGTGGCGCGGGCAAAAAGCCACGGCGGCGGGGGCACAAAGACGCAAAAAGCCGCGGCGGCGGGGGGGGGGGGAGGGGTGGGGGAGGGGCGACAAAAAGCCGCGTCCGCAGGGGGGAAAAATCCGGGGGGGCAGGGGGGCAAAAAGTCGCGGCGGCGGGGGGCAAAAAGCTGTGGCAGCGGGGAGGCAAAAGCCGTGGGGGGCGAAAAGCCGCGGCGGGCAAAAAGCCGCGTCGGCGGGGGGGAAAAAGCCGCGGCGGCAAAAAGCCGGGTCGGGCAAAAAGCCGCGTCGGCGGGGGGGAAAAAGCCGCGGCGGCAAAAAGCCGGGTCGGGCAAAAAGCCGCGGAGGCAAAAAAAGCCGCGGTGGCAGGGGGCAAAAAGCCGCGGCGGGCAGAAAGTCCTGGGGGCGGGGGGCAAAAAGCCACGGCCGGCAAAAAACCGCGGCGGCAGGGGGCAAAAAGCCGGGTCTGGCAAAAAGCCGTGGAGGCAAAAAGCCGCGGTGGGCAGAAAGCCATGGCGGCGGGGTGCAAAAAGCCGCAGCGGGCAGAAAGCCGCGGCGGGGGGGCAAAAAGCCGCGGCCCGCAAAAAGCAGCGGCGGCGGGGGTGCAAAAAGCCGCTGCGGGCAAATAAGTGCGGCACCGGCGGGGGGGGTAAAAGGCCGGGTCGGGCAAAAAGCCACGGCGGCGGGGGTGCAAAAAGCCACAGCGGCGCGGGGGAAAAAGCCGTGGCGGGCAGAAAGGCGCGGCGGCGTGGGGGAAAAAGCCGCGGCGTTGGGGGCAAAAAGCCGCGGTGGCGGGGGGGCAAAAAGCTGCGGTGGCGGGGGGGCAAAAAGCCGTGACCGGCAAAAAGCCGTGGTGGCGGGGAACAAAAAGCCGCGGCGGCGGGGGCGGGCAAAAAGCCGGGGCGGGCAAAACCCCGAGGCGCCGTGGGGGCAAAAAGCCGGGGCGGGCAAAAAGCCGGGGCGGGCAAAAACCCGCGGCGGCGGTGGGGCAAAAAGCTGGAGCGGGTAAAAAGCCGCGGCAACAAAAAGCCTCGGCGGCGGGGGCGCAAAAAGCCGCGGTGGGCATAAACCCGAGGCGGCGGGGGGGGGGGGGTGCAAAAAACCGCCGTGGGGAAAAAGCCGCGGCGGTGGGGGGCAAAATCCCGCGGCGGGCAAAAAGCCGCGGCGGCGAGGGGGGTCACAACAAAGCCGCGGCGGGCAAAAAGCCGAGGCGGGGTGGGGGGGGGGGAGGGGGGGAAGCCGCGGCGGCGGGGGGCGAAAAGCCACGGCGGCGGGGGGTAAAAAGCCGCGGCGGTCAAAAAGCCGAGGCGGGGTGGGGGGGGGGGAGGGGGGGAAGCCGCGGCGGCGGGGGGCGAAAAGCCACGGCGGCGGGGGGTAAAAAGCCGCGGCGGTCAAAAAGCCGAGGCGGGGTGGGGGGTGGGGGGGGGGAAGCCGCGGCGGGGGGCGAAAAGCCACGGCGGTGGGGGGCAAAATAGTGGAGATGGGGTAGAAGGACGGCACAGTTTGGTATTGCTGGAGTGTGATGTGATAGGAAATGTGCAGCCAAAGAGAAAAAAAGATGTAAGTAAGCTTGACTCATTGCAGCTAAGAACCCAGATGTTATCTTGAGGGTATTAACTAATAAGCAGTTTAAATCAGAATGGCATATTCTGATTTGTTTTTTGTATGTTCACATTTGGCAGGCATAGATACTGTTTGAAGAGAGAAAAGACAGTAGATAGAGGTAACAAACTTAAATATGTGCGAAGTCTAGAAACAAGAGACCGGGGGATAAGGACCTTTCAAAATAAAATGCAAGATTTGAAAACTGATTGGCTGGGGCATGAGGAAAAGGCAGGTCTTTAAGGTCAATCCCTGTTTTGCTTTGTTAGGGGTTGGTTTTATCACATATTGTAGAACATGTCATTTCAGTTTTGAACATCTTGAGTTAAATTGTCCTAACATATCTTATGAATTTGATTTTCTTCCCTGGGAAGCTAATATTTCAAAAACTGAAAGAGTATATACATTTCCAACTTGTATCCAATTTATAAAACTATCTCTAGGCTGCTGATTTCAGGAGGAGGCTCATGAATATTCTCTTTGCAGAGAATATATCAGGAGTTAACAACAGCTTCAATATTTGTGGACGACCAGTTAACTAAATCACCTCTTAGTGTATTTAGATGGGAAATCTTAGCTGAAGATATTCAATAATGAACCAACAGTGACTAAAAAATTCAACATTTAAGTATATTTCATTGTAATTAATTTGAATTGAAGTAGCAGCTAGTATTTACTACATTGAACAATGCAAATAAGAGGAAAAAATTAATAACCATCTCTAATACCACATGCCAAAATCCTCATCAATTTATTCTAGCTAAAGGAGTTGATCAGAAGCAGCAGTTGAAAGCACCAACTAAACCAGCTGGGGTTGGTTCACTGTCATTCTCTCAGAACCATCTCTTCTCTGAACAAAACAAGTACAGGAGTTCATTGTGAATCTGCATTCTCCTTGCCTATTTTAAGGTTTTGATGTTGACGCAAATTTGTGAAATCCCTCCTGTGGTGTGATATTTCGTTTTCCTTGCTTTGTGTTAGGACAAGAATGCTTCAGCTCTTAATTTAAAATTATGTTTCTCCCTCCTAGGTTGAGTGAACTTAGAATGCATTCTCTGACATATCCAAGATTTTGTTAATATGAATTTCGGGAAAAAAGCATACTTAATTAGCTAAGACGTCTTATTCTAAGCTTGACCCTATGTTCGACATCTTTTGAATTTCTGGTTGCGTGGGCTGCTCTCTGACACTGGTTAGTGACCTGGAAGCTCTATTAATGTTAGGGGAGGTGGTGTATGAGCATTAGAGGTATCCTTGCAAGGAAAGACTTGTCTTATCTCAATACTTCTTTTTTTTTGCACACAAGAAAGTCAATGTCTGAGTCTTCTAAAATCTTCCTATTTCCAAATTGCAGATTATGATTGATTCCTAAACAAAGACCTAATTTTTGACTCAGAGACGTGGCAAGCTAGTGAATCACCGTTATAATTTAACAATCTTCAAGATAAAATTATCTCTGATATTTAGATTTTGCCCAATTATTAAGATATTTGGGTGTTCCGTTAAGAATGGAAAACTCTAGTCTCTTGAGCAGAGACTATAAAGGCCTCAGATGATCATTTTTAATTTTATGCTCTTTTCTTTAACACCTTCAACACAGTTGGAAGCAGCCGATATTCCGCAGAGTTGTTGTGTTTTTTAAACCAAATGCATGGTTCAGTGGTAGAAAACTGGGCTGATCCAAGCTGTTTTCAGTAAACACTTCATTTCAGGTGACCCATTTCATATTAAATAATCTCTAGATCCTGTCTTCGAAACTAACTAGATCAGATAAACTACCCTGGATTTTCTCTTTTTAGGGTCTGAGAGCTGCAGTCACTTTTGTGAAAATGATTACAATGACAAGATAGAGTTGTAGATGGGGAAAATGTTTTGACTAATTTAAGCACAGTGGTATTTCATATGAGAATTTAAGTTACACACATTTGAAAATTATAATGGAGTCTCTTGGCTGAGCTTTAAAAAGAAATAGCGTTTAGGCTAAAAAGGGAACTGCTACCTCTCCTAAAATCAGAAAGATGTTACAGTAATTCTCCATTCTCTAGAATTATCAAGAAGCACCTTTGTGATGATTTACTTTTGCTCCTGCGAGTGTGAGCCCGTGTAGTCGTGGAACCATCAATTAGAATGGTGGCTTTCTGATCCCAAAGTCACTCGTTCTGAAAACAATATTTTCCATAAATTTGAAAGTGAGAAGTTTTGATCTTGCCATTCCCAAGTAACTCTCTTAATAAGAGGCATCAGCATGCTTCAGTGACAGCTGTCACCTTCCATTGCTGAGAGTCATCTTTGAGTTCTCTATTTCACTCCCTACACTCCAATTTAGCTGCAGTTCTCTTGGCCAGTCCTATGAAATACATCCATGGCCTAACGACTTCTCACCACTACTACCACTCATGCTGACAGCATTCTCACCTAAGTCACTACCTTTTTTTGCTGGATTAGAGTAGCCTCCCAATTTATTTGCTCACATAACCTATTTATTCTACACAGTGCACCAGATACACCCCTTTGAAATGCAAACACAATCATATTATTCTCTGGTGAAATTATCTCATATATTCCTATCGCATTTAAAATTAATTCAGAATCATCCCATGATTATCAAAACCCTACATGCTCTTCCACAACATGGTTTACTTCCAAGATATCTCTTCAACATTTTTTTCACTGTACTGAATTGGTGACTAATAGTCATATTTTTGTTTTTGCTCAAAAAGTCTTGACTTGTAAATTTTTCAGTTTCTCCTTTATCCACAGGTAACTCTTTCCTGATAAGGCGAATTGCTTGCTTCCTTGAATTCTGCTCTCAAAGATACCCTTCATTTTCTACCTAATATTAATAACTTTAATCATTCATTATTCCATTACTATGCTCTATAGTGTATACAATTTCTGTTCTTTGTCATGTTATTAACTAAATTATTTATTGGGTCCAGTAACGTATTCCATAAATATTGTACACATAAAAATTGTGTTATTTTTATTCCTGTATGCTCAGCTGCCCAATAACAGTCTGAGGATTAACATATTTGTTAAATGCACAAATACATTCTTTCACAAATATTAGTTTAATAATTTTATGTTAAACTCCCTCTATACTTACAATATGAATTAGATAATTCAGAATAAACATTCCATTGGAAAAAGCTACACAACTTGTTATAAAACATCCTTAAAAGCATCAGAAAATTAATACAGCAATGAAGAATTACAGGACCAAATTAAGAATGGTATGAAAGCCTGTTTGTGACGCTTATGTTTGGGTTATCTCTTTATTTGAGTGACTATAAATCTCAAAAGAGAACTAAAGGGAGAAATAACCGTATCTACTAACATGCTAAGGGTACTTAAACATCTCTTAGTAATTGAGAAAATTGAAAGAAAAGAAAAAAGAGAAAGGGAGAAAGAGAGACAGCGAAAGGGATAATGAAGGAGAGAAAGAAGAAGAGAAAGGAAGAGGAAGAAAAGTAAAAAGGAGGAGGAGGGGGAAGGAAGAAGGAAGAAAGGTGAAAAGAAAGAATGGTAAACTTTTTAACAACATAATTTATCCTTCTAGAATATGAATGTTGGTCTATTTGATGATGTCCCACAGATTCATTAGTCTGTGCTCATTGTTTATTTTTTATTCTTTCTGTTTCTCAGAGTATTTTCCATTTTCTTCTCTTCAAGTTCATGGCTTCCTCTGTGTGTGCAAATATACTCTTAAATCCCTCTGGTGATTTTTAAATTTTTATCATTGTAGTTTTCCACTCCAGAATTTGTTATCTCTTTGCTGATATTCCTACTTTTTAATATTTTTTCTGATTCCTTTATTTCTTTGTTTATGTTTTCCTTTTGACATTTGAGTATAATGAAGACAGTTGTTTTAAAGTCTTTGTCTGGTAAGTTTGATGTCTGGGTTTCTTTAGGGATATTTTCTGTCACTTTATTTTGTTCCTTTGAATGAGCCACACTTTCCCATTCTTTGTATGCCTTGTAACGTTTTTTGAAAACTGGACATTCTAATAATTATAATTACTATGTGGTTACTCTGTAAATCAGACCTCCCCCTACAAACACAGTGATGTTTTGTGGTTTTAAATTTTCTTTACTTATTATATTGTTAAGGATTTTTTTTTTTAGTGAAATTTTCCAAAGTGATTTACAAAACTGTTTGGTTTATAAGGTGTGGTCACCGAAGTCTTTTTGTTTCCTTAACAAATGTTAAGCTAATGTTTTGACAGTGATTTTCTGGTATGTCAGGAGCCAATCAAACAGGCAAATACAAGAAAAACAAAAAGAAAAGCAAGTAATCATTGTCCAGCAAAATATGTCTGTAGGCCATGCAGACTGGCTTTGTGCTGGGTTCTTTAAAGCCGGCACAAAGTGTGTGTTCACTCTTGCACTGAGTGAAGTTCAAGTTCACTCTTGCACAGAGCTTGCACTGAGGGGAGGGATCGGCCAAGGTAAAAGTGTAGGGTCTTCTTATGACATTTGTCAGCATGTGGCTTAACCTATGAATACGTGTGACTTTGTAGACTCTCCCATGTACGTGAATGAGGCATGCGCCACCACGCCCAGCTAATTTTTTCGTGTTTTTAGTAGAGACGAGGTTTCTCCATGTTGATCAGGCTGGTCTCAAACTCCCGACCTCAGGTGATCCGCCCGCCTCGGCCTCCCAAAGTGCTGGGATTACAGGCGTGAGCCACCACGCCCAGCAGATTTATTTATTTTTTAATCTTTCTTTTTTTTTTTTAGGCAGAGTCTTACTCTGTCACCCAGGCTGGAGTGCAGTGACACGATCTTGGCTCACTACAACCTATGCCTCCCCGGTTCAAGTAATCCTCCCACCTTAGCCTCCTGAGTAGCTGGGATTACAGGCGCCTGCCACCACACTCAGCTAATTTTTGTGTTTTTAGTAGAGACAGGGTTTCACCATGTTGTCCAGGCTGGTCTTGAACTCCTGGCCTCAAGAGACCCACCCGCCTCAGGCTCCCACAGCGCTGGGATTACAGGCATGAGCTGCCATATCTGGCCTATTTATTTTTTAATTTTTCAAATGAGAAGGTTGGGTTAGGTAATTTTTAAAAATCGCTTCAAGTTTCTTAACTCCACAATTATTTTCCTGAGACTCTTGCAAGCAACTGATCTTTATAGGTCATGCCTCAAATTCCCAATTGATGTCATCTGGGCAAATCAGTCCAATGACAGCCACAAGTGGTCAGAAAGCTTTCTTAGCAGCCCTCTTGGTCACTAGGCACACTACCTAGGAGTCAACCTGTGACAAGAGGCTGCTTCTTAAACTTACAAAAGATAGGATCTTCCAGGATGTGCTGCTCTGATGTTTTTGAAGGGCATAGAGAAACACACGGGCAATGTTTGCAGAGGCAACAGACTAAATAAAGCACATCTATAGTTGTATTGGCTTTGTGTGGGTTGTATGGTAAACAGGTAGTCACCCTGCTTAATGTGGGTATCCCATTTTCCATAAATGTCTATTTCACCACCCCAAAAAGCCCTCTTATCATGAAATTAATCATCTGATGCACTTCAAGTACCAGTCACAAAAATGATGAACTCAGGCAGAATTCCACTGCTAGACAAGCCCAGACAAAAACTGTTACTGTTAGCCAAGGAAATTTGCACACAATTTTGATAAGTGGCACTAAAGCCACATAAGACAGGAAATGGGTTAGAGGACATCAATGTATTGAGACAGAAAGTGAAAGGGTGGGCAGGATTTGCGAGGTTACCAGTTTGAATATGGCCATTCCTGCTTTTACTAAAGGTCAATTTAGAATACAAATGTTACAGAATTCATTTAGAGCCAAAAAGTAATTCTGACAAAGACTGTCTTAAAATGCAAGATTTTTAGGTCCAAAATTTCTTACGTAACCTAAAAAATGGAAATCTTCACAATGTAATGAGATTGGGTCATTTAAATAGTGTTATATCTAACCAGTCCAGACAGACCAGCTAAACAATCCTATTATTAAAAGCCTCTAGAGAGTGTTCAACAAACTCCTTAGATAATGAAGCTTGGGGCAGCAACACATCCCTCATTATAGTCAGAAAGTTCTCTTAACATGTGAGCCAGGTTATTGCGTGCATTTATGTTTTCCCACATGCTGCTCTTTCCTCAAGGAATGCGATTCTCCTCCCCGACTCCCTGCCTGGTTCGCTCATTCTTCAAGATCAAACACAAAAGTCACTGTGTGTGTGATGCTTCTCCAATTCCACTCATCCTGGCTGCCATTCATGCACTAGTGCATGTATGCATTTTTACATTTTTTAAATTACAAAAATCAACCTATTATAACTGCTTAGATATATATGAAGTAAAAATGAAAGTTCTCCCTTTACATGACCCATCCCCCATCATTTCCCTCTTTATCTTATACTGTCAGCATTCCCAGCTTGTAGCACAGTGTCTGGCAATAGTAAATCCTCAAAAAATGATCAATGAATAATTTAATAATGATTAATAAATAAATTAATGATGATGGTGAAGATAAATTTTTAGCATTTATTGAACGCTAACTACAAACCAGGGAGTGTGTTAAATATTTTATAAAAATCAATGAATGAGCTAAAATGCCATTCTATTATTTTTTTGTATAGGTTTTAATATTTTACTCATAAATATGCTTAAAGAATATTATAATTATATGACTTAGATTGTAAAACAATATGTACAGCAGTATCCTATTTTTTAGAATAAAATTATAAATATGTGCTCACATATGTGTTTGTGCATGCATAGAAAACAGATTAGAAAGGAATATATTCTAACACCATTATCTCTAGCTGGTAGAATTATGGAAAATTTTTATTTCCTTCTTTTTGCTTCTAAATTTTATATAATGAGCATATTTGGCTTTGTATAATCATTTTTAAAAAGTTGTTTTAGAAGAATAGTACTGATATATCATTCCCTTTTAGCAGTTTTCTCTAGGATAAAAAATAAGAGGAAGTCTGAGCTTAACTAATTAAAAAAACAGATTTCTTTAAAAAATATTAGCAAATCATTAGTGTTCTTACTGGAGAAAGGGCAGTGTTCAAAGAAGAATTAAACAAATCATTCCAGTTGCAGGAAAAATTCAATTTACTGCATGCAGACTGTTTCTTGACTGAAAAGTTAATTCCTTTCATTCAGAATCAGTATGCATATTCACTGGCTATATTTCATCTCACATCTGCAAACTTAATTTTTCCTTTCTTGGTCATCAGAAGATTAGGAAATAAATTTTAGTCCAGGCAATAGATCCTACTTGGCAAGCTCAAAATAACTCAATTATTAAAAAGCAGCACACAAAGACCAGTAGTGACTTCCAAAGGATTGTTAACAATACTTAAAAAAAAAAAAAAAAAAAAAAAAAGAGAAAAAAGGGTCCAACTGTCTAAAAGAAGACTAGAGATACATGAATAAGAAAATACGATGTTTTGGAATTATGTGCAAAATAGTAATGCTGCATATTACCCATCCTTTAAGTTTTAGCAATAATTAGAAAAAATAGTTTCCCAACAATAAAAGTTATAAAATAATGTCATCATATCACCTAGAAGAGATTATAGATTTTTATAAACAAAATATGTGTTATTATGAATATTTGTATGTACTCTCCAAGAACTAAAAGATGAAGTTCCCCTTTCAGGATCCCCTGTGCCTGAGAAGGAAACTTTCCAGTGAAAGCCTACTAGCTAGTTAAAAATTTCTTAAAAAAGAAAATCTTCTTAGTTGTATACTTGGGAGCATCCTTTCTCTTGGGCGGATCCCTGTTAGACATATACAACTTTTAATGTTTGCACCTTTAACTGTAGGGATGGTCTCTGAGTATGCCCACATTCGTATCTAAGATATTCAACGCCTGTCCTTCAGACACTTAACAAGGACTCTGAGTTCCAAATCTCCCTTGAGTGCTGCAGTGCATGCTGACGCTCTTTAAAAGCCATAGCACTCCCTCACTGTGAAATAAAACTGCTCTGTCTCTTGCTGGTTGGCTCTCCTCTTAGCAATGCTGGGCTTGCTCATGAAGGTTTCAGAGACCGTGGACTTGACGGACTCCATGGAGTTGCTGTACTGGAAGCAGTCAGACACATCGAAGTCCTCGACAGTCACAATGTCCTGGATGGTTTGCAGGGTGGCCTCCATTGTCTTCTTTACCTGCCACGACAAGGGCCAACAGGATGCATGAAGGGTGGGTTGTTAAACAGCAGGTGATGGAGAAGCTTGAAGAGAGTGGGCTGGGGAAGGCCACAGGATGCCATCAGAGTGTGCAGCTCTGCTTCCCACTGGACAGTGCTAAGTGAGAGGTAAACATCACATGGACTCTGCTACAGCATGCTACTCTCTACAGTGAAAACCTAAAAGCCACTACAACCCTTCATGCTATGTACTTGACCCAGATCTTTTAATGTTTACTTTTAAAATTTAATATTAGCATTATTATAATATTATATAACAATATTGTAATAGAAGTTTTAAGGGAAAGAGAATAAAATAAATCTAAACCAACCCCCTCATACAAACAGCTAATTAAAATGTGTGATGGGCCTAGTACTGCAAAGCCCCAGGTTCTGTTTCATGACCTTCAACAAACTGATGAACTTGTTTGCTCATTTGCAAACTAAGTGACCTATCCCTACTTCTTCCTGATCTTCCTGCAGAAAGTAAGACTTACTGAGACACAAGGTAAGAAGCCATCTGAGCTCAACAGAAAGCTGGATCACCCGCCCTTTTGAACCGCTTTTTGAAAGCAAATACACTGAGCCCAGAAGAAACTCACCCTTTCCTAAGAGGATGGAGATGTTTGAAGTGTCAAAGTCAAAGGCCTCTGTTTGTTTGAACATGCTGGAAAAAGCTAGGCATGAGGAGGTGGTTTCAGAGACACAATATTGTTCACACAGCTGCCAAGTGCCATTTTGATTAAATGTGTAGAGGGGAAAAAAAGCATTTCGCAAAAGCTCAAAATAGAGCACAACCTTTGGCAATGCAAGAGCAACTTCCTGGAGTTCAAGGGCAGGATGTAGCAGAGGGGGAAAGTCCAAGCCTACATTTGGCTAGGAAATGTTTGCGGCCGCCCGGACATTCTCTGCATGCTCCTTCCACCTGCTCCCAGACGGGCAGCAGCAAAAGTTTCAACAGGGAAACTAAGAGTGTGGCTTTGAGCCTCCTAAGGAAGAAACTCACCTCTTCGTTTTCAATCTTTAGAGTGGATAAGCGAGACTGCAGTTGTTGGCATCTCTGTAGCAGCTCACTCTGGACAGGCTGCTGGGCACAGAGCTGGGAAGCCTAACAAAAGAAAGCAACACCAGGTCAGAAAGAGGATACAGTCCCTTTGGCAGTTCCAGAGTTCCCATTACTGGCAATGAAACTACCCATATTCAAGGTATAAGGCTCGTGGTTTCTATGTTGAAGCAAAACCCAAAGCCAACTTGTGTGAGCCTCTTCCAGGACCAAACAGTACATGAAAGGAATGGGTAGGGGGATCTGTTTGGAGCCCGGCAGGGGTAGGTCTAGGTAGGGTCTGCAGCTCCATGGAAGGCTGAGGAGGCTGGAGAAGAGTGCCTCAGGCAGCTCCGGCTCCAGAAACACAATGCTTTGGCACAGTGAAGATTTCCTGCCAAAGGTCCAAGTGGCCACCTCTCTGGCCCCTCCCTCATCCCCCTTCATACACCAGAGTGAAAGCAGGAGAGAAGTGGGTCAGGAGGCTAACTTGCCACTGCTGGCAGCCAGCATGTGTTTACAAATCCAGGCCATGCATGAGAGCTTTGATTCAATGAGAAAGCGTGAAGCCAGGAACAAGTTCGTTGCCTATGCTTGAGGGCCCGAGAGGGTATGGAATCTGAAGGAGCTTGGCATTTTCCAAAGAGCCATCATTTTACCAGGCCTTCCCTAGATCTGTAAGAGAGGAGTCTGACCTTCCCGCAAGGATTATTGCCAATTAGCTTTCCCCTGTGTGAAGGAATGGCTGTTCCACTGTCTCCCATTGGAGATGTGGTTATGGGATGAGGTCATCCACAGTCCCCTGGATGACAGATGAGGAGCAGAAGGCTGAGAGAGTTGGGAGGCAGGACCCATGTGGAGACAGCTCCTGTCACCTTGTTACCGTTCGTCCTTTAGCCTCTTGCCTGCAGAGAGACATCTGGATAGAAATGGCCTCCTTCCTCCTCAGCAAAGAGTGGGCACATTCACATGCCCACGGACCATTCCCTTGCTTGAAAAGAAAAAACCTTTCTTCAAATGGAGGGGGCTGGGACTTGACCTTTTCCTCCATTGGCTTTTAAGCTCCCAACTGACTTGACCTCTTCCCCCAGCTGAGAGGCTGGCCTGAGCCAACTCTCAGATCCACAGAGAGCTGACTTCACTCTAACTCTTGGATAAGCAGACACAATGGAGAAAGCTCAGTGGCCAGAACCGGTTAGCGCCAAGAGTGAAATTCTCTGGCTGCCTGATGTCACCAGTCAGGCATCCAGAGTCCCACAGCCTCTGAGGGCACCAAAAATGGAGCCAAGCACCTCCTCCTAGTACATCTGAGAGCACTTGGCATCAATTCATGTGCTGTGCACCCCAGAACACCAGTTAGTGTGGGACCTTGGCCAATTTTAAGGCTTCCGGTCAAAATGCTACCCAATCTTTGGCCCTAGTTCAACGACTTCCAGGCAGCTCCCTCCTGTTGCCTCCACAATCTGCAGACAACCCACACTGATGGGGATAGACTGGCTGCAGAGGCCAAGAATGACCCACCCTCTCATCTCTTTTTATTTTCACTCATATGAAGGCTAGGCTAGAATGCGGAACCTTCACAAGCTCCAGGACTGGTCCTGGCCCCTGCCTGGCTCAGCCACTGATCAGCTATATTACATAAAGGGAGGGCCCTGGCAGAAGAGTGAGCTATTGATTTTTAAAGTAACCCAGACCTAGCAGAGAGGAATCATGGAGGGAAAAACCACCTCCAAGCCTGTTCCTTTAAGAAGTAGCAGAGCTGATGATGATGCATGCTTTGGCAGTGGTCCGCTACCAGGGTGCAAGGTAATACACTTCAGCTGCACTCCGGAGTATGGAAATAAGGCTCTGACAGGGGGAGGAGGGGGCTTGAGCACCCAGCATCTGGATTCCTCCTTTATGGAGACAAGCTGTTTGGCTCAGAAGGCAACTCAGTCACTAACACCAGAAAATGTATCACTCCACTCAGCTGGTCCCCAAGTTCCACTGATCCCTGGGAAGGAACCTCAGTGACAGCTGGAGAAGGTGCTTGGAAGGCAAGTTTGACCAGAAGCCAGGGCAGGTGAGGAATGGGGCTTCCTGAGGCTTGGTGACACCCCTTCCCCCAATTCTAATTGCACATGCTGCCATCTCACTTCTCCATCTGTTCAGACACTGACATTTCCTAAGCCACAGCAATGGAAATGAACTGTAAATGGTTTGATTTTCCCCAAGAAGGAAAGGAAGGAAACCAACTCCACATTTCTATCTCCAGGACAGCATCTCACTCTCCATAGAGGCCAACTGATGACAGCAAATCCTCTGGTTCCACTGCCACAGCTGTCATTCTGGAGTGGGGATTTCTAGAGTCTGGATGCTAATCTTAAGGGAAGCATCATTCCTGAGGAGCACACATGTTGCTGTTTTTTGGTCCCCGGCGTCCACTCCTCCTTTTTTTGGTAGCTTTGGTCTAACTGCCCTCGGTGAGGGGAACCTCCCACTCCACAACTCAGGCCACGTGCTTTGCATGGACCCAGGCATAAGCACTTTACCCAATCAAAACCAATGAGACACACAAACTTTATGGGGGCTTTGAGGAGGGAGGCAGAGACTCTTTCCACTAGATTTCAACCTACCAGGGAAGGCTGGAAATGCAGTCACCTTGCCTCCATGGGAGAATGGCCTGTCTGAGAATGGAGTTAACACACAGGAAGTAGTACAGAGACAGCAAAACAGTGTCTTGGTAAAATTCCTCCTCCTAAAGCCAACTATACCCAAAGGTCCATCTTGATCTTTTCTATCGCATAAGCCCTATACAACCTCCTTCTAATTTCACCAGTAGGAGAAATGGTGGCTCTTATCCACAGGAATGAGGTTCACTCTGACTTGTACACACAACCACACAAGTGGAACCAAAAGATTCAGAACAATGAAAACCCAGGAGCTTCTCCTGCCTCTCACTTTAGCTTTTTTAGGCCCTTTTTATTCTAGTCACTGGAGGCTAAGAGTCCAAAACAAGGCCCCCATGTTCATGCTCCCCTGTCTGGGCAACCAGCATCAGGCCTTTGGGATAGCATCTTAGCTCCTTTCCTTCCTGCAGGTACCCATTCTTTTTTATTCAATACCCAAACAAAACTATACACTTCATCACAGTCTTCTAACTTCAGGAGAATAAGATTATTCAGAACTCTGCCAAATGCCAAAAGATCACAGCATTCCCTGCCTAGCCCTCGCTTCCCCACTAAAGCCTCTAGGATGTGGCCCCACCTCAGCTCTCATTTCTTCTAGCCTCACCACTGGGAGCGCCCCCCTCCCTCACTTTCCTTTCACCATCCTGAACTGTTGGTAGTTTTTAGAATATACCTGCTGTTTTTCACCTTCTTTGATCCTGCTGGGCCCCTTTGGATACCCCTCTCTATGCATAGTTCGAACCCTCCTCAAGCCTTAGCGACCTTATTCCCCAGACTGTAAGCTCCCCGAGGGCTTTAATCCCCCATGTCTGCACCCAAGCCCGAGTGTCTGACAGCAGGCACTCACTAACTGTTTGCTCAATAAGGGGAATGTGCCTCACCCACCTGACAAAAAGCCGGGCCCAGGCCTCTCCCACCCCAGAATAATGTGCCTTCTGTGTAATTAATCTAGACAAGTCCACTCAAGCCCCTTGAGGGTGGGGGTATAGGGAAAGGGCCTCACCATATCCCCCATGTGGGGCTGAAACTCAAACTTCATAGGGGGGCAGAAGACGTTGTTGTACATCTCCATGAGGCGCTGCTTGTCACTGGTGGCATCCAGGTTTTCTACTGCATTCTCGATGGCATCCAGACCCTCATGCTTCGACTGTTCCAGGTTTAACTCAGCAGAGAGGAAGGTGCGTAGAGCCCGGTTCAGACTTGCATGGTAGCCTAAGTCACAACACTGCTGTGGGAAGGAGAAGGCACATGAGCACACCATGGACAGCCCCAAGGCTTGGCAGAAAAGGAAGGTGGTCCAGAGGGCAGATCTGACCACATCAATAGGCTTGGCTGTGCAGTAGAAAGACGGCTGACATTCCGACTTCCAAGGTCTGGGTGAGAGTTCTCAGTTCTTGACTCCCAATTCAACGGTTAAACACACCCTACAGGGCTGTGAGGTGGTTAGGAGGAAGAAGACTCATAAGGATAAAATGACATTATTTAATTAAGCGCTATTTCATAAACATGAGAAGAATTGAGAGTTAAAGAGAATCCTCTTTCATTTTCAGGTTTATCTGGGGTTGTCATTATAACAAAATTCAACAATAAAAATACAACCTGCCACTCACTGAGGCTTACTGTGGTTAAATCACTATATAGCAACCAAGCCAGGCCATTTCAGGGTTCTGAAAGCAGGAGTATTGCAACAGCAGCTAATGTATGCAAGCTCAACTCTAGATGGGAGAAGGAGAGAATGGGGAGCTGACTCTGTGGGTCATCATCCCCACCAATGCCCAACATCCTAGGACAGGCCTTAGCTGCAGACTAGGGTTTCTGACATGCCTCCTCCTTCCTGGCATCTGACAACAGATGCCCCTGCACTACAGAAATAGCATTTATAAGACTAAAAAGCTCTACGCAAAAGTGTTACTGGAAAAATTCATGCCATGTAAAGGATTCTGATTTTTTACAACAAAATGCAAAAAGAGGCAACTGTATAAAAAAAGCACTGGCGCAGAATCAAGCAACCTTGGAAAAGCCACTCCCCTTCTCTGGACCTGTTTCTTCCATAGTAAAATGAACAGATTTGGCCAGGCTAGTGGCTTTCAAGCAGTAGACCAGAGCTGGCACTGAAGCTGCCCTTGAGAAGTGAGTAAAAGGACAACCCAACTACTAGGACTTGGAGTCTTCTATTCCTCCTTCAACCAAGCCAACCCTGCTCTTTTTTCTATTTAATATTTAGGGATTCTATGTAAGGTTTGGTTTGAAGAAAGAATTCTTCTGTTAGAGAAAAGTCTGAAAATCCTTGGACTAAATGTAATCCCTAAGGCCCTCTTCAGCAATGGCATTCTGTAACTCTGTGATAATATTCCCCATCCCTCCCAAAAGACCCAGAGATCCCAATTCCTTGGCCATCCATCATCCTCTCTATTGCTTAAGCAGCTCTGAGGTCCGGGTCCTAAGAAGAAACCTCAAAGAAGAATCTATGCATAGAGTAAGGCCATCTGCCTGATTGCCATTTCATTGCACAAGCAAGCATCAAATTAACTCTCCCCACAGCCTTTTCCTCTCATCATGATCACACTGGAAGCAGCTACTATTGGGGAAGAAAAGGCATATGATGTGCCTCCTCTTTCCTGGCATCTGACAAGAAGCTCAGTGAGAACATCAGTTGGGTTGGGCTCTGGGTTCAGTGCCAACAGGCCCTGGCAGCTGCCTGGCTGCAGTGGAATAACAGCAGTTACAACTTAACTAGAGGCAGAGGATGGAAAGACATTAAATTCAGTTGGGAGGGAAGAGCAAATGGAAGCTAGACAAAAGCGGCTCATTAGGACGCTGCACGGGCATGGGCTCTCTGGGAGATGCTGCTGGTCTCACCAGGCTGCCCTTGAACCTGTAAACCTTCCTGACTAGCTCTATGTAGACCCTGTTGATGAGCTCTATGCCTATAAGTCTAATGAACAGAAGTAACACGGCCCACAGAGTGTATGAGTGTGGGTGGAGGGGGTGTGGGCAGGGGGTAGAATCTGGGAGAGAAAAGTTACCCTTCAAAAAACTTTTACCTGTTTTTGGTAATTTCCCTTTCCTCTCCATTCTTACTACCTCTACCCCTATTCATACCCTCACCGTCAGCTTCACTGTCCTAAACTGTGACTTTAATTATGGCACTTTCCTGTTGAAGAACCTAAAATACCTCTCATTTTTTTTCCCCAAGGTAAAATCCACCTTCCTCAGTTTTGAAATTTAAAAAATGCTTCTATTTCACTAAGTATGCTTACTATACGTCAGTCCATGTGCTAAGTGCTTTATATACATTCTACATTTTAATCCTCATAATAACCCCAATGAGGTTGGTATAATCTTAATTTTCCAGGCTTGAAAGCTGAGGTTCAGTGAAGTTAAATAATTTGAGCAAGGTTCAATAGCCAGAACAAACTGTAATCTGTCTTCAATCTACCCATCCAACATCAACTCCCTTTATTTTCTTCTTCAGATTCATCTGCTCTAATCCAATGAGATACTCTCTGTTTAGGGTAGAGTATTAGTCTTCAAATCAGCTATATGGCCATAAGCAAGCTACTTAATCCTTCTGGGCCTCAAATGAGGATAACACCAGCCACACAGGTTGTTGTAGGCTAACAGGCAATATATTTACAGATATTTGGTACCATGTAGACACTTTAAAAAAATACTAATATAGCTCCAAATCCACTGACCTCTGCCCTTCAGCTCCCAGAATGTCCTTTTCCTTAAATGTTTCCTATGCCTCTCACCTGTTGGAATTGGACCAGATCTTCAAGATCCAAATTAAATTCTTAGCCTCTGGGAAGCCAGCCAACCCTGCAATCCTAGACTCCAGTGACCCTGGCCTCTACTTAGAACCACACTAATCTGCAGCTTTCATATGACAAGGAATACGCTTCTTCATTCTATGACTTGCCATGTCATATCACCCCAACCAGACTAGCTTCTCACTCTTCTTTACATCCCTCAGCATTAGGCCTTGCTCACAGCAGGCATTTAATAAATTTCAGTTGACTGATTGATACCACAAATACAGATTCCAGCCTCTCAGGAAATAAAACATTTAGGCTGAATACTGACCTAAGTCAAGTGGGTAGATGGGGCCAGTGAAGCCATTTGTTTTGCTTACTCTATGGCCAAAGGGAGGCTGGGAGTTTTCCCAGGCTGGCGCACTGCCTCTGTTTATATAACTATTCTGTAGCTTCTTTGTGCCAATGAGTGAGGGTCTGAGTCACAATGTGCCCCTGGCTCCTCTACACCTCTAGCCAACCAGGCAGATTCGGAAGAGGTTCTCCAGAGTCTTGACTATCTATATACCTGTAGGGGAAACAGCCAGAAACCGAGCCTTCAGCGAAGAAGCAATATCTGGCAAGGTTGGGTAAATGAGATTTGAATATTTCATCCTGTTCCAAGAAGAATCCCAATAAGTACAGGAAGCACATTATTTTGCTCACAGTGGGGACAAAGCAGGCTTTCCATGGCTTCTGATGAGTTCTGTGGCCACGCTGGACTCCCCTGGCCATTTCTGGGTTATATAAATGTTTGATGAAAAATCTCTCAGGGGAAATCAAATTTTTGTAAGAAGTTAATGACAGCCCATCCAGATGTATGATGACTTGAGTTGATAGCTCATTAACCCTTTCCCAGCTGATATCTTCACCCAGAGACTCCACAAGGCCTGGAAAGGAAAAATGGGTGTTTCACAACACCCACTTCAAGTTCACACAAAAGAGAAAAATAACTGCCCTTAATGACATTTCTTACTGAAACAGCCAAGTTCCCTCATGTCCGACTTGGGTGCACATGGTGTCACAGACCTTCCATACATGTACACGGCACTTACAACACTCCAGCTATGCATGAGGACAATGCCCTGTTCTTCATTCATCCATCTGCTCCTGGGTTGAGAGAGCCAGAAGAGTATGGGGGAGGAAAATTACATTCCAGTGAGCCTACCGTTCTTAGATGCCATCAAATGAGCTCAGAACGTCTTTTTGGCCTGAAGTCAAGGTTTCCCCAGTGTGGCAGATGCCTCACGTGGATTCCTACAGTCTGAAGTTTAAATCTTGCACTATACTATAAAAAGAAGTCGGAGGCTAGTCCTTGGTCAATGTAATGGCATCAACAAAAATAACTTCTTTTCACTTATCCTCAATGCCTTATGCACACATTTGGCTTCAGAACCACTAGGAAGGAGGCAGAAGGCTGTACATGACACAGATGGCAATGGACTGCAACAGGATTCATCCCATGTCTTAAAGCAAGTAATGAATAATGTTAAGATCAGGATGCCAATATCCCAGGCTCCTCACTTAGTCCTGCTCTAACTGCATCCTTTTGGCCCTTTTTATCTCATAGGTCAGCAAGAAAAAGAAAGACACTACCGATACATGCAAACAACATGGATGAAATTCAAAAACATCATGTTGGCAAAAGATGCCAGACACAAAAAAGGATAATCCCATCTTTGTGAAGTTCTACAACGGGCAAAACTAATTTATGGTGAAAGAAATCATAACAGTGGTTGCCTTGGGGTGGGGGACTGGCTGGGAAGAGACAAGAGAAACTTTCTGAGGCAATGGAAAGATATCTCTTATCAAAATATTTATTCTATATCTTGACATAGATTACAAAGATGTACAAATTTGTCAAAACTCTTGAAACTGTAACACTTAAGTTTAGTTACTGTATGTAAATTATACTTCAAAACCATATTGAAAGGTACAAAAAGAAAAACCGATCTTAGCTTAGATGATCATCTTCCTCCTCTTTCTATTCCTTTCTTCCTTCAGTAAACACACTATGTGCTCAGCTATATATTAAGCACTGGAGGCTACTAAGGTAAAGAAAACTCTTGGTTCCTGCTCTCACAGAACTTAACAGATGAGACTGAGATCTTCCTCTGTTCATAGTACAATGGCTCACAAACACTTTTTTGACTCCCAACTCACAATAAGAAACACATCTTCTATTGTCACACACTCCCCCATAGGATGTACAAGTGTGTACATACATATCTAACATAAAAGTTTCACATAATCTTACCAATGTGATGTACTCTAATATTTTCTTTCTTATTCTAGTCTCATCTAGTCATCTGAAAACACAGGTTAAACCAATAAAAGTGATTTCCTGACTTTCTTAAGGGATCTGACCAATGGTTTGAAAAATGTTGTCTTACAGCCTATGACTACCTCTAGGGTGAGAACTACTATAATCCATTTTTACCCCAATACTGAGCACGTGGCTTCTCCCTAAATAAATATTTACTGAACATTTATAGAGCAGAATAATACAACTTTAAAAAAAATAATGAATGTGTCCATATCCCAGGAAAAACAACAAAAACCCAACCAACCAACAAACTAAAACAAGACACAACCAAAACAGCAGCAAAGAAACGAGGCTGAGGCAGGCGGATCACGAGGTCAGGAGATCGAGACCATCCTGGCTAACACAGTGAAAACCCGTCTCTACTAAAAAAATACAAAAAATTAGCTGGGCGTGGTGGCGGGTGCCTGTAGTCCCAGCTACTCGGGAGGCTGAGGCAGGAGAATGGCGTGAACCTGGGAGGCGGAGCTTGCAGTGAGCCGAGATCGCACCACCGTACTCCAGCCTGGGCGACAGAGAGAGACTCCTTCTCAAAAAAAAAAAAAAAAAGAAACATGAGAAACTTTATTACTACCTATGTAGCCTTTTGATCCCAGTGATCTAGACCCACACCCTGCCAAGTACTAAGGCAGCCTCTTTTTCAATGGCATGTCACACCACATCCTGTGAAATTAGGCTCTTAGCAGACGTTTTTTTTTTTTAAATGATGAAAATAAGGTACAAAATACCTCGCTTCTTGGACTGATTTTAAAACGCTTGGTTATACCTGATGGAGAATCTATGGATTGCAAAGGTTGTGGCTGATACAGCAGTAACCCCTCCCTTCCCCTGAGATCAGTATTTTGGTGAAAAAGGTAGGGAAGTTGCCTTGAGTACAAAAAAAGAGAAGAGGGCTAACCAATAGCAGCGGTGTGGCAGACAGCACAGTCTGAATTTTTACCAAATGCGAGATAAATAGCAGAAATTGTGCATAAGAAAGAATGGATTCTCTTCCTTATGCTGAGAACAGGCCTCTCTCCCAACAATGAGGAGCTCTTCCCCTGAGGAGGAGAAAGGATCTTGTTTAGGGCTTTGACCTCCATTGAAGGACAGTGTTCAGATTGTCATCAACAAGCAGAGAGAACAAAGAGGTACCAGAACAGGGAGCAAGGCTCTACTAACCCAGTGAGACAATGACACCTAGGGCATTAAGTGGCTGAAATCTACTGAATCAAAAATCCTCGGCTAAAGGGAGACAGGAATCTGTATTTTAGAGAAGTTCCCCAAGCAACTCTTACGTGAGGCCAGATTTTAATACCAGGGAATTAGTCCAGTTCTTCAGTTAGCTAGAGGAGCTTGGGAGTGGGTGAGAAACAAAGCTGGGTTCCAGAACAATTCAGTGACAAGCCTAGATGACCCAGGTGGTGATATAACAGCAAGACTCGGACCCAAATCCCATATGATGTTGTGAGGTGTGGCAGGTTTGCTTGTGGAGAAACCAAGGCAGGAAAGCAAGAGTGGTCGGGCCAGAGTTTTGCAAAGCCCAACTGCTGCCAACAAGACCCTGAAACAAATGGCAGGCCTCCAAGATGAGATACACTTGAAGCCCCAGAGACTGGGATGCTAAATTGGCTGGCTCCAGATGCCTCACTTTGATGACTGGAAGGAGAGGTGAGAAAGGGTGTAATTACATAGCTTCACTTAGGTGTGGCTCAGGACCTGGGCCAGATTGGAGTCTGTAGGTGAGAGGGCTTGTAAGACCCAACTGTAAGGGGAAGCAGCAGGAAAAACAAGGCCAAGAATAACTCACAGGCAAAAAACAAAAAGCTTATCCCTGCGCTTGCCCCTTGCAAAACACATGTGCCTATTAACCGCTTTCCTCAATCCCCTTTGCATCACATATTTTTAAAAATGGGCCAGATGTCAGGGGGAGCTGGATACCTTCCTGACAGGACCCTAATTTGCGCATAACCTTGGACAAGTGAGTCTCGTAGTCCTCTGGACCTTGAGCTTCCTTATCTAGCAACTGGAGACAGCAATGCTTACCCATAATGGTGATGTGAGAGTCAAATGAGTTAACACCGAGAAACCTTAAATGCTATACAAATATAAGGGATGGCATTGTAACTCTTTAGTTAAGTTCTTGCCACTCACTTCTGTGCAAGAGAAGCTGATGTAATAAAGTATTTCCTAGGTCGGGTGCAGTGGCTCACACCTGTAATCCTAGCACTTTGGGAAGTCGAGGCAGGTGGATCACCTGAGGTCAGGTCACCTGAGGTGAGGAGTTCCAGATCAGCTTCACTAACATGGTGAAACCCCATCTCTACTAAAAATACAAAAATTAGCTGGGCATGGTGATGCATGCCTGTAGTCCCAGTTACTGGGGAGGCTGAGGTAGGACAATTGCTTGAACCTGGGAGATGGAGGTTGCAGTGAGCCAAGATTGCACCACTGCACTCCAGCCTGGGGGACAAAGCAAGACTCTATCTCAAAAAAAAAAAAAAAAAAAAAAAAAAAGGAAGAAAGTATTTCCTGGCAGATAGACGAGTGTAGTGGTTATGAGCCTGGGTTGAGTCATCAGGCCTAGGTGCAAATTTTGCCTCTGTCATTTGTTAACTGACTCTGACTAAGTCATCTAAACTCTCTGTTAATCTGTAAAAATATAGATAATAATGCCTTCCTCCCAGAATTCCAGTTAGGATTGAATAAGTGTGAAGTGTTTCACTTGGTGCTTGGCAAGCACCCTGTTGGATCATGGCTGCTATCTTCCTAATTGTTCTCAAAATGCACCAGATTCCTGAACAATAGTATCAGGGAATGTCTGACGAGTATTCTGAAACCAGAAAAGAGGTGCCCTCAGGCCCTTGGCTTTAAGCACTTACATCAATAAGGTCAGATAGGTCATGGATGTAGTACTTGAAGACAGATGCATTGGTTGCCTCCAAAGCCAGCAAGTACTCATTCCGGGCTTTGATGGCCTTCAGCTTATTCTCCGTGTACTTGGCTTGGCGCTGAAAAGGAAACAGAAGTTCACTTTTACCTTTTTTTTTTAAGGGGGGCTTGTTCTCTAAAAGATAAAAGTACAGTGTATTCAAGAACTACAATTGTGTTGCTACTCCCTATGCGCATCTGCCTTAAATTGGGTTCTAATTCTGTTTAATGAGATTCAAGGGCACAATGTAGATCAATTCAGGAAAGGTTAATGAGGCTCCCTACTTAAGATGTGTGCCCCACTTTGATTCTATCTTCAAATATCATTCTTCATTCTTGCAATGCCACTCTGAAGGAGGTACCACTACTCTTGCCCCTGAACACCTGATACCTGAAACCAAATCCTGGGTTTACAGTCACCCCCAACCCCTCCAAAGCAATAGGATATTGAGCTCTATTTGGAAAATGGATTGGGAAAGGTGACTGCTGTTTCTTGGTTTTCTGCTAGAGGCTAGAAACTTGGAACCCACGTGCCCAGTTCTTCCAATACCTAGTATTCCTGCCAGGGCACAGAGCAAGGCCTCATTTTCAGTCATTAGGCACTAAAAGAACCCAGAGCTTCCTCGTCTGCTCTTCCCAGTGACTGTTGGGAAATTCCTATCAGCCATGCCTTACCGAATGTTGCTTCCCAGCATCTACAGCTGTGGGAGCCTACATACCTTCTCCTTCATCTTCTCAATCTTCTTCACTGAGCTCCTCCGGACATGTTTCTCCTCAATGCGAACGTTGGCCGTGGAGTCAGGGGAGCGTGGGGTCTGCCGGTCCTCCTGCTTTACCGATTTACCAATTTGCTTCTCCTCCTGCTTCTCCGCCTCCTTTAGTTTGCTCTGAGCACTGATGCTGTCGGCATTGTACATGTGATATGTCTTCATGACCTGCAAGACATCGCCCACCCCCACCCCCAGAGGTCAAGCCAAGGGTGTCATTTCTCTGCTTTACAGACTAACAGACTCAGCTGGAGCTCTCCCCCATGAAGCAATATCCTCACACCCCTAAGGGAAAAATCCAGAAGTGTTTGGTTCAGCAAACACAGATTAAAGACCACTCCAAAGCACAGGAAAGCAATATGTGAACTGAGCCAACATTTCCTCTTATTGAAATAACTTAATGTCTATCCATCATGTATTATTTATTTCTATTCATTATCATTTGTAATCACTTCTCTTTAATATTGGCCAGGTGATTTCTATCACTTAGTCACCTCATAATACTGAGTAGATGGGAAACAACACCACCACTCTCAGGCCCCAAGGGCAAAGCCTTTCTGGGCTGGTCAGGAACCCCGAAGAGGGCAGTGCAGCCTATGGAGTAGCCTATGCTTTCTGTTACCTTTCAGATATAAAATAGGGAAGAGGAAAAGCTTCCAAAAGCTCCTTTTACTGGCCTGGCATTCTGGGGATCTGTCTGTTCTGCTTTATCCAGATCAAACACCCTCTCACAGCAACTAAAGCAGCAGCAGCAATTGCAATGCCAGTTATCATTTACTGAGCACTTAGTATATTCCTGGCTTTATGCCAAGTACCACACAACACATTTTCTCATTTCATCCTTAGGACAATTCCACAATCTAGACAACAACCCTATGAAGACTGTAAGCCTTCAAAACAATTCAGGTAAGAGTCTGGGAAGGAATAAAATCCATATCAAGTATAACTGGAATTGCCACAGGAGGGAAGTAGTATAAAAGGTGAAGGATGATTTTCCATCAAAGCAACCATCTAGGAGTCCAATCCTTTCTCTTAACAGGGAAGCCAGGAAGCCTAGAACTCAAGCTTGTTTCCAATCCTACTAAACATACTACTTCCAGCCACCTAGTGCCTGCTCTACTCTGTGGGAACTTTCTGTTTCCACACAGGGAGTTCACGAGTGCTGAAAGTGTGATGCCATAAGATTTCTTTGAGAGGGAGAATTAGAGAGTAGAAGTTGGGTGTGTGTGTGCGTGTGTGTGTGTGTGTGTGTGTGTGCATGTGTGTGTGTAACACAGGAGTGCAAAGGTACAATATTATTATTAATATCTACCACTTAATAAACATTGTGTACCATGGGCTTTACGTACATTACCTCATTTAATTCTTACAATAACTCTGTGAAAGACACTGTTATTATTTCTATTTCTAAAGATAAGGAAATAAGGCTCAGAGAGATTAACTATCATACCCAAGGTCATACAATGAGTAAATGGTGGAATCAGGATTCAAACCCAGGTCTGTCAGACTCCAAAGACCACATTCTTAGCCATTAAGCAACACCGACTCTCCTCTGGATAGGACTGGAGCTGAACTGGTTGGGAGGAAAGGTTAAATATGGTCAAGATATTCCTGAAAAGAGAAACTGGTTCCGTGTATGAACCTGAGTTAGAGAAGTGTCTCAACCTGGGGCTATTTTGGCCCCCAGGGGAAATGTGGCAGTGTCTGGAAATATTTTTGATTGTCACAACTTGGGGATTGCTACTGGCATCTAGTAGTTAGAGGTCAGGGATGCTGCTGAACATCCCATGCACAGGACGGCCCCCACAACAATTAATTATCTGGCCCAAATGTCAATGGTGCTGACGTTGAGAAAATCTAGCTTAGAAAGACTTTGTGGGTATACTAATCTAGCCCCTACGATCAGCTAGAGGCAGACGAAAGAATAAAGAATACTGGGACACTGACAAAATCAAAGTACATTAGAGTCTAAATTATGTCTCATTTTGAATGCAGAATGTTTTAAATCAGTTTCACCTCATTCTGAACCTAACACTACTTCCCGTAAATTTTACCAGGATAATACTCTTCATATTTTCTATACAGAAGAAAAAATACTTAACAACTAATGGCGTTTAAAAGCCTTTCTAAGTAATTCGAACAGACCCCCAGCTTTCCAGGTTAACTAAGAAGTGGAAAAGAGGCATCTGTTATCTCAGCTGAAGAAGTGTAGATAGGAGGCTCCTCTTTTTTTTCTCTTTTTCCACCTGAATCTGACCATGGGATTCAAAAGCTTAGTGAGAAGTTACAAAAGTGAGTGCTTTTTTTCTTTTTGAAAGTGATTTCCTATTTCATGAAGGTGCATGATAAAGAGAAAACGTTATGAATAAACATGAGATAAAAAAGAGGTCAAAGAATAGCACTACCAAGTCAACAAATGAAGTAACAAAAATCAACAATTTACAATGTTACTTTCCCCTAAAAAACTTAAAGAACTTTCTTGTTAAAAGAGAGTAAAACGCTACTTTGCCTAAGAAACTATACATTCTTCACGCTAAGCTCTACTTCTTTTGTGTTTTCTTCTCACAGTGGAGAAATATGTCATATACACAATGGTAGTTTTACAAAGTGGTTGCCCAAATGACTGAATGACACTGAATCTCTCTTCTGGGTAAATACTGGAGAAGCTTTATTAGTGCCTTCCAGCTCAAGAGAAAACTGAGGTACCTAGAAGCTGAAGCTTAAATAAGTGATGCAAAAACAATTGAAAAAATAGGAAAGTCAAGACAGGACTTAGAAATGTATATAGATACAGATATACATGTTAAATATATATTTATAAATATATATTTATAGTCAAGATAGGACTTAGAGAAAGCCAAGATAGGACTTAGATATATATATCTATGTACATATACATATGTAAATATATGTATATCTATATATCTATGTCTTAGACATATAGCTACTCATATATGTATATATAGATATGTATACATAAAGATATACATATACATACTTCTATCTATATATAGATAGGCAAATGCAAACTATGGGGAAAAACTGAAAAGTCTAAATTCTCAGTTCTGCAAAGAACATTCCACTTTACTTTGAAAAACTAAACACTGAAGTCACATATTTAGCTCTGCTCCCTCTGACAGCCACACTAAAATAATAGGAAAAAAAAGGTTCTAAAATGATTATCATTTAGGTATAAATTGAGAAAAACAAAAAGAATGGAAGCTGAAGCCGAAAAGCGGGTAGGCAAGCAGTAACTCATCTACTTGAGTCCTAAACCAAAACCAGAGTGAGCCAGGAAGCAGCCAGATTTATATCACAGAAGCCCGAAGAGAAATAAGTAGCAGTGGGATGAAGGTAGAGCTAAACACAAAATAAGCTATTGAAAGTCTGAGAACAGGCCGGGCATGGTGGCTCATGCCTGTAATCCCAGCACTTTGGGAGGCCCAGGTGGGCGGATCACGAGGTCAGGAGATTGAGACCATCCTGGCTAACACGATGAAACCCCGTCTCTACTAAAAATACAAAAATAAATTAACTGGGCGTGGTGGCGGGTGCCTGTAGTCCCAGCTACTCGGGAGGCTGAGGCAGGAGAATGGCATGAACCTGGGAGGTGGAGCTTGCAGTGAGCCGAGATCACGCCACTGCACTCCAGCCTGGGCAACAGAGCGAGACTCCATCTCAAAAAAAAAAAAAAGGAAGTCTGAGAACAGTGAGGCCCCAAGATCCCCTCTCCCATTGTAGTGGAAGACTAGATGAGAGGTTTATTCTGTTAGAGAGGGTCCATGGACTAGGGGATACAAGGTTCAGCTGAGGATACGGGTATACTGAACTTCAACAGGAGGATTAGCTGAAGTCTATGTTAAATTTTGAGATGGTCTAGGCCTCTTCACAACTCAGCTCCCAGACATGAGTGGGAGATCAAAAGTGTGATCTCTCAGCAATCTGACCATCCAAGATAAGAGACCTAGAAATACTAAAGTTGGGGCTTCCACAAGGACACAGCCCAGTTAGAACACCCTACTGTGAAGGCCACAGCTGACATAGAATCTTTTAGTGCCTCACTTTAAAATGTGAATAGGCAGCTAAGAATGACCAGGCATTTAAAGGAAATGTCTAATATGAAAGACCAAGACCAAAACTAGCAATTTAGAAGAAATATTATACAACAAGAAGAAAAGTTTGAAAACAATATATCCATAATAGCCCTGGAGAGATAAATGAGAAATAAAACGATACTGCATCATGAAACAAAAGTTGGATGCAACAAAAAAGGGAACATGTAGAGAACAAGAAAAGAGTTCTTGGCAATAAAGATTCAATTCAAGTATCTCTTCAAGGAGCCTGACTTCATCCCTGTCCTCTGTGTAGACATGTAAATGAGTTCTTGTCACTTCATTTTTCACTTGATGCTTTACTTTTCTGTCTCTCCCTATTAAAACTAAACGCCTTGAGGTCAGAAACATCTCTTATTTGTTCTTGTCTCCCTAGTGCCTAGTGCCAGAGTCAAATAGGCAAGCAGAGTTGAGGGACTATTAAGTGCCATTGTTTCAAGGGAACAGGTGCTAAATACCAGTCTGAAGTAGCTCTGCCAGCACACAGCCGATGCTCCAAGCCAAGGGGATATAAATTTAGGGGGAGTACAGAAGCATAAGGCCTCTGGAATAACAACAGCCCCAAAGTGTCCCAAAGCCTCTTTTTTCTCAATTCTAGAGCTTCCTTGACTCTTCATACTCAGCCAATCCACACTGGCTTCAGTGCCTCCATGTACACTCCTTCCTGTGGGGGTTTGCTGGGTTTTTCCAGACACGACCTCTGAGTACAACTGAGGCAAAGAATCCCAGAGTTCTTTGGGAAGCAGTGTGTTCTGACTTCAAAGGCATTCCCGGTGCATCAGTCAGAAAATGAAAACCACTTATGCCATGGCTTACATACAAGCCAGCTCATTATGGGGGGAAAACACGTGGAGAAGAATGCTCGCTAGGATTGCTCTCTGAATAGCAGCTGTGGGAAGCAGGCCCCAGCACAGAATGCCAAGTCAGGGAAATCAAAGGCCCTTCAGGCAGAAAAGAGGAAGGTGCAGAGGGGCAGCTGGCCACTCATGGCGGCATTCTGGGCCCGGTGCCCAAAGGCATCTTTATTTGGGAACACCTGGGTCCTGCTCCTTGGATCATCAAGGTTCAAAGGTACTAAAATTACCAACCCTTGGATAACTAGTCCCCTAAAAAAAGGTATTCATGGGCATTAGGAGCAGATGTGAAGGACATGAAAAAACTGGGTGGGTTTCTTATATCCTTGGTTTCCTTTTTCCAGTGACCCCAAATAACTTCTATTGCCTACAACGTCATTGAAATGAGAGGCCCTTCCCTGCCTTCCTGACAAGCAAATAATGGGAAAGCTCCTTCTAAGAAACTCTCCCTTGTTCTCTTCTTGACTCCTCAAAGGTGTGCATACAGCAAGCAGCTTCCCAAAGCTAGCATGTAACAGGCCCAGCTTCCCACCTGATAAAACCACTCTCCCATGCAAGGTGACCAATTAACCCTTTTTAACCTAGAACTTTTCCAGTTTCAGCACTGACAATTTCATGTCCCAGGAAACTCTTCAGTACTAGGCAAAGAGGGACAGTTAGTCACCGTAATCCCATGGTGCCTTATTCAGACCAGTCCTAAACCTATCTTAATCTCCAGAAGAAATAATTCTATTCTCTGAACTGCTATTTTTTTTTTTTTTTTGAGACCGAGTCTTGCTCTGTCCCCCAGGCTGGAGTGCAGTGGCACGATCTTGGCTCACTGCAAGCTCTGCCTCCTGGGTTCATGCCATTCTCCTGCCTCAGCCTCCTGAGTAGCTGGGACTATAGGCACCCACCACCATGCCCGGCTAGTTTTTAATATATTTTTAGTAGAGATGGGTTTTCACCGTGTCAGCCAGGATGGTCTCGATCTCCTGACCTCATGATCCGCCCACCTCAGCCTCCCAAAGTGCTGGGATTACGGGCATGAGCCACTGTGACCGGCTATTCTCTGAACTTTCTCTTTTTTTCCTTTTTCTTTTTTTTTTTTTTTTTTGAGACAGAGTCTCGCTCTGTTGCCCAGGCTGGAGTGCAGTGGCACGATCTCGGCTCACTGCAAGCTCTGCCTCCCAGGTTCAAGCCATTCTCCTGCCTCAGCCTCCCCAGTAGCTGGGACTACAGGCACCCGCCACCATGCCCAGCTATTTTTTTTTGTATTTTTAGTAGAGACAGGGTTTCACCGTGTTAGCCAGGATGGTCTCGATCTCCTGACCTCGTGATCTGCCTGCCTCAGCCTCCCAAAGTGCTGGGATTACAGGCATGAGCCTGGCTCACTGAACTTTCTAATGGCCTACAGACTCTGGAAACCTATTTGATCCTTAGCTATAGCCTAATATTTCAGGAAGTATAACTCACCCAACTACTCCACCCCCTAGGATATAGAAATACCAGTGCATGGAGTGTATGCAGACACTAAGGTCATAGAGGTTTGGGGTATCCCTCAAGCTCATACAGCTAGTAGTCAAGACAGGGTAGAATCTAGGCTGCTTAATTCAGGAGACTCTAGTCACTAGACCAGCATTTCTCAATCTTGTGGGTCAGAAGATTCTCAATGTCTCTATATTGACATTGTGGGTCAGATAATTCTTTGTTGTGGGAGCTGCCCTGTGCACTGTAGGATTTTAGCAGCACCCCTGGCCTCTAGATCATTAGATGTCAGCAGCACCTTCTACTCCTCCAGTCGTGACAATCAAAAATGTCTTCAGGCATTGCCAAATGTCCTCTCGGGGTAAAACTCCCTCTGCTTAAAACTCCATTTGGACCAGAATGTTTTGACTTCTCTGAAACTTCCTAGTGCCTCTACTCTTTTTTCCCTCTTTCCATTGCCTACTAGAGGAAAACATCACATTTTAATTTTGGCCTTTAACAGATTATGAGGGTGTATTCCAGCTCACCTTATGGCAGGGGATACCACACTCAGGCAATTCTCAGTTTGAACATCAATGGGAAGATGTTATGCTCTATGTTGACCATGGCCTCACAATGGCCAGTAAAGTAGTTGGCCAATATTGGGCTGTCTTAAGTCTGCAGTCAGAGGTAGCAGCTCGGCCCTCTGCAGACCAGAGAAATAAGTTCCAAGGTTTTCTTCCTCACTCAAACACAGCTTACGCCCTTTCACTTATTTTTTTTTTTTTTAAAGCACAGCATATGAAGAGACATAGGACCCTGGGTAAAAGCTAACAGATCCTTAGACAGTAGTCTTCTTCTGCTGCCTTGAGTCCCACTGAAGAAGTGGCAAGGTTTGTTGGTTATCCAAACTACTCCTCCCCAGAAACAGCTGCAAATAGTAGAGGGTCAAGATGCTTACAGGAAAATAAAAGAATTTATACAATGACTACATGTGTCATTTTCTATCTTAGAGAATTCTCTGCTAGGAGAAAGGAGTAATAGCTCTTCTTGGCGCTTAGAAATTGATCTAAAAGAGCAGAAGTAAAGCATTAAAAAGACAAGGTTCAGGAAACCCATCCAGTCTGAAAATGGCTCACATCGATGTGTTTCTATTTTAAAAACCTCTTAACTTCATTTGAGAGAAATGAAAACTTGGGAGTTGAACGAAAGGTACCATCTATCTATGCTTGGCTTCAGAGCAGAAGTGTCACAGAGTAGAAATTCAAAACAAACTGAACATCGCTGGAGATAAGTCAGATGACTACTCTACCCTATTTACTTGCTTAACAGTTGCCATGACAAAATGGCCACACCTAGGCTTCTGGATCAGCAACATCTGATCCCAAATGCCTGTCATGCATGTCACCACTGCCTGTTCTGTGAATTAAAAAAAAAAAACAAAGGAAGAAAAGAAAAGAAAAAATGCAGCAAATAAGCAAGTAAACATCAGAAATCAGTATCACCTTCAAACAGGATGGAGAAACCCTGGAGAATGACATAGTAGGCTGGCACATCCAAGCTGGAGAAGGGGCCCCTGAAAGGCATTAGCTGTATAACTTAAGTATTCCCTGTATAGCAACAGGAATTTCCTTGGTGTGTATGTGTGTGAGTGTGTGTTTGTTTTCATTATAATTAGAAAAACATGGCTGGGGAACAACCACCACCACCACCTCTCTGCGCATGAATTAACACGCACCAGCCACAGGCATCATGTGCCTGAAGCGCCAGTCATCTCAGAACAGATTGTGTTCTCTTCTCCAAGCCCGCAGCCTGCCTCGTCACTGAGGTTTGGCTTTATAAAACTCCAGGAAGCCAGTGCAAAGCTCTCTCTGCTCAAACTGGTCCCTCTTACTGGGGGCATTTAGGACTCTGTGCTGCCCTCTAGAGCATTTGTTCTAGTCTCAAAGCCATACATCAATCCAAGATCTGATGAAAAACCTAGAACAATAAAGCCTTTCCGACAGGCACATATTAATAGTGCAATGCAGGCTACGTTCCTTGCCATTAGTTCAGGGTCCCTGGTTTGCTGCTAACGGGGTCCATTGTGCCAATGACCTAGACTTTGGCTGGTCTCTAGTAATTATGCCCCAAATAAAGCCAGGGTGAGCTTGCATAGCTGAGGAGAAAACTTATTTTGAGGAAGTATTTTTTGACTCATTCCGTTTTGAAAAGACGAGTGTGAAAAAAGAGATGGGTGGGGTCACCCCCAGTGGGGACCATGCACTTGTCCTCAACCTCAGTTCAGTTCTGTTGCTGATGTACTATGGCTGCAAGCTGCCAAATGCTGCTTCCCTCTGCTTGTTAAAGAGCCAAGCAACCCATCTGATTTACCGAGTAGAGCTCGTTCAGGACCTTCATCAAATCATCTTGGAGCTGCTGGCCGACTTCTTTACTCTGCAAGGAAAGAGGAATGAAGGTTAATTGGGAAACAGAAGAGAGAGGAGGGAGCAACGAAGGCAAAAGCCACACTGGCTCTACAAATAACCCAGACTCAATTAAGGCCCATTATTTAACCCAGCAAATCAGATAACCACTCCAATCAGACCCAATTATGGTCAGATTACTCAAAGAGTTTTAATAAAATGAAATGTGCCCTCTCTATAGCCTAGCAAAGGCAATTGCGTAGAGGGAAAAAGGGTGGTAGCCTTTGGTTTTTCTATTGGTCCCCAAAGAGCAGGCCTGAAAGCCACATCCTACCTAGCAACTGTTGTTAGGTGGAACATGGTTTCTCAGATACTTGCAGTCAAGCATTCCAGAAGATTTCAAAGGAAAGTAAGATGTGTAATGGGATGAAATAGGAAAAAGTATATAAACATTCAGGGACTTCAAAGTCCCTAACTAAATAGAAAACTCCAAGCAGGATGGAACTATATTTCTTACTTGCTTTATTTCTACCCAAAACTCACAAGGCAGCGGTATCTCAATATTGACTGCCTGAGAGATTAGCTGTTACTAGATGCTGAAAATATATGTTAAGGGGTCTCCAACTAGTTAATCTTGAGCAGTGATGGCTCCTGGGTTCTTTGCTGCTGCCACCCAGGGCTGACATCTAACTACATAGAGCAGTAGAAATAAACAATGAGGGCTGGGCACGGTGGCTCACACCTGTAATCCCAGCACTTTGAGAGGCCGAGGTGGGTGGATCAGCTGAGGTCAGGAATTCGAGACCAGCATGGCCAACATAGTGAAACCCCATCTCTACTAAAAATACAAAAATTAGCCGGGCCTGATGGCACACGCCTGTAGTCCCAGCTACTCAGGAGGCTGAGGCAGGAGAATTGCTTGAACCCAGAAGGTGGAGGTTGCAGTGAGCCGAGATTGCGCCATTGCACTCCAGCCTGGGTGACAAGAGTGAGACTCTGTCTCAAAAAAAAGAAAAGAAAAGGAAAGGAAAGAAAGGAGGAAGCAGGAAGGAAATTGTCACACCTTCTATACTAAGTGTTCTATGCCAAACCTAAGAGAGCTAAAACTGATTGGCAGCATGGGTCATTGAGAGGGAAAGCCCTTGTTTTATCTTTTGCCAGCTCCTTCTAGATCTTTCCTACCAGAAATTCGGGTATCAAAATGCCATCCTAACAGAAGTTATAATACTGTTTCCCATCCCTCCCACCATAGCTGCTAGCTCCCAGGCAAAAAAAGGAAGGACTTTCATGTCAGATACACAATCATTTAAGATCTTGCTTTTTTTCAAGGTACATACATCTCTACTTAAAAAATACTTTTTTTTCTGATTACAAAAGTAATGTATGTTTATTATAATAAGGAAACTAGAAACCTCAAAAAAGAAAACAAAAGTAACTCTTAAATTCCTACCACTAAGAAATCACCACTCTAAGTGTTGTTATGTATTTTTCTAATCTTTTCTAGTTTTACAAAATTGGGATTGCATTATAAATCCTGTTTTGTAACTTATTCACTTAAACATATGTTGTAAACATTTCCACATGTATTATTGTTCTATAGCATTATAATACGTTCTATTGATGTAGCTCCCATTCTTGGACATTTACTTCACTTCTAAATTTTTGTGATAAAAAATGCCATATCACATTACTTTGTATATGATCTAATGCACACACCTTTCATTATTTTTTCCTAGAAATAACATTGCTGGGTCAAAGACTACCATTTATACCACTAAAATGCCTTTGAGAAAAACGGTACCAATTTAAAATACCACCAATAGCATATATGAATGTTTATTTCACATTTTTTTGTCTTGACAATTTGATGTGGTATCCTATTGTAATTTGCAATCCTTTGATTCTAATGAGCCTGAGCATTTTTAAAAATGTTTATCAGTCATTTTCATTTTTCTTTTATAATCTGCCATTTTCTTATTAAGGTGTTCTCTGCCCATTTTTCTATTAAGGTATTCATTATGGAATATAACCTATGTGTGGCCTCTGTCATGAGTAAGCATGAATTTTTACATCTGATAGTGGGGAAAGGGGTGGAAGGAGCCCTAAATTAGCAATCACAAGATTCTCTTTCTATTCCTGGCTCCTGCATTACCAAAGAGGTAACTCTGGACAACCTGGTTAACCTCTCTGGCCCTCTGTTTTCCCTTCTATAAAATGAAAAGCTTCAGCTAAAACATTTCTAAAGTCTTTTCCAACCTCTGCCATTCTATGATTCTACATGATCTTCTGCCTGGCTTCTAGAGTCCATATTAGCTTCAAACATCCCTCCCTTTAGTGTATGGCTGGTTGGCTAGAAGATAATGAGCAAGTTCTCCTCGGGGACCCAGATGCTCTACAAAATGGACGGGTTCAGGGGATCTTGCCAGTCTTAAATTTATCATTCCAGGGTCTCTCATCCAATGACCTCAACTGCTGGAAGAAGCCACAAGAGGGAATGCCTTTCATCTGTGATCTCACATACCAGCCTGTCCTTTCCATTGAGAGGAAAGCTGAGCTCCACTGAAGCAACAGAGGCCCAAGGAGGTGAAGTGAGGCAACATGACTCACTCTGAGCCCCAGAGTCAGCAACAGGGTCAGGAAGTGACCATGAGTATCACTTCCCACCGCCCTGCCCTCCTGCCTCCGGGCCATCTCCCCCTGCCAGCCTATCGTTTCTTAACTCCTCCTTATGTTTGAATGGCAGAGGTTAAAGGAGAAAGCTCCTATTCCTCTACCCTGTTGCTTACCCATGACTTAAATAACCTAGCCCCAGAGTGGGGGATGGGGGAAGAAGAGGAGGGAAAAGTGTAACCAAAAAAAACAGCAATTAAGCCCAGGCAGATGTTTCCTTTCATGTACTGATGAGTTGGGAGGACCACTCAACTATTATCCCTGTTTATTTGAACAGGCTGCTGAAGTGATCTGACTTACTGCTCCCTCTGGCTGAGGGTTGGGCTGGGAATACATGTGTAGCGAGCCCACTTAAAATGTGCAATACAGCCTCTAGCAATCAGGAGAAATTCTGACACTAGGCCAGAGGCAGGAAATTGCCAGTGTCTCTCCTTTCACAGATGATAAAAGGCCATTCGTTCTCTGTTTCAGAAACCTTAACTGTGTGCCTTTGGGGGAAAGCGTGGCCCCAGGAAGGGCTTCCGTGCTGGCCACTGCAGTGGGGTTGACAGAGCTGGTAAGCCACAAGGGGGCCCCACCCAAAGACAAGGGGGACATTTATTCCTGGGAACAACAAAACCTGATGAGGCCGAGTACATGACAATGAAGACTGTAGAGCTTTTCCGTTCTCTATAAAAAGGCAAGGGGTTTCTAGACAGGGAAGAAAAAGAATTTACAGAGCAGTCTTTGTGTACTAACATACAGCCTGCATCTCTTTTCTTTAAAATTTCTTGGAAGAGAATGAGTCATCTCAACATTGCAGGAAACCAAATAGAAGTTGGGGGAAAAAATTACTTTGGACAAAGTTTTTCTCTTAAATGTTTGCATAGTAATCTTTGCCTGGAAAAAAAAAAGATGCCTAAATTTAGAATAGAGATGTGGTACAGTTAACAATGCTGGTTCTATCGGATGGGAAGTGTGATGGTGTGCTCAGGCTGGGATCTCTTATTTTGAAACTCACCACAACCATTTGGCCAGAGTGCTTCACTGGCCTCCACTCTGACTGCTGCCGAGGGGCTGATCAGAAGACAATGAGATTGCAACAGCTTCTACCAGTTGTATGCTGACAAAATGGGTAGGAAAGCTTCCTTTTTCCAACAGATAACAGCATTGGAAACAGAACTGAAATGCACTGTGTCATCTCATCTCCCCAAGACAAGACTGTAATGTTCCAAAGCCTCCTTGCTCACAGAAAGGATGTAACAGCAGATATGTACGGAAACATAAGGATCCTAGGCATCCGGGATGCCTGGCCACTGGGCTGGTCACTCTTCCTTAGACCTCTTTAAATCAGTACATTTCCTGAGCTTGGATGGGTTTGTCTATTAGCGTTTCCCAAAGAACACCAATTATGAAAGAGGTTTCAGACCTGTTCTCAATAGGGAGGTTACTTGTTACCGATTCTCTAGTTATTTAGATCAGCACTCATGTGCTTTCCAAGTTGGGGGTGGGACTGTTGTTAATTGGTTATCTACATTTCAAAGCTGTATTTTTTGACAGGCACAAAAGTACCCCCTATTTGTAAGAAAGAAGAATAAAAAGAGGAAGGCATGTCTCTGCCATGTGGCGAGAGCTCATTTCAGCCCCATCCCAAGGCTGAGCCTGTCAGCAGGTAGGAACAGTAGGGCCATTTAGTTCTCTGCCATTTAGCCTGTGTCAGCAGTTTTCCAAAAAAGAATCCAGTTTTCAAGGGCACATATCTCCCCAACAACCACTACTATCCCCTCCCCACCCTAAAGATTGTTCAGAGACCAACTGTTAAAAAAAAAATCCAGTTTAAAACTGAATTTATGTTACAGATTTCAGAGGAAAGGAACATGACCCTGTATTAAGCTCTGGCAGCAGAAGCACCACCATACATAAGGTGGTGGTTTCAGGGGCATTCACTAACCACTTCAAAGAGGCCACATTTCAGGAGCTGGCACTTTGCCTGAAATGCTTTTGGTGGGGAGGAGAGGGCTAAAAGGAATGACTGTTTGGTAGCAGGGCCAGTGCTAGGTGATGGTGGGCACTGTGTCTGGTCCTCTCTCTCAGCTAACTTGGGCCACCAAAATAGGTGGTACAGTGTGAGGCTGTATGCCGAGGCTCTGGGGGTTCAGGGGGTGATGATCCAGCAGGTCAGAGCTCAGAAATGACTTCTAGATTTCCCCTCCACCATACTACCTGCATATATGCAAGCAGGGCTCTTTCTATTCAGCATTCATTCATCGGTGAGGATACCATGAGACGGCTCTGAGAAAGACTGAACTCCAGTTAGGACCTTAAACTATGAGAAGCCCAAGGATGTATAAAACACAAATATACTTAATTGCAAAACTTTTATAGAGAGGTAGGCTAGGAGATACCACAACAGGGACACCAGAGGTGCTTTTGCCTTCTGAAGATAGGTAGACTAGGATGTTCAAAAAATACATTTTTTATTGCAATACAGCATAATAGGTGTCTATAATAAAAGTACTTATGTGTCCGGAGTTGGTTCCTTCTGGTGGGTTCTTGGTCTCACTGACTTCAAGAATGAAGCTGTGGACCTTCGCGGTGAGTGTTACAGCTCTTAAGAGTGCTGACTGGTGCATTTACAATCCTTTAGCTAGACACAGAGCACTGATTGGTGCATTTTTACAGAGTGCTGATTGGTGCATTTACAATCCTTTAGCTAGACACAGAGCGCTGATTGGTGCGTTTTTACAGAGTGCTGATTGGTGCATTTACAATCCTCTAGCTAGACAGAAAAGTTCTCCAAGTCCCCACTCCACTGAGGAAGTCCAGCTGGCTTCACCTCTACTTATGTGCTGTCCACTATGATATTTCCTATTTTTTTATCTTCTTTTTTTCTTTTCTTTCTTTCTTTTTAGATACAAGGTCTTGCTCTATTGCCCAGGCTAGAATGCAGTGGCCTGATCATAGCTCACTGCAGCCTTGAACTCTTGGGCTCAACTGTCACGTGATCCTCCTCCCTCAGCTTCCCATGTAGCTGGGACGACAGATGTGTACAAACACGCTGGTTAATTTTTGTAATTTTTGTAGAGATGGGATCTCACTGAGTTTGCTCAGGCTGGTCTCAAACTCCTGGCTTCAAACAATCCTCCTGCCTCAGCTTCCCAAGTAGCTGGTAACAGGCATGCTTGGCTAATTTTTAAAAAAATTGTTTTCAGATATGGAGTCTCGTGATGTTTCCCCAGGCTGGTCTCAAACTCCTGGCCTAAAGATCCCTCCACCTCAGCCTCTTAGAGTAGCTGGGATTATATTCTCGAGCGACTGTGCCTGGCCTTTTCTATTTTTTTATATTGGTCATAACTCACTACATTTATTTTACAACTCATTAATGAGTCATTATACACAGGTTTAAGAAGACTGGTTACATACAAAAGTCTGTACTTGAGGAATTAATAAAGAAAATAGTGGTTTAAGGACTGGAGCCCACTAACTTAGTTAGACAGGAGCTAAAATAACTTGCCGTCTTGAAGTGGCTGATCAGATGTTTCAAAGCAGGTTCAATTATTGAATGCTGGCAAGGGAGAAATGGCTGGATTTTAGGGAGTAAGCAATAAAGAGTCCATCAGCAAATATTTATAGAACATTTATTAAGTGTCAGGCACTTGTGGTCTGAATGCAAAACAGAAAGTTTAAAAGTTTACAACCTGTTGAGAAAGATGGACATTAATCTAACGTCTGGGCCCATCAGAATGCAATTCTTCCAATCTCAAAGGTATTACTAGAAATGGAATATCTTAAGTTAGTTTTTTTAGTTTAAGATCAATTTTTTTTCCTGTCCCAGCCAAGAGGTTTCCACACCATAACCTAATTCCACAGCAAGCTAGATATTGAATCTAGCTTGCCAAAAAAAAAAAAAAAAAAAAAAAAAAAATCTGATTTCAAAAAATCCAGCTATTACATAGTAAATTCTTTTTCTTTGGGTTTGTCTTTCTAAGTTACTAATGGATATTTCAGGTTATAATGATCCAGCTTCAGTATTAGTGACTCCCAAAGCAGTCACATTCCATTTTTAAAGAACCCCTTGAGCTTGTAAGCACCATAAAAAACAATTTCACCAGAAGCTCCTTCACTCAGGAGTTAATGGATATAAACTATCCTAGTGACAAGTTATATTTTAAAAGAAAATGTCAGAAACTTGACTAGTCTAAGGCCCAATACCTGTTTCAGGATTCCTCTTCTGGAATATGAATAGTTTTTGAATTTGATTCCTGTTTAATTATCTGAAAAACTTAGTCTAAAAAAATCTCAAAGCAACTACAATATGAAACCATCTAAAGCTAATGGAAGAGATAGGTTTTACCTTTTTAAGCATTTTTCTGAATCCTCTGTGGTACCCAGCCCATTGCTTTGTGCACAGTGGCCATAAAATAATCAGTTGCTGAATCAATGAGATCAAAGTTTAAATACTATGCTTTCACATAATGACAAGAACTAAACAATATAGCTGCATTTCATCATATAAATTATTAAAAGTGGAAACTCCATCAGAGGTTAGCCACAATGAGCTCCCTTTGGTTATGGTTCACCAATGAGCCCTAAAAGTTGAAATGACTTTTCCAGGGTCAGTAGCCTATCAAGGACCACATGCAGTATTAAAAGAGAGCTGAACATGCAGGCTCTGGAGCAGGAATTGAATCCTACTTCTACTCCCCAATTGATGACCTTGGGTAAATTATATTTAAACCCTCTATGCTTCAGCTTCCACATCTGTAAAATAGGATAATAAGAATAGTGAGATAATCCACATAAAGTGCTTTAAACAGAATCTAGCACCTAGCCTGTTCAATAAATGTTGGCTAATATTAATATTAGAATCCAGCCCCCTCAACACTCACTTGAGTGTTCTTTCCGCTGCACTATGCTGCCTCCTTACGTACTCTCAAACATGTTAAAGATGCTATGTGGAATTGCGAAGGTCCTGGAAACTACTTCCCAGGCAGGATTGTAGCTGAATTCCTCCAATGGGCTCTGTGGGCCCGAAGGGAAGAACGTTCTCTGTTTTTCCTTATGCCTGCTGTTGCATAATCTTTTTCTTCCCCAGTTTCAGTAAGAACTAAATGACTCTGTAAGAAATAATTCAGCTTTCCTGAGGAAAGAAAACAAAAAAACAAAACTCCCAAAACGAAACAAAGAAAGATGATAAAAAGTGCTTAGCAGAAAGGAAGAAATGATGAAGGTAGGGGTGGCAGAATGAAAATAAGGAGGATACAATTACCTTCTATTCCTCCAGATAGATTAAACAGAAAAGATCCTTCTTGGCTGTACAACTAGGATATGGTTCGACTGTGGGCATAAAGGAAACATCCAAAGGAAGGGGCTCCCCACTACCTAGGTCACAGAATACCAAAACCACCCATCAAGTTCTGGTTCAGTGAAATCCAGGACCTCTCTCCTCTAGGACAGAAATGGCTTTCTGAAAGCCATTTCCTTACGGCTTTTCTAGAAGCTCTGGAATGTGTGAGCAGTAACACTTGATAACCCACAAGTAATGCTAGTGGCCCTGGGAGGAAATCCATTCCTTGGCATGATGTGAACTTCGTGGACTCAGCTCCTACCCTCTGTGAATGCTCACTAACAAAGCTCACTTTGGTCCCTGACCAAAGTCTCTTGTCAGGGACAGGCATACTCGGGACAAGGGTGGGAGTTCAGGGGAGTTCAGGGTGGGGTCAGGAAGAGGATAACGGCCCTCTGCTCTCCCAGTCTGAAACACAGTCCTATAATAATCTGAATGTTCTTCCATGGTTGTTCCAATCTCTTTGAATGACCTATCCTAATACTAAGAAAATAAACTCAAAACAACATCCCTTAAAACAGACAATCAAATCTAAGCTTTCATTTCTTAAACTACCACTGTGATCTTTGTCTTGGCAAATTTCCATCTTTTACCCTTTTGGATAATGATTTGGCTGGGGGCGTAATGTCTTCAGGCCCTGATCTCTCATGCCAAAGCATTTCTTGAGGTCATTCTGAAGATGAGTGATCACCCCATTTCCCAAGCAGGACACTAAAAGCACAGAGTAGAAATGGTATCTAGGTGACTGTGGGTAACCTTGAGTAGACTGGGACATAAGGGACAAAAGACACAAAAGCAAACAGGCAACACGAGAGCTCAAATCTCTCAGCAGCTGTAAAATGAACTAAGGAGGAAAAACAATCAATGGCTTGGAACTGGGAGAGAATCGGGGGAAAGAGCCAGAATGATAAGGTACTTGAAAACATATGCCCTTCTACAATAAGGAAATCTATGAGCTGGGGGATGGAAAGAATGCCTGTGTGGCTCCCAGATGGCTGAGCCAGGCGGAGGCTGGAAGAACAGGAGTTAATAGAGCTCATCTGAAAGTTGGAAGTGTGAATGCCAAGAGGAGGAGGGCAGCCTGGTAGGAAGTAAAACAGTCAGCAGCACTCGTACAGGAAATGCCTGGGGCACTGGGAAAATCGCTGATTAAATACTTTTAAGAAAGAGGAACCCAGCAGCAAAGCCAATTCATCGAGAGATCTGTGTAGTTTTAGAACACTGGGAGTAGCCTTTAGAATCGAGAGGAAGAGGCTCCAGTGAGTTATGAAGACAGCATTTTCTTGACACCTCAGGTGCCAGGGTTGGACCTAAGAGGAGCACAAAGCCAACTTTGGGAGAATGAGTAGAGCCCTTTACTGACAGAAATTAGAATGCATTGCCTAGGGACTGGGATGAAGATTTGAGCCTGTATCAGCTTTCGTCAGCTACAATGGTGGTTTGAAGCCTCTTGTCTTTGTCCACAGTAAACACATGGGTAGCCATTCCCATTAGTCATGGCCTACATACAGTTGAAAAAAGAAAAATCAATATTCTTGGGGGAGGATACCTTCCCTCTTGGCCAGTACCCCACTCCTACTGAAAAATCATGGAATTGTGAGAAAAAGAAGGTAGACTTTGGAAATGGAGATTTCCAATCTCCAGCTCTAATTTCTCCCCTAAGCTCTTCGATTTTTCCTCCCCATTTCAGGTTTAAACTTTGTAAATGTTCCACGTACACTTGAAAAGAATGTGTATCTGGCCGGGCGCGGTGGCTCACGCCTGTAATCCCAGCACTTTGGGAGGCCGAGGCGGGCGGATCACGAGGTCAGGAGATCGAGACCAAGGTGAAACCCCGTCTCTACTAAAAATACAAAAAAAAAGTTAGCCGGGCGTAGTGGCGGGCGCCTGTAGTCCCAGCTATTCGGGAGGCTGAGGCAGGAGAATGGCGTGAACCCGGGAGGCGGAGCTTGCAGTGAGCCAAGATCGCACCACTGCACTCCAGCCTCGGTGACAGAGCGAAACTCCGTCTCAAAAAAAAAAAAAAAAAAAAGAATGTGTATCTACCCGCAGTTGTCAGGCGCAGTATCCATATATGTCATTTAGGTCAAGTTTGTTGTATTTTTACTGACTTTTTTGGTCTAGTTGTTTAATCATTCACTGAGACAGGTGTGTTAAATCTCTCATTAGGGTGATGATTTATCTAGTTCCCATTTTAATTCTGTCCCATTTGATTTACATATTTTAAGCCTATGTTATTAAGTATATATTTCTTCCTGGAAACTTAGTCTTTACTAGGAAATGTCTCTCTCTCTTCTTTTTTGAGACAGAGTCTCACTCTATCACCAGGCTGGAGTGCAGTGGCGCCATCTCGGCTCACTGCAACCTCCGCCTCCTGGGTTCAAGTGATTCCCCTGCCTCAGCCTCCCAAGTAGCTGGGACTACAGGTGTTCACCACCATGCCTGGATAATTTTTTGTATTTTAGTAAAGACAGAGAGTTTCACTATTTTGGCCGGGATGATCTCGAACTCCTGACCTCAAGTGATCTGCCTGCCTCGGCCTCCGAAAGTGCTGTGATTACAGGAGTGAGCCACCATGCCCAGCCTGGAAATGTCTCTCTTTATAACGAAAAATACTTTTTGCATTGAAATCTACCTGGACTGCCTGGGCACGGTGGCTCAGGCTTGTAATCCTAGCACCTTTTGAGGCCCAGGTGGGCAGATCACTTGAGGTCAGGAGTTTGAGACCAGCCTGGCTGACATGGTGAAACGCTGTCTCTACTAAAAATACAAAAATTAGCTGGGCATGGTGGCGCATGCCTGTAATCCCAGCTATCTGGGAGGCTGAGGTGGGAGAACTGCTTGAACCCAGGAGGCAGAGGTTGCAGTGAGCTGAGATTGCACTACTGCCCTCCAGCCTGGGTGACAGAGCAAGACTCAGAAAAAAAAAAAAAAAGAAAGAAAAAAAAAGGACAGAAAGAAAGAAGTGGGGGGGCAGAGAGAGAGAGAAAGAGAGAGAGAGAGAAAGAAAAGAAAGAAAGAAAGAAAGAAAGAAAGAAAGAAAGAAAGAAAGAAAGAAAGAAAGAAAGAAAGAAAGGAGAGAGAAAGAAAGAAAGGAATCTACCTGGCCTGATTTTATTGTAGCTATCTTTTCCTATCACTTTGCTTTAAATCTTTCTTTATCCTTATATTTAAAGTGTATCTGTTCTCTTACAAGCAACATACACTCTAGTTTTGCTTTTTAAAAATCTGTCTTTAATTTGCATAAGTCAATTTACACCTTATATTATGGTTTAAACCCACCAACTTGCTAATTGCTTTCTATTTGTCCTGCCTCTTCTATTTTCCTCTTTCCTCTCCTTTCCTACCTTCTTTTTTTCTTCCATTTACAAAACATTCAGAAAATTCACTCTTGTTGGCATACAGTTCCATGTGCTTTGGCAAATGCACAGAGTTGTCTAACCATCACCACAATTAAGACACAGAACAGTTCCATCACCCACCAAAAACCTCTTGTATCCTGCACCTTTAGAGTCAAACTCTCCGCTACCCTTAACCACTGGAAGCCATTGATTTGTTCTGTATCTCTATAGTTTTGCCCTCCCCAGAATTTTTCTTTCCTTCTTTTGAGTTACTTTTTTATTAACTGAATTTGTCCCTTTCTTAGATTGGTACAATACTATTCTTTGAGTGGTTACCAAAAATTACAACATATATCCTTGAATTGCCAACACCTAATACAAATTACTACTTTTACCACTTTCTGAAAATATCTTTAAACCCATTTCCCTACCCCCACCCAGACACAGATTCTATTGTTGATTTCATTGTTGCCATTTATATTAATTTTATACATATTTAAAACCCCACAGGGTTGGCCTGGTGTGGTGGCTCATGCCTGTAACCGCAGCACTTTGGAAGGCCAAGGCAGGAAGATCACTTGAAGCCAGGAGTTCAAGACCAGGCTGGGCAACAGATAGACCCTCTCTTTACAAAAAATAAAAAATAAGCCAGGCATGGTGGCACACACCTCTTGTCCCAGCTGTTATACTTGGGACGCTGAGGTGGGAGGATCATTTGAGCCCAGGAGTTCAAGGCTGCAGTGAGCTATAATTGTGCCACCGCAGTCCAGGCTGGGCAGCAGAGCAAGACTCTGTCCCTCCCACCCACACATCTAAAAAAGGAAAACCCCACAGATGATTATTAGTGTTGTTTTTAACAGTGATTATTCACTTAGATCTATATTTTTTTTCTTTTTTCTTTTTTTTGGAGACGGAGTCTCACTCAGTTGCCCAGGCTGGAGTGTAGTGGCATGATCTCGTTTCACTGCAAGCTCTGCCTCCCGGCTTCACGCCATTCTCCTGCCTCAGCCTCCCAAGTAGCTGGGACTACAGGTGCCCGCCACTATGCCTGGCTAATTTTTTTGTATTTTTAGTAGAGATGGGGTTTCACCATGTTATCCAGGATGGTCTCAATCTCCTGACCTCGTGATCTGCCCGTCTCGGCCTCCCAAAGTGCTGGGATTACAGGCATGAGCCACCGTGCCCGGCCAATCTATATTCTTATATATAGTTGCTGTTGCTCCTCATTCTTTACTGCATTTCTAAGATTCTATTTGGGATCATTTTCCTTCTGCCTAAATAATGCCATTTAGTATTTCTTTTAGTGCAAGTCTGCTGGTGATATATTTTCTCATATTTTTCTTGTCTGAAAACATCTTTAGTTCACCTTCATTTTTGAAGGGTATTCCTTTCTACACTTTCATTCCACTGTCATCTGCTTTCCATTGCTTTTGTCCAGAAGTCAGCTGTCAACCATGCTGTTGCTCCACTGAAGATAATACGTCTTTTTTACCTCTAGCTGTTTGTATTTTCTTTGTATTTCTCCTGTTTGGGGCTCATAATGCTTCAGTCTGTGGCTTGAAGTCTTTTATAGTTTAGGGAAATTCACAGCCATTATCTCTTCAAATATTGCTTCTATCCCATTCTCTTTGTTCTCTTCTTCTGAGACTTCAAGTAGAAGCATGTTAGGCCTACTTACCCTATCCCATAAGTCTCTTATGCTCTTTTCTGTATTTTCCATCTGTTTATCTCTCTGAGCTTCAGTATGCATTGTTTTCTGACGTTTCAGTTCATTAATTATTTATTCAGCACCATCTAATCTGCTACTTGATCTACACATTGAGCTCTTTTAGTTACTGCATTTTTTGTACTAAAATTTGTTTGATTTTTTAAATTATTGAGATATAATTCACACACTGTACAATTCACCACTACAAGGTACACAATTCAGTGGCTATTAGTATATTTGCAAGGTTGTACAACCACCACCACTAAGTCCCGAATATTTAATCATGCCAAAAGAAAACTCAAACCTGTTAGTAGTCACTCCCCATCTCTCCTTCCCCCAGCTCCTAGCAACCACTAATCTACTTTCTGTCTCTATAGATTTGCATACTCTGGACATTTACTATAAATGGAATCATATAATATGTGGCCTTTTATGTTTAGCTTCTTTCACTTATAATGTTTTCAGGGTATATCCATATTGTAGCATGTATCAGCACTTCCTTCTTTTTTATGACTAAATACTACTCTATTGTATGGACATGACACATTTTGTTTAAATTGTATAGGTATGCCATACTTTGTTTAAGTTTGTTCCATAAATCACTTCATTAACATTTGGGTTGCTTCCACTTTTTGGTTATTTATTTATTTATTTATTTATTTATTTATTTATTTATTTATTTATTTTGAGATGGAGTCTCGCTCTGTCGCCCAGGCTGGAGTGCAGTGGCGCGATCTCTGCTCACTGCAAGCTCCGCCTCCTGGGTTCACGCCATTCTCCTGCCTCAGCTTCCCCAGTAGCTGGGACCACAGGTGCCTGCCATCACGCCTGGCCAATTTTTTTGTATTTTTAGTAGAGGCAGGGTTTCACCATGTTAGCCAGGATGGTCTCGATCTCCGGACCTCGTGATCTGCCCACCTCAGCCTCCCAAAGTGCTGGGATTACAGGCGTGAGCCACCGTGCCCAGCCTGGTTATTTTGAATAATGCTGTTATGAACATTTGTGTATAAGTTCTTGTGTGAGCATATGTTTTCAATTCTCTTGGGTATACACCTAGATGTGGAATTGATGGGTCACAGGTTAATTCTATGCTTAAGTTTTGGAGGAATTTTCAGTTTTCCATAGCATCTGCACCATTTTACAATCTCACCAGCAATGTATGAGGGTTCTGATTCCTCCATACCCTCTCCAAAACTCTTCTTTCCTTTTCTTTCTTCCTTTTTAAAATTATAGCTATCCTAGTGGGTGTGAAGTGGTGTTTCATTGTGGTTTTGATTTGCAGTAGCCCAATAAATAACAGTGTCAAAAATGTGCTTGTTGGCCATTTGTGTATCTTCTGTGGAGAAATGCCTATTCAAGTCTTTTGCCCATTTTTAAACTGGACTGGTCATCTTTTTGTTGCTGAGTTGTAAGAATTCTTTATATATTCTGAAAATTAGACCTTGATGAGATATATGATTTGAAAATACCTTTTCTCATTCTATAGCTGTCTTTTCATTTTCTTGACAGTGTCCTCTCAAACACAGAGGTTTCTGACTTTGATGAAGTTCAATTTATTTATTTTTTCTTTTGTCGCTTGTGCTTTGGTGTCATATGTAAGAAATCATTGCCTAATCCAAGATCACGAAGACTTACACCTATATTTTCTTCTAAGAGTTTTATAGTTTTGGCTCTTGCATTTATGCCTTTGATCCATTTTGAGTTAATTTTTTTATTATTTCCAGGTTTGTTTTTATAATTTAATCTCATAAACATATTAAACATAGTTAATTTAAAGTTTGCATCTGTTAACACCATTACTAGGATCTCCTGTGGGTCTAGCTGTTTCTCTTAGCTTTTGGTCACAGTTCTTATTTCCTCATAGGCCTAATTATTTATAACTGAGTGCCAAACATCATAATGAAAAATGATGAGAGATATATTAGGTCTAGGATGATAGTATCTTCCACAGTATCTTCCTCTAGAGAGGATTTAAATTTGTTTCTAGCCACTGGCTATCCTAAATCACCTTAATCCAATTAGAGGTTAAGATAATTTGAATCCAGGCTTCAGTCTCTATGAAACTGCCTTAGTCTATTTCTGGCTTATCTTTCCTTCTTAATTGTATCCCTTTGGTGTCTCAAAGCCTGGGGAATTTTACCAAGGCTACCCATCCTGGGCCCCTGGGCCTTAAATTTCCATATTTGTCCTGCTAGCCCTACAAGTCTATTAAACACTCTGCTCAGCTTTTTGACACTCAGTAATATTTTCTAAAATGGCAGAAGCCTCTTCAAGGAAAGCAGCTCCCATGAAGCAAAAGGATTGGTCTGAATTTTCTTCTAGAAAAGCTTCCATTTCTAGAAGCACAACTCTAAGTTTAAATTTTGAAAACAGATTATCTTATGTTTATTTGTAGCCCTCACCAGGCCCAGTGCAATTCTGGAAACCTAATAAGAATGGAAATATGCTTTGTTTGATACAATGAACAGATACTGGTGATAGTGAAGGCTTGCCACACTTACGTTTTAAGTTGTTCATTTCCCAGGACGTGGTAACCAAAGCATTCTGGTAAAACAAGAGAGAAGCAAGCCTGAGGTTTCAAGTATGGTTTCACATTACTTCCTTAGGGACTTTTCAAAAACCACACTCCATCAAACAGAAAAAGGAGGTTAAATCTACCTCAAATAAAGGACATCTCTGAAATTAGCTGAATGATTAAGAATCCAGATACTAATCTCAGAGATCCTCTGGTGACCACCAAATGGAGGAACTCTACAAGAAATTCTAAAAATTGGCACGTATAAAAGCTCTATATGGGGCCATCTGGGGTCTGAGAAAGATTTGGGCATCTAGTTCGTGAGACATGTGAAAATGTCAGCTTCACCAGCCACCTCAAATTCTGTAACAGCACACTGGCTTTTCCTAAGTGACACTAGCATAAAAAAATTGAAAGAAGTAATCACTGACTTCGAATTCTCTTTCCAATAAGTGGCCATACGCTGTTCATTTCTCCTTCATGATATGTCTGGCATCTGTCTCCTTCTTTTCATTCCTCCTGTCACTGCTACCACATCTCAGGCTCTTATTACCCTGTCCTGGAATTAGAGGCCCAGTCTTTCAGAAATAGCAGCAATATTTTATCATTTCCCTATGAGTAGGTCTTCCATCGTTCCCTAGTGCTCTCAGAATGAAGTTCAAACTCCAAGTTTGGCATTCGAGGCTCTTTTCGGCTTTGTTTCAAGCTGCTCTCCTCATTAACACTCTGATTTAGCCAAACTATTTTTACTCACCACCCTCTGAAGAGTCCTCACACATTCCGGTGCTCTCCTTCATCCTGAAGCCTGTTCTTCCATATGGAATATCCTTTGACTCCAGCTCCCCCTCCATGCTCACAAACTCCGTACTTTTTCATCTTTAATTACTGAAATCATTTTCATTCACTAAAAATCCAGCTCAAATTTCACCTCTCTACATCTCTCTGCACAAAAAGCACTTAGTACTTACAGACGCTAAAGCTTAGAGAGGTCAAAAAATTTGTCCATGAGAACAACTATTAATTGGTGAAGTTGGAATTGAACTCATAAACTCCTTCAATGCTATTTTGTCTTATCTGTATTCTCCTAATCTTATACAATGCCTTGCATATAGTAAGCACCTAATAATTACAGAGCGAAGATAGGGGGAAGAAAGGCCATAAATTTTCACAGCAAGAAAGACATATACAAAAGAATATTCTTGATGTATCAGTTTTTAAATTCATCAGATATATTCTGCAGAAAAGGTTGTGATTCCATCTGTTAAAAAGAGAATCATATAAGCAGAACTATAAAAATAAGCTGCTAGAATATTCTGGTTAAAGGAAAGAAATCTAAAACTCAATCAGCTTTAGATTTGCTTTAAATCCCATTTGCTACATTGGGATTGTTGGCAGTTCAAAGGGCAAATGGCAAAAGCATGTCTCACCACGCACCCTGGCCACAGTGCAGATGGAACTCAGCCAAGGGGTTACCCAGCTAGAAAGCATTACTGCTTTCCCACTGACCAGGGCAGTCCTGTGGAAGCCTTCAACAGCCCATGTGTTCTTTGCTTTGGTCTTGGGACTTAAGGATAAATGAGATGAGGATGGTGGGTAAATGACAAGGGTAGGCACTGTCTTGGGGGCACTGCTTCTCATTCTTGCCCTACAGAGTTCAGGCAACAATCTTCTTGGGGAGCCCCAAGGAAGGGGGTGGAAAGAGGCTGAAGACAATGGGGGCTTTCAGGAGTCCCCTTAATACCCAGAGAAGCAAGGAGCAGAGCAAAGGTTCAAACACCCAGGGGAAAGGAAATCGCTTCTTGATCCCTTCCAAACACAAGGACCATGATCAAAGAATTGCTTGCTGTAGTTATCGCAAAAAGAAAACAACAACAGGCCTTCCTGCATTCCTGCCTTTCCATGCCAGGCTGTCCTCTCCCCATGATCGTCCCCACCCCCCAAATCCTGGGGACAATTGAGCTGTGTCTCTGGCATGTGTGGAGCTGCAGGTCACGGCCATATTTAACAAGAACATTCATTCTCCACAGGCGCTACAGGGCTCCTCAAAACACCCTTTGTGTCACTGTGCCTTTCTCTCCACTGCCCTTGACACTAATTTAATCAAGATGTCCTTCTAGCTTGTAGATGGGGTGGACTCGTCAGTTCCGCATTCCTCCTGGCATTAGGGCTTTGCAGCCAAATATGTAGACTTGAAACCAGCAAGTTGAGATGGGGTCAGGGTCTCCAAGCCAGAGCATGCAGACCTTTTGGGTAAACCCTAGGCATAAAGAGTGGACTAGCTCTGTGGTATGTTTTTATAATTTTTAGTTAACCCTAAATATTCTGGAGGAGTTGAGAAATATTTTCTTAGGCAAGTATGTAGACATTTAGAAGCATTTTTTTTTAAAGCAAGAAAAAAGACAAAATTTTATCTCTATATTTTTGGACTCATCAGTACTGTTTCTAGAATGCAGAACTAGAAAAAATAGCTCCTTGTCACAACTATGCCTGTCCTTTTTCTCCTAGTCTGCACTCTCCATAATTTTGCAAAATCTGAAAACTTCAGTTCTTTCCCAAGAACCAGATTTTAATTCAGATTTGCCTTCCTTAGCTGTTTCTCTAGACCACAGTCAGTATCCAGAAGAGAATGTCAAAACTGCGGTAGGGAATTTAACCAATAAGGAAAATAAAAAAATAAACCATCTAGAGCCCTGGGTCCCCAACCAGGTTACCTGATTCCTGGTCTAATGTTCATTTCCTATGCTGTGGTAGCTCCCAAAGAGGGCATCACTGCTCATCAGTACCCCTACCCCGGCCCTGAGTTGATTTGTGGACGCCAAGCCAAACATTTGAAGTGTGAGTATTACGGGCCAGAAGGAGTCAAATGCATTTGAGGAGGGCATGAGGCAGGCCCAGGGAACTCAGACAATCTATCTTAGGAGCTGATTTGAATGTGTGTTGAAATTCTTCTGTCAACCACAGATCCAACTGTCATGACCTCCCGCCTGGGACATGTAACTATTCCTTCCATCATCTGCCTGCCAGTTTAATCAGCTCACATCAGCAGCGGCAGAAAAATATTCAAAGGGCTATGTTTCATGACCCACAAGGGCATTTTCAGAAACCCAGTAAGACTCCAGAATATAAGAGGGGTGTACCCTCTATAGATTTTGGAGCAAAAAGCTCAACTCCCTATCCTTAACTCTTTCTCCTCTCGCCTAGGTCAAGTAGGCCATTGACCTGGGGTCAGGAACAACCCTAAGTTCTTAGACCAATTTCAAAGTTATCTTTAAGTAATGTTATAAACCAAATTAAACTCCCAGTCATGAAAAACTGAAAGGCTCTTTCCAGCTCCCTCACAAAGCTATAGTGCAAAAATTCACCACCCTCAAATCAACAAACATATCTTCCATGTTGTTTCTTAAAGTAAGAACTGAGCCACTTCCCTTTTCCCCTCTGTCTTGTTGCCGGCTTGCTTATTTTCTCTCTTTCTCTGGAAAAGTCAATAAGAAATGCTTCCCTGATACTGTCAAATCATAAGAACATGGCCTACAGCTCTAGGTTTTGTATTAGGGCAAAGAGCAGGCATTCTGAACCCAAGAGAGGATACTGCTAAGCCTGAAAGTGGCAAAAGTTTGGGGAAAGGGCTAATGGAAGCAGCCTCTGGGCTACGCAGAACACCATCTCATTTGCTCACATCCTATAACCAAATGATGAGCACATCCACACTGGAGATTAGAAATAGCTCTCAGCTGAACAACAGGAATTTGGTCCAGGAGAAGCAACACCTTGTGAAACATCATTTAATGAAACCTACAATATGTTTAATAAAGTCAGCTATTCTTAGAAGAGCAACCCAGGGCCGGGTGCAGTGGCTTATGCCTGTAATCTCAGCAGTTTGGGAGGCCGAGGCGGGTGGATCACCTGAAGTCAAGAGTTCGAGACTAGCCTGGCCAACATAGTGAAACCCTGTCTCTACTAAATATACAAAAATTAGCCAGGCATGGTGGCACATACTATAATCCCAGCTACTCGGGAGGCTGAGGCAAGAGAATCACTTGAACCTGGGAGGCGGGGGTTACAGTGAGTCAAGATCGCGCACTGCACTCCAGCCTGGGCAACAAGAGCAAAACTCCATCTCAAAAAAAAAAAAAAAAAAAAAAAGAGCAACCCAGAGGTTATATAGATGCCTGTTAATCTATAAAAAATGTGATATTTCCCCCCATTTCAGAATTTTTCCAGCATTTAAATCTATAGCACAAAATGTAAACCCTGCTTATTGATTCCAAACATAGCCTAAATGGCTCTTCTGTCTTCTCTACTCCTCCTCTCACTGCCTTAGATCAGGGCCCCGCTCTTGAATGAACTACTGTAGTAACTTTTTCCCTGTTCTCACATCTCTCTCACATCCAAACATTTCAGAGTAATCTTTCTAAAAGGCAAATCTGTCCATGGCACTCTCTTGGTAAAATCCGCTAGTAGAATTGTTTCAGTTAACAAGCATGCTAAAAATTAGTAAGCAAAGGATGAGGAGAAATAGGATATTTACATAGTATCTTCACAAGACATTTATTACAGTGCAAAGGGGACACCCATCCTCACCGAGTAATTAAAATTATCACCATCAGTAATGGGGACAAATCAACGGCAAGTGCCTCCTGATATAACGCACTAAGAAAAATATGACATCGCTTCTACGGTGTTCTTGCCAAAATTGCTTAAACTGAATCCAATCATGAGGAAACCAAACAAACCAAAATTGAGGAACATTCTACAAAATAACTGACCAGAACTCTTTAAAACCATGAAAGACAAAGCAAGACAGAGGAACTGTCAGAGATTAGAGGATACTAAGATGACAGTTCACCTCGACATCATGTGTGATCCTAAACTGAACCCTGAACCAGAAATTTGAATTGGACATTAGCAAGGCAACAAGTGAAATTTCAGTAAGATTGAGAGATTATAGTATTACCTCTGTGTTAATTTCCTGATTTTGATCATTGTACTGTGATTATACGAGATTTTTTAAAAATCTCGCCCCCAAATATTGGAAAGATGGGATTTTAACATTTGGGGAATTTGGGTTAAGGGTACAGAGGAATTTCTGGACTACTTTGCAATCTTTCTTTAAGTCTGAAATTATCTCAAAATAAGAAGTTAAAACAATAACATTACAGGGGCTTCTGCTTCACTGGCTTCAGGGTATAAGCCCTTTGATGTGGCAGGCAAGGCCCTGCCCACCTCCTCAGCCTCATCGCTTGCCACTCCCCTACAAGGGACCTGTGTGCAGCCATCCTCACCCACACCACCTGTAGTTCCGGAACGCTTTTCACCTATTATACTTCCTTGCTTTCTGCATAAATGGTTTTATCTCCCAGAAATCCCCTATGCTCCCCTCTCCTACACTCCCATTCTTCCTAAGATACAAAGGACATCATAAGGCAAACCTCACCTCATATTTCCCTCCACCCAAGAACCCATTATTACACTGTATCATCATAGCTTATGTGCATGTCTATTTCTCCCACTAGACACTGTATTCAATATCAGGGGCCACGTCAGCCATCTTCATATTTTCAACACATGGCCCAGAAAGTCAGAAATCTATCTGCCCCAGAGAGTCAGAACTCAATTCACTGTGTATTGAGGAAACATAATGTTTCCACTTAGAACTATCATAATAGCCCAATGGTTTGCCAAGCACTTTCATAGAAATTCCCTCACTTAATTACAGAATTTCAGAGATAAATCTTAGAGAGATTAGTCCAAACCATTATCTTACAGATTAGAAAACTAAGTCCTAGACAGGTTACAAAGTTAGGCGGCATTCACAGTCAAAGTTAGGCTGTGAGTCAGTGTGAAACGTAGGATAAGATTCTCATTCCCAGATCAGGAATTTTTTTTCTTTAATTCATAAACTACAAGAGCCTCTTTCCTCCAACCAACAAATACCACAGGATGTGTACAGGCAGAATTGTCTGGGCCTGGTGTGGTGCTTGGGGAAAGCATTTAATAAACACTTGCTAAAACGAGCTGAATCACCAGGGAGCAGCACCTCAATTCCTTATTTCACTCAGGTTGAACCTGAACAAGGTGTGACTCTAAGGTCTAACCTAACCTGACTACATCTTGTGAGGAATGCGCAGCCAGAATACACTAGTCTTAAGTGAGAAGGCCTGATTTTCCAACTAAGAGATCTCTGATTCAGAGAGCAGGATCCTGGCTTTCCTCCAGGGCTGATGGGAGGATGAGGCAGACACTGCATAGCCCCGAGCTATGTGGTATCAGGCCAGAGGCAACAAGCTCAGATCACTTCCTTACATCTAACCTGGGGAGGAAGCCCATCCAGTGTGTCAGAAATCATCTGCTCTGATTACAACAGCCTTTTTAATCTTCCTGGCCCAAGAGGGGATACGCACTGATAACTTTAATAATGCCAGCAGGTACAATTAATTTCCATTCCCACTATTTCCCACTCTTCGTATGAAGGGGACTGGAAGGATGGAATTAGATTCCACTGGGGCTTCAGCCTGCAGCTTGAGACAGACTGCCTGACACTCAGCAGGGAAAACCTCATCTTGTGTTTCATCAGAAGGACCAATGCTGATATATCAATGTTTGAAAAATCTGTGTGGCCTTAAGCACAGGGGTAATTCTTTTGTGGTTGGGTAACAATGACTACAAAATTAAATTAAATTAAATAACAAAGCCAAGACAGGATTTGATATGAGTCTAATGAACAGTTATTAAGCAAGATTTAATCAAAATGATACTGAAGTATTTTCCATTGTTTCCAAGAAGAATATCTATTTTATCAGTCAACACGTCCTGCATTTAGTGTATCTCTAAAGTAAAGTTTTTTGTGACTCTTTCAAGAATTTTTCTTAAATTAAAAACTTAAAGTCAGCTAGAAAAGGATATCTTGATTTATGTAACATTTCTCTTCCAAAGCAGTTTCCTATCCTTTGTCATTGTTATCCTCACAGGATCTCCAGGAGGCAAAGTGGGCAAGAAGTATGCTTCTTGTTCAGTTTATAGATGGGCACATGGGAGTCTGGGAAAGTCAAATTTTTGTGTAGGATTCACAAGAAGGTAATGCAGGAGTTGGAAGTAAATTTGTTTTTAATTCTCTGTCTCAGGCTTACCCTGTTATATTCCTTCTCCTTATTAGCTGAAACGGCAAGAAAAGTGCTTAAAATTTTAAAGGAGGTTAAGTTGTAGGCACCACAGTTTCCCAAGATTCTAAAACCCAAATCTAATGACATTTGTTCAGTTCCCATTCTTCCTGACCCCTTCATAGAACTCATCATTGAGTCTTCTTCTCTCTTAAGTCCTTTGAGCCATATTACTCTCATTTTCCTTTTGCCCATTTTAATTTGTTCTTCTCTCTTCTTTGCTAGCTCTTCAAAGTCTTCTTTCTAGGCCTCAACTACCCTTTACTCTGAATACCCTTTCATGACCTCAACTGGTCTTTTGTGTGGTTAATTTTCAAGTCTTCTTCTAGCTCTTGCCCTCACTAAACCTTCCCTTTACCATGTCTAAAGCTGAAGTCAGAAATATGGTATGTACTGGACAGAGCAGTGAGTAGAATTTAGAAGACCTGGTAGTTTCAGTCACATCTCAACTACTACCTAACTGGGTAAACTAAGGCAAGTTACTTCTCATTGGCTCTCAGATTCTTCATGAATTACAGGGCTTGACTAGAATCAGTGGCTCTTCCACACACTTCCCTCAATAAATGGCAATTCCAACTTCGAATCGTTCAGGCCAGAATGCTTGGGGTCATCTTTGACTGCTATTTTTTTCATACACCATATCAATCAAGCAGCAAATCCTATTGGCTCCATCTTCAAAATATATCCCAGAATTTGACCACTTCTCACCATCTCCAAAGCTCCACCCTGTTTCAATCCACTATGATTTCCTGCCCTAATTATTTATAGAAGCTCCCTTAATTGGTCTTCCCTTGCTGCTTCCACCCTACTCCTCCTAAAGCACTCTCTTCACACAGAAGCTGGAATAATCCCATTTAAACAGAAGTCAGACTGTATCATGCCTCTCCAGTCCTCCAGTAGCCTCCAAGGCCCTTCCTGAAGAAACCTGCTCGCTGCCCCAGACCACATCTCCCACCACTCTTCCTCTTGCCTACTCTGTACAAGGTCTCCTTACTGTTTCTCAAACCAGATAAGCGCATTCCCATCTCATGGCCTTAGATGTGCACTATTATCTCTGCCTGAAATACCTTCCTCAAAGAGCTAAACAGCAAAATCCCTCATTTCCTCCAAGAATCAGTTCCAATGCCAATTTATCAGTGAAGCCGTCTCTGACCACCCTATATAAAAGAGCAATATCCCTTGTACCCCATCCTCTTTGCCCTGTTTCATTTTATCATCATCTGATATATTATATATTTACTTTTTTATGTATTATCTGTTTCAACTATTAGAATATAAGCTCCATGAAGGCAAGAACTTTTTGTTATCTGCTATATTCCAGTGCCTAGCACAGTGCCTGGAACATGGGAGGCACACTGTAAATATCTGCTGAATGACTAAGTGAACTGCTGAATGACTAAGTTGAATGACCTCCTCCCACCTCATGTCAGGCCACTCAGTCCTGTCTATAATGTCTTTCCTCTGCCTTCTGGTAAATCTAATTCTTTTAGTTCCCATTGTCATTATCCAAGTTTCTATTATCCCTCTGAATTATTGTAGCAGGCTCCTATATAGTTTCTTCCATGCTAAACCACACTGAGTACTGCTGCCAATGCCACTGGAAATCATGGTTTTCAAGATTTCATTGCCCTGCCTAAAATTGTCAATGGCTCTCTTTGACCTGTAGTTTGAACTCCTTGGACTGGCATTCAAAGCCTTCTATACTCAGGCTTCAGGCTATTTCCACATATTTCTCCCATTGCTGGTCAAAAGGAAGTCTCTGCTGTCAGACTGTCCTCATGAGTGACATCTCTAATGGGGACAAAGAGGCAGGAAAGGAACTTGGAATCAGATAATATGGAAATCTTCAAAAGATATTTCTGTAAGATAAGAAACAGATGGCTAATTGAGAATCCTGGAAGCAGGTAATTAAAATAACATCGGCCCAATTCTTTCCCCTCTATGAAGCTCTCCTGACTTACTTTTCATGAATCTGTTTTTTTTCCAAGATCCTATAGACAACAAATTGTCTGTACGACTCATTACATTGCTATCTAAATTGTAACCTGCTTTGGGAGTCTATGGTCTGTCTTTCACCTGAGATGTAAGAAATCTAAGATCTTGAACCATGTTTTAAGCTTGCTCTGCAGGCCTTTTATACTGCCAACTTGAATACCGAGCAATTACAGACAATAAAATAATATTATTAAACTCAACTGAATGGGTTGGTAGTGGTTATTTGTGGTCCTGAATTTGAGTAAAGCAATACTTTTTTTTTTTCCTTCAGTCCCTGAAAGCTCAGGTAGACTATGTGGTTTTCCTTGCCTGAGAACTTAAAGGTCCAGAAAGACCACTGACTCTGAGAGCAGCAAAAAGAGAATGCTTTTTCTACTCTCCACCCTCAAAATGAACATCAAAAGAAAAACAAGGTCATGGGAAGAGGCAAGGCAGGAAGGGATGCAATGCTTATGTGGTCAGATGGCTTGGATTATCTTGGCTTTGGAGAAGAGATGATTAAAGTTGGAGACTGGATCGCCCAGTTTGTTCTCTGTATTTCCTTTCTAGCCTATATGATAATATACCGCTAAAAAAAGATTAGCTTAGAGATTGCAAAGACCACCCTAGCTGGGCGAAGGCACAAGACACACGCTCTTCTGCATGAACACAACCAGATACCTTCTGACCATAACATAACTTTGCAGAGCACTTTGTTCCCAGGTTTTACTGATGCCTATAGCATTCTGAGAAGGAACAGTGAGGGTATGAGTAATTTCATTAGTGTAAAGATGAGGAAAGTGAAACTCAGCATGGTGAAAGAACTCCACTGAGCCAGCCAGGGCCCAGGCTCAGGCGTAGCACTGATTCTCAACTAAGCTCTAAGACAATGAGCAAGACAGAAGAGGAAGAAAAAGGGAAAGCAGCAGGGGGAAAAACCCTCTCTCCTTACCTTATATTAAATGGAAGTAGGGTATTTCCAAATGAAAGCCTTGGCTACCTAGTCATCCTAAAAACAAGTGATTTCCAAAAAGACAACGAGATTTTTAATTGCTTCTAGATGTACAAGAACATAGTCCAGGGGAGAGTCAAGACAACAGCCAGCTGGTCGTGGTGGCTCACGCCTGAAATCCCAGCACTTTGGGAGGCCAAGGCAGGCAGATCACTTGAGTTCAGGAGTTCAAGACCAGTCTGGCCAACATGGTGAAACCCCACCTCTACTAAAAAAACACAAAAAACTTAGCTGGATGTGGTAGCCCACGCCTGTAATCCCGGCTACTCGGGAGGCTGAGGCACGAGAATCACTTGAACCCGGGAGGCGGAGGTTGCAGTGAGCCAAGATCACGCCACTGTACTCCAGCCTGAAAAAAAGAAACTCCATCTCCAAAAAAAAAAAAAAAAAAAGACAACATAGCCAAAGAACCATAAGGAATATATGAAAAAGCTATGGGACAGCCAGACTACAGACTGCTGTATGATCATATAGGCAACATTTAAAAGAAGATGCAATGACATGATAAAAATGCTTCTCCAAATGTTAAATGAAAAAAATTACACTAAGCTTAATATATAATGTAACTCTCATTTTTAAAAAAAATGTGTATAAAAAAGATTGGAAGGAAATACATCAAAATGTTAATCATGATTCCAAGTAATTATTATTTTCTTTTTATTATGTTTTTACCCACAATATCTTGAAAAAAACACGTTACTACTTTTTAAAATTTTTTCTTTTCTTTCATAGCCTTAACTGAAGCTCAGTATTACTTTAACAATTGAAAAAACCCTAAGCTGAAGGGTTTTTTGTTTGTTTGCTTCCAAATTAAAGGAAAACTGAAATAAAAAATAGAAGATGTTACTTCTCAGTCCTGTCCCTGGGCCTTACTAATAACTACTTAGCTTACCAAGAGGATGATTCTGGGAGCTCTTGAGACCATGAAGAGGGATGGTCTGAGGTTCCTATGGTCTTTTAAACAATTAGTGCAAAGAATTCAAATTAATCTATAACTGGAAGTTTCATATTGAGTAAATGCTGGGAGAAGCTGGATGTAGACCCAAATGATTTGTAGAGAACAGAGAAAAAGGAAAAAAAGAAAAAGAAAACAAAACAAAAAACCCCAAGGGCTGGGCTTAAAAGCAAAGAAAGGTAGGATCTAGTAGAAAAACTAAAAGACCAGAGAAAGTCCAGTATTGTAAGGAAAGAAGATGAAAATGAAAAAAAACTGAAGACGCTGTGTCAAAAGGAGGAAAACTTAAATTTTGTCCTCACTTTAAATAAAAATCATGCTCAGACAAGCAGGGAGGAATTCAAAGGAAAAGTCTTGACAAAGATAAATAGGGGAGTCAACAGAAGCCTGTCCTGCAACAAGGGAGGCTAAAGTCAAAGGTGTTACTCTCTCTCTGGACAAGCTGGGCAAGAAGCAGAATCAGAATAGCACAATGGAAATTCTGACCTGACAGAAGCACAGCAACGTATGACTGCAGAATGCATGAGTCATTAATTCCCTGCACAAGCACTGGTTCTTTAGCTTACCAATATGACTGCCACCTTCCTACATGCAAGGCAGCAGAGCATGATGATGTGAAGAGATCAGGGGAAGCCAACTGCCTAGGCTTGAATCCCATTTCTCCCATCAACCAGCTGTATAATCTTCAGTAAATTGCTTAAACCCTTTGCCCATGCTCTTATCTACAAATGGGGATGATAAAACCAGTACTCATCTCAAAGTGTCGTTGTGATGAGATTAAATAGGTTAATACATGTAAAACACCTAGCACAGTCCCTAGGCATGGTTAGCATTCATTTAGAATTATGCTTTTTTTAAAAAAATTATTGCTGTGATTCTTAATAATAACAAATTGACACCTTGTCAGCTTGCACACTATTCGTGTGTGTGGTTTCTCCCAAGACTAATACGTTTTTACAAACTACTATTTGCATGGTGCCTGATGAGCTGTATTAACAATCCTCTCCTTTTCTCAGAGAGGCATTTTTATTTTATTTATTTATTTATTTATTTTTTGAGTCGGAGTTTTGCTCTGTCACCCATGCTGGAGTGCAATGGCACAATCTTGGCTCACTGCAACCTCTGCCTCCCAGGTTCAAGTGATTCTCCTCCCTAAGCCTCCTGAGTAGCTGAGATTACAGGAATACACCACGACGCCTGGCTAATTTCTGTATTTTTAGTAGAGACAGGGTTTCAGCATGTTGGTCAGGCTGGTCTCAAACTCCTGACCTCAGGTGATCCACCTGCCTCCACCTCCCAAAGTGCTGGGATTACAGACATAAGCCACTGTGCCCAGCCTCAGAGAGGCATCTTATAGTCAAGTAAGAGAGGTACAGAGATGACAAAAAGTAACTTGTCTAAAATTATCAACTGATACTAAAATTATCAGATGAATGACTGAACTGGCACCCAATATTTGTAGGCTGGCACCATGAATAACACCTTACAATCAGGTTTCTATCATGTGATTTAAAAAATGTAACTAGAAAATGGAAGGGTCAGACTATCACAGCCCTATTCTAGAGGGTGCCAATATTAGCATCACTATCGGTAGACTAACTAGATGTTATGTATTTCCTGCTCTGATGCTACATGAAGTACTAACATCACTTATTATGCATTCTAAGTCACTTGAATCCACTTGGACCTTTAGAACCAACTTCCAATTTACAGGAAATATGGGATACGGGCAGAAGCTTAACAACACAAGTAAACAACCAGACAAATCTAGAAGATGGGAGATTTTGCAGGACATCTGGCTTGGTCTCTTCAACAAATCAGTTTCATGGAAAGAAAATAATACTAGATTAAAGTACACTTAAGGGACATAAAACTGTGTGCATTAGATACTGGCTTGGACAAACTAGTTGTCAAAGAGATTTTTTGAGTAATTAATTAAATCTTTACATGGCCTGGGTATTAGATGAGACAAAAGTTTATTGAAATGTAAAGGAGAAGGTCTTGACTAAAACAGTAGATTACAAAATAGTATGTACAATAAATCTGTTTTTTATATCATATTTTTGCTTTCTGTATTTTTAAATTTTCTATAACATACATCTACTATAAAATTTAAAAGATTATTCAAAAGAATAGAGAAAAGGAAGGGAGGGAGGAAACAAGGAGAGGGAGAAGGAAAGAGGAAAAGGAAGAGAGAAAGGAGAGGGAAGAGAAGGCAGAGGGGAGAAGGAAGGGGGGGAGGGAGAGAGACAGAGGAGGGAGAGAAGGAGAGAGAGAGAGAAAGAGAGAGAAAAGGTTTTGAATTCACTATTCTTAAAGCCTGGCTTGTGACCAGGTTCAACCATACACTGGAAAGAATAACTTCCCATTATAATGTTCATAGCAGCATTATTTATAACATACATAATAGCCTCAAACTGAAAACTATCCAAATGCCATCAACAGTTGAACAGATAAAACTAAAAGTCTCATGTCCTAGGAACCCCCTCAGCCCAAGGCAAACAGGATAGTTGGTCGTCTTAGGTGCTGCCCACTGTAAGGAAGATAGAATTTGGCATTCAAAGCCTGCCAAGTTAGAGGGGCTTGATAAACATCTTGGGTTTCCCATGGAAACCCCAGAAAGGCCATGCCTTAAGTATACAGTATTTTCTAAGACGAAGGGCAAAACCAAAATATACCCACTGTAATGAAGTATAAAGCCAAGCCCCCACAAGATCAAGGTGATCAACCAGTAATTTAATAGCCTCCTAGAATAAAACTTCATAATCTTCAGAGGAAGATAAGTACATCTAGAGTTTCTATGACATATTATCTATGATGTCCAATATGCAATAAAAGATTAGTAGGCATGTAAAAAAAAGTCAAGAGGAAAATCAATAAACAGACCCACAGATAATGTCAATGTTAAAAATAGCAAACAAGAATTTTTAAGTAATTGCCAACTATGTTTTAAAAATATCCATACAATAATTTGGAGGCTGAAGGGGAAGGATCATTTGAGCCCCAGAGTTCAAGCCTAGCCTGGGCACCACAGCGAGACCCCATCTCTAAAAAAATTAGCCAAGCATGATGGTACACACCTGTAGTATCAGACACATGAGAAGCTGAGGTGGGAGGATCACTTGAGCCCAGGAGTCTGAGGGTAGGGTGAGCTATGATCACACCACTGTACTCCAACCTGGGTGACAAAGTGAGTCTCCATCTCAAAAAAAAAAAAAAAAAAAAAAAAAAATCTGAAATAAAAAAAATTCATTGGATGGCATTTATAGCATCTTAGGTGAACAAAAGAAAGAATTGGTTGTTTTATTTATTTATTTATTTATTTATTTATTTATTTATTTATTTTTTGAGATGGAGTCTTGCTCTGTCTCCCAGGCTGGAGTGCAGTGGCACAATCTCAGCTCACTGCAAACTCCACCTTCTGGGTTCAAGTGATTCTCCTGCCTCAGCCTCCTGCAAACTCCACCTTCCGGGTTCAAGTGATTCTCCTGCCTCGGCCTCCTGAGCAGCTGGGATTACAGGCATGTACCACCATGCCCAGCTAATTTTTGTATTTTTAGTAGAGACGGGGTTTCACCATGTTGGCCAGGCTGGTCTCAAACTCTTGACCTCAAGTGATCCACCCACCTTGGCCTCCCAAAGTGCTGGGATTACAGGTGTGAGCCACCATGCCCAGCCAAATTGGTAAACTTTAGAAATCATCTAAACTAAAGCATACAGAAAACAAAAATTTGAAAAAAATGGACAGAACATTAACAAGCTGTGGGACTGAATCAAGTAGTCTAACATACATGCAATTGATAACAAAGCAAAACAGGAAGGAGAGATGGGACAGAAAAAAATATTTGCCAAAAATTTTTCTCAAATTGAGGAAAAATTTGATATTTTTCCTACAATTTCTACAAATTAGATATTTGACAGATCAGGGATTGTCTGGATATTATATTTAACCAAGCCAAAGGAATACAATGAAAACCACGCTTACACTCTTATGATAATCAAAGAACTAAAAACCAAAGATAATGAATAAATATTGGAAGCAGCCAAATAAAGAAGGGCTGGGCATGGCAGCTCACGCCTGTAATCCCACCACTTTGGGAGGCCAAGATGGAAGGACTGGGATTGCTTGAGCACAGAAGTTTGAGTCTACAGTGAGCTGTAATCATGCAACAGGACTCCAGCCTGGGGGACAGAGACTCCATCTCTTTAAAACAAACAAACAAACAAACAAACAAACAAACAAAAAGATGATATATTACATACAAGTAAGCAATAATAAGAACCTAAGAACCACAGCTGATTTCTCATCAGAAATAATGGAGGCCAGAAGGCAAGTGAATTACATATTCAAGTTGTTGAAAAAAATTATCTGATTCCATTTACACAAACAAATTTTTAAATGGGCAAATACTTATATTGTGTTAGAAGTCAGGATAATGGTTACCCTTCAGAGAGTAATGACTTGAAGTGGAGAGAAGGAGGGTTCATGGGATACTAGTAACATTCTTTCTTCATCTGGGTGCTGATTACATAGCTGTATTCAGTTTGTAAAAATTCATTGAGCTGTACACTTTATAATATGTGTACTTTCTCTAAGTATTTTATACTTTCATAAATAGTTTAGGAAAAAAACTTTGCAAAAATAGATGAAAGGTTCAGAGAAAATACACATCTAGGGCCTACTACAGTGGGAGGTATTCACAGTGTGAATTTTACGAAAGGTTACTATTATTACTTTGTCATCATCATCATCCCACAGAAAGTTTTGAGAGACCTAAATAAACCAAAAACCCCAAGCTCCCTTGGGAGGCAAATCTTACTCCTCAATTTGATTTTCAAGCTCTTTTAAGCACCTAGCAGCATAATGCTGTGCATGCAGTATTCACTAAAATACTTATTGACTGTATAATCTCCTAATTTAGGGTAGTATTCCAATACAAGGTTGCATATGGACACTTTTATTTTTTGTCTACTGCACCTCTCTTTCCCATATTCCATTTCCCATATTCCATTCCTCGTCTTCAGATTCCCTTAATAATCCTTTGATTTATACAAATCGAAGTACTATTATACTTTTGAAAGTTCTAAATATAGCACCTTGAGCTCTTTTAGAAAAGGCAGATACCTAAGAACTAAAACACCAAAAAGGCAAACACACAAACTAACCTAAGCAAAAGACTACAGACATCTTTGATGCACACATTCCCTTTGAGCTGCACCTTCCTAAGTCTAAATAAAAGCCTGGACCACCCAGAGAGCAGCCTCAAGGGAGAGCACACAGATGCTGCTGACCCAGTGTCACAGAAACCAAAGCTAAAACACCCCCAACAGCACGAGCTGCAAAGCTCCCCTCGGTGTTGGCTTTGGCAGCAAACCTGACGCCCCTTATCAGCAGAGATACCTTTGAAGTAGCTGGCAGCCTTCCATCCCCTACTCAAATAAGCTCAGCTTCACATTCTATTCTTTTCTCCAAAGAGGATCTTTTCATCAGATATGAGAGAATAAAGCTCAATTAATTAGAACAGATTTTTGCTACCAACAAGATAAACTGGGCAACTGGAACAGCTGTCTGTAAAGCACTGTGCAAACGCTGTTAGTGACCATGCTATAATGTGGAGGAAATTCAGTCCAATCACAGATACTGAGTTCAGACGAGCAGGAGGGATATGGTAGACGGGGAAGGGAGGGAGGGTTAAATCACTCATCTACTCCTTCTCCCAAAGAGTTAAACCCTTTCTTAAGGGGGCAGAGCACAGGGACACAACCTTTGGAAAACCATTCTTTTCCTCCATTCATTCAATCCACAGCACTTACCAGGGACATTCAACTATACCAGCATTGTGGGTCACCACTTCTCCTCTTCTTATTTATGACCATCACACCACCCAAAATGCCTTCTCACAGTTTCATCATCCACTCTTCTCACACATGCCAAACAGCTGGACTCAAGACACGCCATAGGAAATCCTATCTCAGTCCAAACGGATACCAAACAGATAGGTAACATGCACTGCTTTTAGTTTTAAATCTCATTTATCCTTTTTAACTACCAGATTCATTTCCTTAGTGCCAAAAGAAATCTGACTGTTGTGGCAATTCTCTTGTGACTGATTCACTAATGGCAAAAGGACACGTTTAACATCTCCAAGACCCTGGAGAAAAGTATTAACTGAGCCTCTTACATTCCTTCCTCAGCACTCTTCTTGCATTCCCCACTTCCTGCAGTGTGAAGGAAGCCAGATTCACCCTTTGTCACCAGATTTATTTATCTGAAGCTAACTTCACCCTTCATCACCCTCCAAGAATAAAGTAGGAAACCACAATGGGTTGCCTAGAGAAACTAGCCTAGATGCTTTAACACTGTCTGTTGCAGAGGCAAACATGGCTCACATACAGATAGACAGGATCTTAGGGCATCAGATATTCTCTGTGCTCTGCAGTTTCCCCAAGATGGAAAACAGTGCAGCAGTGATTCTCAGCCCTAGCTGTAGGCAACAATCACCCAGGCCCTACTCCAGAGATTCTGACTAAATCATGCTGGGGTAGGGTCTTGGCATGGGTATTTTTTAAATTAGATCAACTTTATTGAGGCATAATTTACATAATAAAATGTACACATTTTAAGTGTATAATATGATAAAGTCTGTCTAATGTACCACCATGGTCAAGATTATGTAACATTATAAAAATGTTATAAAGCATTGTTTAAAATGTTATATAATGTAGGCTATAAAAACCCTACAAACTCCCTTGTGTCCCTTAGCAGTCAATCCTTCATCCCCATCCTGGCCCCAAGGCAATCAATGATCTATTCTCTATCACTATAGATCAGATTTGTTTTTTCTAAAATTTTATAGAAACAGAATCATACAGAATGTACTCATTGTGCTTGGCTTCTTTTTATCAGCATAATGTTTTTTGAGCTCATTTATATTGTATCAGCATTTCCCTTCTTATTGCTGAGTAGTATTGATATATGGATACACTACAATATGTTTTTCCACTCATCTGTTGATGGACATTTGGGTTGTTTCCAGTTTGGGCTATTATGAATAAAGTACCTAAGGCAGCTGTAACAAATTACTGCAAACATGGTGGCTTAAAACAACATACATTTGTTCTCTTAGAGTTCTGGAGGTCAGAACTCCAAAACCAATTTCACTGGGCTGAAACCAGTGAGTCAGCAGGGCTGCTTCTGCTCCGGAGGCTCTCAGGAAGAATCCGTTTCCTTGCCTTTTCCAGCATCTAGAGCTGTATTCACTGGCTCATGGCCACTTCCTCCATATTCAAAGCCAGTGGCATAGCATCCTCTCTCTATGACTCTGTTTCCCTCTGCTTCTATCACATGACCTTCCTCTCTTTTATCTGTAATCTCCTTCTTATGAGGACACTTGTGATTGCATTTACAGCCCACCCAGCTAATTAAGCATAATATCCCCATCACAAGATCCTTAAATTAGTCATATCTGCAAAGTATTACATGCATAAGGTAACATTCACAGGTTCCAAAGGTTAGAATATGGACCTCTTTTTTTTTTTTTTTTTTTTTGAGGGAGGCATTACTCAGCCTATCACAAAAGCTTTATGAATATTCAGGTGCAAGTCTTTGTTTAGACATATGCTTTTATTTCTCTTGGGTAGATGCCTATAAATACCTGGAATTACTGGGTCATATGACAAGTACAAATTTAATGTCATAAGAAACTGCCACTATTTTCCAAAGTGGTTGTACCACTTTCACACTCTCACTAGCAACATATGAGGGTTCTGGCCAACTTCCTTAACACTTGGTATTGCCAGATGTTTTAATTTTAACCATCCTAGTGAATGTATGGTATATCTTCTTACAGTTTTAACTTGCGTTTCCATCACGAGTGATGATATTGAGCATATTTTCATGTGTTGATTAGCCATTTGTATATTTTTATTAGTGAAATGTTTATTAAAACCTGTTTCCATTTTTAAAAATTTGGGTAGTTTGTCTTATTACTGAGTTCTCAGAGTTCTTTATTCTATAATCTGATATAAGTCCATGTCAGATACATATTACAAATATTTTCTCCCAGTCTGCGTCTTGTCTTTCATTTTGTAAATAAAGTCTTTCTAGGAACAAAAGTCCAAGACTTGATGAAGTCTGACTTATCCTTTATAAAATTTTATGGTTCATGCTTTTTATATTCTAAGAAACCTTTGTTTATTCAAGGTCACAAAGATTTTTTTAAAACTCCCCAAGTAACTTTCATGCCCAGGCAAAGTTGAAAGCTACTGGTCTATAGGGAATCTGACTTGGCTTTTTCAATTTAACCTAAATTTTTGCCATAGAAACTTAAGAGTCCTAACAGCAAAACAGGAGTACAGTTCACTGCAGTGCTGTAAAAACAAGGATGCAACTGAGCCTTAGCACTGTCTGAACTGACCAGCTTCCAAGCTTAAGTGTGAGCAGCTGTGAAGGGCTAGAAACAGTGATTTGAGAAAGCAAAGTCAGAGGTACTTTTAGTGTGTTCCAGCTAAGTAAAAAGAGAAAACAGGATTATCCTCTCTCCTGTAGGAAAAAGCACACCCAAGTTTATTTCAGTTTAAACTAAGCAAGTGGGAAAAATTATTTCTGTTCTTGGTGGGCTTCTTTAGAACATGCCCCTCATGGAGACCACAGGGAGATGGGAGTCAAACTTGGCAGTTTTTGCCCATGGTTTTTGAAGCCACCGCATTAAACAAATGAAGGTGGCAGCAATAATATTTGCCCAAATCCTGGTTCCAACAGAGGTTAGACAGACTGAGCTTTCATTACATGAAAGGAGATGTCAGGAGCACCAAACGGGCTCAATTTTCCCTCTCGTCCTAGACAAAGTCAGTCTGTTTTTAAGCTGTGAACAGGAGGCTACTTTCTCCAGATGTTATATTTAGCTAAAGGAATCTCCAACATGGCTTCATGCAAAATGTAAAATATGTCCCAGCAGACATTACCACAAACCAGAGGGCTAGCAAGGAGCCTCCCTTAAGGGGGTTCAATAGCATAGAGGGGCCAATTGTGCAGCCACCCTGACATCCCTAAATTAGCTAAATTAGCTGTGAGCCAGATTTGGGGCCAATTCTCACATTTAATGAGTCCTTGTTTCCCTCTTACAGGGGGCAGAGATATTTTGCCCCTGAGGAGTGTAAACATGCTGCCCTATTTCATTCCCAACTTCCAGCTGCTTGCCCCAACCCCAGGTAGGAAAAACAATCCAATGTTGATGTTCAACATCTCCATACCCTTTGAAGGTTTATGTGCAAAAGAAAAATTAGGTTAATTCTATAACTAAGTGAAATATCTGAATTCAATGAAACAGAGAAAATCCAGGATTTTCTCTTCTCTGTACAACATACTTAGAGAATCCTAATACAGTATGTAGATGAAAATGTTGGATTCTAGAGCCAGGTGACTGGAGTTAAACGTTAGCTTCATTTCGTTTTTCTTAATCTCTCTCTCTCTCTTCTTTTTTTCTGAGACGAAGTCTTGCTCTGTTGCCTAGACTGAAGTGCAACAGCATGATCTGTGCTCACTGCAACCTCCACTTCCCGGGTTCAAGAGATTCTCCTGCTTCAATCTCTTGAGTAGCTGGGATTACAGGCACTGGCCATCTTGCCTGGCTAATTTTTGTGTTTTTGTAGAGACGGGGTTTCACCATGTTGGCCAAGCTGGTCTTGAACTCCTGACCTCAGGTGATCTGCCCACCTTGGCCTCCCAAAGCGCTGCGATTACAGGCGTGAGCCACCGCTCCCAGCCCTCTGTTTTGTTTTTTGTTTTTTGTTTTTTGTTTTTTTTTTTTAAACAGACAGGGTCTGGCTCTGTTACTCAGGCTAGAGTACAGTGGCATGATTATAGATCACTGCAGCCTCAAATTTCTGGGCTCAAGTGATCCTTCCCGTCTCAGCCTCCTGGGTAGCTAGGCCTACAGGTGTGTACCACCATGCCTAGCTAATTTTTTTTAAGTGGGGGAGGGAGGTAGAGACAGAGTCTTGCTATGTTGCCCAGGCTGGTCTTGAACTCCTTGCTTCAAGCGATCCTCCCACCTCAACCTCCCAAAGGGCTGGGATTACAGGCTTGAGCCACTGTGCCTGGCCTGCTTAATCTCTTTAAGCCATAGTTTCTTCCTTCATAAAACAGCGATGATGACAATAGTAACTACTTTATAAAATTACGGTAAGGATTAAAGGAGATAATACATATAAAGTGCTTAACACGATACCTGGCACATAGAGGTTCAAAATATAATGACTTCTATTATCATAATTTTTGCAGTGAATCATTAAGTTTTATAGATTAAAAAAAGATTTTTAAAAATGTTGACTTTTGCTAGTGACAAACAGACCCAAATTCACATAAAGCACAGGTGTGTACAGCCATACCACAAATTAAGGTATCTTTTCTAAGCCTATGTCCCCAGAGAAATGGGTCCTTTTGCCACTGGAACCAAATTTACTGGTAAAACATATCTATTTTATGTATTTGGATCCCAATTTGGTATTTCTTTATTGCTGACATTGTAGATATCAGCACCTGAAATAATCCTTCATTCTTCAAGAAATCTGGTCTTCATTTGCTTAAGCTAGCCCTCTCCACACCTATATCCACTTTTGTTTGTCCTTATCTGTGGGATTAAAATTTACCTATCACAATTTAACAAAGGTAACCTAACAACCAGAAGGAAGCCCCCAGTGTAGGATCCCCTTATCGTCACAGAACAGTGGTATCCTGAATTTGGAAGGCACCATGGAGATCACATAGACCACACTCTTTTTTTAAAGTTTAGGGAACTGAGGCACAGAAAGAAGTCATTGTCCAAGGTCTCAGAGTTAAGAGCAGAGCTAGGCCCAAGAGAAAGGGTCACTTGGAAAAGGCATCTCCTCTGATAGCACAAAGCAAATCCCCGGGAAGATTCATGTAACTACAGAATGGCTGAGGACATTCCTTAGGACTCTTATCTGATACTATATCTTAACCAGTAGGATTCTAATTCATGTGCAAGGACACTCTAAACAAAAGAGGTTAAAAAACTGGGGTGTGGTATGAAGAATGTTTGTTTGCCCATTACTAGAAAGCAGAGAGGCTCTTTACCCAGCCAAAAGAGAATGAATCAATTTTTTTTTTTTTAGGAGTCAGGGTCTCCCTCTGTTGCCCAGGCTGGAGTGCAGTGGCATGATTACAGCTCACTGCATCCTCAAACCATCAGGGTCTCTCTCTGTTGCCCAGGCTGGAGTGCAGTGGCATGATTACAGCTCACTGCATCCTCAAACTATCAGGGTCTCATTCTGTTGCCCAGGCTGGAGAGCAGTGGCATGATCACGGCTCACTGCATCCTCAAACACCTGGGCTCATGCAATACTCCCACCTCAGCATCCCAAGTAGCTGTGGCTACAGGCACAGGCCACCATGCTCAGCTAACTTTTAAAATTTTTTTAGAGACAAGGTCTTGTTATGTTGTCCAGGTTGTTCTTGAACTTCTGGCCTCAAGCATTTTCCCACCTTGACCTCCTGAGTTGTTGGGATTACAGGAATGATCCATGGTGCTTGGCTCAATCTATTTTTATGATCTGCCAACCAGCTCCTAATTTAAGAGTTTTCTGCCTACATGGGAATGCCCCAAGGGAGGGAGAAAAGAGATTATTCACCCTGTGGGATAGTAATCATTGGCCATTCAACAACCCTGGGCATGTCTCTAATCAACTACAATTTAATTGATCCAAAGTTACAAAGATCAAGAGAAATTCCTATGATCTGCAACTATACACAACAGTATGAATAAATCTCACAAACATAATATTGAAAGAAACCAAACAAAAAAGAGTACATACTGTGCAATTCTACTTATATAAAGTATGAAACCAAGCAAAGCTAATCTCTGCTGTTAAAAGTCAAGACAGTTGTTATCCTTGGGGATTTAGGGTGGGGAGATGACTAGAAGGGAATATGAGGGGGTTTCTAGGGTACAGAAATGTTCTGTTTCTTGATCTGGGTGCTGGTTACACAAGTGTGAATTCAGTTTGTGAAAATGCATATAGCTATTAAATTATAATAGGCATACTTTTCTTCAGTGAAATGTAATATATAAACAGTCCTATGAGAAATAAGTTCTTCCTCACGCTCTAGCATAGTAATACACGGCTTAAGGAAGTCAACCCTGAGCCCATGGCTAGGAATATCATTCACAGACGAATTTTCTTCATGGATGTCATATGCCCCACACCTTGTATACATGCCATGTACCTACCTTTGGTGAAATATGCATAGGGCACTTGAAGAGCCAGGAACACTCGTGACTTTGCTATCTGGCTGCCTTCAGTATAAGCATCTCTGAGATCTGGAGAGGCTATTAAATTATCTAGCCTGGTTTTTCTCTAACCTTCTAAGGCTTGGTAAAAAGGGAGCTGAGAGACTGAGTGAAGTCTAGCTAGGTGAACAGATCTTATAAAAGTTGTTTTCTCGGATGAACAAAGAAAACGGAGGAGGAAACTATCAGTCAAGCCCTTTCCTTCTTGAGATAGTCTAAGTGGCTGTCAAGGTCATAGAGACGAGCTGTCAAAATTTCACCTAAATAGGTTTTAATTTTAGTCACACACATGCATCACCAAGTATTGCAGAATAATTCAAATTAATGACAACCAAGCTGAAGCTGATGCTGGAAACCATGGAGGAGATGGTGAGAAGTACCCTCACTCCAAAATGAGGTGTGGCCCCAACCACAGCACAGCCGGGCTACTAATAATAGCCAGTGAGCTCTGGGAGGAGTTATCTTTCTCTGCCTTCTTTTCGTCGTCAGATGATTGTACCCTCAATATTCTGTCTCTAAGACACAGGGAAAGCACCTTCACGGATGCAATTAGGTAGATGGAAGATTCCAAATCAGTTATTTGATCAGGCTGGTAATTACAGAAAAAAAATGGGGTATTAATTCCAGATCTAGTGAAATCTGGAAAAATTCCTGAGAACTGGAAAGCTGATCAAGAGCTTTGACTGTATCGACTACAGTCCTGTTTACCAGTCTTTTCTCTCATACTTTCAAATTTTAATAATGGATTTTGTCACCTGGAAACTGATGAATTCTAAATAGCCCTCTATAATCTTTTTCTACCTATAACTTTTAGGAAGATTATTTGCCTTCTGGAAAGTCTTCCGGGGATGTCAATGCTTGAATGGTAGACATGACATATCATATACAATGGTTGGGGCCTTCACCGCTGTCTGTAACCCAACCTCATGAATAAATGATTCCACTTTGAGCTCAAGCTGAGACAGCTTAGAAAAGAGCTTCCTGGATTTTCAAGAGGCTGGTTCCATCGTTGACAGGTAAGGTGAATTGGGTCCTTAAGATTATCATGATTATTTTGAGTTTTCCTTTGTCAAATTGTTCAACCTATACCCAAGGAAGTACGATAACAATTGAGTTCCGAAAGCATTCAGAGACCCAAAGACAAAGACATACCACGATAAGAATAACCACACTTTTGAGTCTACCTTGGCCAAGATAAGACCCTGGGAAGAAAACTAAACTAAAAACATAAACGTATATGAGTTTGCTAAATGAACTAGAATAGGAAAACATAAAATGACAGTGTTGGCCCCTTAAGCTCAACAGCTTCAAAAATCACTTTAAGAAAACTTCCCAAAACACAGTTTTTGTTAATAGATGCAGATTATGAATTATAGTACCAGCCCTGGGTTTATACCTTGCAAATGGTTCCTTTCCCAAGGCTACTATTAATTCAGCTCAGAAAGGAAGAAAGGAATGCCAATTCAAATAATTTTTTTCTCCACAAGTATGTGGTAGGGAATGACTAGTGGAAAGCCTATGAAGTGGGCCAATAAGATATTCTTTCTTTTATTTTTTCTTTCCAACTTTTATTTTAGGTTCAAGGGGGGTATATGTGCAAGTTTGTTACATGGGTAAATTGCATGTCATGGGGGTCTGGTGTACAGATAATTTTGTCACCCAGGTAATCAACATAATATCTAATAGGATTTTAAAAATTGTGTCATTGCTCCACCCAAGAACCTCTGTGAAGAAATATCTCTGTACCTTTTTAAAGAGTCTTCCTGAGTCCTCGCTGACTTGTACAAATCGAGGAATGATATTATTCAGGTAGATGTCACTCAGGGTGGTATGGTCCCTGCTTTCCCGCTTCACCTGGTTTAAGAGGAGATTCCAGCAGTTGACTGGAGAGAGAACATTCTGATCCTTCCTGTGAAGAAACATCAAGGAAAAGAAGTCATTGTTGATACGCAGCCAGGGCAACATCTACAACTATAGTCCGTGTCCTAAAATCACAGCAATCAAAGCCAATCCAGAAATAAAGATATTTTTCCTGAAGCTCACCTCTCTAGTTTTCTCCTTTTCTAAAAACTCAGTGGAGAAAAAAGGAGAAAATAAGGACAAGAAGGAGAGGGAGGGAAGAGGGGATGTACAAGGAGAAACAGGATTATCTGTTAGGCACCTACTATGTTCTAAGAACTTGGTGAATGCTTTATACGTATTATCTCATCTCATCTAAGCTCTATCATTTCATTTTAAGGAAAGAACTACCATTATCCCCCTTCAACTGATTAGAAAACTGAAGCTCAGAGAGGTTGTCACTTGTCTACAGCGAGTAAGACTAACACAACAAGTAAGAGGGCGCCAGGGACTAGAACAACAGTTCTGCATTGTCTGGCTAGACCAGGTCTAAGGTGATTCTGAAGTCCATCATTTTAGCCACTAAGTCATTTGGTTTGTCCCTAGGGTTAGAAACCAAAGTTAGAGATTTTGTCTAGACACAAAAATCACTACAGCACTACAAAATCCCCACAAATGTATCCATTGTAGGATTTAATAAAGGCAAATTTGGAGACATATGCCATTAAAATGTTACTGAAAACTCTGGAGTTCCACAGAACACATCTAAGGAAGTTTTGATTTCATTTATTGAGCCATGATCTCATGTCCCATACAATCAAGAACACAAACCATACCTGAACATGTGTTCCTAAAATGTCTACAGCTTGAGTGGAGCAGTAAAGTGCTAAACCAAGGTGCTCATTCCCTTTTTTTTTTTTTTTTTTTTTTTTTTGAGACAAAGTCTCACTCTGTCACCCAGGCTGGAGTACAGTGGCACAATCTTGGCTCACTGCAACCTCCGCCTCCCGCTTTCAAGAGATTCTCCTGCCTCAGCCTCCCTAGTAGCTGGGATTATAGGCACCTGCCACCACGCCCAGCTAACTTTTGTATTTTTAGTAGAGATGGGTTTTCACCATGTTGACCATGCTGATCTTGAACTCCCGACCTCAAGTGATCCACCCACCTTGGCCTCCCAAAGTGCTGGGATTATAGGAGTGAGCCACCGCGCCCGGCCCTAGATGCTCATTTCTAATGAAAACATTGTGATCCAAAAGAATTATTGATTACCAACTCAGCATTAACTTAAGCAACAGAAAGTTCTACATTTGGAAGTTGGATTTCTTTAAGGAGAGAAACAAAAGTAGGAATAATTTGCAGTACTATTTATCAAGGGATACTGTACACATATCTGGGCCCTTTATACATGTTGTTTGACTTAAACCCCACAACTACCTGATGAGGTGGGTGTTATTAACCACATTTGGAAGATGAGGAAAAGTAGACTAAAAATTTTTAAACACTTTGCCCAAGGTCATATAGCTAAAAAGTGGCAATTCCAGAATTCAAACCAAGCCTATAACTGCAAAGCGAGTACTCTCATTCACTGCAAATAATAACTATCTGTTTCTTTCCCCCTTTCCTCTCTTCTCCGCTCCAGTCAGACTCCTACTACAAGGAAAGTGAGTTGAGAGTAGCTTGGTTATTGAGTCAGTACTGCCTCCATTCAGCACTAAAGACCAGGCACTTGTGATTTGTAAACCATGAAGTTCAACTTAGAAGGCTTTTCCAATTCTATAGTAGTAACTATTAACAAATAATCATGCCATACTTACTTGGACTTCAGAACACATCAGACAAATCAAATATCTGTCTAACCCAACCAAGAAGTTACTTCAAACCAATTAATATTAGAGTCCAAATTGAAACTGTTCTAAACCTGTATCCGGGTACCACTCACCCCCTGCCCCAGGCATCACTCTTCTGTAGCCAAAATCACTAACTCTTAAGCGTGCCAATCACTGTGACAACACTTACCTTTTTAGGGAAACTGAAAGATTTCTATGGAAATCAAAAATATACCAGCTGAGAGGAAGAGAGACACATAATTAATTTACTCCTTTCAAAATGTTTAGTATCTGGGGAAAAAAAAGTGAACTGGAAACAATCCTAAATTCAAAATGGTAAGATATTTGAACACATGCATTCCATAGCATCTGATGTCTCCATTGCAAGAAAACTTTCAAAATGATTCCAATTAGATTTCAGTTACAAAATTCTAAATAACCTAATTTACATTTTAATCAAGTGGTGTCTCTCGGCAAGATACCCATGTCCTCAGTAAGCATGCTTTTTAAAGGGGCAGATCTCATGAGACTTTACATTGACAATTGGTTTCAATCTATTTCTTAAGGAAGAAGATGGATTGGGGGGGATCTATACTGGTTCTTTCCCTATAGCACTTTACATACACACAAATAATGCCACAATTCAATTCCACAAATGTACACACATTTGTATCTTAAATGAACAAGGCATGGTGTTAGGTGCTTTAGTGGTTATAAAAGTGCAAATGCTGCAATATAGTAAGGGAGACAAAGAAAGACCTATAGTAAAGTAGAACTTTAATGGTGGTACAAACAAAAGGCCAGCTAGCTCAGAAAGGTAGACCGCAGATCAAAAGAGGAAGCAGAGGAGGCAAAATCAACCTAACACCATGGGAAAGGATGCAGAGCACATATCCCCAAGGTGTCCTCAAAAGAAAAGATGACTGAACAAAGATGGGTCAATAAACAGGATGGCTGGAAGTAGAAATCTTTTAAAATAAAATGCCTTACCACTTAATGCTAATAAGTTTTATTGAGAACTTGTAAGGTGTGGCTCACGCCTGCAATCCCAGCACTTTGGGAGGCCAAGGCAGGTGGATCACTTGAGACCAAGAGTTCAAGACCAGCCTGGCCAGCATGGCAAAACCCCATCTCTACTAAAAATACAAAATTACCTCAGTGTGGATGGTGCACACCTGTAATCCCAGCTACTTGGGAGGCTGAGGCAGGAGAATCACTTGAACCCCGGAGGCAGAGGTTGCAGTGAGCTGAGATCATGCCACTGCACTCCAGCCTGGGTGAGAGCAAGACTCCATCTCAAAACAAAAGAAAAAAAAGAAAAAAGAACTTGCAAGGTGCTATAAGTACTTTTCACATGTATTTATTTCCATCCTTACAGCATTTTGTGCGATAGTTACAGTATTAGTATTGGTTTCAGAGAGCAGGAGCTTTTAAACTGTGTTCTGAGATACTCTGGAATTAGCAGAAAATCACATTTCAATTTAAAAAACGGTGACACATCCATTCAAATGAGCAACCCTCACTGACATGAGCAAGAGACCCAGGACCCAGTTTCCCTGCATTAGATACCACTGCAATGTCTCGCAGGCTGCTAGCATTGTTTTATGTAAACCCTGGAAGAAAGAATCACTGTATGCCTTGGAACTTCTGAACAATATGCTATTAATTAGAATACATGTAGCTTTGCATAGGTTTATTTTTTCATTCAAGCCTGTGTGTGCCTCCTCCAATAAAGCTGTACAGGTGAGCCTATAACTTGACACACAGCAGCAAGGTTCAATCACATGCCATAGAAGGCTCAAGGGCCTAGGCTGGGTTCATGTGAGACCGTGGTTGGGTAGCGAAAATCAACATGCTTAATATCATACCATCTCATCATCAGTTGTTGCGATGCCTATTATACATGTTGGGGCTTATCCAATTAATATTTATGAAGGGGAATAGCTGCTAGGTGATGATAGTGACTCAACTTTAAAACAAAAATATCTTCTTTTTTCCATCTAAATCAATTTAAAGCTCAAGATTACAATAACTTATCTATGCTAATCAGAATTTTCTTGATATTGGACTACCTAAACCAAAACCAGATGCTGAAATGAATATAAAACTATAACTGATTCATAATCCTGATCTCAATATTTTTAGTTCATAAAAACAGCCTCATTGTTCTCATTGACTGACAGTATAATAAGTACTCTATAAATTTGTACTTTAAAAGCAGATTTATACCAATAAAAATACTGCTTTGATCTGTTTCATATATTGAGGCTCTATGCAAGATTTTTATTTTAAAAAAGGAGTCTATGCTTAAAAAACCAGCACTAGATCCTGTTGGCTGTTTCTTCCAGGAGTTCTCAGCCTCTCCTACTATTAATGCAGCTTTTCACACAATATTTCTGGTCCTTTGAGTCTGTAAGCTTTCTCAGACATATTCTTCCTTTCAACTGAGGTGTTTCAATTAATTCATTTATTTATTTTTGGGTAGTGGTAGAGCAAGTAAGGTAGAGAGAAAGTGGGAGGAGGGGATCACAAATATACAGACAATTTTCCCAGCCAACACGAACAAAGATGAAACACACTTCAGGCTGGAAAATAAGCACGGCAACGAGACGTGATTTCATAGGGAGCATATTAAGGCTCTGCTAGAGTGGTTTCCTGCTCCAGAAGCTTTGCAGCCTCATTTTATTTGGGACCGCTGAAGCCAAGGGAACTTCGTTTGGTTAGGAGATTGAAATTTGTCTTTATATCTTTTCCATCTATCATTTGTTTGCACAGTCTCTTTACTTTCCCCACCCCCAGAGCCTTAGGTTGTATAATACTTGGGCCTTTAAAGGAAAGGGTCTGCATCCCTTAGGAATGTGCTGAGCAGCTGCAAACCTCCTCAAACACTAATCCCTAAAAAGCAGACAAAATACCTAGGAGTATTTTTCTTACTTAAAATGTTTTTCAGGAGGAAGATCAAGAAAACATCATACTATACCTGAGAGGGAATGACTCTGGAGTCGAAAGGAGACCCGGAAAGTCACATGCTGCCTGTACATCTGCAGGAGACATTATCACTGTAAATGCACTGAAAGAGATAAACCTGCATAGCTGAATCATTAGCTTCGAAGACATTAGCCCAGCTTTTCTCCCTCAACTTGGACTATTTATGGACGTTCAACAAACTTAGCAACAAGCGCTTAAAGGGATTTCTCTAAAATATCCATGGTGAAGAGCCAAGTCTATAAAGGTCCAAGTTGGCCTCTCTATTATGGTTCTTTTCCATATCACCTCTGTTTGGTTTTTATCATCTCATCTATAAAATGGACACGTGCCCTATTGGTATACATCTCACTCCTCAAAGATCTTCAAAGTATGGCTGTAAAATCCTAGACGCTCTCCTGACCTAAGGTGCCATTTAATTAATAATTGCTACGTTCATGGCTGTGCAGATGGAATGCATGGCATGAGGCTGGCATTGCTGGAATATAGCTTGAGCTTCTGCATTGCTATAACGAGGTGTGTTTCCTTTTGGGCCAATAGTCTCTAAGTTGCTCACCTCTCAGGGCTGTTGTGTGGATCAAATGAAATGATGGATGCAAAAGAACTATGCCAATAGTTCAGCACTATACAAATGTGAAGAAATATTATTATTTTTATTTCCAAACAAACTAGGACTCAGCTTTCATCAATTTCCAACATGCTTCTCACCCGGCTCTGGGCCAGGGCCAAGATTGCTGCCTGCTGAAAATGCACAGCCTTCAGCAAATAATGGTTTGAGTAAGACAGCAGCAACAGGCAATTAACAAAGCAGCCGTAAGGCTCTGGGAAGACGTGAGAGAGATACCAACAGGAGAGCAGATTTTAATCTCCCACTGTCCTTTCCCTAAGGGACAAGGTAGAACAATCAGTCCTGCATTCCACACTGGGAACTGTGTGCTGAGGTTGACAGAAAGGAATCCAAAGGGAGCACAGATTGCCCAAACCCTAGATGCTTCAGCAACTTATACTAAGCTCCCATCCCCTGTCTCAGAATTCCTATCAAACCTGCCAATCTGCATAGAGAGATGGCAACTATCAATACATCTAAGCAGAATATAATTTCTCGCTTTTAAAAACAGACCTATCTGTGATGATAGACAAAACTTAAAGAGTTAAATACATCATTCAATATATGTTATTGAACATACAAGTATGTGGTGAATAAAAAAAGGTACATGCATGATAAAAGGAATCATTTAAGTGATGGTTGGACAGGGAACTTGTGACAAGAAGGAGGTTGGATTTTTTAACCTAAATTCCCTCCTGGCACCTTGATTAAAATGAAATGAACTGAGGCAGCCAAAGAGATTATTTTATTCAGATGAGTGTTATTAGCCTTTCTGGCTTATTTTCTCTATTATGCATTTTGCTGATGCTGACAGAAGCAGGCAGGCTGGATAGAGAGGCAAAGCTGCAGTGGATTTATGGTCTGACAGTGTCATGCATAAAATCAGACCCTTGCTGACCCAGATAAGCCAGAGGATGGATTGGATTTGCTGGGGAAGGTGTTAAAAGAAGGAGGGGGTAAAAATCACCAAGGTAGGAAATGACTTGAAAACGATTCTGCCTGTAATGGTGGATGCTGGTTTTGTGACCCAGTAGTACAGCGGCAGCCTGAAGGTATCTTTCAAAGACAGACGGGCAGGCAGGGGGCGGGCACACTTCTCTGGGCTTATCACAGCTTTGGCTTCAGCGTTGCCAGCAATGAGATCAGAGGAGGAGAGTTCAGAGACAGAGAAAAGTGCCAAAGGCAAAAATAATATAGTCTACATATGGAGAAATGAACTTTCAAATTTTCAGGGACAAGTGAGTACCACAAATTGTCTTCGGTAGCCTAGACAGATGATTAGAAAGGATTCAAGCAGTGGTAGACCCACCTTCTCAAAATAGCCTAAATTGTCCCCTATAATCAGGTTTGGGGGAAGGACTGTATGAAAATAAGATTCTTGTGGCTCTGGATTAGTTCCATGGAGCAGAACCACACCCTTGAGAGAACAGCATGCCCAAGAGCCGGACCTTAGGAATCTGCTTTGAAGTAGAGAACTGGACTAGCACCATGTCTGACATCTATTAAGTGCTTAATCACGATTTCCTGAATGATTATAGGACCAAGGTTCTTGTGGGTTAGGTCAGAGAACTAGGAATGGCCCCCAAATTTAAGCTATCGTAGACACTAACTGGAAATGTCTCCATCAATTTATGTTAAGTGAGAGATTCTGCCTTCCTTTCAACCACCCCTATGGCACGGTGCTCACAGCAGAAAGGAGGCAAATGGAGGGTCTTCATATCTCTTAAGATAGATCTATGGATCCCATAAGACCAGACACGGGGGTCTACACAAGATTTGAATCTCTGCCATCCACATTTCTTGCCTAGTTTCTGATATCTTATTGTCCAGGCTCCTTCTCTGAGTCCCTGATGTCTTCTTATTTCATTCATTCATTTAACAAATATTAATTGAGCCTCCTATTATGGGCTAGCCACTATTCTAGGAATAAAAGGATCAACATTCTTTTTTCTGACCTGCTTCTCCCATGTTTGCAGACTTCCTGGATCCAAGACATGGCTTTCCTGCTCCTAAACTGTGCATCAGCCACAACCCACATCTTATCCTGGTCTTGTGGCTTGTGTGTACATTGGCTTGGATGAACCCACTGCAAAACCCTGATTTGGCTGACTTAGAAAATCTGCCTGCCCACCAGCTCTCTCTATAGCTTCTGTAGACCTGGGACCTTCCCTTTGTTTACATCCCATGTGTTAGCACTAGCATTCCCAGAACTATAGGGAGGAATGAATAAAGAGGCTGTTAAACCCTCTTGGTACAATCTACATGCTACAATGCCACCCCAATATAATCCATAGAACTAAGGGCCTAGAAATGCACTTAGGTATTAAATATGCTCCCTGAAAGCCCCCCAAAATAGGCTGTGATCACATCAAAGGCCTGAGCTGACTCATTCACTCAGTTAAACTAAAACACCATAGCAAGGGTAAAAGACAGAACAAAGGTGTGATCAATGACCGAGGAACATAAAATTTATACGTTTCTCAGCTTAAAAAGAATTCGTAACCATCAATATCATGTTGACAGTTGGATCCACAAAGTCCATAGAAAAACCTGTGAACAACTCTACAATTATATCTTTGATTTTTTCTTCTCTAGTTAATTAAGATGTCACCAGAAGCCCTATAAGTAATTATAGCACATGACAAACATACAGAGAAAAAAAAATACACACAGATGTGTTAGCAGATTTTTAAAATAAATGAAACCTTGGGAAATGACTGAGGCAGACAGTCTGGCTCACCCCTGGTAGTTCATTCTAGAGAAATAAATACCTGTCTGTGCCAAAGTGGAATGACGTCACTCAGAAATCCACACACTTATCAAAGCAGTAACCACCCCCTTAAGAGCAAGCATCTCTCTGGCACCAGGCATGAGCGGAGAAGTTTGATCTACAGCCAGAAACTCCTCCTGGCTAGCAAATTGTACTGTAGTATGCCAAATAGCAATAAGCCACTGAGAAGAAAGGGTATCCATAAAGATCTCCCCCTCCCAAACACCCGTCCCTGGGACAATGAGTCCCCTTACATGGCTCATAACAACAATGAAAAGGAGGGAAAAAAAATAAAATTCTTGATTCTGTGAAACTATAGATCTAAATGGAATGAAGTCTACACAGTCATCAGATTGGCTGCATGTGTCATTATCAGTTCTCATGTGTTATTTGGATATTTATCTTGCCTTTATTAGAAGGAAGTCTCTTTTTGTGTGGGGGTGCAGGAGGAACAACCCCCAGGCCCAGTAAGGAATTCTCTTGAGGACAGGGTATATTTAGAATGTTTAATGAACACCTATCACCAAGAATAGGTGGGTCCTTAATCAGTATTGACTAACAACAGATGCCAGAGCCAAAGCAATCCTGTAAATGTTGAGGACAGAAAGACCATGATTCATTTAATGACTAGTTAATATGTTCAGCCTCCACCAATCTTGCCAAATCAGCTGCTCCAGTGTGTATCTGTGCTCACTCTCTGGGTGGCTACTGAATGACCAAATTTGTATGTCCATTGGCTTGTGTACTCTAAATTACAGCATATTATTAACCATGTTGATACTTTACTGGCAAAACTTTAAAGGGCTGAGTGGTATAAGAGAAGCCCTAGTCAATTTCCAGGTTAGTAGATCAAATTAGCGAGTTCAGGTCCTTAAGGAATCTGGATGAACAATGTGAAACTCCATCTACACTCTGTGGAAAGCGCCTTGAACTATGCTTAAGACACAGAGTCTAGGCTTAGCTCTGCCACTTACTAGCCAGGTAACTTTGGGCAAGTCACAAATGCATTCTGGGTCTCAAAATCTCTTCACCTGTTTTAAAAAGTAAATGGAAGCCAGGTATGGTGACACGTGCCTGTACTCCTGGCTACTCGGGAAGCTGAGGTGGGAAGATCGCTTGAGCCCAGGAGCTTGAGGCCATAGTGCACAATGATTGTGCCTGTAAATGACCAGCCTGGGTAACATAGGACCTGTCTCTTAAAAAATAAATAAATAGAGACGGAGGTAGAGGGAGGACACAGAGCCGCGCCGCCTGCACCAGAGACCTTCGCCTCGCCCCGCCGGTTCCTCACCCTCGGGGAGCAACATGGATAATCTCAGTGATACCTTGAAGAAGCTGAAGATAACAGCTGTTGACAAGACTGAGGATAGTTTAGAAGGATGCTTGGATTGTCTGCTTCAAGCCCTGGCTCAAAATAAATGATTCAGTGTAGGGGGGAGGAGCCAAGATGGCCGAATAGGAACAGCTCCGGTCTACAGCTCCAGCGTGAGCGACACAGAAGACGGGTGATTTCTGCATTTCCATCTGAGCTTTGAAGAGAGCAGTGGTTCTCCCAGCACGCAGCTGGAGATCTGAGAACGGGCAGACTGCCTCCTCAAGTGGGTCCCTGACCCCTGACCCCCGAGCAGCCTAACTGGGAGGCACCCCCCAGCAGGGGCACACTGACACCTCACACGGCAGGGTATTCCAACAGACCTGCAGCTGAGGGTCCTGTCTGTTAGAAGGAAAACTAACAAACAGAAAGGACATCCACACCGAAAACCCATCTGTACATCACCATCATCAAAGACCAAAAGTAGAGAAAACCTCAAAGATGGGGAAAAAACAGAACAGAAAAACTGGAAACTCTAAAACGCAGAGCGCCTCTCCTCCTCCAAAGGAACGCAGTTCCTCACCAGCAACGGAACAAAGCTGGATGGAGAATGATTTTGACGAGCTGAGAGAAGAAGGCTTCAGACGATCAAATTACTCTGAGCTATGGGAGCACATTCAAACCAAAGGCAAAGAAGTTGAAAACTTTGAAAAAAATTTAGAAGAATGTATAACTAGAATAACGAATACAGAGAAGTGCTTAAAGGAGCTGATGGAGCTGAAAACCAAGGCTCGAGAACTACGTGAAGAATGCAGAAGCCTCAGGAGCCGATGCGATCAACTGGAAGAAAGGGTATCAGCAATGGAAGATGAAATGAATGAAATGAAGCGAGAAGGGAAGTTTAGAGAAAAAAAGAATAAAAAGAAATGAGCAAAGCCTCCAATAAATATGGGACTATGTGAAAAGACCAAATCTACGTCTGATTGGTGTACCTGAAAGTGAGGCGGAGAATGGAACCAAGTTGGAAAACACTCTGCAGGATATTATCCAGGAGAACTTCCCCAATCTAGCAAGGCAGGCCAACGTTCAGATTCAGGAAATACAGAGAACGCCACAAAGACACTCCTCGAGAAGAGCAACTCCAAGACACATAATTGTCAGATTCACCAAAGTTGAAATGAAGGAAAAAATGTTAAGGGCAGCCAGAGAGAAAGGTCGGGTTACCCTCAAAGGGAAGCCCATCAGACTAACAGCAAATCTCTCGGCAGAAACCCTACAAGCCAGAAGAGAGTGGGGGCCAATATTCAACATTCTTAAAGAAAAGAATTTTCAACCCAGAATTTCATATCCAGCCAAACTAAGCTTCATAAGTGAAGGAGAAATAAAATACTTTACAGACAAGCAAATGCTGACCGATTTTGTCACCACCAGGCCTGCCCTAAAAGAGCTCCTGAAGGAAGTGCTAAACGTGGAAAGGAACAACCAGTACCAGCCACTGCAAAAACATGCCCAATTGTAAACACCATCGATGCTAGGAAGAAACTGCATCAACTAATGAACAAAATAGCCAGCTAACATCATAATGACAGGATCAAATTCACACATAACAATATTAACCTTAAATGTAAATGGGCTAAATGCTCCAATTAAAAGACACAGACTGGCAAATGGATAAAGAGTCAAGACCCATCAGTGTGCTGTATTCAAGAAACCCTTCTCACGTGCAGAGACACACATAGGCTGAAAATAAAAGGATGGAGGAAGATCTACCAAGCAAATGGAAAACAAAAAAAGGAAGGGGTTGCAATCCTAGTCTCTGATAAAACAGACTTTAAACCCACAAAGATCAAAAGAGACAAAGAAGGCCATTACATAATGGTAAAGGGATCAATTCAACAAGAGGAGCTAACTATCCTAAATATATATGCACCCAATACAGGAGCACCCAGATTCATAAAGCAAGTCCTGAGTGACCTACAAAGAGACTTAGACTCCCACACATTAATAATGGGAGACTTTAACACCCCACTGTCAACATTAGACAGATCAACGAGACAGAAAGTCAACAAGGATACCCAGGAATTGAACTCAGCTCTGCACCAAGCGGACCTAATAGACATCTACAGAACTCTCCACCCCAAATCAACAGAATATACATTTTTTTCAGCACCACACCACACCTATTCCAAAATTGACCACGTAGTTGGAAGTAAAGCTCTCCTCAGCAAATGTAAAAGAACAGAAATTATAACAAACTATCTCTCAGACCACAGTGCAATCAAACTAGAACTCAGGATTAAGAATCTCACTCAAAGCCGCTCAACTACATGGAAACTGAACAACCTGCTCCTGAATGACTACTGGGTACATAACGAAATGAAGGCAGAAATAAAGATGTTCTTTGAAACCAACGAGAACAAAGACACAACATACCAGAATCTCTGGGACGCATTCAAAGCAGTGTGTAGAGGGAAATTTATAGCACTAAATCCCCACAAGAGAAAGCAGGAAAGATCCAAAATTGACACCCTAACATCAAAATTAAAAGAACTAGAAAAGCAAGAGCAAACACATTCAAAAGCTAGCAGAAGGCAAGAAATAACTAAAATCAGAGCAGAACTGAAGGAAATAGAGACACAAAAAACCCTTCAAAAAATCAATGAATCCAGGAGCTGGTTTTTTGAAAGGATCAACAAAATTGATAGACCGCTAGCAAGACTAATAAAGAAAAAAAGAGAGAAGAATCAAATAGACACAATAAAAAATGATAAAGGGGATATCACCACCAATCCCACAGAAATACAAACTACCATCAGAGAATACTACAAACACCTCTACACAAATAAACTAGAAAATCTAGAAGAAATGGATACATTCCTCGACACATACACTCTCCCAAGACTAAACCAGGAAGAAGTTGAATCTCTGAATAGACCAATAACAGGAGCTGAAATTGTGGCAATAATCAATAGTTTACCAACCAAAAAGAGTCCAGGACCAGATGGATTCACAGCCGAATTCTACCAGAGGTACAAGGAGGAACTGGTACCATTCCTTCTGAAACTATTCCAATCAATAGAAAAAGAGGGAATCCTCCCTAACTCATTTTATGAGGCCAGCATCATTCTGATACCAAAGCCGGGCAGAGACACAACCAAAAAAGAGAATTTTAGACCAATATCCTTGATGAACATTGATGCAAAAATCCTCAATAAAATACTGGCAAACCGAATCCAGCAGCACATCAAAAAGCTTATCCACCATGATCAAGTGGGCTTCATCCCTGGGATGCAAGGCTGGTTCAATATACGCAAATCAATAAATGTAATCCAGCATATAAACAGAGCCAAAGACAAAAACCACATGATTATCTCAATAGATGCAGAAAAAGCCTTTGACAAAATTCAACAACCCTTCATGCTAAAAACTCTCAATAAATTAGGTATTGATGGGACGTATCTCAAAATAATAAGAGCTATCTATGACAAACCCACAGCCAATATCATACTGAATGGGCAAAAACTGGAAGCATTCCCTTTGAAAACTGGCACAAGACAGGGATGCCCTCTCTCACCACTCCTATTCAACATAGTGTTGGAAGTTCTGGCCAGAGCAATCAGGCAGGAGAAGGAAATAAAGGGTATTCAATTAGGAAAAGAGGAAGTCAAATTGTCCCTGTTTGCAGATGACATGATTGTTTATCTAGAAAACCCCATCGTCTCAGCCCAAAATCTCCTTAAGCTGATAAGCAACTTCAGCAAAGTCTCAGGATATAAAATCAATGTACAAAAATCACAAGCATTCTTATACACCAACAACAGACAAACAGAGAGCCAAATCATGAGTGAACTCCCATTCACAATTGCTTCAAAGAGAATAAAATACCTAGGAATCCAACTTACAAGGGATGTGAAGGACCTCTTCAAGGAGAACTACAAACCACTGCTCAAGGAAATAAAAGAGGATACAAACAAATGGAAGAACATTCCATGCTCATGGGTAGGAAGAATCAATATCGTGAAAATGGCCATACTGCCCAAGGTAATTTACAGATTCAATGCCATCCCCATCAAGCTACCAATGACTTTCTTCACAGAATTGGAAAAAACTACTTTAAAGTTCATATGGAACCAAAAAAGAGCCCGCATCGCCAAGTCAATCCTAAGGCAAAAGAACAAAGCTGGAGGCATCACACTACCTGACTTCAAACTATACTACAAGGCTACAGTAACCAAAACAGCATGGTACTGGTACCAAAACAGAGATATAGATCAATGGAACAGAACAGAGCCCTCAGAAATAATGCCACATACCTACAACTATCTGATCTTTGACAAACCTGAGAAAAACAAGCAATGGGGAAAGGATTCCCTATTTAATAAATGGTGCTGGGAAAACTGGCTAGCCATATGTAGAAAGCTGAAACTGGATCCCTTCCTTACACCTTATACAAAAATCAATTCAAGATGGATTAAAGATTTAAACGTTAGACCTAAAACCATAAAAACCCTAGAAGAAAACCTAGGCATTACCATTCAGGACATAGGCGTGGGCAAGGACTTCATGTCCAAAACACCAAAAGCAATGGCAACAAAAGCCAAAATTGACAAATGGGATCTCATAAAACTAAAGAGCTTCTGCACAGCAAAAGAAACTACCATCAGAGTGAACAGGCAAACTACAACATGGGAGAAAATTTTTGCAACCTACTCATCTGACAAAGGGCTAATATCCAGAATCTACAATGAACTCAAACAAATTTACAAGAAAAAAAACAAACAACCCCATCAAAAAGTGGGTGAAGGACATGAACAGACACTTCTCAAAAGAAGACATTTATGCAGCCAAAAAACACATGAAAAAATGCTCATCATCACTGGCCATCAGAGAAATGCAAATCAAAACCACTATTGAGATATCATCTCACACCAGTTAGAATGGCAATCATTAAAAAGTCAGGAAACAACAGGTGCTGGAGAGGATGTGGAGAAATACAAACACTTTTACACTGTTGGTGGGACTGTAAACTAGTTCAACCATTGTGGAAGTCAGTGTGGCGATTCCTCAGGGATCTAGAACTAGAAATACCATTTGACCCAGCCATCCCATTACTGGGTATATACCCAAATGACTATAAATCCTGCTGCTATAAAGACACATGCACACGTATGTTTATTGCGGCATTATTCACAATAGCAAAGACTTGGAACCAACCCAAATGTCCAACAATGATAGACTGGATTAAGAAAATGTGGCACATATACACCATGGAATACTATGCAGCCATAAAAAATGATGAGTTCATGTCCTTTGTAGGGACATGGATGAAATTGGAAACCATCATTCTCAGTAAACTATCGCAAGAACAAAAAACCAAACACCGCATATTCTCACTCATAGGTGGGAACTGAACAATGAGATCACATGGACACAGGAAGGGGAATATCACACTCTGGGGACTGTGGTGGGGTGGGGGGAGGGGGGAGGGATAGCATTGGGAGATATACCTAATGCTAGATGACGAGTTAGTGGGTGCAGCGCACCAGCATGGCACATGTATACATATGTAACTAACCTGCACAATGTGCACATGTACCCTAAAACTTAAAGTATTAAAAAAAAAAAAAAGCATGATTCAGTGTAGTTGTAGTGCTAGATATATTATATGGAATTATCAGCAGTTTACCAGTTGGTTCTTTATTAGTACTCCTGATGTCTTAAACAAAAATGAATAACTGTTTATCTTTTAAAAAAATAAATAAATAAAAAATAAATAAATAAATAAATGGGATAAGCAGGGACAGCAGACCTGCCCTGCCTAACACACATGACTTTTGTGAAGATCCAATCAAACAAGGTGATGCCCTTAAACAAACTTTATAAACATGAAAGTGTTCTACAACTATATATCAGTATCAACATCTTTTCTTATAATTATGACAACTATCATTACTCAACAGCCCACACAATGAATTCATACCCACGAAACAAAGTGACTAGAATCATGTCTGAAAAGACAAATACATCTCAAAATTCCTTTTATAATAAACTTGTTTCATAAATTCCCTACTTCATTAGTATACTAAATAGGAACACTTCCTTTTTTTTTTTTTTTTGAGACGGAGTTTCACTCTTGTTGTCCAGGCTAGAGTGCAATGGTGCGATCTCGGCTCACCGCAACCTCCGCCTCCTGGGTTCAAGCGATTCTCCTGCCTCAGCCTCCTGAGTAGCTGGGATTACAGGCATGTGCCACCACGCTCGGCTAATTTTGTGTTTTTTAGTAGAGACAGGGTTTCTCCATGTTGGTCAGGCTGGTCTCCAACTCCTGACCTCAGGTGATCTGTCCACATTGGCCTCCCAAAGTGCTGGGATTACAGGTGTGAACCACCGCACCCGGCCCATACTTTTTTTTTGCAGAGATGGGGTCTTGCTCTGTTGCCCAGGTTGGAGTACACGGGCATGACCATGGTTCACTGTAGCCTCAAACTCCTGGGCTCAAGCAATCCTCCCGCCTCAGCCTCCCAAAGTGCCAGGCTCACAATTATGAGCCACCTCACCTGGCCAGGAATACATTTTATTGCTATTAATTTATCATCTGATTCTCTGGAAATTCCCAAACTCAGTGAATCTTCTGTGCCTAATGTAGCTGAGACTTTAAACGAAAGAATCATGTGCAAAGAGAAAAGGCCAGAGTGTACAAAAAGAGAATCATGGAATTTCAGAGCTAGAAGGGACTTTCAAGATGGTCTAGAGTCTAGACCAAGCCTGTCATTGTCTGAGTGAGGAAACTGAGGCTCAGGGAGCCTGAGATCACACAGACAGTGGTGGAGCAGGGCAAGAATCCAGGTCTCCTGACTAGTAACCGTTTTCTTATTTCATTGTGGTGGTTATTACATTTCATTCAAAAGCCCTTAGCATCTCAAAGGGCTGGTGCTGAAAGAGTTAATGGACAATGCTCAGAGCCCCAGAGCGCAGAGCTATTCTAAGACAACACATAACAGGAATACCAAGGGTCCATGAACCCAGAGGGAGCAAAACTGCTGCTGCCTAACGGCGCCTGAAAGCATGTTGACACACTGCATGTGGTTACACATGAAAGGCAAGTGAATAGGAAAAGCAGTTTTGAATCCCACCCCATTCTAATTTTGGACTGGCTCTGGGCACCTACTGGAGGACTGGGCCACACCCCAGTCACTCTGTAAAATGACCCTTCAGTTCCTTCACTCTCTCTATTCTGTGGCCTCAGTTAACCCCTTCTCTGCCTTCTTAAGGGCCATAAGAGACATCAGTAAAAGAGGACTATCAAGGAATTATCAAGATCCAGAAGTAAACCTAAGTGATTGGGGTCATCCTGTAACGAGAAGATTCCCAGTCTGGAGTCAGATGATCCCCACTAGTATCTACCATCCCCAAGCATGTGATCTGAAGCCTTCAACAGCCAGGTTCATAAATGCAAAAGAGAGCAGTTTCTGTAAGTGTGAGGCTTCAAGACCCCAAATCACCTTGCATCAGAATCACCTGGAATGCTTGTTTAAAATGTGGATTCTTATGCTCGTCTGCCAGAGATTACAACTCGTGGACTGATGCCCAGGAATCTGCCTTTCAAATCAGCATGTCAGGTAATTTTATGCACACCAAAAAATTTAAAAAACAATGCTCTTAAAGCAATGTTTTACAAACTGTGGGATTCAACCCATTAGTGAGGTTTAAAAAAAATCAACGTATAGGTCACCAACTAGCATTTCTCAAAAAATTAAGTAGGCAACAGTAGAAGAGAATAACAGAAAAAAGTAGCCTGGATGCAGTGCCTCACACCTGCATTCCCAGCACTTTGGGAGGCTGAGGCAGGCAGATCACTTGAGGTCAGGAGTTTGAGACCAGCTTGGGCAACACGGTAAAACCTTGTCTCTACCAAAAATACAAAAAACTAGCTGGGCATGGTGGTGTGCACCTGTGGTCCTAGCTACTCGGGAGGCTGAGGTGGGAGGATCACTTGAGCTCAGGAGGCAGAGGTTGCAGTGAGCCAAGATGGCGCCATTACACTCCAGCCCGGGTGAAAGAGTGAGACCCCATCTCAACAAAAAAAAGAATAACAGAACAAAGTAGAAAATCTCAGAGTACATCACACAAAGCAAACATAAGTATTGTTCTGTGAAAGTATTGTTCTCAGCTATTTATGTGTATATAAGTATATTCCAGCTTGTAGTATAAAATATGGAGATTCATGATCAAAATGTTTTAAAGTCACTGCTCCAGAGTAATGGTCTTAAATTATGGGAGATAATTACGTATTCCAGATCCCTTTGAGAATCGTTTTTTTCTTTTTTTCTTTCAGTTACCATCCATAGGACTCTGCTTGATACTTTTTGAGAATCTGAGGATTCTCTTCTAAAGAAGAGAAGGAGGGAGGGAGGGAGGGAGGGAAGCGGGGAAACATTATAATTTGCATAGATAAATCCAGCATGTACCTGAACTTCTAGAAGCCTATCCCTCAAGGGCTTCTCTTGAAGACAGTTCCTACAATGTCTGTTCACAGTGGGCACCCAATAACCACTGTACCATGCCAACAGCTTTCTCCCCATGCTCTGTAAATGACCCCAGTGTCTTCCTTATATACCTGTAAGATAAGTGGTCCAACTACGATGATTGTTTTCCTCTTATTTTTAGGGTGACTAGGAATGCCAAAGCTAAACAATGTCCTACAGAACACTGGGAGAAAGCAGTTGGCAAATTCCCAGAATGAGGATTCTGAAAGCAATGGTGTGGGTCCAATGTCACTGCTTTCCAAGGAACACACTCCCTGTCTACAGGGAGTGTCTACTCACTCCCGACAAGGGCAGACAATGGCACTGGCACAATTGTGCACCCCCCAGTGATAAAGTCAATAGAAGAATATCTACTTTATTTGCAAGCTGGTGAATTATTTGACCTACAAATGTACCCACAGACACAGAGGCCCCAGCCTTACCTTCTCTATATGAAAAGGACATAGGACATAAGGTCCCTAGTCCTAGATGGAAGATTTTAAAAGGGTATAAACGTCTAGAAAAACAACCAACAGCCATAGCTTGATTATCAACACAGTCCCATCCTGATGGTTAAACCTATCAGTACATAGAAAGAGTAAAAATGAGAATAAAGGTTTTAAAAACCAGCCTTTGCTAAGTGAGGAATATGAAGAAGAGATGGAAAGTGGCAAGGTATAATGGGGGGACAGGGACGGTGAAGAGAAATGGAAGAGTTGGGGAGGAAGGACCATTGAGAAGATAGAGAATCAAACCCCAAAACTATTCTAAAATTTCCTGATGCTTTTCAGTAATTTGTTTTCATGCAGTGGAAATTGGCACAGCATCTAGGATACTTTGGGCCCATCTGTTTTTGAACTTAAGCTGTACACAAGATTCAGAACAGCTGGAATCAGCAGCACTGACCAGGTTATATGTGTCTGGAGGAAAGAGAAATAAAATGAGTGTGTGGGAGATGGAGGAAGAGGGTTAAATGGGGCAGAGAAAGGGGATTCTGGAAGCCATTCCCAGACAGACAGGAGAAAATGGCCAGGTCATCAGAATTGATGCAAAAGAGCTATTAGAGAGGCCAAAGCATGTAACTGAAGAAAGTCCAGGAGGAGAAATTTCAAGGATTTCAGAACAGGGCACTAGCAAACAGTCTCGCAAAAGGACGTAAAAGTTTGCAAGTTTGGGTGTCAATGTGCAGTGCCCCGGGGCTTCATGTCTGAAAGGCCAGATCAACATTATCCTAAGGTCTTACATCAAGCATATTACATGAGCTGCTGGTAAACAGTACAGACAATCATGGCCTACAGCTGAGCAGATGCTGATGCTGATGCTGATGCTGATGCTGATGCTGGATTCTTGGTTCACTAAATGCAAAAGAGGTGATCAGGGAGAATGGCAAGGAGAACCTAGGAGCAGGCTTAGGAGAAACTGGCAAGGGTCTCAATCCATAAGATGGCTTGCTTAGAGACAGGGCTGGTCCAGAAGTAGGGGAAAATGGTTGGTTTGTTCTCAGTGCATGTCTGGCCTATGTCCCCATCACTGACTTCTGCTAAAGCCCTGACTTAATCTATGGATACATGGGTCTCTCACTTCTCCTGAATCTGCGCCATCTTTTTTAGTCAAGAGAAAAGGTTTGGCAGTGAGAAATGTCAAGACCCCATTCCGGAGAGGAAAACATTAAATACAAACAAATAAATAAACCAAATTATATTTCAAACAAATAATATAACTACATTGAAGGTCTGGAGATTGAGGGATGCTATGGTTTGAATCTGGTTTGTTCCCTCCAAAACTCATGTTGAAATTTGATTGCAATTGCAAGTGGTATTGAGAGGCTGGACCACTGGGGGTTGTCTGGGTCATGGGAAGAATCCTTCATGAATAAGATTAATATTCTCATGGAAATGAGTTCTCACTCTTGTGGGACTGGATTAGTTCCTGAGAGAGTGAGTTGTTGTAAAGCAAGCTTCTTCCTAGTGTTTGCTTTCTTTTCACTCATTCCCTAGCCTTTCAGCTTCTCCGCCATGTTGTCAGGCAGCACATGGCCCCCACCAAGAGCTGAGCAGATGCTGATGCCACATTCTTATACTCTCAAGCCACCACAGTCGTGAGCCAAATAAGCTTCTTTTCTTTATAAATTACCTGGACTCAGGTATTCTGTTATGGCGACATAAAACAGACTAAGATAGGAAAGAAAGAACTAGTCAGCTAACTTTTGAACATTGTGTCTTGGCCCTCAAGGCTAATAACAAAAAGAACTCTAAACCAGTATTAAAATCTAGTCAGTAGTCTTCTTTTTCAGAGGCATGGGTTAGTAATTCTTTTTTTTTTTTTTTTTTTTTTTGATATGGAGTCTCGGTCTGTCACCCAGGCTGGAGTGCAGTGGCACGATCTCGGCTCACTGCAAGCTCCACCTCCCAGGTTCACCCCATTCTCCTGCCTCAGCCTCCCCAGTAGCTGGGACCACAGGCGCCTGCCACCATGCCCGGCTAATTTTTTTTTTTTGTATTTTTTAGAAGAGACAGGGTTTCACCGTGTTAGCCAGGATGGTCTTGATCTCCTGACCTCATGATCGGCCCGCCTCGGCCTCCCAAAGTACTGGGATTACAGGTGTGAGCCATCGCGCCCAGCCTGGGTTAGTAATTCTGAAACAACTTTCTGTACACTCTAGGACTGAGCAATTAAGTGAAAATGTGTGTTATGGATAATAGGAACCAGGTTTCTCACTGTTCAGAGAACAGGAAAGGGGAGAAAATTAAATAAAACATGTGGTATTGGATTGGAATGAAAGATACTGATATGATCTCATAGGCTTTAATATATATAAATATACAGACAGATAAAGAAATAGCTATTTATAGAAGTACATGGGTGTGTGTGTGTATGTGTCTATGTGTACATACATATATCTACTACCTCTGTCTGCTGAAAGGGACTATAAATAATGGTACTTCAGTTACAAAGAGCATATTTAGCATCCATGGCTTCTAAATACCATTTCCCACTAAAAGCAACCGAGGCTCTCTGAAAAAATGGTCAACTCCACAGTAAAGGCAAGGAAAGTACAAGTTAAGCCTGGAACATCTTGTTGTGCCACCAAGTAAGGAAGTGCTCAAAGAACGATGGGGACATATCAATAAGACACAGAAGCCAGCTTGAAGGGACTCCATTGGCCAAATATAGAACAATATGAACATTAAAATAAAGATGGTAAAGGATTATAACCTGTTGAATAAAATAATAATCCACAAGTCCACACTGATATAAACCAACAACCAGACCAAAAAGTGGGGGTGATGGAAAAGCTCTTCCTTACAGTAGAATTGCAACTGATAAATGTAGAAGGAATGATGAAAACTGGAAAAATGACTATTTGGTAACCATCATAATAGAAAGTGATTCAAGCAAGAAATTATAATGGATGCTAAAACTAGTGAGTATAAGAGTTGAAGGGTAAGCTGATATTTACATGGTCTCAAAGTATCTCTCCACAATATATACATTAATTACAAAGCTTATAGAACAACTTCATGGTGGAGAAACCTAGCAGACACAACTGTAACCAAATGATCAAATTTAACATCATCAGTTATGGCACAAATCATCAGCAAGTGCTTCCTGATATGATGCACTGAGAAGAACGTGACATTACATTTTATGGTATTCCTGCCAAAAGTGTGTGACTTGAATCTAATAATAAGGAAATTATCAGAAATTGCCAGAAATATCAAATTAAGGGATATTCTACAAAATAACGGGGCCAACGTCAATGTCTTGAAATATAAAGACTTGGAAATCATCCCACATTAAAGGAAAGTAAAGAGATAAGACAATTGAATGAATTGCATAATCTTGGACTTTCGTTTGCCAAAAAAGGCCATTTTTAGAACAACTGGTAAAATCTGAATGTCTATTGATTAGATAATAGTATTGTATCAATCTGTATGTCCTGATTTCGATGACTGCACTACGATTATGCAAAAGAACATCCTTATTTTTAGTAAATACACCCTAAAGTATGTATGGATAAAAGGTCATCATGTCTGCAATTTACTCTCAAGTGTTTCAGAAAAACAAAATATGTGTGTGAGAATTGAGTATGAAAAGGGTGAAGTATAAAGCAAATGTAGTAATATGTTAACATTTTGGGGCAATCTGGATAAAATGGTAGTATACAAAAATTCTTTGTGCTATTCCTGCAATTTTTCTGTAAGTCTAACATTATGGCAAAATTTTAAAACTGTTTACAGATTGCATTCTGAAGAAAAATGAAATCATTTCTCCCATCTCTCCTTTGGCAGTAAGTGTATATTATTTTGTGTTATCTTTTTCCCATAAACTCTCTGTCTTCCACATGACACCATGAGCTTCCTGAGGGAAAGAACAGGATCCTACACCTCTTTGTGACCCCAAACCTGCAGAGAACCTATTGGTCATTAGCGATGAGAATGAAGTCAAGTGTTTATTACTGATTCACATATAATAAAGGTGACTAACAGGGTGACTCATAACCCAACAATTCTGTCTCCTCAACCTGGAAGTCTACGCCTTATCAGAGCACATACAAATGTATATAAACAAACTTAAAATATTTCACATTAAGTAATAACTCCCATGGGCTAGAATGGTAGCTTATTCTTCTATGTATATTTAATTCCTTGTACAACTCTTGGCACAGAATAAATGTTCAATAAATGTTTGCTGAAAGATTAAGTGAACCTCACATACCAGGATTGGTGTTCACCAAATTCGTACAAATGGACAAAACAGCCAGAAGTGGACTTCTTTTCCAGAAGGAATAATAGTACAAAGATGGGCCGGGCGCAGTGGCTCACGCCTGTAATCCCAGCAGTTTGGGAGGTCGAGGTGGGCAGATCACCTGAGGTCAGGAGTTCGAGACCAGCCTGGCCAACGTGGAAAAACCCCATCTCTACTAAAAATATAAAAAGTAGCCAGGCATGGTGGTGCGCACCTGTAATCCCAGGTACTTGGGAGGCTGAGGCACGAGAATCTCTTGAACCTGGGAGGCAGAGGTTGCAGTGAGCCGAAATGGCATCATTGCACCCCAGCCTGGGCAACAGAGTGAGAGACTCCATCTCAAAAAACAAAAAACAACAACAACAAAAAATTGTACAAAGATGTTCTTAGCTTCCAAAAGAATAAGCGATTTTATCAAAGATTTTCAAGCCAGTTGTTTTTTGCTAGAGTGGCTCAAAAACATTCCCAGATCTGGTAAATCGCTTTTTTTCATCTGATGTACGATAAGAACCTTTCTAAAGTCTTCGTCAATTTGGTGCCAAGGAAGCCTACCAAAGATGTATTATATTTTTTCTATTATGGCTTCCCTGAACTATGCTGTAAAGTAGAAGGTTTCCTAAGCACTTATCATCTGGCTGGAAACTTGGTATGTGTGCTTGGGGACTAGGGGATGGGGATCAAGAAGAGGCAGCACTGAAGTCTTCATAAGCCATATTCTCATCACTCACCTCTGTTTTTTGTTGTTGTTTTTTTTTGAGACGGAGTCTCGCTCTGTCACCCAGGCTGGAGTGCAGTGGCGCGATCTCGACTCACTGAAAGCTCCGCCTCCTGGGTTCACACCATTCTCCTGCCTCAGCCTCCTGAGTAGGTGGGACTACAGGCACCCGCCACCACACCCGGATAATTTTTTGTATTTTTAGTAGAGATGGGGTTTCGCCGTATTAGCCAGGATGGTCTCGATCTCCTGACCTCGTGATCCGCCCGCCTCGGCCTCCCAAAGTGCTGGGATTACAGGCGTGAGCCACCGCACCCGGCACCTCTGTTTAATGAAGTAATGAACATCTAGCAAAACCAACACTGAGAAAGTATCAGGTTAAAATCCAAGACAAAGCCCATAACAATAACCCGTTAATCAGTATATCATAAAAACCTGAGTTGCGTCCTTCAGAAGGCACTAAGGGAAGTGCACCTGTGTGCTCTTCCTGTGTGTTTTTCCTCCTATGTGATATGGTTTGGATGTCTGTCCCCCCCCAAATCTCATGTTGAAATGTGATTCCAAATGTTGGAGGTGGGGCCTGGTGGGAGGTGACTGCGTCATGGGGGTAGATCCTTCATGAATGGTTTAGCACCATCTCTGTGGTGATAAGTGAGTTCATGCTCACTTAGTTCACGAGAGATCTGGTTGTTCAAAAGTCTGGGACCTCCCCCGACTCTCACTCCCACTCTCACCATGTGACATGCTGGCTCCCCGGTGCCTTCTGCCATGATTGTAAGCTTCCTGAGGCCTCACCAGAAGCAGACACCAGCACCATGCCTCCTGTACAGCCTGCAGAACCATGAGCCAATCAAACCTTTTTTCTTTAGAAATTACCCAGCCTCAGGTATTTATTTACAGCATCACAAAAAATGGCCTAATACACTGTGTATTTGTATGCACATGTATCTAGGACTCTGTGGTAAGAAAGGACACACATTTCCACCCATTACCGGAGAAAACAGGAGCAAGAACAAGACTGACAAATCCAGTCAATGTATAAAAAGGAGTGAGAGAGGAGAAGGAGGGGAGGAAGTCAATACACGTAAGAAGCCAACCCTTTCTTAACTGTGCCTGCCTTCCTGGGTTCACCTTGCTCTGTTTTAGAGTCCACACAATAGCCTGTGCTTTGTCTTCAAGGAAATCCATGAGGCATCATTTCTACCTGTACACTGCAGAAATCAATTCTGTATAACTTCCTCCTTTTGCTAAATCCCTGAGATGCTGCCTATAAATTCAAAGAATTTCAAGCATCAACAATAACCCCTACCCCCACCCTAGAACTTAGTTATGAACATCTGTTGTTTACAAGGGTTCGGGCTGAGAGCTGCCAGACTTGTTCTGCAACCTCTACTTTACCACAGAGGCTGCCAGGGAGGGATGTCTGAATTTCATGCAAGGATGCCCTGTCCCGACTGCTTAAGCAGGAATCAGCAAACACAGCTCAGCATCCTACTGTTGAAGATAATCCTAGTTTGTTCGATTCATTTTCTAATCCTGGCTCTTTAACCAGCTGCACCCTAAATATATTAAGACGCAGAACTGTGCTCATTGATTCTCCCTGAATTTAAAACCCAAGGAGCAACGACAGTGGAGATGTATAAAAGGAGGAGCTAGCAGAAAAGATGAACCTATTTCAACTCTGAAAAACCCAAATCCTACTTTTTTTTTCATTCTCTCTAAATCTTTCGTTAACAGTGAGTCCTTCCCATGTCACACTGTTTCTTTTCAATGTGTGATACTTCTGTGCAGTGTAGGAATTAGATATTAAAGTCTTTACTTCAATTAACCAGGGAACAAATCTAATTGAGAACATAACTATACTATCTTTTACCTTTCCCTGACTGAACCAAGTACAAGTCCCTCCTGAGTACTCCACCTTTCTTCTTTTCCTGGTGACTACTGGAACCTGCTTTAAATGGGGTGCTATTTTTAAATTCCTGTGCACATGTGTTCTTATTATTCTCTCTCAGCCTGCCCGATTTCCCCCATTTCAATTATAAAAACACGTATGGCAGAGACTGTCTTTTCTTCTTATCTTGTAAACCCTTCCCACTTAACACAGTCAGCTCCCAATAAGATGACACAGCTTTTGCCTTGAAAAGAGAACTGGATCAAAGTAAATTCATTTAATTGGCTGCGAATTCCTGAGAATTAAAAATCCCAAGAACACATTGCCTAGTAGTAGTTAGACACATTGCTTCCTGTGTCTGCTACAGAATTATTATGGGGCTTACAGGAGCAGAGAAAAGGAAAACTAAAAGCTCCCCGCACACTAGCACTGTTGTCAAGGAACGTGATCACTACTGTCTTTGCTCCATGGAGCTGAACGCCTGAGGTATGGCCTGCTGACATTCCAGTGGCAAATCCTAGGAGACACAGGAAACTCTCAGGAGTCTCCAACATCCTCCCAATTGCTCATAAAAGCATATTTTGCTTCTAACCTGCCCTCTTATCATTCCCTACCCTAAAAGGAAGATATAAAGCCATTTATGCAGAAGCTTGGGAGCTTCTGTTTGGCCTCATGAGACAAACAACCCAGTAAACCACATACTGTTATGTTCATGACTAAGGTTTGTACTGCACTGGCCTGCTGGCCTCGATGGTAGATACTGCAGGAGGCTGAATAGGACTGGCCTTCTTTTATTTGCCCAAGTCAAAATTGGGACCTGTGGGTCTCAACAGTATATCTTTATAGAAACTCAGCAATTTGGCAATAGGGCTAACTATTAACTCCAAGAGGACGAGAAAATCAGAGAGTGGTTGTATGACAAATGTCTTCCTCTTCATGATTATGAGCCTGGATCTAAAAGTAACCCACCAAGGTTGAACTATATGACACCTTACAGAACAAAACATACAATTGCTGAGTTTTTATAGGGACTGACCATGCAATTACACAGAGTCACATAATTGCCTATGTCCTGCCCAATGTAGCTATACCATAAAAATCAGGGTAGGGGATGAATTTGTCATTCATGAGGGCCCACAGGGGTCTGAAGAAAATGGAAACTGACATATTACCCAGCCAGGCTTAGGAATACTTAACTCTGCACAAGGAATGACTAGTGTATCTAATATACCAGTGTTTTACCCAGTACAGCTGTGCTCAGGCCCAAATCCTGAGGATAGGGATAATAGTTGCTACTATTTACATTTACTATGTGCCAAGCTGTCCTAAGTGTTTCACATATTATTAATTCACTTAACCAGCATAACAACTCCATAAGGTAGTTATGAATATTATCTTCATTTTGCAAACGAGGATACTGAGGTGATTAAAACCTTTCATCTAAAATCACACAGCAAGTAAGTGGGAGAAATCCAGGATTGTGAACCCAGGAAATCTGGTTCCCAGAACTTGTGATCTTAACTATCAGGGCTGACTCTTCTGTGGCTGATCTTAACTATCAGGATTGACTTTTCCTGATAATTATATCAGCTACCATTTATTGAGCATCCATTAAGTCACAAACATTAGCTAGTGCTGTATATACATTATATATATCCTTAGAAGGATCCTTCAAGGTAAGTATTACTGTCAACATTTCACAGGTAAGAAATTGAGGCTAACAGGGGTTAAGTGACTTGCTTAAGGTCACAAGCTAGGAGTAGAAGAGACAAGATTCAGACCCAAGTTTTTCTGGCTCAAAGCTCTGGTTTTTCCCACACAAAGTCACAAAGCTTCCCAAAGAACTTTTAACTGAATTCTTTCTCTCTTCCAAAGACTGGATCACCCTGTCTTGCTGATTCCCAAATGGCCTTCTTGCGTCTCTTCCATTCTGCTTTACCCATGTGTGAGAAGTCCTCCCAACTCTTCCTCCAAAAAGGACTCAACAATGACCTAAGGTTCTACATGAACTGGGCCCATGCAAAACACACCAAAGAACCTTCTGTTAATTTCTGAACAAAGGCATCTTGAGCCATGGAGAAGGGAAGCCAACCCTTGCAACACCAGATGCTACATCTGGGCAAAATCTTTCCTGAGGGAACAAACAGCTCCCAAATATGTCCAAAATGAGTGAGTGATGCACTGGTCCCAGGAAGTCAGGGGTTTTCCCTCCCGGGAGCTTCATGTTTCCTGGTACTTTCCTTCTCAAGGTCACTCCATAAGTCAATGAGGAACCTTCTGGTCTTCCACCCTTTTCCGATTTGCAACCACAACTATAACATTTTCCATGGCCAACTGACTCTATGCTTTTCAACCCAATGCTATCCTGTGAGACTGGTGAATGACTTTGAACTCAACTCCAGGGGAGGAACCCATCCGCAGTAGTGATGTAACTACAGAGATGGCGCACATTCAAATACTGGGCCTGAAGCCGAGAACACAGACTCTACAATAATTTTTCTTTAATTAATTGTGTAACTAACCTCCCACTGAAAGGAGTATTGCAGGTTGAATGTCTACCAAATTCTTAAGATACCTAGGCCCTGCTCCCTCACATCACTTCCAATAGTGACACAACTGATAACCAGCCAAACAAGAAAGTTTACTTTCTATGTCTACCTCCTTGATATTCTGCTAATTTAATATTAGTGAAAATAGGAGATTGTCTTATTCTTCTCTATCTCCAGTACTAAACCCAATTCCTGATACATAATTAGGTTCCCAAAATGTATACTCAATGATACACAAATAAATATATCATTTAAATTCCTTTATACACTCTGTAATCTGAGTATCACAGATGATACAAAGGAAGTTTCCCCTTTGTTCTTCTAAACTCTTACTATTGGAAATCACAAATATTTCCACAGTTTCAACCATCCCCTCTGTGCACGTGTGCAAATCTCTACCAACAGCCAAAAAATCTCTTTAGCCCTGCATACAGCCATTCATTTTGTCAACTACTAGAAATTTTAGCTTCAATACTCTTCCAACACCTTAAACTTAAAATCCAAAACCAAATTTCTCATATTTTACTCCTTCAAAAACAATTCTTTCTCCTAACTTCTGTTAAAAAACACTAGATTTCAGCTGGGCACAGAGGCTTATGCCTGTAATCCCAGCACTTTGGGAGGCCAAGGTGTGCGGATCACCTGAGGTCAGGAGCTCAAGACCAACCTGACCAACATGGAGAAGCCCCGTCTCTACTAAAAATACAAAATTAGCCTGGCGTCGTGGCGCATGCCTGTAATCCCAGCTACTCGGGAGGCTGAGGCAAGAGAATAGCTTGAACCTGGGAGGCAGAGGATGCAGTGAGCTGAGATCGTGCCATTGCACTCCAGCCTGGGCAACAAGAGCGAAACTCCATCTAAAAAAAAACCCAAACAACAACAACAACAACAACAACAACAACAACAAAAAAAAAAAAACAAAAAAGCCCCTCTCTATTTCTTTTAAAGATACCATTAATTTATCAATCACCCAAGTCAAAAAGACACTTTACAGACCTCTTTCTTTTATGGCTTCCAAGCTCACTTGAAACCTGAATCCCATCAGTCAGCAATTCCTGTAGATTCTTCCTGCACCAGGTGCTTTCCGTCTGTCTCTAGACTGTAAGCTCTAGGAGTACAGGGGTGGGTATCTGGCATGTGTCTGGCACATGGTAAGAAGATATATATTTGCTAAATGGACAGAAGGATAAATTCCCCTTCTTTTCATTCCTACCATCCCAACCTAATTTAGATCCTTATGATCTACTGCAGCAACTGGTTTCCTTGGTCTCATGTTTCTTGTCATTTAGCAAACTACCACTAGGTTAATCTTCCTTAATCAGAATTCATACTTATTTAAACCATCAGTGGTTTCCAGTGTCTATTGCATAGAGCCAAATCCCTAATCAAGGGTCAAGGCCCTCCACAATACAAACCCATCTACCTTTGTCCACTTCTTCCACATCCACTTATTCTCCCAGCTAAACCAGTCTACTCACTGTACCTCAAAAGTGCTTTGTTCTTTCTTCTAGCTGTGCCCCTTTTTCCTAGAGTATCTTCCCCTCCCTCTCAAGAGCCATTTTCTTTAAAGCTTTGTTCAAATCTCATTTCCTTACTGAAGTTTCCTGTCTACATCAACTGAGCCTCATCTCTTCTGCAGCATATACTTAGTACTTACTACATATAGCCTTATGTTGAAGATTTGTATTCTTGTATTTGAATTTAATTTCTCCCTGACTAGATTATAATTTCATATGGGAAAGAACTACTCCTTTTATTTCTTTGGATCTCTGTCCTCTAAGAGTTTAGAACAAAACCTCTAAAATAGTCAACAAATATGTGTTGAGGAGAGAAAGAAGCTGGGAGAAACGCTGAAAAGATACTGACAGTGGGTTATAAAATAGCAGAAGGTCTCTGCAAGGAACACAGCAGGACAGAAATGTAGAAGTATTGCTCTAAAAACTCAACAGAAAAAAAAAAGCTACCTAAAAAATGAGCTATTAAAAGCAGGAGATCAAAACCAAGTGAGCTATGACTGAAAGGTAATTTACAGCAAGTCTATTTAAAAAAAAAACAAACAAACAGCCAATGCATTATCAATTAGAGTCCTGCTGGGCCATATTAACACAGATTCCACTTAAAAGAGACAATCAAAGGCTCAGCAACGCATAGGAATACATTTATGCTCTTCAAGGAGCCAAAGAAAATGCAAGAACATCTTCCCTAGAAAGGCTTCCTACCCTCGCATAATACTTTACCACTGCTCTTAATCAAACCAGGCTGACAGAATTTCAGACATTAGCAGGGTCTTCCCACAATTCACAGGGATGGGGAAAGCCATGTTACCTGTCTTAAACAAAGCAGAATAACATAGGGTCAAATAATCGCTACAGTTCTATCTGCAGCATCTCTCATTCTCTGGGGGAAGGAGAAAGAAGGAGAGGGATGGAACCAGAGGGTCAGGCTGCCATGGAGTCAGAACTGTACAGGCTTTAATGAGGATATCTGCACTGAGCGCAATGTGGGAGAGGACAAAAGGTGAGCAGGAGCAGAGCAGAGTAGGAAGCAAAGCCAAAGGCTGACAGCGTAATGGCTTCCAGGGGAGGAGGTGTCCAAAAGATGAAGAAAGCAGTTCAGCAGCGTCCATCCCTAAATGCAATCACTTAGAACTGTAAGAAAATACCCAACCTAACGCAGTATGAGTGGCTGAAACCCAGCCAGGGTAAGAAAGTGGCCTGGAAAAGGGTGAGATGAATCCATGTGGACTGAATTCAGCCCTGGCCAACCTGCTGCATCCCAAGTTGAATAGTTTCCACGTCCCTGAGATGGGTCTGTTCAGAGTTGCTGCTGGCAGCTGCTCTCCTGGCAGTACAGGAAGACAAATTCATGGCATTGCTAGCCCAACAGCTGCTACAGCTCCGGGGGAGGTGATGAGTGCCCACTGAGATGTTCTGGGCAGAGAATGAACTATTCTGGGACCAGTCCTAGAGTCAGCAAAATCAAGGCTACAGTTCACCGACTGAATGAAAATACAGTACTATTGTCACTCCAGAGACCCAGGAAACCAAGAGCACTTTCTCTGTCCCAGCTTCTTTGAATTCCATTGATTCTTGTCCTCACACTTGGCCCCATCTTGTCTATTTCCAAGGGTATGACCTCAGTTTCAGCCCACATTAACCTCACCACTGGACTCCTTTCTTAACAGGTCCTCCTCCTTCCAGTCTCTCTGCTCCAATTGATCATATGCATCGTTGCCATAGTTACCCTTCGAAAGCACAGCCATAATTATGTTCCTTGCTCAAAAACTATCAATGGTCCCCCATGCTTACAGAATAAAGCCCGAACCCTGTCGCCTGGCATTCATAGACCTCTTTAATCTTCTGGCCCCTATCTTTTCCAGGTTTATTTCACTATCACATTTATAATTACTGTTCTTCAGCAAAACAGATAAGTTATCCATCAGCCTTTGTTCTCACTTCTGTTAGCCTTTTCTAATACTGCTCTATCTAAAATGCTTCCTTTCCCATCTTTTCACCTTCTTTCTACAACTTCTCCATTGTCTCAACTGTATTAAGCTTAAAGGATCAATGCCTAGCATTGGCACTTTAATTTTTTTATCTCCCATCCATTGAACTTGACCTCCCTAAAGCCCTCTCCAGTCCTCCAATCAGAAGAAATCTCTCTTCTTTGTGCACCTGTGGCACTCTGTATGGATGGGTGGCCATGGTCTTTCCTACACTTGTCCTTTCATACACCATGGCAGATGCTGCTGATTGTCCCCCAATATTTCCCCTTCTTCTATATTAAGAGAAACTCTACTTTATAGTCACCCAGAACAATAACTACACTTCCCAGCCTCCCTTGCAGTTCAGCATAACCATGTGACTAAGTTCTGGCCAGTCAGATATGAGTTGAAGAGCTGTGTGTGCCACTTCCAGAGTGCACCTTTAAAAAATAAGGCCATACCTGCCCCTCGTCCTGTTGCCTTTTCCTGCTGGCTGGAATGAGAACATGGTGGCAGTGAGCCATCTTGGGTCATACAGAAAAGGATAACACTCTCGGGATGGAATAAGAAGCCTGACAGCCCTGGATGGCTAACACCTAGACTATGACATCAGAGAGAAATCAACCTCTATCTTGTGTATGCCATTATTACTTGGGGTCTATTACATCAGCCAAACTTATATCTTTACCAAATCAGACATGCCTAAGATGCCTTTCCTATGCCAATGTCAAATTTTCAGTTGCCAGCAAATGTTTCAAGCTTGTCTTAGTGCTGCTGACTGCCAGGTACCAATTCTGTTTCAGCAGGATGGTTGTCTCTGCACAGCAATGCTTGTGCTGTGCACACATTTTAACACTTGGTTATCTTTTGCAACACAAAAATGAGTGGAAATGGAAAAACAAAAGTGCTGTTACTAATGTTGCATTGAGGCATTGAGAAGTAGAGGTCTCATCACTGTACTACTAAGATAAGGGCAGAACTCATCAGCTACGTGGACTCTTTAGGTATTCACTGAACTTGAGCAGGCAGGCCATGAGTTTAATGGTGGAAAAACAAACAGAACTAAAGACAAGGTATACAATGCTAAAAATATATCAGGTGAGGGATAATTTGGAATTTCACATATACACTTATTTATAATAATAGAACCTACCTACCCCACATAAAACTGTAGTTAGACATTCAACCATTTGACTTCTGTATACACTTTTAGGAATAAATTATGCATGAAAGTAGGATGTTGCCTGAGCCTCTCTTATTGAGTTTCTCACCACCTTGCCTGTATTAAATGCATTTGTACATATGTTCTATCTCCTCTTCTACCAGGCTGTACCATATGAAATTGCCATTTTGCCTTACAAAAAAAACCAGCAATTTCATATGTTTCACCCTAAGAGATTGAAAACATTTGGGTTTGGGGCTTGTTTTAGTCATCTTTGCATCTCTCACAATACCTTATACATGAGAGAGTATCAATAAGAAATTGCTCTTACAGATCTTCTACTTAAAACACTTCTAGTTCCATCAGACGCCACTTTCCCACCTTACCTTCTACCCTGTGCCTTAAAAAACAAAACTATTCTCTCTCTCTTCAGGTAGCTTTTGCTTCTCCTCATAGTAACTTTTACTACCAATGCAAAACTTTTATTGTCTAAGCCTGGGGTCCTGGATTTAGCTCTTTGTTCTCCTCTTTCTCTTCCCTGAATTCATATACTTTCATCTCTCCCACAATCACTTTTACTCCGAAGATTCTGCTAGCTATCCCCAGTCATAACCTCTTACCTCAGCAGTATGCCATCTCCACCTGGATACCTGATGGCCTCGTACTGCTCTACACCCAAAATGTTCAAAGTAGGATCACCATTCAAAACAGATCTTCCCTCAACACCCCCACTTCTATCGTGAATGCCACAATTCTTCTAGGTCACCAGGGTAGAGACACTGGGTCACCTCTGACCATTATGGTTCTATGCTTTATCCAGTCAGTTATCCAGTCCTATTTAGTTTCTTGAATACCTTCTGAATATATTCCTACTTCCTTTCCACTCCCCCCACTTTTTTTTTTTTTTTTTTTTTTTTTGCTCTTACTTTGTGTGTAGATTACTCCAAAACCTTCATCCTGGCCTTCTGTTTTCCTCGTGTCTCTCTCCCCACCTAAGAACCCAGAGGACCCACTAAAATGCTGCCACACCCAATCTGAACTTCTCTGCTTGCTATCAAAGGGCTATCATTTGGGGTCTACTCTACTTATTTAACCTTATTTTCCACTGCTCTTGAAAATAGCTGTGTTCTCATATCTCTACTAAAGCTCTTTTCACATTATACTATTTACATAGCTCTTTTCCCTGTTAACCAGGGATTTTTTTTTTTTTTTAGACACAGGGTCTCACTCTGTCACCCAGGCTGGTGTGCAGCGGTGCAGTCATAGCTCACTGTAGGCTCCAACTCCTGGAGTGAAGCGATCTTCCCACCTCCTGAGAAGTTAGGACTACAGGCGTGCATCACCATGCTGAGCTAATTTTTTATTTTTTGTAGAGATGGGTTCTTGCTATGTTGCCTAGGCTGGTCTCAAACTCCTGGCCTCAGGAGATCCTCCTATCTTACCCTCTCAAAGTGCTGGGGTTACAGGCATAAGTCACCATGCTCCGCTTAAACAGGAATTCCTAAGTTTATGTTAGTTCCTATAGGAATCAACACAGAGCACAGTACTCAGTAGGTATTTAAAAGTAATTTGTTGAATAAGTAGACTGATTGTTACCCAGAATATGATCAGGCAGGAAGCTATTGGAGTAAACCAGCTATAAAGTGGAAAAGTTGCCCTCTTCCAGGTTCTTGTGCCACCTTGTATTAAATACTTTCCTTCCACAACACTTACCCCAACTTTAAATTACATATCTAATTGTGTGATTTGTTAAATGCCCATTTCTTCATCTAAGTGCTAAGTGCTAAGTGTAGCAGTTTGTTCCCTGCTACACTCCAAGGCACAAAGGAGTTCAAGGAATGTGCAATGGAAATCAGTTAGATGAATGTGTTAGGAACCTTCCCTTTAATAAAGCTGGATCCCACACTAGCCCCTACACCCTCTCATCACCAAATATTCCTGCTTCCTCTCACCTGCACTTGCTGTTCTCTCCTCTGCCACACAAATCTACCTCTCAAGCCTAGGTCCCACCTGCTTCATGACAACTTTCCAGACTATTCCAGAACCTTTAACCATCTCTGACCTCTCATCAGATCTATGTTGTACATAACACCAATTAATGAGATCATTACTGCTTTATGCTCTAATTGCTTCCTGTATTCAAAATCTTCTCTCCAACCACATAATGACTCCCTAAACTTCTCTTGTATTTTCCAATGCCTTGTACAAGCACAGAACTGGTCAATCAATAAATACTCACTGGTTATTTGAGGAAAAAATGTTGCCAAGCACCATCTTTATCAGAAAATAAATCAATTCTTCTAAACTTGGAGAAATCACCCTATTCCTAGTATGTGATCTTAATTAGAACAATTCAGATTGAGAGGTGACAGCATGCTGGCAGTCCTCAGAGCCCTCGCTTGCTCTCGGCACCTCCCCTGCCTGGGCTCCCACTTTGGTGGCATTTGAGGAGCCCTTCAGCCTCCCCCCTGCACTGTGGGAGCCCCTTTCTGGGCTGGCCAAGGCTGGAGCCCACTCCCTCAGCTTGCAGGGAGGTGTGGAGGGAGAGGCACGAGCGGGAACCGGGGCTGCGTGCGGCGCTTGCGGGCCAGCTGGAGTTCCGGGTGGGCTTGGGCTTGGTGGGCCCCGCACTCGGAGCAGCCGGCCAGCCCTGCTGGCCCCGGGCAATGGGGGACTTAGCACCCGGGCCAGTGGCTGCGGAGGGTGTACTGAGTCCCCCAGCAGTGCCGGCCCATCGGCGCTGTGCTCGATTTCTCGCTGGGCCTTAGCTGCCTTCCCGCGGGGCAGGGCTCGGGACCTGCAGCCCGCCATGTCTGAGCCTCCCACCCACTCCATGGGCTCCTGTGCGGCCGGAGCCTCCCCGACGAGCACCACCCCCTGCTCCATGGCGCCCAGTCCCATCGACCACCCAAGGGCTGAGGAATGCGAGCGCACAGCGCAGGACTGGCAGGCAGCTCCACCTGCAGCCCCGGTGCGGGATCCACTAGATGAAGCCAACTGGGCTCCTGAGTCTGGTGGGGACGTGGAAAGTCTTTATATGTAGCTCAGGGATTGTAAATACACCAATCAGCACCCTGTGTTTAGCTCAAGGTTTGTGAGTGCACCAATCGACACTCTGTATCTAGCTGCTCTAGTGAGGACGTGGAGAACCTTTATGTCTAGCTCAAGGATTGTAAATACACCAATCGGCACTCCATATCTAGCTCAAGGTTTGTAAACACACCAATCAGCACCCTGTGTTTAGCTCAAGGTTTGTAAGTGCACCAATCGACACTCTGTATCTAGCTGCTCTGGTGAGGACATGGAGAACCTTTATGTCTAGCTCAAGGACTGTAAATACACCAATCGGCACTCTGAATCTAGCTCAAGGTTTGTAAATACACCAATCAGCACCCTGTGTTTAGCTCAAGATTTGTGAGTGCACCAATCGACACTCTGTATCTAGCTGCTCTGGTGAGGATGTGGAGAACCTTTATGTCTAGCTCAGAGATTGTAAATACACCAATCAGCACTCTGTATCTAGCTCAAGGTTTGTAAACACACCAATCAGCACCCTGTGTTTAGCTCAAGGTTGGTGAATGCACCAATCGACACTCTGTATCTAGCTGCTCTGGTGGGGCCTTAGAGAACCTGTGTGTCAAAACTCTGTATCTAACTAATCTGATGGGGAGGTGGAGAACCTTTGTATCTATCTCAGGGATTGTAAATGCACCAATCAGCACCCTGACAAAACAGGCCACTCGGCTCTACCAATCAGCAGGATGTGGGTGGGGCCAGATAAGAGACTAAAAGCAGGCTGCCCGAGCCAACATTGGCAACCCGCTCGGGTCCCCTTCCACACGGTGGAAGGTTTGTTCTTTTGCTTTTTGCAATAAATCTTGCTAGTGCTCACTTTTTGGGTCCATGCTGCTTTTATGAGCTGTAACACTCACTGCAAAGATCTGCAGCTTCACTCCTGAGCCCAGCGAGACCACAAGCCCACCGGGAGGAACGAACAACTCCAGACGCGCTGCCTTAAGAGCTGTAACACTCACCGTGAAGGTCTGCAGCTTCACTCCTGAGCCAGTGAGACCACGAACCCACCAGAAGGAAGAAACTCCGAACACATCTGAACATCAGAAGGGACAGACTCCAGACACACCACCTTAAGAGCTGTAACACTCACCGCGAGGGTCCGCGGCCTCATTCTTGAAGTCAGTGAGACCAAGAACCCACCAATTCCGGACACAAGATGACTTGGAGATTAACACATCTGAACCTTAATTTGTAACAAATACGTCCATAAGCTGAGAATATGATACAGTACTAAAAATCAAATGCTATTTTAAATTTAGGATGAGATTACCAACAGAATAAATCCAACTTTGAATCATTTTCTAAAGCAAATGATTCCTCCCCTAAGTCTTCATTTATCACATACTAAAATAACATTTTTTTATCAGATGATTCTCTTATCATAAAGAGAATAAGACTTGGGAAAGATAAGAAACTCTGAGGAAAAAAACATCTGGAGGAAATTTTCATTCTGGCTTATTTTGAGATGTCATGTTCTCCTCAACCTTAACCCCATCTTCATTGCACAGAGCTGGCTTTTAAAGGATAATTTGTGTCCTGTATTATTAAGGCAATAAACAAAAATAGAAAATGGGGAAAATAAGATACACTTGGCACTAATTTCAAATTCATTCATTCATTTATTTATTCCACAATATTTAGTGAGCATCTACTATACACCACATATTATACTAGGCACTGTGGGACACCAGAAGATCAAACAAACTTATACAGTCCACTCAGAGAAGATAACAGAAGGTAGATAGTGCTGAATGCCCTAAGAGAAGAACAAATAAAATGCTGTAAGAATTCAGAAGATGGAGAACTTTCTTCCTTCTGGGAGAATCAGGAAAGTTTCCTGGAACAGGGAGCACCTGAGATGGGTCTTAAGACATGGGCATGACTTAGACATGCAAAGATGGAAAGACTGACCACATAACCTCAAGTAACAGGATGCCAGTGACTCACTGGAGTGAATGTTCTGTTTGGCTCGGGTATAGTGGAACAGAAACAAGAAATAAGGTTGGAAACCTGTTTGAGGCTTTCCAGATGTAGAGGGGCTTAAAGACCAAGCCAAAAAGTGTGCACCTTTGTGAATGGAACAGCATTTCCCAAATGTCAATGTGCACACAAATCACATGCTATGTTGTGGGATCTTGTTATAGTAGGACTGGAGTAGGACCTGAGATACTGCATTTCTAACAGTACAGATGAAGCTGACACTGAGAAACTACAATTTGATATCAAAAACATAGATGGGCTGGGTGTGGTGGCTCACACCTGTAATTCCAGCACTTTGGAAGGATGAGGTGGGAGGATCACTTAAGGCCAGGAGTTTGAGACCAAACTGGGCAACATAGCGAAACCCTGTCTCTACAACAATTAAAATAAAATAAAAATAGCTGGGTATGATGGTGCACACCTGCAGTCCCAGCTACTCAGGAGGTAGGCTGAGGCAGGAGGATCACTAGAGCCCAAGAGTTTGAGGCTGCAGGGAGCCAAGATCACGCTATTGTACTTCAGCCTGGGTGACAGAGCAAGACCTTATCTCTAAAAATAATAATAATCATAATAAAAAGAACATAGACAATGGAGAGACATTGAAAGTTTTGCAGAAAGAAATTCTCTGATCGCCAGTGTGTTCCAGGAAGATTAACTCCGATCACAATGGAGCAGGCAGATTGGAATGGAGAGAAACTGTAGACCAAGCTTGTCCAACCTACGGCCTGTGGGCTGCATGGGGGCCAGGATGGCTTTGAATGCAACCCAACGGAAATTTGTAAACTTTCTTAAAATATTATGAGGTTTTTTTGCAATTTTTTTTAAGCTCATCAGCTATTGTATTAGCATATTTTATGGGTGGCCCAAGACAATTCTTCTTCTTCCAATGTGGCCCAGGGAGACCAAAAGATTGGACACCCCTGCTGTGGACTGTGATCCTCAATGCTGGCTGTTCATTAGAATCACCTGGGAAGCTTTTACACCACCCTGTTACCCAGGCCTCACTCCCAGAGATTCTCATTTAATTGGTCTGGAGTGGGGCCCAGATTTCTGTATTTTTTTTAAAGTTCTCCAGGGAATTCTAATATGCAGCCAGGGTTGAAAATCTCTGCTATAGAAGATATAGTAAATACTGCAATCATTCAGGCAAAAAAGATGATGATCTAAACTAGGGCAATGGCACTGGGAACCAAGTGAATGGGCCAGCTGTATAAAATAAACTAAATGTAGAAGAAATAGACCTTAGCAGCTACCTAGACAGGGATTTAGATATAATGGCCTCAACATCATTTATTTCTTCTAATTAAAGACAGTTTGGTGAAATGGTTAAAAATATAGACCCTGCAGCCCAATTCCAGCTCTACTATTTACTAGGGGTGTGTGAGTGTGAGTGTGTGTGTGTGTGTGAGAGAGAGAGAGAGAGAGAGAGAGAGAGAGAGAGAGAGAGAGACAGAGATTAAGATAGACCCTGAGTTAAGCCCCTTAACCTTTTTATGCCTCAGTTTCCTCATCTATAAATTGGGGATAATAACAATAACCATCATATGGAGTTGTTGGGATTAAGCAAACTAACATATATGTAAAGCCCTTAGTAGCATGCCTGGCAACAGAGCTATAAACAAGTTTGCTGTTATTATTAGCATGGTTCATCATCTACTCTCATCTCTACGAAATGTTGAATTGCACTTAAGACTGATCTGGAAAATGAGAAGTCCTTGAGGGCTTTCAACCAATCTGAAGCCAGGGGCTCCTGAATTCAGCTGGATCTAAGTGGCATACCCTGCCCCCCTCCACCCTGGACCCCATATTCCAAGGTCTCAGAGAGTAATAGCCACAGAGCCCCTACTTGAATTGCTGGTCCTTGGTGCTGCATGTCTTGGCCAGGAAGCGTTCTGCCAGCTTCTCCAGGTTGCGGGAGTAGTCCATCTCAATCTCTGCCTTCTTTCGGAAGAAGTCCTGGAGGTCCTGCAACAGTTGCACCCGAAGCTCACACTGCTGGTCCAGGCATTTCATCTGCTCTGTGAGCTGAGCACGGATCTCTACAACAAAAACAAGAGAAGACAGTCAGAAAGACAGCCCTAAATAAACCACCATGCATGCCAATATTCACCCACCTTCCACTTACTTATTCCCCGTGCCCTGGGAAATTGAAAGCCCTGAACAAAAAAGCCTAAAGTCTAAACTGGCCATAGGATGTGAGGCACCTCCAAAAATGCCAACCCTTTTTACACCATTAAAGAACATTGTGAACCAGGAATCTGCTGAATCACTTATGAGAAGCTGCTTATTAAAAATAATAACATTCCTATCTACCATTTATATTACTATGTTTCTAGTGGCACAGAGCCAGAATCTGGGTTGTCTTCTGGCAGAGGGCCCAAATGAATTATCACCCCAACCATCCTATGAGGCAGGTACTACCTCATCCCCATTTTAAAAATGAGAAAACAGAGTCTTGAAGAAGTCAAACTTTTAAGTGGTGAAGCTGGGATTCAAACCCCAAGAGACTGACTTTAGAGACCATGCTCCTACTTTTTGCATTTTTCCCCATCATTTCAAAATGTTGTTTACCATCTTCATGAAGTAGGATGAAGGTCAGGATATTTTAACGGAGATAGGAAGAAAATCTCCCAAGGTCAAATGGTAGCAATCAAAACAAAAGAAGCACAAGAACTTCTGGGCAGGCAAACCATTCACTGTCAATCAGATTTCACAGTTTCCAACATCACAGAATGAAAATCATTTTTTAAGAAGACTTGGAAAGAGATTTTTTTCACTAACAAATATCACTCATATCTGTGTTGCTTAATCTTCATAGATGCTGTAGTGCCTCTATAGTGTCATAGCTAGAAATACTTCTGGTTAAGCTCTAGCATGCAGATTTCTGGCTGGTCAGGGTCCTTGTATGGAGCTAGCAAACACTCTCTCTGGAACTGCTGCAAAGGCAGCTATAGATGCAAACAGATCTGCCTCAAATGCAGCACTGCATTTGTTACTGACAAGAGACCTGGCACTCATAGGAAGCAGTATGACAAAGCCAGACTGATTTTCAGCTCAGAGAAGGCTTGCAGTGTGTATCCTGCTGAAGTTATGTCCCAATCCCCATCTGAGTCAGAATGGAGCCATTTCTTTCATCTTTTCCCTCTGCAAGCCTGCTCAGCTCCAAATGCATTAGGATGTGACAGTGACTCCAATCCCACAGAAAAGGAGCACCTATATTATGCCTTTCCTTATGTGTGCCCCAAATTCATTCCCAAATAGTACAGTTGCAACAATGCTTTCTGTCTATGCTATGTAATGCTATGTAATGCATCATTATGGGGAGAGGGGGTCTAGAGTTTTCACGTGAGCTGCAGATAAATCAGAGGCAAATCAGGATCAGAACTATGATGCTGAAATGTTCTTGAAGCAATGAGGATGGGTAAATGGTGCGTTTAGCTTTGCCTTAAAGTAGTCGAGGCTCCACAATCTGTCCCCATCTACATTTTTGTTTCTGTTTTTACAAATATCAGTATGTCCTTTGCAGATGATCTCAGGTGATCTGTAAGCGCAATTCTCACCCTCTTCATCCTCATCTCTCTCCCTGTCAACCACCAATGCCAACCAGCCCTGCAGTAACCTCACCTGAACTGAAACTGAGCTCCGGAGGATTGTTTCAAGCAGACAGAAGGCTGTGCAGAAAAGCTGCCTACCTCATCACTCATCAAAGCTCTCTTGTTCTGTGTTTTACGGAGTCTGATTACAAGGGTATTGGGGGTAAAGATCTGCAGAGGTTATGTCAGGCATCTGGTTCTTGCCAGGGATTTCTGGGTCTCTTAAAGGGAACAGCCCTTGTTGAGACTATTCCTGTAGGCATCTGTCCCCCTTCAATATATTAGTGAAAAGCTGATAGTAATAGACATTGGGTGGGCAGACTGTACATTGAGAGGGCATTCAGAATGCTTACTAATATTACTTAAATTCCATCCGTTCAGTAAGAACCAAGTGCCAGGCGCGGTGGCTCACGCCTGTAATCCCAGCACTTTGGGAGGCCGAGGCGGGCGGATCACAAGGTCAGGAGATCGAGACCATCATGGCTAACATGGTGAAACCCTGTCTCTACTAAAAATACAAAAAAAAATTAGCCAGGCATGGTGGCAGGTGCCTGTGGTCCCAGCTACTGGGGAGGCTGAGGTGCGAGAATGGCGTGAACCCGGGAGGTGGAGCTTGCACTGAGCAGAGATCGCACCACTGCACTCCAGCCTGGGCGACAGAGCAAGACTCCGTCTCAAACAAACAACAAAAAAAAGAACCAAGGCGTTTTTAGGGTGGAAAGGCTTTCCAGGTACTGAATCAGTAACAGATGTACAGGGGATATGGATGGGCAGTAAGGCTGTCAGGTCCCTCTGAGTCCCCTGTAATGCACTTAAGAATTTACCTCAGTAATCTCACTCACCAGGGGAATACAAAGGAATAGTTAGTTGGATGACACCCACCCTCTGCCAAAAAAAGAGAGGACAAGGCAAAGTCCCATGAAGTTCCAGAAGTAGGCCACTCCAGAGTTAGCCTGTCCAAGGAACAAGTACTTAATAGGAGGCCTCTGAGATATGTGATTTAATATAAGAAACCCCCAAGCACATCCAGCCAGCAAGGAATTCCAGCCTGATTTTGCAGGTGCCTCAATGAGGGCAGCAGAGTATATGCTGCATCACAGGTACTCCCTCTGGAACCCTGAAGGGATGGGAGCATGTGTTTATTGAATACATTTTATAGGCCTTTCTATGTATCATCTCATTTAATTCTCACAGGTAGTCTGTAAGGTATCCACAATTATCCTGATTACACTAAGGAGAAAACTGAAGTAAGACTCTTTAAGTAATTTACCAAAGGGTCAACAATTATGCAACAGGAGCTGGAGCTAAATTAAGGTTTGTCTGACTTGTCAAAGAGGTTAATAGTAGGTCAGAGAAACAAAAACAAGAGAAATAGAACACCAGTTTGGAGTCTCTGAAAGTATCTCTGTGTAAATCACAGTGACCATGACTCTTAACTCCTGGAACATCGCCTTTTCCACTTTCCAGCTGAGGGTTGATTCAGGCCCCTAAGACAAGTTTGGACTTGCCCACCGACTCACCAGCTAGCTCTGTTTCAATCTGTCCACAACCACACTGGATCCCTTCCCCACTTCCTAGATCTACTCTACAGGACAGCTTAGGGGGAAGTGCTTTTCTTGTCCTGTGAGTACACCCTGAGGTCTACCAGGAAGCCCAGAGGACAGAGACAGTAAGAAAGCAATATCCCCACCCCTGATCCAGGAAAAAAAAGAGGCTCTGTTAATAGATACCACCTGCTAGTGTGGTTTATTTGTGATATGACACCATGAGCATCTCCCCTCCCTCACAACTGGCCAAAAAGAAGAAGAGGAAGAGGAAGAAGGAAAAGGAAGGAAGAACAGGAGGTGGAGAAGGAGAAGGAAAAGGAGGAGAAAAAGAAAGAAGAAAGAGAATGAAGAAGGAAAAAGAAGAAAGGAAGCAGAAAGAAGAAGATGCCTCCCTTGTTACCATCTTCAAAGAATCCATACAGGCATTAAGGGAAATTCTAACTACTCTCACTCTTAGGCGTACAGCTCCAAGACAGAACAGTTGTTCTATCCAGGGAAAAATGTGCTGCCTTAGGCGCTGCTGCTGCTGCTCCTACAAAGACAAACAATGGTCCCCAAGAAGGCAGCTATGCTGGCCCCAGTCCCCGTTCATGCACACAAGGGGCAGGAAACAATGGGCCACTGAATACCAGCACTCCTGGGCCATGTGCCCAGGCTGAAGGCCCCTCTGAATCCTGGCCTATCAACAAACAAAAGGGCAGAAAGAAGAAAGAGGCAATTTAAAAACATAGAGGAACTCCTCACAGTTCCCTCATGTGCTTAGGCGATCATGCATGTGCACATCATGTGTACACACTCAAAGACTCACACCACTCATACCACTTACACCATGCTTCACGATACCAACTCAAGAAGACTTTACACATCTGGTTTACAGTTGGATGAGAATACTTGGGAGCTATGGAGATGGTGGGGTCCTTGCCAGTTCCTTCCCTAGAAATACATGGAAAGAAGTCAAGCTCTCACTTTCTAGAAGCAGCTATATCTTAGGGGTACAAAAGAATTCCCTGGCTATTCACAAAGCCAAAGTACTAAGGTCGCCATGAGTCACCTGGAGTGATATATACATCCAAACAGCCTCCCCTGAGCGCCCAGTAGAGCCCATTTATTCAGCAAATCTTACTGAGCCTTTCCTGTATGGAGGCACTGTGCTAGGTGATGGTGACAAAGGAGGAAAAGACAGGTCTAAGCTCTGTCTAAAGAGGCATGGCTTGACAAAGAAGAGAAAGGACAAGAGAACACAAAAAGTCTTATTGTTTCTGCTTTAAATATTCTTTATTATAACAAAGCTGTGGTAATAAGCCCCAACCTGAAGATCTAAGATTTAAAAATCATCAATAGCGGAAAGAAATCACATAACAGGGCTAAGAAAAATCCAATGTCCTCTATCATTTTTTCTTATTATGTTTTTTTAAAAATGACACTTGAATAAAAATTGCAGCTTCCCTTGCAAGAGGAACCCAATTTTTTTAAAAGGTTCCTGAGAATCAGAGTTGACCTCTGGTTGATATTTCATGCAGAGATTCAAGACAAATTTAAACCTCCCTGTTTTGAAATTAAGATAGTGATGATTGTTGCTCAACCTTGTGAATATGTTTAAAAAATTGAATTGTACACTTTAAAAGAGTGAATTTTACAGTATGTGAATTATATCTCACTGAAAAAAACAGATTAAAAAATTTAACCCCACCACATAGCATATTCTGTTGAGCACCATCTGCCAGTGAAGGGGAAAATAACCCAACAAACAGGAGCCAAAAGGAGGAACGGATTCTTGGTTTCCATTTCCCCGTGTGTATGAATTAAACACATTCTGCATTGACTATTCCTAAAGCAAATCTTGGAAGCTGCCCCTCTGGGCCGTAGGCTTGGCCATGACATTGAACTCCACTGGCAGATCACCATTTCCAAACGATGTCAGATAAAGACCTGCCAGGGAGTGTTTTTATATGTGAATTCAAATCCAGCATCACCAGACACACCCATGAAGCTTCCCCTGGGAAATGCTGCCTCCTTGCCCATGCTTGGCCACAGCTGAGACACTAACTATACTCGTCCTAGTATTTAGAAAGAGGCTTATTTCCTTTTTAGAAAGATGCTGAAGGGTCTCAATAAGCATGCAACTGGAAGAAAAACTAGCCCTAATAGGATACTGATCATTTAACAAAAACAGGCAGGGCCCTGCCACGCTGACAATCATGTAGACTCCAAATTACAACACCTGCCAATGCAGATGACACAGTCCTCTGAAAACTGCCCTCACTTCAGAGAACATCCAGGGAATTCACCAGTCAGCAGAGTACAGGGGGTGAGGGAGTGGGGGTGTTCAGCCTATTGCTTTCAATCCAGAGATCCCTTTCTTTCCTCCTTTCAAAATTCATCTTCTTCTTCAGGAATTTTCTCTGATTAAGTCATGAATACCACATTTCTAAGGAGAAAATGGGGGAGGAAGGGCAGGCCAGGAGACAGATGTAATCTTTCAGGAGAGTCACACAGGCATGTCCTTCCTTTCTCCTTGATGTGCCAGCACCCAGGGGGCAGGAGCTGCATCTCCCACAGGCTCTGTTGCCAGCACGTGGAGCAGATCAGCCCGCGCTCCCCATTGGGAACCTGGTCTGACTGCCAGTCTTTTTCCACCCAATCTGCCTCACCTGCTTTTAGCCCCTTCACAAACACATGAAGTCACCTCAGCCATCTCAGGAATATTAATTCCTAGTACCTTTCCAGAGAATGTTACATAAGAATACAATTGAGGCTTTCAGGCGCTACCCTCCATATCTCTTACCAAGACTTCTTATCACAACAGTAATCAGCCCCTCTCAAAACTGTTCCTCAGGAAACAAAATACCAGAATGCCCTGCCAAGTCTTGCTCTCTACTCTGCTAGTTTGCCTTTCTATGAACTTAGTAAAGGGAGGACTCAAAAATCCTTGCTGGACAGATGTGAGAACCAAAGCTCAGAGCAGCAAAGGGGATTGACCAAGATCACACAGCTATTTAGTTGCAGATCCAAGACTGAAATCCAAGTCGCTGAGTTCCCAATGTCCTTTCCTACTTTTACTTACTCTCATTGCAAACATCTATTTGAGTGCCTTCCGGGTGCTCTGGGAATACAGACAAAAAGTTCTTCCTCAAAGTTAGCAGGGTAGTGGAGAAGAAAGAAGAAAAAAACAGTAACAAACAAGGTTAAATAATAATATAAACAAATGAGTATGCGCACAGAGCAGAGAGAGAGACACAGCACCACCCTCAATGTGTTATATGTGCTATAACACATCCTCAGTGACTGACATTACTTACCTATGAGTAGTCAGTTTCCAAGAAAAGGCCATCAAGATACTTTCAGTAAACTAGGAAACAGCAAATATTCTTCCTCAAAGAGTGTGACTGATAGTCTTTTTCTGCATTACTTTACTCTATTAAGTAAGGCACAAAACAGGCCAGGCACAGTGGCTCACCCCTGTAATCCCGGGACTTTGGGAAGCCAAGGTGGGCCGATTACTAGAGCTCAGGAGTTCCAGATGAGCCTGGGCAACATGGCAAAATCCCAGCTCTACAAAATTTTTTTTTAAGTTAGCTGGGGGGGTGGTGCATGCCTTTAGTCCCAGCTACTTGGGAGGCTGAGGTGGGAGGCTTGCTTGAGCCCAGGAGGTCAAGGCCACAGTGAGCCGTGATTGTGCCACTATACTCCAGCCTGGGTGACAGAGCAACACCCTGTCTCAAAAAACTAAATACATAAGGCACAACCAACCAACAAATAGCTATTATGTTTCTGAAATAATTGTTTTTCATTCCTTATATCCATGTTTTCCCCACTCTCGGTCCACATGCTTTCAGTAAAACTGATCCCACCCCTGCCCTCTCCAAAGATAGTGTGCTTTCTCAAATCCAGGCCTTGGCTGGGAGATGGAAGACCTGGGGACAAAGAGAGTGTGACACTGCCACTGCCATCTTGCTACCGTGAGTGGAAAGCCCATTTGAGAATGGAGTTGGCCCAGAGAAGCAGAGCTGAGAGATGGGGAGAAGGAAACATGAGTATCTGAATGAAGTCACGATGAGAAGCCAGCCCTATCCCTGGACCTTTCAGTGACACAAGTCAATTCATTCAATTTTCGCTTAAAACACTTTGCCTAGGCCAGGCATGGTGGCTCACACCTGTAATCCTAGCACTTTGGGAGGCCCAGATGGGAGGACTGCTTGAAGCCGGAAGTTTGAGACCAGCCTGGTCAACATAGCAAGACCTCATCTCAAAAAGATAAAATAAATAAAATAAAAGATATATAAAAAAGAAACAAACAAAAAAACCACTTTGCCTTGGATTTTTGGTCCCTTGCAAAGGGGCTGTAATGGATAAACTGAGGATTTCTGAAGTATGAAGTTCCCTGTTCTCAAGAAATTACAATCTAATTGTGAAGACATGATCCAAATATACATTTCAAAATTTCACATAACAATTCATATTACATAATTGCACAAGATATATAATTATATAGTACAGAAATTATGTTATTGTATACTATAAGGACATGAAATTAAGAATAAATACTACAATGAAAGTGTTGAAAGCTCAGGAAGATCAGTGGGGAATCCCATTACTATAGTCAGGCTTCTGGAGGTAGTCTAAACTTCTTGAAAAGAAGAAATTTGGTCGAGCACAGTGGCTCACACCTGTAATCCCAGCACTTTGTGAGGCCGAGGCAGGCAGATCACGAGGTCAGGAGTTTGAGACTAGCCTGGCCAACATGGTAAAACCCCATCACTACTAAAGATACAAAAAATTAGCCAGGCATGGTGGCACACACCTGTAATTCTAGCTACTTGGGAGGGTGAGGCAGGAGAATCGCTTGAACCCAGGAGGCAGAGGTTACAGTGAGCTGAGATCACACCATTGCACTCCAGCCTGGGTGACAGGGAGAGACTCCATCTCAAAAAATAAAAATAAAAAAAAAGAATAAATTTGTCTGTTCAGTTGACTAATGTACTTGTGGGACCCAGAACAACACCTAGCATTATAGTAGGCCTCCAAGTTTGTGGAGGGAAGGCAGGAGAGGAGAAAGAGAGAGAGAAAGGGAAGGAAACAGAAATCTGAAGTAGTATTCTGAGGAAGAGTAGGATTTCAGTAAATGAAGGGTGAGGAGAGGATATCCCAGAGTAAGAGAAAACGTACACCAAGAGATAGGAATGTTTGAGCGTGGCCTCTCTGTGGGGTAGGGAGGAAGATGTCCTTACTGGAACAAAAGGTGGCACTGAGGCTTGGTCAAAGATAAAGGTGCAAGAGGAGGAATAGCTCCAAAGGCCAATAGAGTAGTTTGGATCTCAAGCAGCCAGAAATGGAGCTGGTAAAAGTTTGTGTCATGATGAATGTAATAAATGGAGTTGAAGCAAGATCACAGTGAAGGAAGTCTGCTGGATGGAGTCCTATGCTGTCTAAATGAAGAAATGGAGTGAACATTAATGAGCAATACAAGCTGAATGGTAGAGAGGTCAAAATGAGTAGGAGAATTCCATGAGTGGAAAATCCCTGCACATACCAACACCAATCATTAGCAATAACACGTACTTTAGAGCCCATGACTCTATAGTATGATTCCAAACCATCCTTCCCTTCACAGTAGTCAGCAAACTGGAGCCATAAGAGACATCCTTGGGTTCAAAGGTAAGACAGTAATCTTGGTGGGAGGAAGGGGGTAGTGGGGGCAGTTGTGACTGGAACTCTGGCCTCCCTGGCTTTCCTTTTGACTGTAGTTTTCTCTGATGGACTTTAAACATGGCCATCTTCAAAACTGTCTGCCCTGTGCGGTAGATTATTCCAAAGCTATGAAAGAAAGAAACACTCCTCCCCTTACATTAACTCCACACTACCTAAAAACAATGCATGCACCTTTGGTAACAAAGAGAAACCAGCTAGTGGGAAAGAGAAGAAGAAAAATGGCCCTACAAGTTTCCAAAAGACGTTCAGTCATCCATTAACTTTCCAGCCCCAAGTGAATGCACAGAAGGCAATCTCATAAAGCCAATGAGAGGGATATTTCAATATCATCGTGACTACTCTGGCAGGCTGCCTTAGTTCTTTCAAGTGACTCAAAAGCAAGTTAAAGACAAAAGGATCCCAAATGAAAAAGCTGCCACATCAAATGCCAAAGTAGTAATTTTAGCTCCTAGGTCTTGCCTGAGATGTTTAAGAAACAGAATTCTCAAGGTCCAAAATTTAGAATTAACTTGTACCACAAACTAAAGATGCAGGATGTGAAGACCAGCAGCTCCTCTGGGAAATGTCAGCTAGTCTGATGCTCCTGATTCATTGCTAGTGACAAGCTGCAAGTCAGTTCCCAAGGACCACGATAATCAACCAACAAACCCAGCAAATATTTATCTAACACCAACTCTGTGGGAAGATCTGGGTGATGAATCATTGGAACACACATGAAAATGTAAGATATTTACACAAGAAAATGTAAGACAGTCTCTTACTCTCAAGGAGCTTACAATTGAATTGGAGAAAAGGAGGACTAAATGCAAAAATATTTAAGAGTATAAGACTGGCATCCTAAGTGCCAAAATAATGGTCCCAGACTACATTAAGAGAGGAAGAAATCAGTAAAATCTAGCATGGACCTCTTGAGACCTTGGGTAGGGGGGGATTTAAACAGAAGCGAGGGGGATGACAGATGAAGGGTTGTAGTTAGCAAAGCAAAGTCAAAGAGGCTAAAATGGGCAGATGAAGCTCAGGAGGCTGTGAGAAGCCTTGTGACTTGAAGGTTCACACAGAAGAGTATGAAGAGAAGGGGTAAATAAGCAGGCCAGGGCCAGCAGAGAGGGTCCTGCATGCCTGATGAGCAGAACAGATACAAACACAGTTCTAAAGGGCTCTGTAAACTCTGGACAAAGCAAAATGAGAGTCTTGAAAAGCAGGACAGCCCAAGAAGAGTCAAAGCTCAAGGAGAGTAAAAATCCAAGAAATTTCCTACCAAACAATTCCTGAAAAGACCAAATGTCAGTTCAAACATGTCCACTCTCTTAGAGGACAAAGGCACACTGTATGTGCTCAAGGCTCCAACACAATCGAGTTGAAAACAAACCAGATCAATATTAAAATCCAGACCCTACGTTCCTGTAGAGCTGGCTCTGGAGAGTTCACTTCATTTTGTGCAGGACCCAGCTTAGCATAAGTACTGGCACATTGTTTCAAGTTTAGTTCAACAAGCAGGGACCAAGCACCTATTCGTTACCAGTGAGAAGGACAAACAAAAATGATTAAAGAAGACCAAGAAGTTCAGTTGGCCCGTGAAATGCCTACGAAGCATCCTACTGGAAAAGGCAGTTGTATTCTCCTTCTGTTCTCAGGAGAGGTCAAGTCTAGAAATAGACACTTGGGAGCCATCAGCAAATATTATAGATGGCAGTTAGGAAGTTAACCAGCAAAGTGAATGCAGCTGTCCATAGACAGCATGTAGAATTAAAAAGATGTAGGCTTAGGATATCCCCATTTAGGTGGAAAGCAAAGCAAGGAGAGATAGGAAAGTAGATTAAGAATGAAGAGAGATGTACAAAAGTGTCAATAACTATGGAGTATTTAAATAAGACAGCAAGGCAAAGAGCTCATTAACCTTGGCAATGAGAAGTCTATCATTATTGAGGGCCTGCTCTGCCAGATTCAGTTTATGCACCACCCCAGATGAACACAACTACCTTGCTGCTGGCTGAAACAGTCTGCCCAGTTCCTATTGCAATGGCTGTTCCTGGGCCTTCATATGTTGTTGATGCACCAGCCTGACAGTGCATTGCCTTCTACCCCTGCGGCGTGACTCTCAATCCCACCCAGGCTTTCTCTCCTGCTACTGAAGCATGAGACTTGGAGTGACCTATTCAATCAGCAGTCATGTCAACAACAAGTACAGAGAAGTGGAGGCTTCAAGAATCAAACTTTGACCTACAGGAGATAGAAACTGACGAATGAAATATTTTCCCTCCTTGCCCCAGTGGACTGTTCAGAGATGCAGTAGCTTCACATAGTTACATGAAGATGTCCCACAAGACCAAGCAATCATCCTCTCATGAAGCTATAGTCAACTTATAAGCAATCTCTTGTTATGTTCTCCCTCCTTCCCTTTCTCCCCATTCCTGCTTCCCTGGGATGACTCTTGCAAATGAAGTGTACGCTTTTGCCTCTCCCTCTAATTTATATTTTCAAGGACTCTAGACTAAGACACCTACCTTGTGACAGGTACTGTTCTGGATGTTGGGTAGACAGTCCCGTCCTTGACAAAACTTATTCCAATGAAAGAATCTGCCCAGCAGATCCTTCAGAATAGATAACCATTTATTTTTCAACAACTCAATATACATGTGAAGTGACTGGTTTGTTATAAGAACTGATTTAGTTGACCACAGTTTTTTTTTATGGAAAGGTAAACTGTCCCCACAAAAGTTATAGGCAGACACATCTTATATATTTACTAGTAATCACATATCCCATTCATTAAGTGCTTATTATGTGCCAAGTAGGCTCCTATTGAGTCACTATTCAAGTATAAAGGTATCTCACTTAATCCTCAAAACACCCCAGGGAGATTAGTTCACAGCAAAGCTGAGTGATTAAGAGGATAGACCGCATTCAGAAAAACTTGAATTTTAATTGTAGTTCTGCCACCTGGTACCTGTGTCTCCCTGAACAAGACACTTAATCTCTCTAAGTTGTTTTCATTATCTACAAAATGGAGTTTGTAATAGCAGCCACTCCACTGGATTGTTATGAAGAATAAAAGAGATGGAGAATATAAAGTGCTTGCTACATGCCTGATGCCTAGTAAGCCTCCATTAAAAGGCAACCACGATTCCTCCCATTTCACAACGAGGGACCACTGAGGTTCAGAGAGATCAGTTAACTGCCTAAGCTCACTCAGACAGTAACAGATCACAACAGGATTTGAACCTAGATGTGTTTAATTCTTAAAATCAGTGCTCTTAACCACTCTCCCCCATCCATTTGTTTCTAATGCTGAGATACGGCCTCATGTGGTTGTCTGTCATAGTGGAATCTTTTAGTGCTAGGCTGGCAATGTTGATTGGTTAACAAAAAGAATCCCCGAATTCCTTCACCTTCACCAAATTAAGAATCCTCATTCTCACTGTCTTAACTCTGAATGTTTAGGTGTATGTGTTGGGAAAGAGGGGGAACCACCTTTTTACCATTTCTTCTTGAAGGCAATAGCAGGAAAAAGTCCATGCCATCATCTAGAGATGCTATCCACTGGAGAGGCCGCAGAGAAAATTCTGACCCTGGAACTGGACTGCCTGGGCTCAAAATGCCAGCTCCACCACCTACTAGCTATGTGTGACCTTGGGCAAATTACTTATCTCTCTATGCAAGAATGTCCCTATTCTGTAAAATTTTGTTAATAACAGTATCTACCTCACAGAGTTTTTATGAGTTAATATTTGTAAAGTTATTAGAATAATTCCTGGTACATTATACTGTAAGCACTACATACATTTCTTCTTCTTTTTTTTTTTTTTTTTTTTTTGAGATGGAGTCTCGCTCTGTTGCCCAGGCTGGAGTGCAATAGAGCAATCTCAGCCCACTGCAACCTCTGCCTCCCAGCCTCAAGCAATTCTCTTGCCTCAGCCTTCCAAGTAGCTGGGATTACAGGCACCTGCCACCACGCCGGGCCAATTTTTTTGTATAGAGACAAAGTTTCACCATGTTGGTCAGGCTGGTCTCAAACTCCTGACCTCTGGTGATCCACCTGCCTTGGCCTCCCAAAGTGCTGGGATTACAGGCATGACCCACCGTGCCCGACTTATATACATTTCTGATAATACATAAAATCTATCCCATAGGTTCTTTGATCCTTTAACTTTTCGATAAAGAAGGTACAGAAAGTGATAGGAATTGAACAAAACTAGTGGCTTCAAACTTTGGCAATCCAACACACATGCACACACACATACACACACAACTGAAAAGTGTCATGAAACAACATTTATCCTTAGTCATGAACTCTGATATTTTCTATAACTTTTTAAATGCTGGTTGTGGCTCACTAATTTGCTTTCATGATTTAGTAAAAGGTCTCAACCTGCAGTTTGAAAAGCTGTGGAATAAACCACATGGCCACCAAAGGCAGAACTAGAACAGTCTTCAAACCACTCAGCTCCTTCTTCATGGGTTATTATTAAATCAGAAAGGGCCTAAGTTTCACTTCTTGCTGTAAAAGAAACTGTACATTCCGTATCCTCCTCCTTTGCCCTCCACAGTTCACGTGAGCACTAGAAATTCAGAGAACACCCAGGAACCAGTGGGCACTTCCTATGTATGCAACTCATGTTACTGTTGCCCAATCTAAGGTGCTGCCATTCAACATCAGGGAGAGTCCTGTGGCCTGTTCTCTTAGTTTCGTCTTCCTTATTTTGAGGCCCAGCAACCGTCATCATTCACTGTACCTTTGGAGCAAAGAAGTTGCTGATCTAAACACCACAAGGCAATGTTGTTATATATTTAGTAAAAAGATTATAAACAGACTAGATGAAACTTATTAGTGGTTAAGTTTAAAAAAACAAAACAAAACACCAAAAAAAAAAAACAGTCCAGCTGGGCGCGGTGGCTCACGCCTATAATCCCAGGACTTTGGGAGGCCAAGGCAGGCGGACCACGAGGTCAGGAGATCGAGACCATCCTGGCTAACACAGTGAAACCCCGTCTCTACTAAAAAAAAAATACAAAAAAAGTAGCTGGGCGTGGTGGCGGGCGCCTGTAGTCCCAGCTACTCAGGAGGCTGAGGCAGGAGAATGGCGTGAACCTGGGAGGCGGAGCTTGCAGTGAGCTGAGATGGCACCACTGCACTCCAGCCTGGGCGACAGAGCGAGACTCCGTCTCAAAAAAAAAAAAAAAAACCTCCTTATCTCTTAAATATTGAAATATTCAAAGATAAATTATATCTGCTATTGTTTCAAAGTAATGGAGGAGAGTGGGAATGGGTGAGGGATACAGATAAAACAAAACTGGCGGCCGGGCGCGGTGGCTCACGCCTGTAATCCCAGCACTTTGGGAGGCCGAGGCGGGCGGATCACGAGGTCAGGAGATCGAGACCATCCCGGCTAAAACGGTGAAACCCCGTCTCTACTAAAAATACAAAAAATTAGCCGGGCGTAGTGGCGGGCGCCTGTAGTCCCAGCTACTTGGGAGGCTGAGGCAGGAGAATGGCGTGAACCCGGGAGGCGGAGCTTGCAGTGAGCCGAGATCCCGCCACTGCACTCCAGCCTGGGCGACAGAGCGAGACTCCGTCTCAAAAAAAAAAAAAACAAAATTGGCCCTGAGCTGATGATTATCAAAGTAGCATGATGGGTACATGAGAATCCATAACACTAGTCTCTCTACTGTATATATTTGAAATTTTTTATAATAAAAAGTTTTTAAATATCTAATTAATGGTGTGTAAAAAAAAGGCTTAAGAGACTCACAATAAATGCAGAGGAAGACAATAAATAAAACAGAAAAAAATATCCAGAGAACTAAATCTGTGAATAGAAAAGGCCCATAATATATCATGAAATGAACACAGAAAAATCAACAAAGACTTATAATGTTTAAATTTTTGCCCTTCAAGGATAAAGAAAGAGTTATTTAAGAATCAATGGATTGCTAACAAAATACAGCAGAAACCCAGATTGGTCTCAGACTTCTCCATAGCAATATTCAAGGCCTGAAGATAATGTAGCCATGTCTTAAAAAATTCTGATAGAGAGCAACTGTGATCCAAGAATATTAGGAGAAGCTGAGTCATCACTCAAGTGTAAAAAAGGTTCAGACATCTCTCTTCCTCTGCAACTTGAAAGATCTCAGCCTATGAAGCACCCACGAACTCGTCTTGAGAAACAGAAATCTTGCACCCAGTAGATCAATCAAAACAAAAACCACAGGAACAGGAAAGCCACGATCAAAGAACAAGTGGCTACATATGGCACCAAGACCAAAAAATGGGAGCATGCAAGTTGGAATGTAAATGTTAGAAAATTGCCAAGGCAAAAAAAGAAACAACAAAAAAAAAGATAAGCTATAAAAATTGAGAGATAGGAAGAGTAGTGCAAGGAAGTTTAAAAACACGAATTACCTAATTCTTCCAGACAATCATCTAAAGTGAAGATATAACTAAAAATGTCTTTAAAAATATTAATAGTGACTTTAGCCTCCTAACAGTTTTCATAATCTTTTTTTAACCTTAGAGAAAACTTTTAGGAACTATTATCTTTGGTAGAGAAAAAAGTACAGCAGCTCTTTCACTTTCATTTCAGTTTTCTTTTCTTCTGTTAAATTCAAGTAAAAAGAAATGCAGTTATTTTTATTTTTATAGTACATACGGTATAATGCCATTCTTATAAAATTATTTCACCCTCACCAGCCACCCTTCTGTTTATGTGTACCAAATGTTAACACTGGAAGAGAAAGTCCATACGCACCATTACCAAATCCAGAGCCTTCCCCTCCTACCTGCCTGCCCTGTCTCAGCCTCTAACCTAGGTTTATCTTTCTACCTGCAAACCAGAACCCACCCCTTCTTGCTTACTCAAGCCCTTTCCTCCTAAAATTATACACTCTTATTTTCCGTATCATCATTTTCCATCTCTACTGGCCCATTACCAGCAGCAGTCAAACACACTGTATTTTCTCCCATCTTATTAAACAAACAAACGCATATTTTCCTTGATCTCTTCCCTTCTCCCAACCCACCTACCTTTTCATCGTGGCTTCTCTTTACATTAAGACTCAAAATGGTGTCCGTACTCCCTGCCTCCACCTTCTTTCTTCCCTTTTTCTCTTAAGGCCACTGTAACCAGGCTCTTGCTTCTACCACTCTTGTGGTGGGTGGTAATGACCTGCACATGGCTAAATATTGCCAACTCTTGAGACTCCACCACCACCATCACTGGCCTGAGAACACCACACTCTCTTGATATGCTACAGACACACATTCTGTCTCCTTTGTTGGGCCCTCTCCTTTTCCAACATCTAAATGCTGAAATGCCCCATGCATGATTCAGTCATAGGATCTGTTTTCTATCTCTCCTTGCTTCCTATCAGATCCCATTCCATTCTATGTCTGGTGATTCCCAAATCTGTATCTACAGTCTAGATCTCTCAGTCAACTCCAGCCTCCAACTGACTTACCATTCCCTCATAGCCATCTAACAGGTACCTAGAACTTAACATGCCTGAACCTGAACTCTTGACACCCCATCCTGACCACACCCCAGCACGTTCCCTACCCCAGTAACGGTACCACCATTCACCTGCCAGGCCACAAATCTTCAGAGTTATTATTGACTCTTCTCTTACAAATTCCCAATCCAATTCATGAGCAAATCCTATCAGCTCTACCTTCAAAATGAGTCTAGAATTCAACCCTTCCTATCCCTTCCACCTTTTGAACAGTGCAACTCAGCCTCATTTTGTTCTGAATTGCTGTGGTAGCTCCTAACTGGTCTTGCTGCCTCCTCCCTTGCTTCCCTGCAGTCTACTCTCCACACTGCAGCCCTGCTCATCATCTTTCAATGGCTTCCCAGTGGAGAAAAGCTAACGGCTTTCCAAAACCTTACATGGCCCAGTTCACCCTTACTCACTGGCCCCCAGCTACACTGGCCTCTCTGGTCATAGAACATGGCAAGCAAACACCCACCTCAGGGCCTTTGCATATGCTTCCCTTCGCTGGAAGCACACTTCCCCACAGTCACGTGGTTAGCTCTCTCACTTCATTGAGCTCTCTGCTCACAGCAGCCTTTGTGACCACTCCATCTGAAAGTGCCCCGACACTCTCTATGCTCTTACCTCATTTTAATTTTTCTTCATGCCACTTGTAAATCTATTTAGGTGTTTATCATTTTCTCCTCCCACTAGAGTGTAAGTTCCATGATGGTAGGGACTTCACTTTGTTCCCTGCTGATCCCCGATGCCACAGTGCCTCACATAGAGTAAGCACTCAATAAAGGCACATTGAATGAATGAATCAAGAGCTGTTTTTTGGGTGATGGGATTTGGAACAATTTATTGCTGGCTTCTTTTTACTTTTCAGTTTTGCTTGAATTTTTTATAACGAGTATTTACTTTTTTAAAAAAATAAGCAAGAGTTATTCCTTTAAAAATTAAAAAAGGAAACCCATCAAAAATCAAAGGAGAGATGCATTATCTAGTCACCTCTGCTATATTTTGACAAGTGTTTTTCCTTCATTATTTATGATAGCTACAAAAGGATTCACAATGTAATGCCCACGGGGAATTTTTCATAATTAATGAAACCTCTTTAGAATGAAACCTTTACTGGAACAAAAGTTTTAATTGCCCAGGGCTGACCATGGAGTATGAAGACAAAGCTCCTGAGTAAGAATAAAAATTTGCAAGGTTTTCCTAAATTTTACTCCCCACTATAATATTTTTTTCAATATTGCTACCATAATCCAGATGCCAGAATCCAGGATCTGTTGGCATCCTGAAACCCAAAAAGTGTGATGGGCCAGGTGTGGTGGCTCACACCTGTAATCCCAGTACTTTGGGAGGCTGAGGCAGGCAGATCACTTGAGGCCAGGAGTTCAAGACCAGCCTGGCCAACATGGCAGAACCCCATCTCTACTAGAAATACAAAAAGTAGCCAGGCATGGTGGTGCACCTGTAAGCCCAGCTACTCAGGAAGCCAAGCCATGAGAACTGCTTGAGCCCACAAGGCAAAGATTGCACTGAGCCGAGATCACACCGCTGCACTCCAGCCTGGGTGACAGAGCAACACTCTGTCTCCAAAAAAAAGTGTGATGATCTTTCATAATGTTTAAATACAAAATAAGAATATCCCTTTCAAATAAGCTGACACTTTTTGAACATGTAATAACCAGGTTCACAGAATCACAGAGGCCAGTGAGAAGAAGATTTAAAAGTACCCGTGTGAGCCCCAGTGACACATGCACCACCAGGAAAGTTTCCTGTCCCTGTCCCTCCAACTAATCCACAGCAACACAATGTCAGCAAGTGGCACAATCTGCCTCCCCTGCCTCCAGGCAGCCATGGGGAAGGTGGAGAGCAAAAGGACCATTCCCTGTGTCACTGATAAGTGAGGCTCAATGTGAAATACAAGGCATGAGAGGCGCCCAAAGGTAGGCAACAAGCTCAGTATCTCCCCTGTATCTTTCTGTCTCAGGTATAATCTGCATCTTCTGCTCTTTTCGTGATAAGAAAAGGAACAGCAACAGCATGTCTACTATGCAAATGTGGACTACTAATCTGGCATCATGGAACTTAATGTAGAAGTTTATGCAACCCTGAGCAAGTTTCAAAACCTGGTCTCCTAACACATATGTCTAAGTTTTCTAAGGCTCCTGACCAAGCAATAGACTGTGAACACCCCAGAAGTTCAAGCAGGTCTTCCAGGGTCTTCACACTGCTAACCGCAATCATGGCAACTCCTTCGTTTCCTTTTTTAAAAAATCAACAACCTTATTGTCTTCCCAATTATCCCTTTATAATTGGGCAGTTTAGAGCCTCAGATATATCAAGTGAGTATGCACAACGATTAGGGGTGATGAGCTAATAAACATCATTATCTAGGCCATGGTGGTTTTGCAACCACCACTTAGGCCAAGATGGTATGAGCATTCTACAGTTTTTCACTGCTCTTATTCTTTGTCATATATCATAAAATGTACAGTCATAGTGGACTGTGGATTAAAAACAAGAAGTTGGCTGGGCATGGTGGCTCAAGCCTATAATCCCAGCACTTTGGGAGGCCGAAGGGGGAGGACCACTTGAAGTCAGGAGTTCCAGACCAGCCTGGCCAACATGGCGAAACCCCATCTCTACAAAACAATACAAAAATTAGCCAGGTGTGGTGTAGGCACCTGTAATTCCAGCTACTCGGGAGTCTGAGGCATGACAATCACTTGAACCCAGGACGCAAAGGTTGCAGTGAGCAGAGATTGCACCATTGTATCCAGCCTGGGCGACAGAGTGAGACTCCATCTCAAAAAAAACAACAACAACAAACGAACAAACAAAAAAACCAACAACAAGAAGTCTAAGACATTGATAAAACCCAATTGTCAACTAGAAGCATAAAAAACAGTACCAAGGCATCCAATTCACATCTAGATGATTTTCACCAGATCACTAGGTTACATTTACCTGATTAAATCTTTAGTATTTCAAAATCCAATATTAAAGACATAAGATATAGAGATAACCATATCCAAATTGGCTTTGTAACTGTTAGAGGAAAGGCATTCCATAGCTACAAGGTGTTACTCCCTTGTAGATATGCAGTTGAAACTCTCTGTGGTAACCGCTACCATGTAGAAACAAAACTTAAAAATTACATGTAAGAAGCAGTCATTCTAGAGTGTGAAATGCAAAAATTCCAAACATTAGGTCAAGAATGCAGGTTTCTCTTATTTTTAAAAAATGTGTTAGCAAGTAATTAAATTTCCAACTATATTTTTAATGTATATTTGGTCTCAAACTAAGCACTATATTTTATTATAAATTTTAAACAAATCACACGCTTACATAATTCATTTAAATAAATTAGTGTATATCACCTATTAAATGAGAAAACATCTTTATATAAAATGGACGCTATTAAATTTTAAAGTGTATATTAAAATAAGCTGTATAATAATTTAATAATGTTGATGTAAAAGAAAATATTTTACATAAATTTGCTTTATAATAGTCTATAAAAGTAATGACATTATTTTTTAAATTCCTGAGGGGGTTCACAAAATTATATTACTCTGAAAGAAGTTCATTTTTTTTTTTTTGAGACAGAGTCTCACTTGGTTGCCCAGGCTGGAGTACAGTGGCATGATCTCGGCTCACTGCGGCCTCTGCCTCCTGGGTTCAAGCAATTCTAGTGAGCCTCAGCCTCCCGAGTAGCTGGAATTACAATGGTGTGCCACCATGCCCGGCTAATTTTTGTATTTTTAGTAGAGATGGGGTTACACCATGTTGGCCAGGTTGGTCTTGAACTCCTGGTCTCAAGTGATCTACCCGCCTCAGCCTCCCAAAGTGCTGGGATTATGGGCGTGAGCCACCATGCCCTGCCCAAGTTCATAAATTTTTAAATGTTGGGAAATACCAGTCTAATATAAAAGTCTTTTTAGTCAGACTCCAGTAATTTAAACCAGCTTCTTGGGCCTGCCTTCCAAAGGAATCTAGTCTACCAGAGAAGACAGACTACCATAAGAAGTAATTGCAATGTAAAAAGCCCATTATCGGGGAAAAAGACGATGCTGTAGGAGTATACAGAAATTGGTCTAGGGCTCAGCAAGAGGCTCGCAGAGGAGCTAGACGTAAAGGATTGGAATTACCTATGGGAAGAAGGCAGGAAAAGTACTCCAGCCAACAGCATGTTCAAAGGCCCAGAGGCAACAGAAAAGAAGCTGCATGCAAGGAACCGAAATAATCGAAGAAATTCAGGGTAACTGAAGCATAGAATTTAAATGAGAAGAGGAAAAAAAGATGAGACTGTTGAAAGAAGCAGGGGTCAAGCTCTGGTGAGTATTGCAAATAGTCTGAAGAAGTATGGAATTGTTCCTAAGAGCAATGGGAAGCTATTAATGTGAACACAGAGTGGGAATTAGATAAGCAAAGTACAATGTTTTTAATGACATAAGTGTTCCCCTCCAACAGAGAGCCAAAGTAGAAGGGAAATGTGAGACTTTTCATTTTCAGAGGGCTCAAGTGTTCTAAGAATCTTCTAATAATGACTCCCTCAAGCTGAATCTTCCAAATAAAGCAAGATGCAAATACTCCCCCTCAAAATGCTGACAGCCTGGTGATCCAAAGGCTAGCAAGAAAATGACCACATGCCCTGACCTTGCAAGTAGATCAGTCTCATCGTTTAGATATTACAGACAGCCCCAGAATCACTGTGTGAGTCAGAAGATTTGGGCCTCTGAGTTTCACTTTCCTCATCCTAGAAACTGTGGTAAGAATTTATCCCCTGCCTACCCACCTCACACCATTTAAAGGCCACTTTTCAACCACATGCCTCAATAACATAAGTGGAAAAGATTCTACCAACTGCATTGACTCAATCCACCAGAAAAAGACAACAAGAAGCAAGAAAATGCTTCATAACGTACAGTATGTCTAAAGTTATCAAGCTGCCTGATCATTTCACACCTCTGAAAAAACATCCTACTGTTCAAATCCATAGATGGGCATATTCAGAATTTGCTTGAGGCAGGAACAAAATTCAGAGCCAAGTCAGCTAGCAGTAAGAAACACTGAACTAAATAAAAGAACCAAATGAAAGACATTAAAACTTAGCATTTGATTCAATCTGGTTCCAGGCTTAGGTTGGATGCAGCTGACAAAAGTGAATCAGCCTGGAGCTGGTGAACTCAGGTTCTGGACCCTGAACACACTACATGACTTGCTTTGATAGAACTTCTGTAGAATTTGTCATGATTTTACATGTCTCAAAAAGTTATTAGTAATTTTAAAAATCAATGAGAATGTAAAAGCAAAGTGTTACAGGTTCCAACAAAGAAAAGCACTCAAGTTTTTTTTTTTTTGTTTTTTTTTTGAGACGGAGTCTCACTCTGTCGCCCAGGCTGGAGTGCAGTGGTGCGATCTCTGCTCACCGCAAGCACCGCCTCCCGGGTTCAAGTTTTTTTTGTTTGTTTGTTTGTTTTTTGAGACAGAGTCTTGCTTTGTCACCCAGGCTAGAGTGCAGTGGTGTGATCTCAGCTGGCTGCAACCTCCACCTCCTGGGCTCAAGCGATTCCCATGCCTCAGCCTCTGGAGTAGCTAGGATTATAAGTATTTTAGTAGAGACAGGATTTCGCTATGTTGGCCAGGCTGGTCTCAAACTCCTGACCTCAAGCGATCTGCCCAACTCAGCCTCCCAAAGTGCTGAGATTACAGGCATGAGCCACCGCACCCAGTCTCAAATTCTTATTACTATGTTTGCCAGTATTTTTTAAAGATATGATAAAAAAAATGGTTTTAAATTATTTTACAGGTCTCCAGGTTCCCTGGGCAGGTGTGTATTATGTCAACTTGATTTAAAAAATTTTTTGACATTAGAATACTTTTAGAGGAAAAGACACAAAATAACACAATAGCTTGACTGGATGAACCTGATTCCCTTGGAAATTTCATTTTCCTTTTCAACAAAGTAGTCTTCCCCAAATTTTAGAAAAAAAAAACCCGTATCCCAGTTCTTTATTATTAAATGGCACATTTCTCAGAATAAAAGGCTGAAAGCATAGTTCCTCTAATTCATAAACTGGAGCATTTTACACTGTATTATGACACTCAGTACAATGTACAATAATTAGCAATTTACATCTGTCTTCCCTGCCAGGTTAGGAGCACCGTTAAGTCCAAGACCATGTCTTATTCATTGTTATATCCCAGCACCTAGCGCAGAGCTGGCATAAATGTTGAACTAAAATAAATGGAAATGAGTTGTGCTTTCCCTGTCTTTAACAATGAATCTTTGGCGGATTCCAACAAAGCCTCAGAGTTAACTATGTGCAGATCCTGGGTCAGCTAAGGCTCACAGTAAAGATTTCTTCCTAATTGCCTCTATCTCCACTCTTCCTTCCCCTTCCCTCTCCACCTCCAGAGGGGAGTTCCCGCTGGAAATTGCACAATTCTTTGTGCAGAGAGAAACAACAAGCTTAGTTCCTGTTGACCTGAAGAGCATAATGTTCTGGCACAGAATCTTCCACCTTCATAGAAGAGTAACAAACTCAATTGGGATTATTTTTCTAACTAAAACTGTCATTTGATGTCTTCTTTTATCTCACCAAGATACAACCTTCTGAGCCACTCATCTTCTATCCTCATCAGTTCCATAATAAGCAAATACAACTTTGGGACAGTCTGAGACAGCGTTTTCTGAATTTTTTCTGACCACAACCCATAATGAGCAATACATGTTATAATGTGATCCAGTATGTGAACACATGCACACTCACCCAAAAAAGTCTGACACAACAATATTTACCCTTTTTGCATCCAATTCACTTTACAATTTTTCATTATTTTTCTATCCTATTCCATTTACATTTTGAAGAAAGCTGGTGAGTAGTCAGCTAAAATGGCTCCACAACCTACTCTGCAAAGGAGTTGCAATCTGCACTTGGAAAAACACTGGTCTATGGACAGGGCTCTGGTCAGTGTTCTCAATAACAGTTTGGAGACTTTAAGCAGTAACACGACAGCTTTCAAAAACAAAACAAGGGCTGGGCGCAATGGTACGTTCCTGTAATCCCAGCTATTCAGGAGGCTGACGGGAGAATTGCTTGAGCCTTGGAGCTGGAGACCAGCTGGGGCAACATAGTGAAACCTTGTCTTAAGAGGAAAAAAAAAATACAAAATCAGGTACACAAAATGAAATTCTCATCCAAAATAAACCATTCTATATCCTTCCTTGAAAAACCACACCAACGCTGGACTTTGTAGCACAAAGACTTGTAAGGAGGTCGGGGCTAGACTAGATCCAGATATGCCTAATATTCAACTAGGCCAAAAGAACTGCCCCCTCGCCCGCCAATGAAATGAAATGCCTCCAAAGTGATCCTCTGGCTATGTACATCCGCTAGCATGCAGGTGGGTAATGAAGAGAGTGGAGACAACCAGCCGATTTCTTCCTGGACTTTCTGAGTTTCAAAGTGCTTTCACTTCTATTATTTCATTTAATGAGATGCTGTCAGAAAGTTCATTTCCAGAACTGGAAAGTATTAGGTGGTAGAGAAAAGCATTTCAGGGCCGAGCACGGTGGCTTATGCCTGTAATCCCAGCACTTTTGGGAAGCTGAGGCAGGAGCATCACTTGAGTCCAGGGGTTCGAGACCAGCCTGGGCAAAATAAGGAGACCTTGTCTCTACAAAAAAAAAAAAAAAAAAAAAAATAGCCAGGTGTGGTGGTGCATGTCTGTGGTCCCAGCTATTTGGGAGGCTGAGGTGGGAGGATTGCCTGAGCCCAGGAGGTCAAGGCTGCAGTAAGCCATGATCACACCACTGCACTCCAGCCTGGTGACAGAGAGACCCTGCCAAAAAAAAGAAAAAAAAGAAAAAAGTGTTTCAAAATGCTGTCTGGGGTAAGAGGGTTAACAGTGGGAAAACATGTTCAGAAATTAACTAAAATAATGTCAAATATGCCAAAAATCGTAAGTATTTGAGATTCTTGAAGCAGACGAAGGGAAAGGTTGGGTTGAGAGTAAGCTATATAAGTATTCCTGTTCTGTATGCCAGAGAATGGGGGGTGGGGGCGCATGGAATCTCATCAATTTACCAAGTCCCAAAAAGAGTAGGTTCCAGGTCTCTAGTAAGGCTTCGATGCCAGGTTTTGTATATTCTCCCTTATAATCAACTTTCCCCTCAATTCTTAGAAAGATCTTATGGAGTTCAGAAGACGATAAAGATGGAAAGTTGTAAGTCCTGAGAGATATAATTGATGTAGATATAGATATTTACAGAATAAAAGCCAACAGCCTAACATGGTATGATGTAATCAGGCATCTCCTCCCTTCCTCCTAAAAACCTCTCACCCTCTCCTCTCTGACCTCATCTCCTAGTCCTTTTCCGCCTCATTCCCACCAGAGCACTCTGCTTCAGCCACAGTGGCCTTCTTGCCATTCCTCAAATACACCAAGCACACTTGAGCCTTAGGGCTCCACCTTAAGGCCTTTAAACTGGCTGTTTCCTCTGCCTGAAATGCCCTTCCCCCAATATCCACGTGGCTTACACTCTTACCTCCTTTAAATTTTTGCACAAATGTGACCTATTCCATGAGGCCTCATCTAAAAGCTCCCTACCCCTTATTTTAAAATGCAACCTGGGCCAGGCACAGGTAGCTCACACCTGTAATCCCAGTACTTTAGGAAGCTGAGGTGGGAGGATTGCTTGAAGCCAGGAGTTTGAGACCAGCCTGGGCAACAAAATGAGACCCTGTCTCTAAAAAATAAAAATTAAAAATTAAAAAATTAGCCAGGCATAGTGGTATGTGACTGTGGTCCCAAGTACTTCAGGAGGCTGAGGCAGAAGGATCCCTTGAGCCCAGGAGTTGGAGGCTGCAATGAGCTATCATGGTGCCACTGCACTCCAACCTGGGCAAGAGAGAGAGAGACCTTGTCTCTTTAAAAAAAAAAAAAAAAAAAAAGGTAGAAGAAGAAAGAAGAAAAAATTTTAAAAAGCAACTCCCCTCACAACTACCCAGCATTCTTGATGCTCCTTACTGTACTTATTACCTTCTAAATACTAGCAATTTATATATTCATCATGTTTATTGTTTGTCTCCCTCTTCCCCAACTGAAATGTTAACTCACAGAGATCTTTATTGTATTGACTGAAATAAAGCATCTAGAGTAGTGTCTGATACATGATCATCAAAAATACCTGTTGCACAGATGAATGAATGAATAAATGAATGAATAATTGTAAAACATATAAGTATATCTTCACCTACTTGGTAGTGGCTAAAAGAAAAAAAGGGTCTTCTACTCTATTTTCTTCTCTTTTTTTTTTTTGAGACAGTCTCACTCTGTCACCCAGGCTGGAGTGCAGTGGCATGATCTTGGCTCACTGCAAACCCTGACTCCCTGGTTCAAGCAATTCTCATGCCTCAGCTTCCCAAGTAGCTGGGATTACAAGCGTGCGCCACCATGCCGGCTAATTTTTTAAATTTTTTTATTTTTGCATTTTTAGTATTTTTCACCAAGTTGTCCAGGTTGGTCTAGAACTCCTGACCTCAAGTGATCTGTCCGTCTCAGCATCCCAAAGTGCTGGGATTACAGGCAAGAGCCACCACTCCCAGCCAGAGGGCCTTCTACTCATAGATAAACAACTGAAATGCAAATGTTCACGGACAGCATTACAATGGTCAAACTACCAGGATAAATTAATAATATCAGATCCTCCTCTGTTTTCATGAGGGAGAAGTTATCTGCAAGGTAGGATTGGCAGCCACCACAAAGGAAGGGAAAAGAGCAAAGACAGGAGGGATTTAAGACAAAAACAGCAACTTTAAAAAGTTCACTACTTATCCATGAGTTATTTCTATTAACCTTTAGCAAAGCAGGAACAAACAAGTTTTAGGAAGATAATTTTGTCAAGCTTCTGAATACCATCATCTAGACTGATTTATTAAGAAATATGTCTTTACCTATTTAATATAGACTTCCTTATAGAGCAGCATGGCTCTGAAGCATGAAGAAAAACAATTTTGCCTCATTTTGGCAAGATCCGAAACCAAATTTATCCAATAGCCAGACTGTGAAAGTCACCAAAATTTTGGGTGTGACTATTGGCCGTAAAGAGTGATAGATGGCCTGAACAACATGGAGAAATCTCGTCTCTACTAAAAATACAAAAATTAGCCGGGTGTGGTGGCACATGCCTGTAATCCCAGCTACTCAGGAGGCTGACGCAGGAGAATCTCTTGAACCCAGGAGGCAGAGGTTGCCGTGAGCCAAGGTCACGCCATTGCACTCCAGCCTGGGCAACAGGAGCAAAACTCCGTCTCAAAAAAAAAAAAAAAAAAGAGTGATAGATGACCATTTGGGGATGTATCCTAAAAGCCAACAGCTTGGATATCCAATCCTGGAACTTCAACAGGACTAGGCAGCAAATACTCAGCTGCTGTGCAATTAACAAATTCAGAATCCGCAGCTTGCTTCCCTGTGGGAAGGGCACCACCCTAAAAACAAAATAAAAGAAGATTCCTCATCCATCTACTCCTCAGTTTCACTGTGGAACTCATGCCCTGGAGAGAGGTAGGTTTATTTCTCATCTGCAAGCAGAGTTCCCAGCCTAAGGAAAACCCCAGAAAGGATTTCAGGCCACAAGGAGGCAATTTCAGAAGGATGAGGCCATAAAACAATTATAGAGGAACGGGTTAATCTGTATCTGGTCATAATCCATATGCCCAAAGCAACATCACTACAAGGTAATCTAACATCAGTCACTGGCTTTTCAACCCAGGCAATTTTCTTCACTCCACCTTCCCACCCTTCCTCAACTCCACCCCCTACCCCACCCCCCAACCCCACACACAAAAACAACAACCAAGTTTTATATAAGGGAGGGGAAGTGGAAAGAAGGCAGAGGGTTAAATTTCTCACATCTAAGGCTCTCGGCAACCTGAATTTACTGAAGCCACTCTCCCAGGAGGGGGCATATTGTGACCAAGCTTTCCTGCTTACCTCCTGCCATCTGCAAAATTAAATTAAATGGTCCTTCGCTTCTGAAATCCTGCCATCAGTGACCAAAGGGAACATCTGAGTATACCAGTCAGAGATCATGGCTTTTCTTTTTTACCAACACACACAAATCATTATGAGATTAAGTTTCTGAATGGCTAATGTGCATCTTCATAAAGAAGCTAAACAATCAGTCTAACACCCACATGGACGGGGTTGAAAGGGACTAGAATTGCACTTGCTGCTGCCTTGGAAGATGATTAAAAGCAGGACAGGCAGAAAGATGATGGCATTTTCACCTCACTTTCACGGAGTAGGGATATTGGGGATGGACATAGGAAGTCAAGCGCCAAGAGCTAAAGGGTAAGAGAAAAGGGCTATTAGAAGGCAATGGGGCCTGGCATGGTGGCTCACACTTGTAATCCCAGCACTTTGGGAGGCCCAGGCTGGTGGATCACGAGGTCAAGAGATCGAGACCATCCTGGCAAATGTGGTGAAGCCCCGTCTCTACTAAAAATACAAAAATTAGCTGGGCATGGCGATGCGTGCCTATAGTCTCAGCTACTTGGGAGGCTGAGGCAGGAGAATCACTTGAACCCGGGAGAGGCGGAGGTTGCAGTGAGCAGAGATCGCGCCACTGCACTCCAGCCTGGTGACAGAGTGAGACTCTGTCTCAAAAAAAAAAAAAAAATTTAAATTTAAAAAATTAAAAAGAAGGCAATGAGAAGACCCCTGGAAGGGAAGAATATCCCCTCCAGTCTCCTCACCCCAAAGGAATTGCTCTCTAGGGGGTTAAACCCATAGACATTAGAAAGCCTGTGGTCACCACACTACAGATGACTGCTCTAAGGCAAATAGAGATTTAAAGCAAAGCAGGGTATTCCTGATACTTTTTGACCTTTTTGCTCTGCCAGTTTCCATTTTCTGACCCTAAAACCCAGACAAAAGATTCTGATGTCTTTAGCCATCTACCCCCCACCTTCCCCTGACTGAACAATTTGATTTGACAATTATTTCCACACCTACCTAGTCTGATTTCCAACACGACTAAATTTGGAACAATGGAAGCAAGTGGGTGAAAAGGAACAAAGAAAATAAAATTCAGGAAATGACAATCTTCAGAGTAACAATATATAATTTGAAAAGTAACTCAGACCAGGAACAGACTTTATTTGAATATAAAATTACATACAAATCATATTTAATTCAAACCACTTCAATCCAACAAATCTTTACTGAGCACCTACTACTATGCCCTGCGGGGAAAGACAAAAAATACTTGGTCAGAGCCCCATCCAGTCTAAAACACAGCAGGCTCCCATTCCTGCACAAAGAGACTTTGGGGAGAACCTGTAAAGGCTCTTGATTAGGGATATATCATAAAGAACCTGTGCCCACCTAAAGATCACTCTTAACAGCATTTTTGGACCCATTTATCACCTCCACAACTCCAGAATGGACAAAGAGGAAAGTTACAGGGACTGAGGTGGAGAGAAAAAATAATACGATTGCCAGCAAAGCTCAGGAATATACGCTTTTTGATGAGACACCCGGAAGGGAGAGTAAAAGAAAGAATCTTTACATCATATTTTTCTTTGAGAAATTACAATCCACAAGAGAGGTTGTTCACCAAGATTTTTTTTTAACCACCCTAGTTTTTTGTTTGTTTGTTTTAGACAGGGTCTTGCTGCGTCACCCAGGCTGGAGTGCAGCGGCATGATCATAGCTCACTGCAAGCTTGAACTCCTGGGGTAAGGCAATCATCCCACTCCAGCCTCTGGGATTAGCAGGGACTACAGGAACACACCATCACACCCGGTGAATTTTTTATTTTTTATTTTTAGTAGAGATAAGGTCTCACTACATTGTCCAGGTTGGTCTTCAACTCCTAGGCTCAAGTGATCCTCCTGCCTTGGCCTCCCAAAGTGCTGGGATTACAGGCATGAGCCACCATGTCCAGCCCATAGTAGTTTGTTTTTGTTTTTGTTTTTGAGACTGAGTCTTGCTTTGTCACCCAGGCTGGAGTGCAGTGATACAATCTCGGCTCACTGCAACCTACGCCTCCCGGGTTCAAGCGATTCTCCTGTCTCAGCCTCCTGAGTAGCTGGGATTACAGGCACATGCCACCACACCCAGATAATTTTTGTATTTTTAGTAGAGACGGGGTTTCACCATGTTAGTTAGGCTGGTCTTGAACTCCTGACCTTGTGATATCATAGTTTTTAATAAGCTCATTTCTCTTTTCCCCTATCTTGTTCTGAAAGACATAGAATTTTCAGAGGGAGAATTAGGAATAAAAGTATCTCTTGATCTGGGATCTAGGAAAAAATACTAGGACATCAGAATCAACTGAATGAAGGGATAGAAAAAAAAAATCCAAGAAATTGGGAACAAGGGAAGTCTGCAAAGCTCCTGGTCCCACAACGTCTACACTCCCAAGCCCAATATCCCGTTGTAGAAGCACTTAGTCTGAAATCATAAAAACAACTTCAACCCATAAATTCTCATCTCTCAACACAGTGACCACCCACAGACGGATTTTTACGAAAATGAAGAGTTCCCCTAGAAGCCTTAACTCTGAGGGTCATCAAAATTAGAACAATCTTTTTTGAGCTTACACACTGCTGTCCTCAAGGGTTGCTCTGGGGTCAGTCTGAAACTGAAGTGATATCAGACCTCTCTGACACTTATTTCTAGTGTCAGTATCTGCCAGCAACTCGCCAAGAGCAAAAGTCCAGGGAGCCCCTTCAGGGAGAAAGTTTCTCACTCTGGATCCCAATTCTACTCTGAAAAATTCAACTGTACAACTAATATTTTACAACAAAGAGGTTCCATTTTAAAAACCCAAGGACACAGAGGGACAGCCAAGGTGACAAGGCTCAAATTCTGATAGAAAATATAAATCCCCAGATATCCTCTTCCCCTGTCCAAGGGCAAAAGCTGACCAGGCCTAGGGAGGAAAGACTCCTGTACAGTCTGGTACACACCACTCCTTCTGCTCATTCCTCCCAGCAACCACTCTTGTTGGGAGATGAATGCAGTCAAATGTTCTCCAGTGATGCAGAGCATTCTCCCATTCTTCAGGGCTTCAAAACAAAGCCAAAGAGCTGCCTGCTGTATTTCTGTACTCTTATAACACAGTGAGATCCAAGGACTTCCAACCATCTGTGTGCCAACCCCCAGCTACTCTAAGACGTAAAAAGTGGAACAAAGGACTTTGTGGCTGCAAAGATGGAGAGAAAATGATGGCTTAAAAGAAAGGCATATCGTTTTCCTTGATAATTATTTTCTTCACTTTGCTTTTCTGTATTTTCCAAACTGTCTATGATAAGCATGTTGCTTTTCTAATTAGAAAAAGCAGGAAATGTTATTTTAAATGTTTTTTTAAAATCAGCAGAGCACTATCCTGAACGCTTTAACGCAATGGTCTGGGGGTACCTACAACACGCCTTGGGGAGGGCAGGGGATGGGAGGCGGAAAGGGAAAGAATGAATGAAAATCCAGTTTTTAAAAAGAGGAAAAGAAAAACTAGGGGGTTGGGGAAAGATGGGGATTTCCTATGCATTAATGTGCACACTTAGACTAAAGAAAAAAATTGCTGGGCACAGTGGCTCACGCCTGTAATCCCAGCTCTTTGGGAGGCTGAGGTGAGTGGAGGAGCTGAGCTCAGGAGTTCAAGACCAGCCTGGCAAACATGGTGAAACCCCACCTCTACCAAAAATGCAAAAATTAGCTGGGCATGGTGGCGCATGCCTGCAGTCCCAGCTACTCAGGAAGCTGAGGCAGGAGAATCGCTTGAACCCAGGAGGTTGAGACTGCAGAGAGCCGAGATCGTGCCACTGCACTCCAGCCTGGGTGACGGAGCGAGACTCCATCAAAAAAGAGAAAAACGAAAAATAAAAAAATTAATTTATAGCAGTAGGCACCTGGTTAGTATACTGCACAAGAAAGTACTCAAAATAGAGAATCATTATTTCTGGGTATGTTCTGAGAAGGAAGATTTCTACTTGGATATATTTTACCCCTGGGCATGTCCAGGTTATAAGGCCCAGGTAGATAATACAGTTCTAAAGACTCAGGGTTTCTCTACTGTCTCAGTAACTCGCCTCCTGTTTCAGGAGGGCCAGAAGCAGCTGCTGGTCACTGCCAAGCAGACAGGACAGCAGCTCTGTTCCCCTTTGCAGTCCTCAGTGCTCTGAAGCTCACCCTCCATTCTACTCTCCTTCTGGCCTCCTGGAAGACTAGGGTCTTATAGGTTCTTCCCCATGAGTCTTACGAGAGAGCCTTCTAATGATAATTCACTGTTACCTGGGCCTGGGCTCATAGGAAGCACACGCCACAGCGAGGGGAGAAACAGATGCCCATTTCCAACAGAAACATCTGTTCCTTCCAGCTCAGGAAAATCTGTTGGCAGAGAATCATGTGGTAAGATTTTTTTGTTAGGAAAAAAGCTAAAATGCACACCACAGAAAAATGGACCAGTGCTATTAGGATACAACCAGTCCTCTATGCTTTTTTTAATTTTTTTTTTTTTTTTTTTTTTTTGAGATGGAGTCTCGGTCTGTTGCCCAGGCTGGAGTGCAGTGGTGTGATCTCGGCTTGCTGCAACCCCTGCCTCCTGGGCTCAAGTGATTCTCGTGCCGCACCCTCCCAAGTAGCTGGGACTACAGGCATGTTCCACCATGCTAGGCTTTGTATTTTTAGTAGAGATGGAGTTTTGCCATGTTGGCCAGGCTGGTCTTGAACTCCTGGCCTCAGGTGATCTGCCCACCTCGGCCTCCCAAAGTGCTGGGATTACAGGCATGGGCCACCAAACCCAGCCATTCTCCATGCATTTTAAAGTAAGGGAACCAAAATCCTGCTTCCTGAAATCTTGCCCATTGTTACGAAAATCTGAGTGCCACACTTTTGCCCACACAGGTGCAACTCCCACTTAGATACAGCTCCCTGACCAGTCACTGCTCCAGGGCAAAGTCCAGTGTCACTGAATGAAAACCATGAGTTCTAGAAAGGAAGTTCATTTGAGTTTTTCACTAAGTAAAGGTCCATAACCATCCGTGTCGGTCAAGACCCTCCCTGCCAGGCCAACATAACCTGGAAACTGGGAAACCCTGAAGAGAAGTTACATTCTTTTAGACTCAAACAACACCACCACCCCAATCCACACCCTGGCCTTTTCAGAAATCTACAGGGGCACTTTTTGTTTGTCAGTGTCTAGGGAAGTGCTACTGGCATTTAGTGCAAAGGGAAAGGAATGTAATGTCCTAAATGTGTGGAACAGTCCCAAAATGCATCTAAAATGCCAATGGCATCTCTGCTAATAATCACTGTATAGAAATAGTTTGGTTTTATTGGTTTCGTCTGTTTTCCTAAATAGGTATAACAGTCATTCACCTGGGGGAAACATTCTCAATACAAAACAGTAAACAATGACAAGTAAGTTTCCCTCTCATCCCTACCCTTCCCCAAAGGTCTATACCTCTGAGGAAACCATTTTCTTATATATCCTTCAAGAAATACTAACTGTGTAAACAAGCATCTGTGTATATGCCCCTTCCCTTTTTAAAACGTGGCACGTGTGCCACATTTTTTTCATTTAACAGTGTGTCTTGGAGATTTTTCATATTAGTACATATCAATCTGCCCCTTCTTTCTACCAGCTGCATAGCATTCCACTGCATAGCTATGCTTTTGTTTATTCAACCAGTCTCTTTTTTTGGTGGTACCTGCCATTGTTTCCAATTTTTTGCTGCCATAAACAATGCTGTAATGAATGTAGATGTGGGTGTATCTACAGAATAAAGTGGTAGAAGGAAACCAGTAAGTCAAAGGGTATATACATTTTAAATTATTTCTAATACTGCCCATTCAACAATATAGGAGACTTCTTGCTACTCTGTACTCAGAATGCAATGTATGAGCAAATGTTTTTTATCTAATATGTGAAAAATGACTACATACTGTACTTGCAATTTAATTTGTATTCCTCTATTATGAATAAGACCTGGCATCATTCATTTCCTATGTTCATAGGTTTCCATGTTGCAATAAGTCTTTGCGGGTGTTAGTAAGTTATTTAGTTAGTCTGTTTTAAACAACAGTTCATGTTCTTTACTCATTTTTTCTTTGGATTACTGATCTTTTTTGACTTTTTGTTGACTGTGTGAACACTTTATAAAGGAAATTAGCCCCTTCTCATGTGTTGCAAATATTTTTCCCAGTTCATCTTTTGGTTTTATGATATTATTTTTAACCATGTAGAACTTTTAAAATTTGTCAATCTTTTCTTACATAGCTCCTGAATTTTCAGTCAGGCTTACATTATATTCCATGGTTTAAAAATATATACCTCTATATTTTCTTTTAATATTTTTATGGTTTCATTTTGTACATGTATATTTTAATCAATATAAAATTTACTTCCATATAAGGAGGAAGACAGGGATCCAATTTAATTTTTTCCCAAATGGCTACCCAGTTGTCTCAAAACCAGTTATTGAAAAATCCATTCCTCTCTCCCATCCCACCAATTTGAAATACCATGGTTTACTCTATGCCAAATGCCTTTGTGTATTCGGCTGTACTTCTGCATTCTCTACCCTGTTTTTCTAGACTCTATTTTTAATTTGGAGATGGCAAAAACAAATCTAGGGAGCAACCTTGAAGTGTCATAAAGAAAAGAAAATGGCCTTTAGAGCCTAGAGGCAGTGTTCATAGAAATTGGAATTAAAAATCATTCTCTCTGATGACTCTAAGTCCAGCTATTCCATGGGACTTTACCCCAAGCCTCATCTTCTGCTTGTAAATAGTTTATATTTTTAAATGTAAACCTTTTATTAAAATGTAACGTAGATACAGAAAGGAACACAACTCTTAAGTATCCAGCTTAAAGAATTTTCACAAAGTTAACAAAATCATGCAACCAGCACCCAGATAAAAAATAGAGCATCGCTAGTGCTCTGAAAGCCCCTTTGGCTTCCCTTCCAGTCATTACCCTTCCATAAGGGTGACCATGATACGGATTACTATCACCATAGATTGGTCCTGCCTCTTTTAAAATTTCATATAAATGGAATCATATAGGATGCACTCTTGTTTCATGCCTCTTTCACTCCTTACTATGAGATTCATCCATGTTGTTTTGTAAAATTCATATTCATACTCTCATTATATACGTAGTATTCCACTGTATGAATACACCACACTTTGTTTATTCATTCTACTTCTGAAGAGCATTTTGGTAGTTATTTGGGTCTTATAATTAACACTGCTAAGAGCATCTTTGTATGCCTTTAAGTCATCCTACTAGTTTTATCCTTTCTGAATCCTTTTGTTTTAGGTATGTCTCTTCTACAGAGCAATGAATTGGTTTTGCTTGAAAGTCAATCTGAAAATATTTTCCTTTTATTAGGTGATTTTCAGCTCATTTATATATTTATATTACTGATATATTTAGTCTTAAGCCTGTCATATTATTTTATATTATTTTTACTGTTTCTATTATGTTAAATTCACTCTGTGATTTGTTTTCTTTGCCTGTTTTTCTATTTAGGGGAGTCCGCATTTTTGTTCTAGTGGTTATCTTTACACTAATACTTTTTATAATGTCCTTAGCCCCCTTTTGTTCTTACTCTCCTACTATCTGGTTTGTCAGCTTTCAATAATGAATTCTTTGACTCCCAATTATTTATTAACTTTGTGACAGTCTGATTCTATTCTCCCCTTTTTATCTGCCTTCCTCCATTCTGCTCCCATTTTTATTGGCTTTATTTCTATTTTTCAGAACATATATCATTTACACACGTTATTCTTCCATCCTTTCCTTACCTTTGCTTTAGTCTTATATCTATCTTAAAATATATTCCATGTTTGAATACTATACAGCCATAAAAAAGGATGAGTTCAAGTCCTTTGTAGGGACATGGATGAAACCATCATTCTGAGCAAACTATCGCAAGGAAAAAAAAAACCAAACACGGCATGTTCTCATTCATAGGTGGGAACTGAACAATGAGAACACTTGGACACAGGATGGGGAACATCACACACAGGGGCCTGTCATGGGGTGGGGGGAGGTGGGAGGGATAGTATTAGGAGATATACTTATTGTAAATGAAGAGTTAATGGGTGCAGCACACCAACATGGCACATGTATACATATGTAACAAACCTGCACATTGTGCATATGTACTCTAGAACTTAAAGTATAATTTAAAAAAAAAAAAAAAAAAATATATATATATATATATATATATATATATATATATATATATAGTCCATGTTCATCATAAGCCCTTTTGTTAAAATTTTCCCAAATCATATTTGCATGGAAGAACTTGTCACCTTCATTTTAAAGGATATTTTCACACTGTAGAGAATTTTATTTGTATGTTATTTTCCTTATTTTGAAGATATAAATCCATTTTTTTCTGGATTCCTTTTTTTCTATTGAGAATTCATCCATCACTCTTTTCTATTCACTCTGCATAAAACCCATCCACTAAATTCTTACTTTCATTTATTATATTTTTAGTTTTATATTTGTCACTTTATCCAGTTTTGAATTTCCAGTTCTCTGCCAAAATAATATATCTTGTTTTTATCTTACCCTTAAACATATTTTGAAAAGTTATTTTTAAATCCATACCTGATGACTCCATTATCTGGATACTCTGTGGATCTGTTTCTATTATTTATTACGTCTCTTAGTTTCAAATTATTTTGTTATGTTACCTCATATGCCTGGCTGTTTTTAACTGCATACTGGACATTTTATATGAAAAAATATAGAAATTAGAGAAATAATTTAAGACTTCACCAAGAGGATCGTCCTTTGCTTCTGAGATGGAGCTAAGAAAACTGGCCATCCAATCAAGATCCTTAACCCAGTCAGGGAATGAGAGGGTATGAAGCTGGGCCTCAGTCTCTATGAGGGCTAGTCAATTTTCCGTTCATACTCGATCCTAAAGTTCAGCACCTCAGAATAGCAACCCAAAGCCAAAGATATTTGCCACGGCCCACTCTCCTTGGCAGGTCCTAAATTTTGAGCCTCTAGCACCATGAATGTTTGAAAGTGGCCGGGCTCGGTGGCTCACGCCTGTAATCCCAGCACTTTGGGAGGCAGAGGCAGGCGGATCACGAGGTCAGGAGATCGAGACCATCCTGGCTAACACGGTGAAACCCCGTCTCTACTAAAAATACAAAAAATTAGCCCGGAGTGGTGGTGGGCGCCTGTAGTCCCAGCTACTTGGGAGGCTGAGGCAGGAGAATGGCGTGAACCCGGGAGGCGGAGCTTGCAGTGAGCCAAGATTGCGCCACTGCACTCCAGCCTGGGCGACAGAGCAAGACTCCGTCTCAAAAAAAAAAAAAAAAAAAAAGTAAGTTTTGCTGGAAAGATTTCTAGCCTCTCAGCTGCCTCTTTAAGAATCAGAAGATATGCCTCTAGGGGAAAGTTTGTCCCAATGTCACTCTCGAATTTCCTTGTTCTCCAAGATCTTGGCTCCATAATATCCTGCTGCTTTGTTAGCTCTCCACTGACTTCAAACAGATTACCAAAATTTTGTCCCAATTTTGGATTATTCCTTATGGAATTATATTGTCCATGATATCCAGAAGAAGACCTCCAATGAAGAAACCTGGAGGAGGGACAAGCATAGCTGGTAAGGCAGCTTGATGATTGTCATTAAGGATGCAGGGCTCCATCTATTTTTCTTCAGTGAGTTAACACAGCACTTCACATCACAAGATGGCAGCTGAATGTCCAGGCATCTCATCATATTTTAAGCAATAAAAAATACAGAAGGTCGGGCGTGGTGGCTCATGCCTGTAATCCCAGCAGTTTGGGAGGCAGAGGCGGGAGGATCACCTGAGGTCAGGAGTCCAAGACCAGCCTGACCAACATGGAGAAACTCCATCTCTACTAAAAATACAACATTAGCCGGGCGTGGTGGCACATGCCTGTAATCCTAGCTACTCAAGAGGCTGAGGCAAGAGAATCGCTTGAAACCAGGAGGCGGAGGGTGCAGTGAGCCGAGATCGCACCATTGCACTCCAGCCTGGGCAACAAGAGCAAGACTCCATCTCAAAGAAAAAAAAAAAGAAACATAGAGAATGAAAACAATGGGCCATGCCAGCCAGGTCTGTTTCCTTTCCCATATTTTTTAATAAAAAGAATGCCTTCTTTGAGTTATGTTTGCCCTATTCATAATAATTTGCCTTCTCTTTTATAACTGGAGACTCTGAAGAGTCACATAACCTCTTTAGGTCTTAGTTTCAGTCAAATGAGTGACCTGCACTAGATGATCTCTAAGCACCTTCCAGCTCAAACATTCTTAGATTCTATTAACTTGCTTATCTTCTCATTATTTTTAGGAGAAAAGTAGAAAGAAATAGGAGAGTTTACCTATTTAAGAGGCAAGAACTGAAGTCTAAGGATGTAGAATGTCCAGAGCTTTATCCCCTGAATGGCAGAGGTCTCAATTTAAGTTAAATCAATATACCAAAACCTAGGTTTAAAAATTAAGCTGGAGAGAAAAAAACACGTTCACTTTATGAAAAATAATTCTAATCTTCTGGCAGGTTTTGTTATAATGCTTTTCTAATGCCTTGAAATTATGATTAGATTTACAGTAATTCAATTTGCACACAACTTTCAAAAATATCCACATGCTCTTTTGTTCATCTCTAATTACTATTATTTTTCTGAAACAGACCAATACACTATTCTTGGTGATTCCTATCACCAAGAATATCAAGCATTCCTTCTCTCTTGGTATTTCTGTGACCGTCTTTCTAGGACTTTAGGAGCAATTTTCTAAGTGCCTCTCAAGCCCAAATCTTCAGCTATTAATGAACATTCAAAGAGAACATCTTTAAATCCCCAACTTGAATTTTTATATTTTTACTTCTTTAGAGGTGGAATGTTGAGAGATTCCATATATTTGGTTAAAACAAATATGAAAAGATTCCTTATTTTTCTCCACCCTTCCTTACATTCCTCATGACCAACCATCCTCCCAAAAGGAAGCGGGGTACAATTTGTCTACATTATGCCAAATATTTCAGCTTTTTAGTTTCACCATGGAAAAAGCATTAAACTCAGCTGAATTATTCATGAGATCCTAGGTAACATGATCATTGTTTTTGGCCTTTGGCTTCAATACTTTCAGCCTTGCAACTCATTTTAGAGTTTCTGAATGGGGTTAACAAGGGACTTTGCTATATACACATCATTAAACTGTTGGCATGTGTCCTGGCACGGAAATTTACACTGTATCAATAAACCCATATATTTGCAAGGATGTGTGTGTCTTCAATGCTGTTCTTACTTTGATCAATTTTTCCTACTTCCCTGGAGTTTCACCCAGATCAGATTTTTAGAGTATGTGCCAACATGAGATGACTAAAATATTCGAGACAGAAAGAAAAATCTGAGCCCCAGTTTAGAGATTCTCAATCTTCCTCCAGGGATGATCATAAGACTGGCTTGATGGATGAGGGGCAAATGTCACCATGCACATCACTCTGAATTCCCTTCATTGCAGTAGCAAAAGCATGTTTCCCAGTTTGGACATAGAATTAAACAGCCCATACTCTTCCAGTGCCCAAAGTTTTTGAATGAATTGATTCTTCCTTATAACTGTCATTTAGACATGCCTCCTCTCCTGACCTTCTCCTATTCTCATTGCTTTGGTTTGCCCCAAAGAAAAGGAAGAAAAGAAAAGCAGATAAAGCTCTCCTTTCCCCATTACAACTCCCAAGTAACACTTTTCTCATTTCTTCCTATCAAGGCAGAATAGGTGCTGCCCACCCTCGTACCAAGAGATTTCTTACGGTCACACAAAGTAAATCATCATTGCCAACTGGCACTGAACCTAATGTTCCTCAATGATCAGACCTGAGCTCTATCCCTATGTTTCTTCCAGAAAAGTTATAACCATTCTCAAAGTTTTCACTGGAGAGCATTTAAGATTTAAGGAAATATGTCATCATTCTATTTCCTTCCAAAATTATATTATGCAAGATATAAGCATTATGCATCAATTTGCATTCCACTTCTCCCCAGTGTGAGAGTCTGGTTAATACAATTAAACTGGATCAGTACCTACTAAGCAACTAGATCTCTGGAAAGTCTGAATGCTGAAGATGGATGCCCTCGGGGAGGGGCTTAACACAGCACATAAACAAAGCTCAGATTTCATCTTCCACTAAACCCAGCAGGACACTAATGAGTTTCTAAAGATGCAGAGCAAACTAATATCATTCTCGGTTGTCATTTATTTTGGAGTACACTAGTTATTTAATTTTGTCACATGCTACCAAGTAATACAACACATTGCTTTCTTGCCTTCAGTGTTATCCCCTTTCCAAGGCATAAGAAACTACTCTAGAAGTATCCAGAGTCTTAAGACATATAGGGAAATATTAAAAGTCATTAATATGAGTCCTGGGGGATTCCCATTTCCTTCTCATAGCCTCTTTGTTCTTTGGAGATTTTTCTATCACATGATCTTGTTTATTTTCTTTTATAGCACTTATCTCAATATTTAATTATCTTAGTTTATTTATTATGTCTCCCTCATAGATGTAATCTCCATTAGAGAAGAGACTTCTGTGTTGTTCACTGTTATATCCCCAACCTAACAGTGCCCAGCACAAAGTTAAATACTCAATACATATGTATTAAATGACTATTAAGGCAGTAAGAATGGGCTGGGTTCTGCTGCATGAACAACTAACCCCCAAAATTTCAGTGGCTTAACCTCACAAAAGCTCATTTATTTTTTATGCTGTGTGTCCAACAAGGGTCAGGGAGGGGCAATCTTTCCATCATTGTAGTTCAAGAGCTCAGATTGACAGAGGTTCCACCTGCTCACAAACTTTCACCATCACCAAGGCAAGAAAAGAGAGCACTGAACTGTCCCATACTGGCAACTGCTTCTGCCCAGAATTGCCATGTATGGCCACATTTTGCTGGCCAATGCAAGTCAAATGGTACCCCTAACTTGAAAGGGAAGGAAGGAAATAGATGTGAGTAAGCACTGGAAGCCTGTAAAAAATTAAACAGCGACTCCAGAATCTTGCTGTTTTAAGGGGTTCATTTGGTCCAGCCCTGTTTCCAGGCAAGGCTGCAATCAGAAGGTAACAGATAACAGCAGATGTACTAAACAAGCAGACAAACTAACAATGGACATTAAGTACATCATACCAAGAGGCTTTTCAAAATCAGTAATCAAGTGGCACTATCAGGAGAACCTTTATAGGAAAAAAAAAAAGTCTTAATTGCCCAATCAAAAGGAAATACTTGTATTCCTTATGTCATTTACCTTAGGAACAAGGTAAATGATTCAGTTACGCTCTGTATTCATGCTCTTTTACTAAAACCTTCTTGGGGACTAAACCAACTGTAGGAAAATATCCAACAATTTGACGTCATGTTTTCAGAAGACAAAAAAAAAAAAAAAAACCCACGATAAAACCCTGTTCACTGAAATCCCATTCATACATTTATTTTTTTACCAAAGTAATACATGCGAACAAAAGCAATCAACTGGTGGCAGCATTTAGGCCCACTAAGACACAACCACCCATTACCAAAGAAGGCCTGCACATCATTCTGACTCATGTTTGGAACTTTCTCTAGAGCACATCTCTTGGTATTTCCTGCAGATATACAGCAAGCAAGATTTCATTCCTGCCAGACAAGCTTTTTTTTTTTTTAATCTCCACCAGTCAGTCTCTTACAGTGAGATAACCTCCAGTCACAACTCTCTCTCCAAATGAATTCCCAAGTTGCCATGGCAACTAACACCTTCCTCCAATACTGTCAATATGCTTCCCAACCCTAAAGGCAGCCCTCGATTTACTGCCAGAAGTACCAATCTCCTCATGTAAAAGAGAGTGCCTTCCTTTGCTCCAAAACTATCATGAGATTCTTTAGAAGACCCTCTGTTAATAATATTAATAGTATCAGCTACCACCTATTGAGGGCCAACTTTATTTCTATTATCTCATTTAATCATTTCAAAAAAAAAAAAAACAAAAACACTGCATGGTAGATATCACTCTCTTTACTTTACAGATTTAAATAATTATAAATCGGAGGTTATATAACTTGACCAAGAGGCAGAACCAGGATTTGAACACAGAATCTTCTGGCCCAGATTATCTCTGAGGCTTCCTCCTTTGACACAAGATCTTTTCCAGCTCAGAGGAGTAACTTCATCTGTCTTGTTCTCTCAGCCTAACCTTGCTTCTTTTTCTAAAAGTGCTTTCTACACTTCAAGACAATTTAGTTTGCTTTAATAACAACACTGCTCTAAATCCAATGGCACTTAAAGGTGTGTTAATGCTGATTAAACATTAAGAGAGAAAAGACTTCATTCTCCTGCTCTTCATCTCCAAGGGCTTTGGTGGGGAAGAATGAGATAATGGGTGCTAAGGGTTTTGTACTGAGAATGAAGGTATACAAGATCAATACCCAGCAGATATTGAGGTGTCCACAGTGTGACCAAGTGCCAAGGAATGTCCATAAGGGTAGAACTGCAGCCAAGTCTCCTGGATTTGCTTCCTTGGACCCCTTCCTCGGGCCCCACGCCTACCCGTATGACCACATCCTCACTATTCTCCCCTAAACACAAATCGAGGGACATACAAAGCAAGCACCGTACTTACTTCTTAGCCAATCCGTCCCCTCCCCCATCCCCAACACACAGGGAGACTTTATGTTAGCCTTGTAAATAAGAAACACCATTCCACAGTTATTTTTCCAGTCTGCCTTTTTTTTAACTGCTCACCTGGCAGAAACTGTTATTCTCCTGGCCAGCAGCTATTTGTAAAACTGGTCTGCCTCCTTATTTTTATACCAAAGATACTAATTCTTTAGTAGAAACGGGAGTATTCCAAATAAGACAATTAGCAAGTCACCTAGAATTTCCACCCACTCCACAGAGGCACACAAACAAGAGAATTAACCCAATTTGTTGTCTATAATAAACAGGACATTCTACCCACCACAGAGCCCCAGAGGTTTGTACGAGATTACTAACTCCTAGTAGTAACGGCTACAATGGCCCAGTTCCCTATTTTATTACTGTGTGCTGAAATTTTAAAGGCGCTCCTCTCCCACCCCCATCTTCCCTTGCATACTTCTGCACATCAATCCATTAAGAATCTGAAGTGTAATTTATCTTATTCACTATTATCCTGTTAAATTGCTCTACAGCTGCCATGGCAGTAATTGCAGTGATCAGTGATTCAGACTTCTTAAGCAAAGGGTCTTAAGTAGGTTTCATTATTAAAATTTCCAAAGGTTTTATTATTGAAATAAACCTGAGATAGAACAGTATGCCTCCATGGGGCAGTCATACTAATGATTCTTAAGTTATGAAGGGATGTCACATTCATCATCAATGTTGCACTCATGAATACGAGTAATTGGGAATTTATCAACCAACAAAACCAACTGGCATTCTAAGAATGAAGAATAATAATCTCATTTTAAGTAGCATATGCAGTGCTGTGCGACCCTTTAAAAAGCTGCCTTTGTTCACTGAAGTATTGCTTGTAATAGCAAATACTGGAAACAACTCAAGTGCACATTTGTAAGGAACTGATTCAATAAAGTAGGAGGCAGCCATCCACACAATGGAATACTATGCAGCTCTGATATACGAATGAGAAAGCTTTCTCTGTACCAACAAGGAAAGATCCCCAAGACATACTGTTAAGGACAAAATAGTACACAACAGGTTAGATAATGATTTACCTTTCATGTAAAAGAACGTGGAGGGGTAAGAACATATATTCATATCTCCTTTTACTTACATAAAGAAACACTGCACAGATATATAAGGAACTATTAAGAGTGACACCCACAATAAGGAGCAGGGGTTCTACAGGGTGGACCAGACAGGAGTGGAAATAATACTCGTCAACATATGCCTTTCAAAAAAATTTTTTTTCATATTTTAAATTTACCTTTACTACCTATTTATTTGGTTCAAGGCTCCATTTCGTCCACTTTGGGACTAGGTAATCAGGCTTTAAACTACTTACCTCTGCCTGTCAGAAGTCACTAACCTCATGACAGGAATAATTTAGGTTAGAGGAGTAGCAAAACTATTACTCAACTGTTTCTTTAGAAAAGGAGAAACTCATAAAACATGGGACCCTAATATTTGAATATTATATGTAAGACGGGGTTAAAATGTGTTCAAAAAGTGTCTTCTAAAAATGTACAAACAACAGAGGTGTGACAGTATGCTGAAAAAAATATGAGGGGGGTGGAAGAGCGGGATAGAGAGTGGTCCTCCTTCCCTACTCCCTTTACAATGTTGATTTCATCCTTGGGTTTTCATAATGAACTTCTGTAAAGGGGAGATTTGCATCCAGTTTTAAGACCATTTTCAGCACAAGTGCTTTTTTATTAAGTATTTCTGTGGTTCCCCTTCCCCAGACAAAAAGGAAAGGGGAAGCTATTGTTCAGGACTTCTAATGGGTTTATCTAGCTTTGTGGGTTAAAAGAACCCACAATATTTAATAAATTTAATAATATTTAATAATATTTAATAAATTTATTAATATTTAACAATGTTTAATAAAACTTAGCCACTTACCTAACCCTTGGGTCAGAGAGTTCTTGCTCTAACAAAACACCAAGAACAACTAGACACTTCTACCTACCCATAGCCTCAACTAGATAAATGCAAACATGTTGGCTCACTCCTGTAATCCCAGTACTTTGGAAAGCCAAAGTGAGAGGAACACTTGAGCCCAGGAGTTTGAGATCAGCCTGGGGAACATAGGGAGACCCTGTCTCTACAAAAAATAAAAAATTAGCTGGGCTTGGTGGCACGCACCTGTGGTCCCAGTTACTTGGGAGGCTGAGGTGGGAGGATCACTCGAGCCCAGAAGGTCGAGGCTGCAGTGAGCTATGATCATGCCATCACACTCCAGCCTGGGTGACAGGATGAGACCCTGTCTCTTTTAAAAAAAAAAAAAAAGATAAATGCAAATATGAATCACCTACAGAATTAAAAGGCCACAAATGTTCCAACCTTAGCAGAGAGTCTGGGAAGAAACCTCCACCACTGCCCCAGTCAACCCAACTAAGAGAAAGAGGTTGGCAGCCAGAGGAACAGATAAGGCAAGGCTTCATCTGAGCCTATCAGCTTCTGCAGAAAAAATATGCCATGGTCATGGGATGATCTGACTGACTGACTGATGCAAACTGTCCACACAGCTAGTTTACCTTTGCCTCCTCTCTGGATCCAAAATGTAATGGAAATGAATGCCTTATGAAATCCAACCCTGACCTTCTCATCACACACCCTTCTTAGGAGAGCCCACACTAGCTAACGACTCCAGAATTCTGGTTACCATAAGTCTACGCATCATGCCACCGAGCTCTGTCTTTCCAACTACCTTTTAGACATCTCTACCTGGATGTCCCGGGAGTCTCATGTCCAAAGATTAATTCCTTCTTCCTGGCAGTGTATGCTCTTTGTATCTCCACTTCTCCTGTCTCAGTTAATAGCCTGTTGATTGATCAATTTCATTCTAGGTTCATGGAACACCAACCATGCACCAAGATCCCTGAACCAGAAGCCTGAAGGGCATCTACAGTCCTCCTTCTGTCCTACTCCTATTTCTATTCACCTTGTCAACAATAAGCTGCACTGATTTTTTACCTCCTAAATATTTCTCAAAACCTCACTTCCCCTTCATATTCACTGGCACTCCCTTATTCAGCATCTCATCATTCATTCAACAATATTTAATGAGTATAAAGCATACCTAGGTGTTTTTAAACAGAACAAAAACGGTGTGATCTTTGCTTTCTGGTGGCTCAACATCTAGTTATTTCTTATCTGAACTATTCAGATATACTCTTGTCTCCTACCATTAATTATCTCAACAGTAGCCAGAGTGTCTCCTCAAAACTTAAATTAGATCATTTAATTCAGGGATAGTAAACTCTTCCTATAAAGGCCAGATAGTAAATATTTTAGGCTTCTGGGCCATATGTTCTCTGTTGAAACTACTCAACTCTGCTCTTGTAACATTAAAAATAGCCATGGACGATATACAAACCCATGGGTATGACTGTTCCAATATGGCTTATTCATAAAAATAGGCAGCAGGACAGATTTGACCCATGGGCTGTAGTTTGCTGACCCCTGATTTAATTAATCACAGTGCTTCTTACTCCACTGGAATTAATCCAGATTCCTTCCCATGGCTTAGAATGTGCTCCACCCTCAACTGACTATTACTTGCTCCTCTGGGCTCCACCATGCTCCAGCTACTCTGACCATCTTTACGGTGCTTACGCACCGTGCCAAGCCTGTTCACATCTTAGGTCCCTGCACTTGCCGTTCCACCCATCAGGACCACTCTTGCCTAGGTCTTCTCATAGCTGCCTCAGCTCAAATATCACCTCCTCAGAGAGGCCTTCACTGCCCATTCCCATTAGTACCCATCCCAATGCCCAAACACTCTAACTCCCATAGCTCTATTTATTTATTTTTTCAAATTACTTATCACCATCTGAAAAAATATCATTTGTTGCATGTATATATATAGTATATATATATATATATATATATATATATATAGTCTGCTTTCCTACCACCACACTACTCTACCACTATTAGAATGTAAGCTCCATGAGGGCAGAGACTGTCTTATTCACTCACCCCCTAGGTTCCCAGCACCTGGATCGGTGCCTGGCACTTAGCAGGGGCTCAGTAAATATCTATTATCTAAACTGTTATTGCCTCTAGTCTCCCTCCCTCCAACCCACTGGTATCTTCACTGCCACCAGTGATCTTTCAAAAATACAAATGAGACCAAATATAGTGGCTCACACCTGTAATCGCAGCACCTTGGGAGGCTGAGGCACAAGGATCGCTTGAACCCAGGTAGGTGAGGCTGCAGCAAGCCATGATCACACTACTGCACTCCATCCTGGGAAACAAGAGTGAGACCCCATCTCAAAAAAAAAAAAAAAAAAAAAAATAGCAGTGTGTAGTGGTGCACAATTGTAGTCCCTGCTACTTAACAGGCTGAGGCAAGAGGATCACTTCAGCCCAGGAGTCTGAGGTTACAGTGAGCTATGATCACACTACTGCACTCAAGCCTGGGCGACAGAGCAAGACTCTGTCTCATAAAAGAAAAAAAAAAAGTAAAATGCAAATGAATCATGTCACTCCCCTGCTTAAAATATTTCCATGGTTCCCCACTGGCTTTAAGATACAAATGCAAATTATGTGGCAAGACCACTATAGCTCTTATCACACCTTCCCACACTCTCACAGTAGTAGACTGTGAGCTCTAAGTGGTAAGGACCAACTCCTGTTTATCTTTTTATCTCAGGTACTCAGCATAGTACCAGGCACATTGTTGGTGTTCCATGAATGTAGAATGAAATTAATCAATCAACAGGAGTACAACAACTAGCACAATGCACGATTCTAATGTGGTAACTCAATAAGTACCCAATTTAAAGGCAAAGAAGCAAGATTTTACACAACACTCTTCCTTTCTTTTCTTTGGAAGCAACTTGGGTGGGGGCTATGCTTATAACTCTGAATCTAACTTTGGATTTTGTCACCCAGATTTTACCTGGCAGGCAGCCACTCACCACTTTCTAAAAGAATGGCAGGAGAAGGCAGGGAGCTAGGTCATGCAAATCTATCATGCTGTTTCCTGTGATCAGCTCTGGTAAAAAGGTTAGGAAAGGAGACATAACATGAAGGCTAAAATGCAACTTAGGGATTCTCCATGGATTCCAAGTGTCTACATTCTCCCTGTCATCTATTAGCAAAGAAAACCCAATGCTGGTTCTTTTGCTGTACAAAATAACCTAAGAGGTTCAGGGACTTTCTTTAGAACTGCCTCACCAATAGAATGGGAATTGTTACTTCTAGAAGAATTTCCATTAGCCCTTTAAAATCCTTCAACATTCATTAAGGCCAAAGAGATTTCACCTAATTTAGTCTGATGGGTATGTGAACAGTCTTTCTAGGGAATACAGACTCCCAATTTGTTCAGCTGGGAAGTAAGGAGGGAATTTATTACTCAAAATCAAAGGGAAATGAAAAGAGGGCAACCCGGAATTCATTACTCCCCTTCTTGGGTGGGGTAATGGGTTCCAGAGTCATTCTGTTACCTTTACTATGACCTCCTTACTTAGCATCTAAAAGCTTCTGGTGTTGGATGCAGCCAGGTAGGTTCTCTTCTAATGTAATAAAATCTGCTTCAGCAAAGCTTATACAGAGTCATCTCCAGACTCCAGAAATAATAGACTATAAATTACTGGATCTCCCATTTGATACAATGAAGTGTAAGTTAGCACAGTCCTGAATGACCACTCTACACGCTACTCTGAGTGGCTCAAAGTGAACTTTGACACAAGGACTGGAGCGAACACATAGCACAGCTAGATCCGGGATTAATTCGCTTGAGCCCAGCTCCTCACTACTCACCTATGAGTCCAGTTCCAGAACCCAAGTAGAGGATGGGGGAGCAAAGCTCCTAGCTTTTTCCCTACTGTCTGCATCTCTTTCACATATCTTATCTTCTTGAAGAAGTTAAACAGGCTCAACTAAAATAACTAAATGATGAAGCCCTATACAGACAATCACCAGAGATTCACAAAACTGCATTCAACACAGTTACACAGACAACTTTGAGGATGACTTGATGTACCAGCGATTTACCACATTTGGGACCATTCAAAATTCCTGTCAAGGATCTGCCTATATCAACATGGGAATCAAGAACCAACCATTCAAATGGGCCCTGCTGCCAAGCCTCTTTATAATGCCATCTCTTCATATTGTTCCATTTAACAAAACTGCAGCCTATCATCTAACCTTAAATCCCTTTGCCAATGATACAGAGCCAGAGTATGCTACTCCCTAGAGCAGGAACTCAACATGATGACCTACTAAACACCATTCAGAAGATGCTGAGACTCATGAATTGCAATAGGAAAAAAAAGACAGAGAAGTAGTCAGCCAGGTACACGCTGTGTCAAAAGTGCACTACAACCCCCAACCCCATTCTGCTTAATCCTAGCTGGGCTGACACCAACCTGACGAGACAGGCCAATAAGATCTCGAACTGAAAGAGGAACTCCTGAACTGGGTTCTTTAGAACCCAGGAAGCAGCAGAGTAAATCATTAAAGACCAGATAAGATCTTGATGAGGTGAGGGAGGGTTTCAGATAAATGGAATGCTGGTAGAACACAGGGCCCAAAGGAGAAAAGTTAACCTGAGCCCAGGTGGAACCTTGCTTACTAGAGTATTAAGCATGAGTTGGGACAACTATTCTAACCAGAGAAATTGGCTCCAGTGAGGGCAGTTTGGCAATCCAAGGTATGGCATGTCTATGGCTGGCAAAATTCAGGGTGACTGAAGCAAAAGTTTCAAAACCATAAAGACTACAACGGGGGTAGAGCACAAAATTCTCAAGAGATGAATCTTTGTAAGAGTGAGGCAGAACTACATGGTGATTTTCGATCTGTTGATGCCCAACAAGAGCTTCTACTGGCTATAAGCAGGGGTGCAGGCTGTAATCGCAGGAGAGGAGGTTCACAAAAGTAATTCAGTCCTAGAGCCCAAACTGTGTTCTCTACTAAAAGGAATCAAGACCCCCTAGAGAAATGGCTGACTCCATGTATGGTGCAGGATATAGATCCTGGAACACCTTTTTTTTTTTTTTTTGCCAGAAAGCAAGGAAGCCATCCAAGTCCAACAGGATCACGTCAAAAGGCCATGGGAGTCAACTTGAAGAGATACTTATTAACCTGAGACAATATGAGCATCTAAAACAATTAATAGTGACTACAATGGGCTCAAATGCAAACAATAATCTATGAGCTCATTACGATATTCAGGAAAAAAAACTATTGGTCACTACAGTGGAGGTTACTAGTCACTAACTCATTATTCTGAAAAATGACTTAAAATGGGAGATAGGGTGGAGAATTAGGTATTTATCCAGTTTTTCCTGTACAAATGTAAATGTTTAGGGAGATTGAAGTAGATGAAACAAGTCTGGCAAAATTGAGATAACTGTTTAATCCGGGTGTTGAGTACATGGAGGTTCATTATATTTCTTTTCCGTATATTTTATATTTGAACCCCCTCCTAAAAAAAAAAAAAAAAAAAAAAAAAAAAAAAAAAAAAAAAAAAAAAAAAACAGAAAAAGCAAGACAAGACAGAATGTGAGCTAAGCAGCTTAGGGTTTAGGCAAGGCTTCTGCCTACAAGAGAGACTAGGATATGAGGGGTAATATTAGTCCTGATGGGCCAAACCAACTGGAGGGATATAGGGAGGTGCCAAGTTGCAGAGGTATCATGTTGCCCAGCACTTGATCTAGAATCCTAGATTCTAGGTCTGGGTAGTAGCAGATTTACTAGGTGGTAGATCTGAGGCTACCTATAGAACTTCCTTTGCAGTCATAATTAGCTCAGAAACTACAAAAGGGCTTGCTCTTGAAAATGGAGCCTTTGTCTATTTCATGCTGTTATAACAGAATGCCACAGACTGCATAATTTAAAACAAAAAAAAAAGGATCGATACCATCCTGGTTAACACGGTGAAACCCCGTCTCTGCTAAAAATACAAAAAAAATTAGCCGGGCCTGGTGGCGGGCGCCTGTAGTCCCAGCTACTCGGGAGCTGAAGCTGGAGAATGGAGAATGGAGAATGGCGTGAACCCGGGAGGCGGAGCTTGCAGCGAGCCGAGATCTAGCCACTGCACTCCAGCCTGGGGGACGGAGCGAGACTCCGCCTCAAAAAAAAAAAAAAAAAGAAAGAAAGAAAAGAGAAAGAAAGAGAGAGAGAGTGAAGGAAGTGAGGGAGGGAGGAAAGAAAATAAGAAAAGAAAAGAGAAAAGAATTTCTTACAGTTCTGGAGGCTAGGAAGTCCAAGGTCAAGGAACCTGCCTCTGGTGAGGGTCTTCTTGCTGCATCATCCCATGGCAGAAGGCAGAAGGGCAAGAGAGAGCGAAAGAGCAAGAGGGCAAGAGGGCCTGAACTCTCTTTCACAAAGGCTAGCAAAGAAGTATGCACAGGTTAAGGGAAAAAGTCACAATGAATCCTGTAGTACAGACTACTTTATCAAAAGCAGCTAAAAAAAGATCTCATTAACTCCCCCAACTCATCTCCACCCACATCTAAAGAGCCACACACAGCACCACCAAAGGCAGCAGAATGAGAACAGCGTTCTCCTCGACAGACCAGCTGTGAGTATCCAGACAGACACCCGACCTCAACAGCTCCAGAGCAGCCCCAGAACAGCCCCTCCCTAACCACCACTCAAGTAACCAGCTGGGAAAGTATTCAGAAAACCCGCATCCTGACACACCACTGCCAAACAACTTAAACAGCAAAGAACAACCCATCTAAACAGCAATGCCAGCTGCCAGGAAAAGTTGTGTAGGGACAATGAGTAGAGGAAAAGCAGATCCCTTGGGGTCCACCAAGAGACCCAGTCTCTCAGCTTCAGCACTTCCAAATGCACAATCCATACACCTCTAGGGCCTGTGGATCTCCACGAGGCATATTGTCTCCTTCCATCTCCTCAAAGATAAATGAGCAGGCAAGCTGGCCAGAAAACCACTCAGGGTATTACTCTTTAAAGAATCTTTATAGGGTCAAAGAGGAATGGGTCTACAGGCTATATGTATTCCCCAAAGATTCTCAGGATGATGTCAGAATCCCTTTCCAGATGTGTTTAACACTTTGTGGTCACTTGTATTCCTGCCACTGAGCGCCAGTGCTTTGCTAATTTGAACTGATTCCAGCTCACACTGACTCCAGCTTCCTGGATCTGATTACATTTAGCCAAGACTGTCATCCATACTGTACCCTTTCAAAGAGTCCTAAAAACAGCTCTTCACCTACTCTTTCAAGACAAGTAATAATATCTGCCAAAGAATGGGGAAAAAAGATGCAGAAAAAGAATACAATTAGCATACTACCAAGAAAGCAAAAAGCGAAGGGAGAGGAGAAACTAAAAAATTACATGCGGACTCACACTTATTTCTAAAGCTGTGCTAATATCTTTTTGCTTGCGTCTAAGGCACCAATTTTAAACTGTTACTGGGGGAAAAAAAAAGAGAGAGAGACAGAGAGAAAGAAAAAAGCAGGCCTAAATCTTAAAGTAAAACTTTTAGCATAGAAGATAAGAATTGGTGAGAATTCCATTCCCGGTTATTTACCCTATAGGCTAAAGAGCTGCCTCTGCCTCTAAGGATCAGGGCATTCTGTGTTTGATGGCAGAACCTAAGTCAGAATCCAGCACAATCCCTGACAAGTGAGAACCTCAGGGTAAGTTGTCCTGACCTTGAGATTGCTTCTCTACCTCTTCAATTAAAAAATATATATAAGGGCCGGGCACGGTGGCTCATGTCTGTAATCCCAGCACTTTGGAAGACTGAGGCGTGTGGATAACCTGAGGTCAGGAGTTCGAGAACAGCCTGGCCCACATGGCGAAACCCCATCTCTACTATAAATAAAAAAATTAGCCAGGCATGGTCGTGGGTGCCTGTAGTCCCAGCTACTTAGGAGGCTGAGGCAGGAGAAACACTTGAATCCAGGAGGCGGAGGCTGCAATGAGCCAAGATCGCACCACTGCACCCCAGACTGGGCAACAGAGCAAGACTCTGTCTCAAAAAAAAAAAAAAAAAAAAAAAAAAAAAAGAACCAAGGGGGAGATCCCTCTTGCCACCTCAGTTGTTTGAACTCAGCTACTCAAGGTCCACGTTGTCCAGATCAAGGGCTCCCATGAGTGACAGTGAGGCGGATCTGATCACTTAGAGGGCTAAAGGTAATCCTACAAAACCTGAAGATGTACAAGGAGAATGCAGCTGCTGCTCAGAAACTCCACTAGCCCAGCTTGAAAAGACATCATCTACAGGGTAATACCCAGTTCTCAATTCTAGGCCTCATAGTTTTGCTGAGTGTCTCAGAAAACTGTCCTAAACTTTTCTGGCCTTTCTTATTTTGCCCACCTAATGTAAGAAAACTAAGCTAAAATAAATTTTGTCACCAAACCAAAATGAAGCTCTCCAGGTGGTGTAGCTACTATACTCAGGAGACTTGAACTTCCCTTAACCCAAAAATGGCTATCTGGAAGTCAGCATCCTCAGAGTACACTTCAGATGCAAACTAGAAATATGTCAGTGTAAACTATGAAAGTGCAGAGCCTTTGCTTCAGTAAAACTAGATGCAGCAAAACCACGGGCTTTATGCATGACTGGTATTGTAAGAGAGGCCACAGGGAGTAGAATTAAATATGACACCTCCTTGACATATGATCAAAGCTCCTTCTAACCTCAATTTGGGGCACCATATATCACAAACCAGACAGCAAGAAATTAAGTAAATGTAAGTCTTTTTTTTATGCCATCCCAATTACATCTTGCTCAGTTCACAAACATGTTCCAGCAAATGCTGGAGGAGTTTTTCTCTCTTTAGGAGTCCTCCCTCACTTTACCCTGTTTAACAAAAGACCTCACACACTTAGAAAGAGGATGGAGGCAGGCCAGCTTCAGGACATGCTGCACAGGGAGGACTGACTGTCCCAAAGAGGGGGCTCTACACCCCTCTGACAACTCCACAATAGACCAGCTACACACAAATGCCTGAAATAAGGAAGTCCATCAAGAAAATGAACAGTTGGCGAGATCAAGGCTTCTGGCCCAAAGGGCCTGCAGCTGGTCTGGCCATTCATCAAAAAATCTGAATTTAAATGGAGACACATTCGACTGTGACATGTAATAAAAGAACTGGAGCAACAAAGGGTCTTGATTTTGGTTTCCTTTCCACCCTACACATCTCCTGCCAATGGAAGAGTGAGCGTGCCTGTGGTGCTCCTGACACATCTGGGGTAGTTCCCATTCACAGTGCTCACCCTTTGGGACTTTCCACACATTACAGGGTCATCGTCCATCTATGCTAACCTAGAATGTCCAGATAAAAGCTCCTGTTTAGAGACTGGAGAGAAAATTGTCAACTCTGAAAGCCCACAAACTGTCTCAGCCAGGGGGAACACATGCAGGAAAGACTACAGAATCGTATGTCAGAAGCCTAATTTCAGATTGACCCCTACAGCTTTATGACTGTGAGTAATTCACTTACTTTCTCTAGGCTCTGTTATTCTCACATCAATAATGAGAAAAGTGGACCAAACAGTCCCCCAGATCCCTTCCAGTCATAACATCCTCTGACTTTATGATTAAAGAGTGGTACTAATAACGCTAAATCTGTGGCTTAACCCCAATAGGAGTCTTCTGGGATTATACTAAGAAAAACTATCCCACACAGACAGAGCCATTCTGACCATGTCCCTCCCTACACTGACCATCATACAGATATGTGCCACTGGTATGAGAAGTCCTTTTTACAGAGGACATTGACTGATTAAATAATAGGCTGATTTATTCATTCAACCAACAAATATTTACTGAGCACCTTCTAGGTATTTAGGGATACAACAGAACAAAACAGACAAAATCCCTTCCCTTATGGAGCTTACGTTTTAGTGAAGGAGGAGGGGGAGTCAGACATCAAATAGGAAATATGAAGTGGGGTATATTTTATGCAGAGTAGCCTAGAGGGTCTTGATAAGGTGACTTTTTTTTTCTTTTTCTTTTTCTTTAATTATACTTTAAGTTCTGGGATATATGTGCAGAATGTGCAGGTTTGTTACATAGGTACACATGTGCCATGGTGGTTTGCTGCCCCCATCAACCCATAATCTACATTAGGTATTTCTCTTAATGCTATCACTTCCCTTGCCTCTCACCCCCCGACAGGCCCTGGTGTGTGATGTTCCCCCCACTGTGCCCGTATGTTCTCATTGTTCAACTCCCACTTATGAGTGAGAACATGCGGTGTTTGGTTTTCTGTTCCTGTGTTAGTTTGCTGAGAATAATGGTTTCCAGCTTCATCCATGTCCCTGCAAAGGACATGAACTCATTCTTTTTTATGGCTGCATAGTATTCCATGGTGCTTACGTGCCATATTTTCTTTATCCAGTCTATCATTGATGGGCATTTGGGTTGGTTCCAAGTCTTTGTTATTGTGAATAGTGCTGCAATAAACATATGTATGCATGTGTCTTTATAGTAGAATGATTTTTAAACCTTTGGGAAAGGCCTTTGATAAGGTGACTTTTGAGCAGCAATCCAAAGCAGTGAGAGAGCGAGCCATGCAGACACTATGGGAAGAATGTTCCAGGCAGAGGGAACAGCAGGGCCCTGAGACAGGACAGGGTCAAGCATGCCTGGCATGTTAAAGGAAACACCATGAGCCCAGTGTTTATTAAGAGGAGAAAGGGCAGGAGAGTAGTAGGAAACACAGTGAGACAGGTAGTAGGAGCCAGATCATGTAAAAACTGGAAAGTCACTGGAGAATTTGAACAGAGGGGTAAACATGATCTGAATTCCATTGTAAAAGGATTGTTCTAGCTGTTATATTGAGAGTAGACAGAAGGAGGCAAGAATGGAAACAAGGAAACCAGTTGGGAAACTACTGAGATAATCCAGGTGAGAGATGATGGCAGATGGACCCAGGGCAACAGCAGTGAGGAGTAAAGAGGGACAGAGTCTGGGATATATTCTGAAGTTGAATCAATAGAACACTGGAGGACAGGATGATCTTGGAAAATCTTGGGACTACTGCAGAACCTAATGAAGCTAAACGGTACTAAATTCCAACATCCACTGTGAAATCCCAAGATTAGGGATTTGTTCATCTCTGTCACCTAGTGTCCAACCCAGTACTTGGCACATAATGAGGACACAAAAATCTTGAATGAATAAATGTGGAACTGAATATATTACAAAGCCAAAAGATCTGCAGTTTGATAGGTCTTTGGGAGACCAAAAAGCATCTGGTCCTCGACATATTTCACCAACAATGAATACCCCTCCCCTGAGTGAATCCATTTATTTTTATTAAAAGTTCCTCTTTATAACTTATTTCACAGTAGTAAGCAATGAAGCTGACAAACAACTTCACATAATACAGCTAAGAATCTGAACAACTTGGTTATTTCCCTGAGAGGCCGGATGCAGTTACCAAACCTTATACCACCTCAGCAACTCCCATCTAAAATACAGGGACAAATATTACACAAACAGTAAGCTTATGCTCTTACAGATAGTAAATCATGAGGGTAACTGAAAAGGTATGCTTATGAATAATAATATTATAATAAGCAAGGAATAAAATAAGCCAAATCTATACTATTCCTATACGAGAAGCCAATGGGCTACCCTTGAATGTGCTTCACTTCCTCTGTGAAGCTGAGAACAAAAATGCTTAGATTTTTTTTTCCCAATAGCACTGCTCTGAGAAAGGTAACAATTCCCAACTGCAGAAGCTCCTCTGTCAAGATGACCCTTGAGAGTCCCAAAGTTCTTAACCCACAGAGACTGACAATGTACAAAATACAGAAGCAGAAAACCGAGTATAGGAAAAAAGGTACATTATAAACTACATTCTGGCAGCAGTTTCCTCGGTTAAGTCATTGATCATCTTGAAGGGCTAAATTAAAACCCAACATTAATCTGGCAGTAGGTGTAAAAAACATCTTATTTACCAAAATAGAAAAAGGAGGAAGAAAAATAAGACACGTAAAGTGTTTGAGATCAAATTACATTGTAAGGGAAGCTGCAATATTTGGAGACCGAGACCTAGACAGATTCATCAGCTGAGTTGGAAATCATTTGATGTGACCTTGGACTAATTATTTAACTTCTCTGCCTCTGTCTCTCATCTGTGCCTGAGTCTCCCCTCAATGTGAAGGAGAACAAATGATTTCAGCCCCCTCCTATCTTAACAGGGATGTTATGAGTCTGAGATCACAGAGGACACTGTCTTTAGTAGGATAATTAAGGACCAGGCTGCTCTTAGAAACACCCCCACAGCATGGAGGCTCTCTCTCCCTGGCATCATTTGGCTTCAGAGTTGGGCAACCAAATATGCCCACATAACATGACAAACTCAGGGTTTGGGGCCAGCATCTTGACAGATACTGTCAGGAGCCCTAGATGTGAATCCATTCTCACATATATAATTACTATATTCAAGTGTTTAATAAACATTTAGTAATGCTTTTAAGTCACCAGTATCTTCACAGAAATGACCATATTGTTGCCCATCTATTAGAAGAGATGGTGTTCAAGGTATGAAGTAGTAGAAGGTTCGTGATCATGAACCCCTGGGCAAGTCAAGATCCTCAATTGCCACCTCTATAGGTGGAAGTATAGGCCTAACAATACTAAGGATTAAAAGTGAAATGCTGCTGGCGCAGCCCTGGGCTCACAGAAGCAGCAAAACAAGCACTAAAGCCCTCCTCCCGCCCACGGTTCTGCTCAATAAATAACAAGTGCTGTTAATTCTTTAATTGTGGATCCGAGGAAAATGAAACAGGGTTCACCCATAAACATCTTATCTGCCTTGATTCCCCCTGTAACTCCTTGACTGGAGCAGAGTAAACAGGCTGAACTTTAATTAGGATCATAACATGAAAATGATCCCAGGTAAGCCAGGCTCATAAACTCCAGACAATTGGGAGGAGACTGGTTTCTAATGGACTGCTCCATACCTGGCCTAGTCAATGACAGAAGCAGACCCGGTCCTTTGTCCCAGCTTCCCAAAGAAATCCATTAGCCAGGCCCACATGGCTTCAGTTCGGATGTGGGGTCGGAGGCTTTCTATTCCGGTGATTGTGGTCTAAGAATAGAACTCCCAAGCACAAGGCAAATGGATTCACAAGAATTGTGTTCATCTACTATCCACATTACCGTCTGAGGACTATTTAAAGCACAAGGCCAGAAAGCCCCTCTCTGAATGGGAGGACCAACGAGGGGAAACAGGCAGGGCATGTTTTTAATATAGTTCTGCTACAACTTGCAAATATAGTGCGACTTGTAGAGCCCCAGTCTGAATGCCAGGATCTTGAGATACACATCCATCCTCAACAGCTCAGATATCTCACTTGGCTCCCTGTCAACCACTGAGTAAGGAATGTCAAGTCCATTTGACAAATGGGCAAGTGGGAAGCATGGAGGGACAGATTTATACAGTGCTAAGTCCACTGCTAATAACAGAAACAGTTAAAGCTGATTGTGTGCTTCTACGTGCCAGGTCCTTACTAGGCATGTCACCTTCACTCACTCTAACTTCACAACGTCTCTATAAGATAGCCAGTTATTTTGTGCACATTTAGCAACAAGAACACTGAGGTTCTGGGAGATTACGCAATTTACTCTCATGATAAAACTTATATGTGGCATAGCTAGGATTTGAACCCAGGTCTCTCTGACATTAGCACTTGTTTGGGGTTTTGTTTGTACCATGCTGCTTCTCTTGGTTTCCTTCTGCTAACTTAAGAATGCAAGGAACCTATAATCCAAAACCATACTCTAAACATTAAATCTCATAACTTGTAACTTATGTCACCGATTTGGTGAGCAAACAGAATTAAGTAGTCCAGGGCCAACAGCAGAATCTTCAGGGACAGAAACCAGATAACTCCAATTAGGTGGGCTAAACGGATAAATTCCACATCAAAGGAACCTTTACTAGGAAAATATCCGGTGACCTTCAGCCTCTGATAAGACTTCATCTCATCATTTCTCCTGTCCCAACACCCCTACACTTCAACTAGCTTCAAATATTCTGTATCCACACCAAAGACTGATTCAACACTTTGCAATCACAAACCCAAAGGCAAGTTCTCTGGGATTGCATCAGTATGAAGATTTTATTTTGCAAAGTTACTTCCCTGACCAGCCTCCCTGCTGCAGACCTCTTCAAATTTCCCAGATTAAGAAGACATTCGAAGTGACAATTCCAGGCCTTATCATGTTCAACAAACTGGTCACAATGTGTCAGATGAAGGGCAAGATCAATTCTCTGGGCCTCTTGCTTCTACATCTCTTATAGAAAGTTACCATCATCAAAATCTTTCGCATCACTCAAATCATCAACAATAGTTAGAAGAACAATAACACACACAAAAAAATTAGTAGCAAAGATAAGCCAGTACAAGTAAGTGTGACACAGTCCAAACCAACCTGGGCACATTCTCACAATCCCTTGGAAATGACTTTACCTGAAGGCTACGTGACTCATTTAACTCGGCACTAAGATGGAAAGGTCTAGGGCTCTACAGAAGTTCCTAGTAGGAAAACTTCATTCTTTTCCAAGCCAGGTCTCCAGGGCCTGGCTCTGACATGGTTACCACTTCCACGGAGAAGCTGACAACAGCTGGTCACATTCTTTTCTCTACCCTATTCCTCCCCATCAGGTGAAGATAGCTAACTGCCATGTATCTTATCTAAGGAGGCTAACTTGCAGCAATGATGTGGCATGACAAGTGAAAAGTAATGGGGATCTTGAACAGTCAAAGTACACAGTTAACATAAACAAGAACATGCTGTTCACCAAGTTAACAGTTGTCAAGTCTACAGCCGGTATTTTCCCTATATTCATTTCTCATAAATCTATATCAAATCAGGAGAGGTGGTGAAATGAGGCTCTAAGCTTCCATGCACCAATCTTAAGGAAAAAAAAAAAATGTCTTTTCTTCTAAGAGGGGCGCCCTGGCTATAACCTCTTTTGAGGTGGCTGAATGGGCTTGGTGTTCTGAGTAAAAAAGAAACAAAAACAAATTTTTTTTCCCATTTAGAGAAATGGAGAAATTAAATGGTTTATATACAGACCCGATCCCTTTCATAAAGTTCGCTTGGAGGTAATACCACAATTTCAGGCCCTCTTTGAAGAAATACCATCTCGTGTTGGGTTCTAATTAAAGATATGCTGTTTTGCCGGGCGTGGTGGCTCACACCTGTAATCCCAGCACTTTGGGAGGCCGAGGCAGTTGGATCACCTGAGGTCAGAAGTTTGAGACCAGCCTGGCCAACCTGGTGAAACCCCGTCTCTACTAAAAATACAAAAATTAGCTGGGCGTGGTGGCGGGCGCCTGTAATCCCAGCTACTCGGGAGGCTGAGGCAGGAGAATCACTTGAACCTGGGAGGCAGAGGTTGCAGTGAGCTGAGATCACACTCCAGCCTGGGTGACGGAGCATGACTCTGCCTTAAAAAAAAAAAAAAGATTTAAAACATTAACCTGTAAGTTGTCAATATTAAATAATAAGCATTTAGGGTAAGGGCTGGATGTATAATACTATACTAAGTCAAGAAAGTTCAAAATACAGATCATTCAGTAACAGTGGCAGTGACAAAAGAGATCCTGGCTAATGCCACCACCATCCTAATCCTGTGGGAAAATGCCACCAGGAAACATTTCTATCAACCACACCATCAGATTGGGAAGCTGAGTAATTGGTCCAACTGCCAGACATTGATATATTCAAATCAATTAATCGGTAGTCACCAAGTGACTAAAAAGTGGACAACGCTCCACTGTGTGCTACAGTATACATCAGGCATTTCTAGTTCTAGTCCTAGTCCTGCTCTTAACTTTCAAAGGCAAATCAGGTTCAACCTCAATGTGAAAGAATAAACAATAAATCAGAGAGCATTTATTATAAATTGCCAAAGAAGGTTTAGTCCAGTCAGCCAAGGTGCCCCTCTATTTCTCAAATGCTAAACCCACTCAGAATGAGAGGAGCTGCTCCATCAACCGAGTAGATCCAGATGGTCTCCGTGGAAGAAGCAGCACAGCTGAGAAGCCCACTGCTCAAGACTACATCTGCCCTTTCTCTCTAGATCCCTTAGAAAACAGAGTCACCCCTCCTCCATCTCAGTCTGAGACACACAAAGAATGAAACTTTCTACAAAAGAGGAAGGTCTGAAGGACACTAGCAACTGTCATGAGTTTCCCTATGACTCGAAGCCTCTTGGCTCTAGCATAGGGCAGCCATAGTCCACATTCAGAAGCATCTTGTTTCCTGTTCTCTAGGTTAGAGACCCAGCTAAGAATAGCACCCCATTCATGCTGCTGTGTACACATCCTTTTCACTTGCTATTTTCTCTCACACACGCATGAAGCCCAGGTCTTGTACATTCTCCAAGGTAAATGCAAATATTTATAAACGGGCACAGAGTAGTGGTTTTATTCCCTGTCCAGTCTACAAACAGGCACTACCTAGAAGAATTCCACTCCAGAGCTGAGTGACACAGGAGTAGCTGGGCCACAGGCTCCCTCTCTGAAGTTCCAAATAGAGACTCACACTCGGAAATAGTAACCTAGTGGAAATACATATAGGATGCCCAGTACCTGTGCAGAACTTCACCTCTGTGCATGACCTGAAACCAGAAGTCTGTAAAATTGATCTCTTTTTATTACATGGAACCATGTGAAATTATCAACAAAATGGTAATTTCATATGATTTAACCTAAAAGAATCCTAAAAAGCAAATCAGGCATTTAGCTAACAAACAAGAATGCAAAATCAATTGTTTCCCAGGTGGTTCCACTATGGAACACCTCGTAAGACAGGCCGAGCATTGATAAGAAACATCTATTCGCTCATGGTTCCATGTTTATATCCATATTTGTTCCTGGCCCTCGAGAGCTCACAAAGGAACAGGCAAGTGAACAGGCAAATACCGCACAGTATGGAAACTACTACTCTACAGAGACGTGCAAAATAAGAACCCTATATATAACTCAATTACAACATTTCTCAATTACACTGAATTCTGCCTGTTTGTTTGTATGTGAGCCTCACCAGTGAGATGATGCACGCTCAGAGGCAGAAACTGTATTTCTTTGTCTTTAAATCCCCAGCATACAGCACAGTTCTTGCACATAGTCAATGCTAAATGATGTTTGTCCAAAGACTCAATGACTTAGAGGCCAAGCGGCCTCTGTAAAAATGAGGTGAGTAGTGACATTTCCATTAATAACTTTGAGGTTTTTATATTTTAGACCAGACTATTAATTATAGCATTGGAAAGAGAATAACAGACTCCTGATTACAGAACTACAAAGAAAAGCAGACAGGGGGTGGCGGGGGGAGACTACACTTTATAATCAAAATAAATCTGAAAATATAGACTAAAGTCTGCCTCTAACTGGGAGTGTGGCAACATCTTTTTGTCTCTCAATTTAATATCTTTTTATTTCAACTGATTTTCCTTACAAGTACAACAGAACCATCAAGTGCAAAAGGAGTAAAAGGTGTTCTGCAAACAAAAGCAAAGGGGACAAACCCAAACCACCACAGCTCAGGTGTGAGGGGTACTTGCCATGTGTCTTTTGGAAAAGAATGTCCACTGGTGGATGGGAGGAGATGGGCACTATGCCCTCCAGGAACTTGGATACCTTTTATGAGTTCAAAAAAAGCCAAAAAAACAATCAAATTCATATGGATACCAAGATAGGTAATTAAATGTTGAATTAAAGATCAACACGAGGGCAGAGATTAGGCTGACTTCCAGGTGGTCAGAGTTGAAGGAGATAAAACACACACACACACACACACACACACACACACACACACACGCAAACTCCTCCCAGCATTAAAAAATAATAATAATAAAAAAGTCATTTGGGTCACCTTTTAAATCCATAAAGCAATCATTTCTAAAAGAAACAGCAGGTACAAAACTAGCCTCAAGAAAAACCCTCATCTTTCAAAGCGGAATATTCTGACATAGGTTCGAGAAGACTTCCCCTCCCATCAAATAACCAAAGCTTTGGGAAAGGGCAGCACAGAGCTCTCCCTAATATGAAATATTTTATCTATACATTAATTTCTCAAGAGACACTGACCCAAGCACCATACTGCTTCGGAAGTAGAAGTCTTTATCTTAATGAATTGATCTCATCAATTTAGCTGTACATTTGATCCCAAGACCCTTTGTGGACCTGATAACCCTGGGGAGGCCCTTAAGTGAAGCTGTCCCTAGGGTGGCCCACTTCATCACAGAGACCAGCAGACAGGAAAGGGCCATTGGGGAGATTCTTATTTTATTATGTAAGTCAGAGGAAGCCACGTTTAGCTCCTCTGCTCTACTGCAGCATCCCTATTTGTACCTGGTATAACCAGCAGAGGTAGAAAAGGAAGTCTGTCTGCATAAATGAAAACAAGGGCTAGCCACTCCCGTCTGATGGTAGGTGGTCCTCCACGAGTACCTAACTACGAACACCCACAGTTAAGTTTCTCTCTCTTCTTCTCTCTCAAACCCATTTCTTTTGTTTTTAGGGGGGTTTTTGTTAGCTTGTTTTTGAGACAGGGTCTTGCTCTTTCACCCAGGCCAGAGTGTAGAGGCATGATTACAGCTCACCGTAGCCTCGACCTTCCGGGCTTAGGTGATCCTCCTGCCTCAGCCTCCCAAGTAGCTGGGACCACAGGTGGGCGCCACCAAGTCCAGCTAATTTTTAAATTATCTGTAGAGATGGGGTCTCCTTATGTTGCCCAGGCTGCTCTCGAACTCCTGGGTTCAAGCAATCCACCCACCTCAGCCTCCCAAAGTGGTGGGATTACAGGTGTGAGCCACAGCGCCAACCCAAACCCATTTCAATTTACTCCCAAGGAATGGAAGAAGTAACATAAATGGCAAAGTGCAAAGGTCAGGTTCAGCAGCCCTATGGGAAACGCATAGGCTTTAGAGGCAGACTTTGGGATCCTGGATCCCAGTTCCTAGGACCTGTGTGACCATGAGCACGTATCTTAATTTCTGAGCCTTAGTTTCCTCACTTCTGAAAAGAGGACAATAATATCCACCTCACTAAGGTGGTATGGGATAGTTGCTATGTTTGTTTTGTTTTTGTTTTTAAGCCTCTAAGGCCAGAGGCTTTGTGAGTGCTGGATGACTTCATTTCTAGCTCAGGCAAGCAGAAACTGGATATGAAACTGAAGAAGAGTGACATCCACATATGGCCTAGGCGTGAACAAATTCTGCTTGCTTGCATGCGTGCATGGCTAGGACGCTAGCATTTCAAGGAGCCAGCTCCATGAGTTTACAGCCAAACTGGAGAACCATTCCATAGTGATGAGTACAGCACATTTACACAGACATGCTCAAAAGCACTGCAAAATTCTCTCCCTAGTCTAGAATTCCTGAGTTGGCCAACTCTACACAGTTCAGAATAAAACCCAAAGACTGCCAAGACCAGTCAATGTCTTTTTTTTTTTTTTTTTTTTTTTTGAGACGTTGTCTCACTCTGTTGCCCAGGCTAGAGTGCAATGGTGCGATCTCAGCTCATTGCAACCTCTGCCTCCCGGGTTCAAGCAGCTCTCCTGCCTCAGCCTCCTGAGTAGCTGGGATTACAGGCGCCCACCACCATGCCCAGCTAATTTTTTTGTATTTTTAGTAGAGACGAGGTTTCACCATGTTAGTCAGGCTGGTCTCGAACTCCTGATCTCGTGATCCGCCCGCCTTGGCCTCCCAAAGTGCTGGGATTACAGGCGTGAGCCACCGTGCCTGGCCCAATGTCTTTCTTTTTAAGGAACATAAAGTAATCCGAAAAAGACCCAGAGATTTCATTCTAATATGAAATCAGTCTTGCTAATAAAGTTACTGCCTCTATCAAAATCTATAATCTTCTCAAGATATCTGTCAAAAATTGTAACTGTTGCAGACATGTGGAAAAACTGGCCACACAGCAGCATAAACTCCCTCTGGCTAAAAAGTACATCAAAAATCTTTTCATTCGGCTGAGAGCAATGGCTTATGCCTGTAATTCCCAGCACTTCGGGAGGCTGAGGCAGTCAGATCACCTAAGGTTGGGAGTTGAAGACCAGCCTGGCCAACATGGTGAAACTCCGTCTCTACTAAAAATATAAAAATCAGCCGGGCATGGTGGCGCATGCCTGTAGTCCCAGCTACTCGGGAGGCTGAGGCACAAGAACTGCTTGAACCCAGGAGGTGGAGGTTGCAGTGAGCCAAGATCATGCCACTGCATTTCAGCCTGGGCGATAGAGGAAGACTCTGTCTCAAAAAAGAAAGAAAAAAAACTTTTAACTTCCAGGCCAGGGTGTCTTTATATCAATTTAATGCCAACCACAATACTAGCTACGGCTCTTCTTTGGGGAAGGGGGACTAAAGAAGGTGGCCTCCAACTGCTATCTCTTTCCCTTTGCTGCTGCCTCCT